>NC_000018.10:23411206-24036206 GCF_000001405.40 Homo sapiens
AAAGAAAGAGAGGGGAGGGGAGGGAAGGGAAGGGGAAGGGAAGGGAAGGGCAGGGAGAGAGAAGGGAAGGGAGAGAGAAGGGAGGGGAAAGGGAAGAGGAGGGAAGGGAAAGGGAAGAGAAGGGAAGGGAAAGGGAAGAGAAGGGAGAGAAGGGAAGGGAGAGAAGAGAAGGGAGAGAGAAGGGAAGGCAGAGAGAAGGGAATGGAGAGAGAAAGAAGAAAGAAAGACAGACAGAAAAAGAAGGATAAAGAAAGAAAGAAAAAAGAAAGAAAGAGATAGAAAGAAAGAAAGAAAGAAAGAAAGAAAGAAAGAAAGAAAGAAAGAAAGAAAGAAAGAAAGAAAGAAAGGTGTGTGCTGTAGGGTCTCCCAGCAACTCCTAGCCACAAAGACTGCAGACCTTACCATGTTGAAGGACTATTTGCCAAGGGGTCTAATTTGAAAACTGTGGTAATAGATGATCTTTCTTAACTATTTATAAGCACAAATACTGCATCTTGTTTGAATCATGGGCCTGTTTTTTGTTTCCATACACACTCTGTCATCCCTAAGAACCCTGATGAACAAAGCATTTTATAAGAAGCTAACAAAAGTCTGTTGGCACGGTTTACAAAACTGTCGTTATTGAGATGAAGGCTAATTAAATTAAATTATTTGTTTTTCAAATAGAGCATGCATTATTGAGAGAACATCTACTCCCTGAAAACAATTTGCAGTTTAGCTCTTCATGGGTGCTGAAAAGGCTCCTGAAGCTGAATTTTTGAAAATTCTATGTTACACTGACACCTAGTGGACCAAAAAATAGTTTCCAAACATGAAAATAAAACAGCAAGAGGCCAGGCATGGTGGCTTACGCCTGTAATCCTAACATTTTGGGAGGCCGAGGCGGGAGGATCACTTGAGGTCAGGAGTTCGAGGTCAGCCTGGCCAACATGGTGAAATCCTGTCTCTACTAAAAATACGAAATTAGCCAGGCATGGTGGCATGCACCTGTAATCCCAGCTACTTGGGAGGCTGAGGCAGGAGGATCCCTTGAACCCAGGAGGTGGAGGTTGCAGAGCCAAGATCATGCCACTGCACTCTAGCCTGGACAACAGAGCAAGACTCTGTCTCAAAAAACAAACAAACAAAAAGAAACCAAGGTTCATGTTGACTACTGGAATTGCCTAAAATACTAATACCTTACAAATGTAAAGTCAGTATTTTCTTTAAAGTTGGAAAGGATTTCTGCATATTACATCACTAATTATAGAAGACCCCTAGATTTCTTTTTCTTTTTCTTTTTTTTTGGTCCACTACTGGTGACTATGCTTGTCAGTCTTACTGCCCCCTTTCTCCCTTCTTCTCACTTTCCTTAGACTTTTCTCTTTCATTCTTCACTCTTCCTCCTGACTCAGAGAGGATCACATTCCCTTGACGAAGTCCAGCCCTAATATTTCTTGAACCCAAGAGTCCTGTGATGACAGTTTCTCACAGAGCATAATTTAGAGATGGAGTCAAAGAACTATGGCCCATAGACCAAACCCCACCTGCTGCCTGTTTCTGAAAATAGCATTTTATCGGCACACTGTCACACCCAACCGTTTATGTATTGTCTGTTGCTATTTCTATGCTCTAACAGCAGAGCTGAGTAGCTGCAACAGAGATAGAAGAGCCCACAAGGCTAACATATTTACTCCTGGCACATCTGTTGGCCCAATTTAGAATAAGGCAGTCTGAGTCCCAACCTCTGGACCTTACTAGCTGAGATGCTCAAGGCTTCACACACTAGACAGTGCCCTGGGCTATACACAAAGGACCATGTGACCACTGGGTTTCCGTAAAGTTCTTTTTTTTTGTTTTGTTTAAAGAGATGGGGTCTCACTATGTTGCCCAGGTTGGTCTCAAACTTCTGGGCTCAAGCAATCTTCCTGCCTCAGACTCCCAGAGTGTTGGGATTACAGGCGTGAGCCACCGTGCCCAGCCTCAAGCTCCATTTCTCAAGGCACTTTCATCACTGGTTCTTCCCAGCTCTCTGATCATGCAGAATCATCACTTCTTCCCACTTCATGTTTCATTTTTTTTCTGATCCAAGATTCTCAACATGTAATCTAGTTTATGCTGAAATGGAAATCTTGTCATCTTCAGTAAGGTTCTGACAATCCCTAAAGCCCAATAAGAGCTTCAAAGAAACCAGTCTACAGCTCCCAACACCACAGTGTTTGAAAGGCCACTGCTCTCCTTCCCCACCAGGTGGTCAGGTTTTGACCCTGCCGCAGTGTTAGGGGCTGTTACCCTGTACCCTCCACTGTAAGGGCAGTTGCCTCCTCCAGCACCACCTTATCTACCTCACCCCTTCCTGGGAGGACCAAGGCTAGATGTGTCGCTGAGTGAGCCTCAGGAGATGGACTGCAGGAAAAGCACAGAACAGAGGCAATGTTAGTATTAAGAAATAGAGTTGGCCAGGCATGGTGGCTCACACCTGTAATCCCAGTACTTTGGGAGGCTGAGGTGGGTAGATCACCTGAGGTCAGGAGTTCGAGACCAGCCTGGCCAACACGGTGAAACCCTGTCTCTACTAAAAATAAAAAAATAAAAATAAAAATAAAAAATTAGCCAGGCATGGTGATGCACGCCTGTAGCCCCAGCTACTTGGGAGACTGAGGCGGGAGAAGTGCTTGAACCTGGGAGGCGGAGCTTGCAGTGAGCCAAGACCATCCCACTGCACTTCAGCCTGGGCGACAGAGGGAGGCTCCGCCTCAAAAAAAAAAATTAAAAAAAAAAAAAAAGAGGGCTGGGCGCGGTGGCTCACGCCTGTAATCCCAGCACTTTGGGAGGCCGAGGCAGGTGGATCATGAGGTCAGGAGTTCCAGACCAGCCTGGCCAAGATGGCGAAACCCCGTCTCTACTGAAAATACAAAAATTAGCCGGGCATGGTGGCAGGAGCCTGTAACCCCAGCTACCCAAGAGGCTGAGGCAGGAGAATCGCTTGAACAGGGCAGCAGAGGTTGCAGTGAGCTGAGATCAAGCCACTGCACTCCAGCCTGAGCAACAGAGTGAGACTCTGTCTCAAAAAGAAAGAAAAGAAAAAAAAGAAAAAGAAAAAGGAAAGGAGGAAGGAAGGAAGGAAGGAAGGAAGGAAGGAAGGAAGGCAGGCAGGCAGGCAGGCAGGCAGGAAGGGGAAAGAGAGAAAGAGAGAGAGAGTTGGGGCAGGGCACGGTGGCTCATGCCTGTAATCCCAGCACTTTGGGAGGCCTAGGCGGGTGGATCACCTGAGGTCAGGAGTTCAAGACCAGCCTGACCAACATGGCGAAATCTCGTCTCTTCTAAAAGTAGAAAAATAAGCCAGGTGTGGTGGTGCCCACCTGTAATCCCAGCTTCCCGGGGGGCTGAGGCAAGAGAGTCGCTTGAACCCCGCAGGCAGAGGTTGCAATGAGCCAAGATCACGCCACTGCACTCCAGCTTGGGTGACAGAGCGAAACTCCATCTCAAAAAAAAAAAAAATTTAAGTACAGCCAGACACAATGGCACACACCTGTAGTCCCAGCTACTTCAGAAACAGATGGGAGGATCACCTGAGCCCAGGAGTTTGACGCCATCATGGACAATATAGCAAGATCCTGTCTCTAAAATAAATAAATAAAATGTATGGCCAGGCATGGTGGCTCATGCCTGTAATCCCAGCACTTTGAGAGGCCATCAGGAGGACTGCTTGAGGCCAGGAGTTTGAGACCTACCTGGGCAACATAGTGAGATGCTGTCTCTACAAAAGTTTTAAAAATTAGCCAGCATGATGGCTCACACCTATAGTTTCAGCTACTCAGGAGGCTGAGGCAGGAGGATCTCTTAAACCTAGGAGTTGCAGGCTACAGTAAGCCATGACTGCACCACTGTACTCAAGCCTGGGCAACAGAGCAAGACTCTGTCTCTAAATAAATATATAAATAAATTTTTTTAAATAAATACAATCTGGACCCTAAATGATTGGTTAACTGTTCATTTCTTTATAAACAGTGCTAAGTTAATTTGGAGGTTTTATCAAAGATACTTGTTACGGTTCTCCAGCACAGACTCTTGATGAAAAATTAAGGGATGTGGGCTTCTGTTTCATCTCATAAATTTCTGGTCACAAAGGTATTGTAGCATAAAATTTTTAACTTAGAATTTCTCATCTTTGAAAGCTTGAGAGTTCAAACTTTGCTCTCTTACTTATAACAGACGAAAAGTGGCAAGTAGGTTAAAAATTACTTTCAAAGTGTTTTTATTTAAACCTGTAGCCTGGCAATACAGGAATTATAGGACTGCATCTGAAGTCTCCAATGAAATTACACCTGAGCCTGCCTTCTGCAATGGTTCCAGAATCCAAAAAAGAATGCCATGGTCTCACGGTGCTAACAGATGTCCAGTCAGATAAAACGGGTCACAACGTTCTTTTAGAACCACTTTTTGCAAATACAGGAAGCCTTTAGCAAAGGATTTCAGCATCTGCTGGAAAAATTGCTTCAATGTTCTGCAATGGCTTGGCAACAGCAGTAACTGCCATGTATTGACAAGCTTATGGCTGTACAACAGCGCTATCTGTCCCAAGACAGACTGTTCCAAGAGCATCATCCAAGACTAGGTGGCAACAACCAGTCACCAGGCAAACACCTAGACAAGAGAATGACCCCATAAGGTTGCTATGTAGAGCCAATACTGGCAGGCACAGGAGATATGGCCTCTTTGCAATATAAGAAATGTGTTGGCCGGGCATGGTGGCTCATGCCTGTAATCCCAGCACTTTGGGAGGCCGAGGCAGGTGGATCACCTGAGGTCAGGAGTTCGAGACCAGCCTGACCAACACGGTGAAACCATATCTCCACTAAAAATACAAAAAAAATTAACTGGGCATGGTGGTAGGTGCCTGTAATCTCAGCTACTCAGGAAGCTAAGGCAGGAGAATTGCTTGAACCCGGGAGGCAGAAGTTGAAGTGAGCCGAGATCGTGCCATTGCCCTCCAGCTTGTGTGATAAGAGCAAAACAGGTTCTGAGGCTCATTTGACATTTGAGAGGGAATGGGGGCCTCTTTGAGCTCCAGGTTAGAAGGGCAATCTAAATGAGTTCTCCATGGCCTATGCTGCCCAGTCTTAACTTAGGACCCACTCTCCAGCCCCACCATTACAATCCCCACCCCATAGTAACCTCTGGGACTCCAAACTGTCTTCCTGATATTTCCATTTTTAGAAGAGCCAAACCTCTGTCATCTCTGCATTCATAGTTACTCAGTAAAGCTGGGCTTCACTTCCCTAATGACATAATCAGAAAACAAAGCCCAGGAGGAAAGAGCAGCCACAGCAAATACAAACCCAGCCCAGCACACACGAAAGAACGTGGGTGCTGGATCCTTCTGCTAAACATCTGGTAACGCTCCTTTGCCAAGGGCCATGGGAACTGGAAATCCTGAGCTGTACCAGCTCAGGTACAAGATCTACCAAAAACCCAGATATGGGGATCTTGGACAAAAAGTTTAATGGAGCTGTGGGTGGCTGTGAATGCACCTGCAGGAGACAGTGGTGAAAAGACTTCTGTGGAGTTTAGCTAGGAGCTGAAAAGAAGATGTGATCACAGATATTCCGAGATACGTAGAACCTAGCAGCACACTGTCAAGTCCAAGGGACAAATGTCTAGTGGGTCTCAAACTTCTACAGTCAAAGGACAACTTCTTGCAGGGAAGCAATCTTGAGAATCTTTGGCCAGTTCTACTAGTCATTAGCTGCCCTTCAAAACATCAATTAGAAGGCTGGGCACAGTGGCTCATGCCTGTAACCCCAGCACTTTGGGAGGCTGAGAGGGGAGGACTGCTTGAGGTCAGGAGTTAGAGACCAGCCTGGGCAATATTGCAAACCCCCATCTCTACAGAAAATTAAACAATTAGCTGGGCATGGTAGTGCACACGTGTAGTCCCAGTCACTTGGGAAACTGAGGTGGGAGGATAGCTTGAGCCCAGAAGTTCAAGGCTGCAGTGAGCTAAGATTGAGCCACTGCACTCCAGCCTGGACGACAGAGCAAGACCTTGCCTCAAAAAAAAAAAAAAATTAATAAAAGTATGGAGAATTCTATCAACAGATAAATGCATAAGCAAAATGTGATGAGTACATGTAGACATTGTTCAGCCTCCACAAGGAATGAAATTCTGATTCATGCTACAACATGCATGAAACTTGAAAACATTAATGCTAAGTAAAATAAGTCAGACACCAAAGAACAAATATTGTACAACTCAATTTATACAAGGTACCCAGAATAGGCAAATTCATAGACAAAGAAAGCAGAACAGGGGTTACTAGGAGCAAGTGGGAGGGGAGAATGGGAAGATATCATTTAATGGGTACAGAGTTTATGTTTGGAATGATGAAAAAGTTCTGGGCAAAAATAGTTATGATGATTGTACAATATTGTGACTATAATCAATGCCAATGAATTGTATACTTAAAAAATGGTTAAAATGGTAAATCTTATGTAATACATATTTTATTAATAACACAATAAACAAAAAAATTTTTCATGGGAAAAATGGCATTGCTTTTAAGAAAATATGAGTAAGGTAATTTTTTAAAGACTACTATTAATAAGTAAATAATTTACATCAGATATTATGTGATAATTAGAATCAGCAAGGAAGACTCATGTTGATCTGCACCAGTGGTCCCCAGGCTATAATGTGACAGCCAATTCCCTCATTCTGGCCCAAGCTCCTGCTTCTCCAAAGGAATACGTTTACCCATTTGGAGCCAGGGTCCTTCAGTATTTCAATATTGTAACTATCTCAGGCCTTGTGAATTCTGTATCCCTATTTGTTTAAATGAAGCCCAATTCTTACTGAACTATCCACCATAACAATGGAGTATTTAGTAAGACTTGTGCTTAGTATAACATATAAAATCCCAAAAATATCTTTATTTCATCCAATTAAGGATACTATATCATGAAAATGCAAAATTGTGACTTAATAACTTCTCCTTTGGATTAGCTAAGCATACAGTGTGGAATATTCCTTCTGAATATGGATTATGATATAACATGGTCAGGTACATTAATGTACACCTATGTTCCCAGGATCTCTCCTTCATAAAACTTCTTAATACTAGTTTTTTGCTCTCCAGTTTTAAATTTTCAGGAGAAGCCAAAATTATTATTATTATTATTATTATTATTATTATTATTTTTTGAGACAGGGTCTCACTCTGTCACCCAGGCTGGAGTGCAGTGGCGTGATCTCGGCTCACTGCAACCTCTGCCTCCCTGGCTCAAGCAATTCTCCTGCCTCAGCCTCCCAAGTAGCCATGCTGGGCTCATTTTTGTATTTTTAGTAGAGATGGGGCTTCACCATGTTGGCCAGGCTGGTCACCTCAAGTGATCTTCCTGCCTCGGCCTCCCTAAGTGCTGGGATTACAGGCATGAGCCACCACACCCGGTAGAGGAGCCAAAAGTATTAATATTATGCTGAATATATTCTCAAATCTTCTCCAGAGTGCCAAAGGAGTGACTTAACAATTAAGCAGTTGGCCGGGTACGGTGGCTCAAGCCTGTAATCCCAGCACTTTGGGAGGCCGAAGCGGGTGGATCACGGAATCAGGAGATTGAGACCATCCTGGCTAACGTGGTTAAACCCCGTCTCTACTAAAAAATACAAAAAATTAGCTGGGCATGGTGGCACGCGCCTGTAGTCCCAGCTACTCGGGAGGCTGAGGCAGGAGAATGGCATGAACCCGGGAGACGGAGCTTGCAGTGAGCTGAGATCGCGCCACTGCACTCCAGCCTGGGTGACAGAGCGAGACTCTGTCTCAAAAACCAAAAAAAAGAAAAAAAAAATTAAGCAGTTAATCTGATTAACGGAGAAACTGGGCAGAGTCATCACAAGGTGAATGACTTAGCCTGCTCATTCAGCTGGGATGTTTACTTTATTCATATTAACCTTAGCTTAGTTTTCTTTTCACTTTGTGCATCATTTCAGGATAGGAAGGATGTTCTCAAAGAGTTAGGAGGATATCTAGGTGAGGCAGGAGTAGATAACCAGTTCAGATTATAGTTTTGGCTAGATAATGTCATGGTCTTTAAAATTTCTTTTTTTTCTTTTTTTTCTTTTTTGAGACGGAGTTTCGCTCTTACAACCCAGGCTGGAGTGCAGTGGCGCAATCTTGGCTCACTGCAACCTCCGCCTCCTGGGTTCAAGCGATTCTCCTGCCTCAGCCTTTCAAGTAGCTGGGATTACAGGTATGTGCCACCACGCCCAGCTAATTGTGTATTTTTAGTAGAGACAGGGTTTCACCATATTGGTCAGGCTGGTCTCGAACTCCTGACCTCAAGTGATCCACCTGTCTCGGCCTCCCAAAGTGCTGGGATAACAGGCATGAGCACTGTGCCTGGCCTAAATTTCTTTTAAACATATTTAAAAGGCTGTTTTAATAGAATCATAACAACTAATGTAATGTGTGATCTGGATTGGACCTCGTACTAGAATTTTGGAGTAGAGGGCTACAAAGCATACCATCGAGATAACTGGCAAAATACGGTCTTTAAATGAGATAACAGTATTGTATCAATGTTAATATCTCCAGATTTTGATAATTTTACTGCAGTCCTCTAAGAAAATGTCCTTGCTCTTAGGAAATACACCCTAAAGAATTCAGAAGTAAAGAAAAGAGACATTTCCTGTCAAATCTACAACTTACTTTCAAAAAGTTCAGGGAAAAAAAGTTTATATATTTATATACGTATGTATGCATATACATATATACATATATACATGTACAGTACATCAAGACAAAATGATAGGGAAAGCATGGTAAAATAAGGGAATCGCCGGGCACAGTGGTTCATGCCTGTAATCCCAGCACTTTGGGAGGCCAAGGTGGATGGATCACCTGAGGTCGGGAGTTCAAGACCAGCCTGACCAACACGGAGAAACCCCGTCTCTACTAAAAATACAAAATTAGCCAGGCGTGGTGGCGCATGCCTGTAATCCCAGCTACTCAAGAGGCTGAGGCAGGAGAATTGCTTGAACCCAGGAGGCAGAAGTTGCAGTGACCTGAGATTGCGCCATTGCACTCCAGCCTGGGCAACAAGAGCGAAACTCCATCTCAAAATAATAATAATAATAATGAAATCTGAGTAATGGGTAGGGGAGTTCATTGTATTATTCTAACTTTTCTATAGGTAGGAATTTTTTTTGAGGCAGGGTCTCTGCTGTGTCTCAGGCTAGAGTGCTGTGGTGCAATCACAGCAAACTGCAGCCTTGACCTCCCAGGCTGAGGTGATCCTCCCACCTCAGTCTCCCAAGTAGCAGGAAACACAGGCATGCACCACACCTGGCTAATATTTTTCTTATTATTTTTGTAGAGGTGGGGTCTCCCTATGTTGTCCAGGCTGGTCTCAAACTCTTGGGTTCAAGTGATCTTCCTGCCTTGGTTTCCCAAAGTGCTGGGATTACAGGCATGAGCCACCATGCCCAGCCAGAAATAATTTAAAATAAGAAATTTACTAAAAAAAAATTTTAAGCTAATATAATTTCATTCA
This sequence comes from Homo sapiens, assembly GCF_000001405.40. Lineage (NCBI taxonomy): Eukaryota > Metazoa > Chordata > Mammalia > Primates > Hominidae > Homo > Homo sapiens. Next base: position 23,420,738 of record NC_000018.10, read on the forward strand.
TCATATCCTATGATCTAAAACAAAGCAAAATTAATTTGACATTATAAAATATATATCTCAATTAACTTTTTTCCCCACACTACATCAATGTATCAGTTAATACTATATTAGTGGCATTATTACCCAGGAAAATACTATTTGAATTTTATCTGAAAATAAAATCACTAAACCTCACGGTTAGAAGGGAACTAAGAGATCAAACAAATCAAACAAACCTCTGTTTTGGCTGGGCATGGTGGCTCACGCCTGTAATCCTAGCATTTTGGGAGGTCAAGGCAGGTGGATCACTTGAGGTCAGGAGTTCGAGACCAGCCTGGCCAACATGGTGAAACCCCGTCTCTACTAAAAATACAAAAATTAGCCGGGCATGGTGGTGTACGCCTGTAATCCCAGCTACTTAGGAGGCTGAGGCATGAGAATTGCTTGAACCTGGGAAGCAGAGGTTGCAGCGAGCCAAGATCATGCCACTGCACCCTAGCCTGGGAGACAGTGAGACTCTGTCTCAAAAATAAATAAATAAGTAAATAAATAAACCTCTGTGCTTCCAGTGTAACACCATATGAAATTATATAATATCAAAAGCAAGCAGAGTGTGAATCATGCATGAGTCCAGCATAGAGAGGTTATACCTTGAACTGCTGTTGATCTCTACCCAGCCCAGTTTCCAGGACACATGAAGCAAAAGTCCACCAATGAGCGTCTGCCACCTGGAAAGGACAAGGGGCAATGTGAATTTCATAGAGTGCTACAGTCTCCAACACCATCCAGCCCCAGCAGATCTGCTGACTGACACAAAGAGACAAGTTCAACTCTATTTACTACTCTTTTCTCCTACTCTCTCCCAATTATCCCATTTCTCAGACCTTTCCTTCTCAATCTCTACTATTTCCTTGAGTCCAGCTGTCCAGCAAGTACTGACATTGACATTCTTCTCCTCTTTTTTTTTTTTTTTTTTTTGAGACGGAGTTTCGCTCCGTCGCCCAGGCTGGAGTGCAATGTTGCAATCTCGGCTCACTGCAACCTCCGCATCCCAGGTTCAAGCGATTCTCCTGCCTCTGCCTCCTGAGTAGCTGGGATTACAGGTGCGTGCCACCATGCCTGGCTAATTTTTTTGTATTTTTAGTAGAGACAGGGTTTTACCCTGTTAGCCAGGGTGGTCTCAATCTCCTGACCTCATGATCCTCCTGCCTTGGCCTCCCAAAGTGCTGGCATTATAGGCTTGAGCCACCATGCCTGGCCTCTTCTCCTCTTATTCTAGACTTTTCCTGAACAGCCTCACTCATAGCCACTGCTTCTCCCACTGCCTCTACATTGATGATTCCCAAATCCCCGTTCTCACTTGGATACTGCCACAATATCTCCCACAATATCTCCCACAAGCTCTCAATGATTATTATTATTGTTTTTATTCATAGATTTGGGGGTATATATGCTGGTTTGTTACATGGATATAGTGAGTAATGGTGAGGTTTGGGCTTCCAGTGTCCATCAACTGAATAGTATACCTTGTGCCCAATAGATACCGTTTCAACCCTCAGCCCCCTCCCATCCTCCCTACCAAGCTCCCAGTGATAACATGCCTAAATCATTACCCCGAACCTCTCCCTCAAATCATCCTCCCTATCCCCAATCAGCCAAACCAGAAACTTAGGTGGCATTCCACCTCACCTCTTTGGCCTTCACCTCCCTCGTCTAAGCACAATATCCTATTGATTTTATTTATCCCCATAACAGCATTCAAATCTGAAGTCTTCCCCACCAACCCTCCTGCCTCTGTCTCAATTCAGGCTCTCATCATCTCATGCCTGGCTCACAGCATTAGTCCCTTAACTGGTCCCCCTCTCTCCAAGGTTGCCCCCCATCCATTCTTTACTTTGCAGTCAAAGCGTTTGTCCTAAAATGCAAATTTAATTGAGCTACTCGCTTGTTTTAAAAACAGATGATTCTTCCTGCTGCCACAGGCAGCAACCCTCAGCCTCTTTTCTGTCAACAACACATTCGGGGTCATGAAGCTCACCTGAGACACACAGCCCCCAGCATGCACAGTGCAGGGGCAGCACAGGTCACAAACACCCCTCCCCCCCCCAATGCAGAAAGCACATCAGAATGCCAAATGAGTGAGAGGGACAGCTGCTTGCTCTAATTGCTTTTTCATTTTACTTGAGTCATTCATAAATGTCAAAACCCTGTTTTTCATGATAAATGACTTGAGACACCACACCTCAGAAGTGACTATGACCACAACCCACCCATGTGTTGCGACACTACAGTTGAGAACTCTGGCCTAAAGGACAAGTCACTTGGGTGTGACACATAAAGTCCTTCGGGACTTGCACCCGCCCCTCTCCACGGTCAGCTCCTGTCTGTCTGCTATGTGCAGCCACATTCCAGCCACAGCAGATGGCCCACAGCCTTGGGAACATGCCAGGCCATGTCATACTTCTAGGAGTCTGGTTGTGCCATCCTCTTGCCCCATAATGTTCTTCCCATCTCTTTGTCTGTAGTGAACACCTGCTCAGCCTATAACACCCAGTTTGCACATATCCTGTGTGAAGTTTCACTGACCCAGCCAAGCAGAACACACCAAATGTGGGTCCTGCCTTCAAACAGTTTGGTCCAGTACAGTGATTCTCAACCAGGCAATCTTCCCCTCCAGGGGGCATTTGGCAGTGTCTAGAGAAATGTTTGGTTGTTACAACCGGGGGAGAGGAGCGGAAGGTATGCCACTGGAATCTAGCCAGTAGAAGCCAGGGATGCTGCTGAACATCCTACAATGTGCAGGGCAGTCCCCGCTGCAAAGAATTATCCAACTCAATATGTCAGTGGCTGGAATGTCATTCCAAGGTTGAGAAACCCCGGTCTAGTGAAAGTAAGGTAATTAATCAATAATTACAAGAAACTGTGTGAAGCCCTAAAAGGAAGTGTACCAGGTACTATAAGCCACTCTACTGAGGGCAACTAACCTAGTCTAGTGAGTGGGTAAGACTTCCTAGAGAAAATAAATTTGAGCAAAAACCCAAAGTGTGTTCAAAGCAGAAGACCCAGAAGGGACAAAGGCCCAGAAGTGAGAACAACAATGGCTTGATTCAAAGCTTCTTGGAGAAGTTCATTTGGTCTGGACCCCAGCACCGGAGCACTGGAGAGGGGGCAGCAAGGGCTGACCCTAGAGAGAAGGGGCTGATCCTGAAGGACCACGTCAATCATAAGGAGCTGGGACTTCAAACTGGGGACTCACTGAAGGGTTCCAGGCATGGGAGTGACACGTCGCATTTACATTTGGGGAAGCTCCCTCTCTTTACAAGGGAGGGAATGTTACTGAGAGAAGCAAGACTAGGGGTAAAGAAGTAAGTTAGGAGTTTTTATAGTAATTGGAGAGATGACAATGGCCCAGAAAGGGGCAAGATGGATGAAGAAAGTGGACAGATGCTGAAGATGTCTAGGAGGCCCTGGTGGCTAACTGGATGTTGAAGATGAAGGAGACAAAGGAAACAAGAATCACTCCCAGGTTCTGAGTTGTGCAGTTAAATGGAGGGTAACCATTCACTGCAGGTGAATTTAAGCAACAGATGGAATTTAAAAAGCAAGCTCCATGAGGGCAGGGATCTGTTTCCTTCACTGATGTACCCCAGGCATCTGCAGAATACGTTACTCTGCCCTACCAGACACCAAGCATTGTTCTAGGCACTTGGAATACTCCAGTGACAAAATGGGTAAGTCAAAATTCCTGCCTTTGTAGATCTTACATTCTATGGGGGAGGTGCATTCAGTCTGTCTCATCCAACCAAGGACAGGGAAAAGAATGGCAATCCAAGCGTAGAGATTACCCTTTCCTATGCACATTCGCTAAGTCCCTCTACCTTTAGAGATGTGGAAAGACAACCAGAACCAAAAAAACGCTTGCTACTCTGTAAGAGAGAAACCAGTATCCCAGCTTTATTGACTAAAATACCCGTAATCACAGAAGACACTTTAAAACTTTTGCTATGAGGCTGGGCACAGTGGCTCACACCTGTAATCCTGGGAGGATCGCTTGAGGCCAGGAGTTCAAAGCTGCAGAGAGCTATGGAGTACATGCCACTGTACTCCAGCCTGGGTGACAGAGAGGGAGCCTGCCTCTACAAAAACAAACAAACACGTTTGCTATGAAATATTAGGGAGGAGCTTGACAAAGTATTTTAAAGTTCACCTGAAATAACAAAGTGGTGATAATATAATAAACATTTTTTTAAAAGAAGAATGAGGGATGGCTTGCTCTACTACATATTTAAATGGTTTAATAATTAAAACAATTCAGCACTAGTCCCTTAACATCAAAATTGACAAATACTTACCCAAAAAGAGACCCTAGAAAAATGACTTTATTATTTTTTATCTTTTATTTTTGGGACAGTCTCGCACTGTTGCCCAGATTGGAGTGCAGTGGCATGATCTCAGTTCATTGCAACCTCCACTTCCTGGGTTCAAGCAATTTGCGTGTTTCAGCCTCCCAAGTAGTAGGGACTACAGGTGCTCACCATCACACCTGGCTAATTTTTGTATTTTTAGTAGAGACAGGGTTTCATGATGTTGGCCAAGCTGGTCTCAAACTCCTGGCCTCAAGAGATCCTCCCACCTTGGCCTCCCAAAGTGCTGAGATTACAGGTGTGAGCCACTGTGCCCAGCCAAAAAAATGACTTTATACAGATGCTCTTCAACTTAGAATGGGGTTATATCCCAACAAATTGATCATACATTGAAAATGTCATAACTGAAAGAGCATTGAATACACATAACCTACTGAACACCAGAGCTTGGCCTCGCCTACCACAAACATGTTCAGAACATTTATATTAGTGTGGCTGGCTGAGAGCTGCAGCTCACCACTTGCTGCTACTGCCCAGCATCAGGAGAGAGTATTGTAGGGCATATCTGCCTGGGAAAGAGCAAAACTCAAAAGCTGAAGTATGGTTTCTACTGAAAGCATATTGCTTTCACACCATTGTACAGTCAAACAATTGTAAGTCCAACCGTCGTTAAGTTGGGACAGTCTGTATATGATATTAACAATCATATACAGATTATTATACCTTTGGACATAAGGCCAAAGGAAGGATTATACAATAAATGAGGCTAGTATAAATTAGTTAACTACTGGGGAAGGGACAATTTCCTTACATTGCACCATACACTAAATTAAACTGACAACAATTAAAGCTTGAATAAAGCTTTAAGGAAATACAGGTGAATATCTAAATGATGATTATGCCTTTGGGCATAAGGCAAAAGGAAGGATTATAGAATAAATGAGGCCAGTATAAATTAGTTAACTACTGGGGAAGGGACAATTTCCTCACATTGCACCATACACTAAATTAAACTGACAAGGATTAAAACTTGAATAAAGCTTTAATGAAATATAGGTGAATATCTAAATGGTTTTATGATGGAGAAGAAAAAAACATAAAAGCAATGGAAGCAATCATGAAAGAAACAATCAATATATTTGACCACATAAAAAATATTTAAATAATCAAAATAATTATAAACAAATTAAAAGGCAAAGAACAAATTGCAAAAATTATTTCCAAAAACATGATGGACAACAGGTTGAGCTCCTTAAAATATAAAGAATTTATTAAATTCCTATACACCAATAACAGACAAAAAGAGAGCCAAATCATGAGTGAATTCCCATTCACAATTGCTTCAAAGAGAATAAAATACCTAGGAATCCAACTTACAAGGGATGTGAAGGACCTCTCCAAGGAGAACTACAAACCACTGCTCAACAAAATAGAAGAGAACACAAACAAATGGAAGAATATTCCACGCTCATGGATAGGAAGAATCAATGTCGTGAAAATGGCCATACAGCCCAAGGTAATTTATAGATTCAATGCCATCCCCATCAAGCTACCAATGACTTTCTTCACAGAATTGGAAAAAACTACTTTAAAGTTCATATGGAACCAAAAAAGATCCCACATTGCCAAGACAATCCTAAGCAAAAAGAACAAAGCTGGAGGCATCATGCTACCTGACTTCAAACTATACTACAAGGCTACAGTAACCAAAACAGCATGGTACTTGTACAAAAACAGATATATAGACCAATGGAACAGAACAGAGCCCCCAGAAATAATACCACACATCTACAACCATTTGATCTTTGACAAACCTGACAAAAACAAGAAATGGGGAAAGGATTCCCTATTTAATAAATGGTGCTGGGAAAACTGGCTAGCCATATGTAGAAAACTGAAACTGGATCCCTTCCTTACAACTTATACAAAAATTAATTCAAGATGGATTAAAGACTTAAATGTTAGACCTAAAACCACAGAAACCCTAGAAGAAAACCTAGGCAATACCATTCAGGACATAGGCATGGGCAAGGACTTCATGACTAAAACACCACAAGCAATGGCAGCAAAAGCCAAAATTGACAAATGGGATCTGATTAAACTAAAGAGCTTCTGCACAGCAAAAGAACCTACCATCAGAGTGAACAGGCAACCCACAGAATGGGAGAAAATTTTTACAATCTACCCATCTGACAAACGGCTAATATCCAGAATCTACAAAGAACTCCAACAAATTTACAAGAAAATATCAAACAACCCCATCAAAAAGTGGGCAAAGGATATGAACAGACACTTCTCAAAAGAAGACATTTATGCAGCCAACAGACACATGAAAAAATGCTCATCATCACTGGCCATCAGAGAAATGCAAATCAAAACCACAATGAGATACCATCTCACACCAGTTAGAATGGCGATCATTAAAAAGTCAGGAAACAACAGGTGCTGGAGAGGATGTGGAGAAATAGGAACACTTTTACACTGTTGGTGGGACTGTAAACTAGTTCAACCATTGTGGAAGACAGTGTGGCGACTCCTCAAGGATCCAGAACTAGAAATACCATTTGACCCAGCAATCCCATTACTGGGTATATACCCAAAGGATTATAAATCACGCTGCTATAAAGACACATGCACACATATGTTTATTGCGGCACTATTCACAATAGCAAAGACTTGGAACCAACCCAAATGTCCACCAATGATAGACTGGATTAAGAAAATGTGGCACATATACACCATGGAATACTATGCAGCCATAAAAAAGGATGAGTTCATGTCCTTTGTAGGGACATGGATGAAGCTGGAAACCATCATTCTGAGCAAACTATCGCAAGGACAGAAAACCAAACACCACACGTTCTCACTCATAGGTGGGAATTGAACAATGAGAACACTTGGGCACAGGGTGGGAAACATCACACACAGGGGCCTGCCATGGGTTGGGGGGAGAGGGGAGGGATAGCATTAGGAGATACACCTAATGTAAATGACGAGTTAATGGGCACAGCGCACCAACATGGCACATGTATACATATGTAACAAACCTGCACATTGTGCACATGTACCCCAGAACTTAAAGTATAATAATAAAAAAATTAAAAGAATTTATTAAATTAATAAGAAAAACACTAAAACCTCAATGAAAATAAATGGGTAAAAGGCACAACTAGACAATTCACTAAAAAAGAGATACAAGTGGATCATATGCATAAGAAAATTGTCCACCTTGATGAATAATCTAAAAAATTATACGACAAAACAACATACCTTTTGCTCATGAAATCAGCAAAGAGAATCACAGTTTGAGTACAATATTATAGAAACATTCACGTAGAGGCTGAGTGGCAATGTCAATTGGTAAAACATTTTTGGAAAAGAATATGTTAATATTCAAGGAGAATACTAAAGAAGTTCATGCACTTTAACCCAAATTTATTAATTTTTATGTTTTTTAGACAGGATCTCACTTTGTCACCCAAGCTGGAGTACAGTGGCATGATTACAGCCCACTGCAGCCTCTAACTCTTAGGGTCCAACAATCCTCCTGTCTCAACCTCCTGAGTAGCTGAGACTACAGGTTCATGTCACCATGCCTAGCTAATTTTTTTTTTTTTTTTAAAGATTCAAGGGGTGCTTGTGCAGATTTGCTACACAGGTACATTGCGTGATGCTGGTTTGGGCCTCTATTGATCCTGTCACCCAAACAGTGAGCACAGTACCTAATAGGTAGTTTTTCAATCCTTACTTACCTCTCTCCCTAACTCTCCCCTTGGGGAATCCCCAGTGTCTACTATTCCATCTTTATGTCCATGTGTACCCAATGTTTAGCTGCCATTTATAAGTAAAAACATGCAGTATTTGGTTTTCTCTTTCTGTGTTAATTCACTTAGGATAATGACCTTCAGCTACATCCATGCTGCTGCTAAGGACATAATTGTGCTCTTTTTTACGGCTGCATAGTATTCCATGGTATATATATACACCAGATTTTCTTTATCCAATCCACTGTTGATGGGCACCTAGGTTGATTCCATGTCTTTGTTATTATGCATAGTGCTGTGATAAAATACACGTGAGTGTAGGTATATTTTTGGTAGAAGAATTTATTTTCCTCGAGTATATACCCAGTAATGGGATTGCTGGGTCAAATGGTAATTCTATTTTTCATTCTTTTAGAAGTCTCCAAACTGCTTTCCATAGGGGCTAAGCTAATTCACAATCCTACCAACAGTGTATAAACGTTTCCTTTTTTCCAAAACTTCGCCAACATGTTATTTTTTGCCTTTTTTTTAGACGGATTTTCACTCTTGTTACCCAGGCTGGAGTACAACGGTGCAATCTCAGCTCACTCCAACCTCCAGCTCACTCCAACCTCCGCCTCCCAGGTTCAAGCCATTCTCCTGCCTCAGCATCCCAAGTAGCTGGGATTACAGGAATGTGCCATTATGCCTGGCTAATTTTTTTGTATTTTTAGTAGACATGGGGTTTCGCCATGCTGGTCAGGCTGATCTTGAACTCCTGACCTCAGGTAATCCTCCCACCTTGGCCTCCCAAAGTGGTGGGATTACAGGCATGAGCCACCACACCGGCCATTTTTTGACTTTTTAATAACAGCCATTCTGACTGGTATGAGGTGGTATCTCATTGTGGTTTTGATTTGCATTTCTCTGATGATTAGTGATGTTAAGCACTTTTTCATATGTTGGCCACTTGCATGTCTTGTTTTGAGAAGTGTCTATTCGTGTACTTTGCCCACTTTTAAAGGAATTATTTAGTTTTTTTCTTGTTGATTTATTTAGGTTCCTTATAGATTGTGGATATTAGTCCTCTGTTGGATGCATAGTTTGCAAATATTTTCTCCCATTCTGTAGGCTGTCTGTTTACTCTGTTAATAGTTTCTTTTGCTGTTCAGAAAGTCTTTAGTTTAATAAGGTCCCAATTGTCAATTTTTGTATTTGTTGCATTTGCTTTTGAGGACTTACCATAAATTCTTTGTCTAAGCCAGTGTCCAGAAAAGTATTTCCTAGGTTTTCTTCTTGGATTTTTAGAGTTTGAGATCTTACATTTAAGTCTTTAATCCATCCTGAGTTAATTTTTGTATATGGTGAGACAAAGGGGTCCAGTTTCATTTTTCTGCATATGGTTAGCCAGTTTTCTTTTTTATTTTTTTTTTGTAGACAGTGTCTTGCTATGTTGCCCAGACTGGTCCTGAACTCCTGGCCTCCTACAATCCTCTTGCCTCAGCCTCCCAAAGCGCTGGTATTATAGTAATGAGACACCACGCCTAGCCTAAACCAAATTTCTTATGTAGGAATCAATCCCAAAGAAATAGTTGGAGATCTGGCAGACTTTAACACAAAAATGTCTAGTAACATTGTTTTCATACCCCCAAAATAGAACATAAATGTCTGTTAATAAGGCGGCTAAATATCTTACAATATGTCTATTTGACAAAAAAAATCTATGCAGTTATTAAAACTATTTCAAAGAATGATGGTGGTTGGACATTTCCTAAAAATGTATATAAAGAGCAAAGAAGATACTCACCCTTGGAATAATGTAGGGTAGGTAAATTTCAAGACAGACAGCACATACTGAAAAACAAACACCAAATTACTGGACATTTCAAATGATAGAAAACTGACAAACCATATAATCAAAGACATTTCTATTAAAAAACATAACCACATAACCTAAGTAAATTCAAGTTTTAAAAAGGCCATTATTCCCACCAAAATCACAAACTGGGCAAACAAATGACCTCCCAAGTCATACTAAAGAAATTGAGCCAGCTGGGCACGGTGGCTCATGCCTGTAATCCCAGCACTTTGGGAGGGTGAGGCAGGCAGATCACAAGGTGAGGAGTTCGAGACCAGCCTGGCCAATATGGTGAAACCCCGTCTCTATTAAAAATACAAACATTAGCTGGGCGTGGTGGTGCGCACATGTAGTCCCAGTTACTCAGGAGGCTGAGGCAGAAGAATCGCTTGAACCTAGGAGGCAGAGGTTGCAGTGAGCAGAAATCACGCCACTGCACTCCAGCCTGGGCAACAAAGTGAGAGTATATCTCAAAAAAAAAAAAAAAAAAAAAAAAAGTAAAGAAAAAGAAAAGAAAAAAGAGATTGAGCCACTTTTTCCCAGGGCTACCAGAAGCCTGGCTGCCTTTTAGTTGGTGAAATGGAGCTGGCATCATGAGCAAACATGGAAGCACAGCAGCTGGGTCTGATGTTATAGATGCTGGAACACTCAGCACCTTCCCAGATGTCAGAAATGTCACATTGTAACTGTAGCAGCCCCAGAGTCATTCAGACAAGTCCCTGGACACAGTCTGTTTTCTCAGGGTATCCACTTCATCTATGGTCCAGTTTACCTAAAAATCCAATCCTTTCTTTGTTTCTCTTCAAGTAAAATCACCTCCTAGTCTTTCTTTCCTTTGTTGTCCTTCAATTTTTAGGGTTTTGTATGTCTTTTGTATTAAATGATTTTTTTTCAAACTAATTCTGCATTTTAGGATTTTGTATGTTGTTTGCATTAAATGATTTTTTCAAACCAATTCTGCATAGGAGTCATAGTTTTTGCTGTGTTTTAGCATGTTACGGACTTTTTTTAAACCAACTCAGTTAAGGTCAATTTCTATTTCTCTTATGTATATTTATGTATATTAATTGAATTTACAGCACTTTATGAGTGAAGGAATTGTGTTTTATCCTTCTGGGTATCTTTTCCATTTTTTTCCTATTATTGACCAAGTAGAATTTACTTTTTTAAGTCTAAAACCATTAAACGGCTTTAGGCAAGGACTCTGCTGATCCTTCACATGCTCTAAAAAAATGGAGTGGACTGGTGCTGGGCAAGTTTATATATCTACTTTTTTCCCAGGGATTAGTCCACACAGAATTCCCCTTGTCTGAGCTCCTAAATGCCACAATTATGGCTAACTGCTTATGCGTTGTTCTACACTTCCTCTTCTTCCTTGAAATCTATTTACTACATAATTCAATATGCTCTTCCCTACTTTTCTGATATTTTTATTCTTATATGGAGAAAAGGAAAGGATTAACTGAGCATCTGAGTCACAGCCTGAAATGCCCTTAACAAGCTTCATTATGACAATAAATATTTAGTTTACTGTGTGCTTAGCTTTGGCCTACATACTGGAGGAAATCAAAGATCCTGAAGCTCTTGCCTCACCTTGCTAAAGAACAGAGAAAAAAGAAACGCAATTCCTCACATCACTGAGAAGTGTTGCTCAGACAAAATGCTATTCTATTGAACAGCAAAGCCCTAGCAATGAGGTTCTTGAGGAAAGAGAAGGAGCCCCATGCGCGGTGGCTCACGCCTGTAATCCCAACACTTTGGGAAGCCGAGGCGGGAGGATCACAAGGTCAGGAGTTCGAGACCAGCCTGACCAACATAGTGAAACCCCGTCTCTACTAAAAATACAAAAATTAGCCGGGCGTGGTGGTATGCGCCTGTAACCCCAGCTACTCAGGAGGCTGCGGCAGGATAATCACTTGAACCCGGGAGGTGGAGGTTGCAGTGAGCCGAGATTGAGCCACTGCACTCCAGCCTAGGAGACAGAGTGAGACTCCTTCTCAAAAAAAAAAAAAAAAAGAAAGAGAAGGAGCAATTTGGGAGCCATTGACGCCTGTAATTCCAGCACTTTGGGAGGCCAAGGCGGGAGCCCAGGAGTTGAAGACCAGCCTGGGCGACATGGTGAGACCCTATCTTGACAAAAAATACAAAAATTAGCCGGACATGGTTGTGCAAGCTGTGCTCCCAGCTACTTGGGAGGCTGAGGTGGGAGGATCACTTAAGCATGGGAGGCAGAGGTTGCAGTGGGCCAAGATCATACCACTGCACTCCAGCCTTGGCAACAGAGCAAGACTCTGTCTCAAAAAAAAAAAAAAAAAAAAAAATTGGAGCCATTGAAAGGCATGCAAGCAAATTTCTTATGCTTATTATCCACTTGTAACTCTTTTCTTTTTTTTTTTTGAGATGGAGTCTTGCTCTGTCACCCAGGCTGGAATGTAATGATGCAATCTTGGCTCACTGCAACCTTTGCCTCCCAGTTCAAGTGGTGTTCCTGCCTCAGCCTCCCAAGTAGCCATGACTACAGGCACGCACCACCATGCCCAGCTAATTTTTGGCTACTCTCGAACTCCTGACCTCAGATGATCCACCTGTCTTGGTCTCTCAAAGTGCTGGGATTACAGGCATGAGCCACTGTGCCTGGCCTTGTATCTCTTTTTTCAGTGAATTGTCTACTTCTGCTGTTTACCCATTTATTTTCACTGAGGTTTTAGTATTTATTAATTTAATAAATTCTTTGTATTTTACAGATGCCAACCACTTGTCCAGAACAGAAATGAACTTTGCCTCTGAGCTGAAGGCTCAATTGCTATGAGGGGAAGAAGGACAGCTGGCTGCCTAGGGCCTGATTACAGCTGGAACCTCCCAAAGGATGGAGGAACACGTCATCAGCCAGGGCCAGCCCAGGCCACCAAGCCAGAGCTCAAGGGTGTGGTGCTTTCTCCTCCCTCCCTACCTAGGGCAGCTTCCTTTGACAGCACACTTGCTGCTTCAAACTTCTAACAAATATCGACCATTCTTTCAAACAATAGAAGGGGGTCAGAATGAGCTATATAAGATCTTTTTCAAAAGAATTTTCTTTCTACGAATAAATAGGAGAACTGCTGAAGGAGAAAATTACACTAAAAAAAATGGAAATAAACTGAAATGGAGGCTTCAAAAAACTAGAAGAGAGCATCCTCTACTTTAGACAAAAAAAAAACTTCACTAATTCAAAAGAAAATTAATGTGGCAGAGAAATTACATGCTCTCTGCCACATTAGAGTACAATATGCTCATAATAGAATATGCTCATAGTAGGATATGCTCATAGTAGAATGAATATGCTCATGGGGTGTCCACTGCAGATTTCTTCCCAGTTGGCCTCTACTTAGTCCAAGCCGACCCACCCAGCCTTGGTTACCAGAAGGGAGCATCACCATCCTGCTTGAGAAGATGAAACAATGGCCATAAAAGGTTCAAGCTTATAAGAGATATAAAGTTCCTCACCAGAGTCCCATAATGTACAACCTACCTGGCTCTCCCATCTCCTCTCCTCCACTCTCGAGCTCACCTCCTCCTCCCTCTGTAGACAATCTCCTTGGTCTCCCCTTCTTTCCTGCCTTCTGCTGTTCTTGACCTACTCTTTCCACTAGCTCTGACACTTCCCAACATCCCCAAGCCAAAGCATTCCAAACCATTGTATTTACATTCTCGGGACCCTTGGTCAGCTACGATTTCGATTATTCAGATTATATATTCCTGGGACCAAACAATTTGGTTTAATTTCATCTAATACATAGATGCATTATGCACATGGAAGGTATTTTGTCCTTTTATTAAATTTGTTGGCTGGGCACAGTGGCTTATACCTATAATCCCAGCATTTGGGAGGCCAAGGCAAGGTGGGCAGATCGCTTGAGCCCAGGAGTTAAAAACTAGCCTGAGTAACATGGCAAAACTTCGTCTCTATTAAAAAAAATACAAAAATTAGCCAGGCATGGTGGCGCACGCCTGTAGTCCCAGCTACTGAGGAGGCTGAGGTGTGTGGATCGCTTGAGCCTAGGAGGCAGAGGTTACAGTAAGCCATGATTGCACCACTGCACTCCAGCCTGGGTGACAGAAGACCCTGTCTCAAAAAACAAACAAACAAAAATTTATAAAAGGCCATGGGGCTCCAAAAAATTTTGAAAAAGTGCCACAAATGAAAATGTACATCCAGGCCAGGAGTGGTGGCTCATGACTGTAATCCCAGCACTTTGGGAGGCTGAGGTGGGCGGATCACCTGAGGTCAGGAGTTCAAGACCAGCCTGGCCAACATGACGAAACTCCATCTCTACTAAAAATATAAATATTAGCCCAGCATGGTGGTGCACACCTGTAGTCCCAGCTACTCGGGAGGCTGAGGCACTAGAATCGCTTGAACCTGGGAGGCGGAGGTTGTGGTGAGCCGAGATCACACCACTGCACTCCAGCCTGGGTGACAGAGTGAGCCTGTGTCTCAGAAAAAAAAAAATTAGAAAAGAAAAGAAAGAAAGAAAATGTACATCCAAAGAGGGGCATAAATTTCTATGAACTAAATGCTATTTGTCTGCTTTTTTTTTTGCTTAGATAAAATGTTTTTTATCTAACCAATGCCATGGCTCATGGGCTTTCATGACAGATGTGTTAATCTACCCCTTCTAGTGATTATGTGGAAATAAAAGAAAGGTTATTCTGTTTTAAAGTAAAATTTTATCATTATATCCATCAGGTTCGCTAGACAAATTAGAAGAGTTAAATTGAAAAAGCCAGAGATTTCACAAATTCACAAATTTCTGAATAGGTGCTACAAAAAACAAACAAACAAACAAACAAGCAAACCAAAAAAACTGCTTTTAGTTTAGCTACTTGTCCCATGAGAAGAAAACAAATCTGTTAAAAGTTACTAATTACTGTCACAGTATAAACAAAAGATTGTCCTTTTCTTCCAGAGTAACGACCGTTTATCTTATAGTTTGCCACAATGGCAAGCACTAGGCCACCTACCTTACAAACATCATTTCTTTTGTTGTTGTTCAGACGAAGTCTGGCTCTATTGCCCAGGCTGCAGGCGCAGTGGCGTGATCTCCACTCACTGCAACCTCCGCCTCCCTGGCTCAGGAGATTCTCATGCCTCAGCCTCCTGAGTAGCTGGGATTACAGGTGCCCACCACCATGCCTGGCTAATTTTTGTGTTTTTAGTAGAGATGGGGTTTCACCATATTTACCAGGCTGGTCTCAAACTCCTGATTTCAAGCGATCCGCTCACCTCAGCCTCCCAAAGTGCTCGGATTACAGGCCTGAGCCACTGTGCCTGGCCAACACCATTTCCATTAACTCTCACAACAACACTTTCTCTTTTTTTTTTTTTTTTTTTTGAAACTGAGTCTTGCTCTGTTGCCCAGGCTGGAATGCGATCTCGGCTCACTACAACCTCCGCCTCTCAGGTTCAAGTGATTCTCCTACCTCAGCCACCTGAGTAGCTGGAATTACAGGCGCCTGCCACCACGCCTGGCTAATTTTTGTATTTTCAGTAGAGACGGGGTTTCGCCATGCTGGCCAGGCTGGTTTCGAACTCCTGGCCTCAAACAATCCACCCGCCTCGGCCTCCCAAAGTGCTGGGATTACAGGCGTGAGCCACCACGCCCGGGCCACAACAACAATTTCAAGAGGACTCTTTGTCCCATCTTAAAGTTAAGAAACTTAGGTTTAGAAAGAGTAAGGTTCCAAACGCCAAGTAAGTGGAGCCAGGAAGTAAAACCCATCACTGCCTCCCAGGAAGGCTGCATTTATGGACCTTCAAAGGCTTATCGCCATAACTAAAAATCAACTGGAGGCCAGGCGCAGTGGCTCACACCTGTAATCTCAGCATTTTGGAAGGCTGAGGCATGCGGATCACCTGAGGTCAGGAGTTCGAGACCAGCCTGGACAACATGGTGAAACCCCGTCTCTACTAAAAATACAAAAATTAGCCCAGCGTGGTGGCGCACACCTGTAGCCCCAGCTACTCACGAGGCTGAGGCAGGAGAATCGCTTGAACCCAGGAGGCAGAGGTTGCAGTGAGCCGAGATCACGTCACTGCACTCCAGCCTGGGTGACAGAGCGAGACTCTATCTCAAAAAAATAAAAATAAAAATCAACTGGAGAAGGAAAGGGGGTTGGGGAGCATCCTCTGAATATATAAAGGCAGCCATTCATTGTAGGAGAGGAGGTAGAAGGAAATGCTGTTTGTCGATGGTTCTTTTCCAGAGAGGAAGAGAGGAGAAAGGAAGAGCGGGGAGCAGGTGGGGAGCCCGCAGTAAGACCCCACAGTGGGGCCAGGTGGTCTTGCACCCTGTATTCCCACTTTGGCTGGGGCCAGCCCAGAGTCCAGGCCAGCAGGTAATGCCCCAGCCATGCCCACTCGGTCCTATTGGATCCAACCTTTCCCTGCGTGGTACCAAACCTAAAGCCAGCTTCCCTCTCCTTGCAAAACAAAACCCCAAAGCTGGCACCACTGCTTCTCTGCCTCCTCACCAAAAGGTTTTCATGATGTCATGACATTAGTTTAAACCTAAAACTAAATGTATGTTTTATTTTAAAAAATAATAATTCCATGAAAAACTCCTGAAGTGCTTACAATGGAGACGTACAAAAAAATTGATTCGGGAATCAGCAGTGTGAGGGGGAGACGGCTTAATCTCTTCTATTTAAAGGCTTCTGGAACTTCACGGGGGCTCTGGGACAGGGGCGTGTTTAGAAAAAAGGCAGGATGTGTCAGATTTCTTCTGACTCTTCCTCCCCGGGGGAGCAGGAGCCAATTGCTTGCTTTCTCTTAAAACTAGTCCACACAGCCCCAAACCAAGTTCCCGGGAAATGGCCAGCCCAAAAATCCTGTTTCCCTGGAGATGTACCGTGCTTTACAGTGCAGGAAACGGGGACAGTACAGGCTGGCAAATCCTATTTCTGAAAGAGCATCCCACACACGGAGGAGGTTCGCTCTCCATCTCCATCGCCACCAGGAAGAATGAGGTAAAAAGCAGGAGGAGGCTCCGTTTGTCACGGGAAGATTCTCCGACTCAAACCTCCCACGTGCAATCGCTGCCTCCCGCGCCCGCCCCCTCACCTTGTTCGTGAGGTAAGAAGCCAGGTAGCAGGTACAAAAGGTGAGGCCGACCAGAGACCTCCTCACGCACATCTGTCAACTCGTCCCCTTCTCGGGGATCCACGGTGCCTGCCCAAATCCCCTGGCCGCCGCCCGACCCCCGCAGCAGCAGCAGCGGCAGCGGCAGCAGCCGCCCAGAGACGGCCACGTGGCTCCGAGCTCCGCCAATCAGCGCGGGGACCGCCCCCGGCGTCTGCCTTCTTAAAGGGGCCGCGCCCTCGAAGGACGGTCATTCTTCTTTTATTTTTTATTTTTTATTTTTTTATCTTCTTTTAAAGAGTAGAAAGTGGCAGAAGAGGAAAAAAGCATACCGCAGTTCACAATACCCCATCAGTGTTTAAAGAAAAATGTTCATCGCTATCTCTAAACTATGAGACCAAAATATTACCCGTGCTTCACTGAATTTTCCCAATTTTCTCCACTGAGTCTGTAGCGCTTTGGCAAATGACACAAAAAAGGTAACAGCAACAAATGTTCACTTAAAAGAGGGAAGGTGAAGGAAGAAGGAACTGGAATTGAGTATAGGTTTTTTGAGTTTTGTTTGTATTTAAAGTCATTCCATTCTCTTGACATTTCTATAAAATAAGAACCCTTTCCCAAGCACAGCCCCTATTCCTATTCCTATTCCTAGTCTATAGGGTGGAAAACTGGACTCATGAGGCTTCCGGCAAATGTTAGTAAACATGCAAGAAAACCTATTGATGGACTTGGACAATAGCAAAAAGTGCCAGTGTTCTCTGCCTGTAGAAACACACAGATTTTCAGAAACACCCACACACGGGGAAACCATCACTCTTAAGCCACAGCAAAAGTCCTCCTGGCTCTCGGTGCTGGAGCAGTGGATGGAAAACGACACACCAACCCTTATGTAATTTTTCTGTTTTTCAGAAGCATGCCTTGTTTCTCTCTGCTCCCTCCAGCATTGAGGGAGGGCTGACCTCGGCTTGTCCCCTTGAAGCCACTCCCCAGCCACCACTGTCTCATCGCAGTCCTTTGCCTCTGCTCACTTTTCCACAGGTCTCTTCCTGGGCCTGCTGGTTGGTCTGCAGAGGGGACCAACATAGAGATGGAGGTAGGCTGGTCACCCCTTCCCTCCCTTTTCTCCCACAGTCTCCTTCAAACCACTTGTACAGATGGGTATAGCTTTCTCTACCAAGACTGGATGATATGGTTTGGCTGTGTCCCCAAATCTCATCTTGAATGGTAGCTTTCATAATTCCCACATGTTATGGGAAGGACCTGGTGGCAGATAATTGAATCATGGGGGCAGTTTCCCCCATATTCGTCTCGTGGTAGTGAATAAGTCTCCCCAGAGCTGATGGTCTTATAAGGGGAAACCCCTTTCGCTTGGCTCTCATTTTTTCTCTCTTGCCTGCCACCATGTAAGACGTGCCTTTTGCCTTCCACCATGATTATGAAGCCTCCCCAGCCCCGTGGAACTGTGAGTCCATTAAACCTCTTTTTCTTTATAAATTACCAAGTCTCGGGTAAGTCTTTATCAGCAGCGTGAAAACAGACTAGTACACTGGGTTATTAAAAAGCAAAAATACAGAACAGGAAGAGAGGAGATGAAGCTTCAAATGCACTAAATTTTCCTCTCCATAGAAATAAAATCATGTAAGAAGTTAACACTTCACAAGGAGGCCCCTTCACAAGCCTACACTCGCTTCTCACCTATCACTCTTGCCCCAGAGTTTGTGTCTCCCTCTCCAAAACACCAATCTTTAACGACAATTTAAAAAGATCATTGTGGCCAGGCGCGGTGGCTCATGCCTGTAATCCCAGCACTTTGGGAGGCCGAGGCAAGCAGATCACGAGGTCAGGAGATCGAGACCAACGTGGCTAACATGGTGAAACCCCGTGTCTACTAAAAAAATACCAAAAAAATTAGCCGGCCGTGGTGGCGAGCGCCTGTAGTCCCAGGTACTCGGGATGCTGAGGCAGGCGAATGGCGTGAACTTGAGAGGCGGAGCTTGCAGTGAGCCAAGATCGTGCCACTGCACTCCAGCCTGGGAGACAAAGTGAGACTCCGTCTCAAAAAAAAAAAAAAAAAAAAAAAAATCATTGTAACAAGACTAATAGAGATTTATAAAAGAAAAATTAGCAAACCAATACCACACTCTTAACCACTCACATAACCAATACCAACAGGTTGGTGTATCCTTCTACACCTTCCTCCGTATTCACATATCAACATATACCCATTTGTAATTTGTTGCCTCACGAAAATGGATCTAGCTATTCACATTGCTAAACAACTTACTTTTACAACTACAGGTCAACACATAGAGATTTAATTTTTTAAAAAAGCTGCAGGCATTCCATAGTATGGATATACCGTAATGTATTCAACCATTCTGCTGTTGACATAATTATGTTGTTTCTAGTCTTTTGCTACAACAAACAAGGCTATAATAAACATCTTTGTACATATGTCTTTACCTCCTGCTGGTTTAATTTCTGTAGAATAGATTCCCAACAGGAGGATTGCAGAATCACAGCGTGTGTGTATTTTCTTAAATCATTACTTTCCACTTCCCTTTACTTTCTGCCTGTGGGAATCCTACTTACATCTAGCTCTTCTCAAGCACTTCAGGCATAACTTATTCTCCTCTCTTTTCCAGTACTACTTTTTAATACGTATTACAATAATTAGCATCTTACGTTTTTTCCATATTGTGGTTCATGAAGAAAATGATAGTATTTGTTCAGAGCCCCAGGCCAAATTGCTGACACTGCTTAGAGTCTGAAATGCTTCCAGGCCTCCCTGAAGTTGAGGAGGAACTCCTGTAACTCTTGCCCAGCCACACCAGTTAAGAAGCTGTATTAGGCTGAGTGTGGTG
Source organism: Homo sapiens (assembly GCF_000001405.40). NCBI lineage: Eukaryota > Metazoa > Chordata > Mammalia > Primates > Hominidae > Homo > Homo sapiens. The sequence continues at coordinate 23,440,663 of NC_000018.10, forward strand.
GCTCACACCTATAATCCCGGCACTTTGGGAGGCTGGGGCGGGTGGATCACCTGAGGTCAGGAGTTCAAGACCAGTCTGGCCAACATGGTGAAACCCCATCTCTACTAAAAATACAAAAAATTAGCTGGGCATGGTGGAGTGTGCCTGTAATCCCAACACTTTGGGAGGCCAAGGTGGGCAGATCACCTGAGGTCAGGAGTTCAAGACCAGCCTGGCCAACATGGCGAAACCCCATCTCTATTAAAAATACAAAAGATTAGCTGGGCATGGTGGGGTACGCCTGCAATCCCAGCTACTTGGGAGGCTGAGGCAGGAGAATCACTTGAACCTGGGAGCCGGAGGTTGCAGTGAGCCAAGATCACACCACTGCACTCCAGGCTGGGTGACAGAGCAATACCCTTTCCCCCAAAAAAATTAAAACAATAAAAAGAAGCTGTATTAGAGTCAGGGTGATGCATACCCTCTCTCCTCAGCCACATGGCAGCTCTTGGAGCACATAGGCGTCCCTATGCTTAGCTCAGTGCCTTACACAAACTAGGTACACTGATAAAGGCATGTTGAAGGAATCTATCAACTGAATGAATGCATCAATGAAGTGATGTAGGAATGGGATTTTAAAATGTCAAATAGCATGGAACACATATAATACCAAAAAGGCCTGGAATCCATAACACAAAAGACACCTACAGTCACCAGCTTGCCACATGGACATCAAACAACCTCACAGGAGACTGCCTTTAAAGGGATATTGCTATTAAGAGGATAACGACTATAGCAAATGAGTAACTTAAATTGCATTGGCAGAAACACTTTTGTTGGTAAACTTCTTTGCTAGTTGTTATTGCTTTGTTTCACTATTGTCCAGGCTTTGTACAGTGTTGCCTAAAAAGTAATGAGTATGCCAATTCAGTTCCTAATTAAAGGTATTCATACTATATTGAGTTTAATCACACTTCTGTTATATATTATTATCAAAGAAATCTAATCATTCTTTTCTTTTTTTTTCCTTTGAGGTGAGGTCTTGCTCTGTCACCCAGGCTGCAGTGCAGTGGCATAATCTTGGTTCACTGCAATCTCTGCCTCCCGGGCTCAAGCAATCCTCCCATCTCAGTCTCCTGAGTAGCCAGACTACAGGCACATGCTACCATGCCCAGCTAATTTTTGTATTTTTTGTAGAGATGAACTTTTGCCATGTCGCCCAGGCTGGTATTGAACTCCTGGACTCAAGCCGTCCACCTGCCTTGGCCTCCCAAAGTGCTGGGATTACAGGCGTGAGCCACCGTGCCCAGCCAAAATCTAATAGTTCTAATATAAGATTGTATTATTTAGCTATTTAATTTTATTTTAAAGTGTCAAAAAATAGGCAGAATGTGAAATTGGTTTCTGATCAAATGCAGAAATGCTAGTGGAGTGGTATGTATAAACGTATGTGATGGAATTATTAACATTGTTTCCAGACATGTGGGGTCGGGGGCGGATTCCAATGGCTTCAAAACAGAGAAGAAATTGGAAAGAAGCTGAGAGACTACATTAGTTAGGATATTTTCTAGTGTAAGTCAGAGAACTTCTAACACATATTGGCTCAAATGATAAGAATACATTGATTCATGTAACTGAAAAGTCCAGATAGATCAGGCTTCAAGTATAGTTTGGTCCAGGTATTCAACAATACCTGGGGTATCACCAAGAACTAGGGTGACCATGGATCCTGATTTGCCTAAAACACTTCTGATTTATGCTTTTGTCCTAGCATAATTATTAACAGCACCCCTTTCATTCCTACAAGTGTCTTGGTTTGGATGATAAATGGTCACCAACCAAGAACTTAGTTTCTTCCTACCCTTGGCTCTGCTTTCCAGGGCGCCTGGGTTCTCATGTGATTACTGCTGCCAGAGGAACCAGGGCTACCTGTGGCTCATTCAGCTTCAGAATGAGAATTTCTCTTCCCCCATTCAACAAACAACAAGCCTGTGGTTCCTTAAAATTAGACCATCTCAGGACAAATGCCTACCCGGAAACAATCACTGTATATAAGATAATTTAGACTTCTTTAGTTACATGATTAAAATTTACAAAATTATTTAGAGATTGTATAGCCAGCAAATAAAGAACTAATTATTTGTTTTCCCTAAGTAAACTGCTTATCAAACTATATTATCCAAGCAAACACCAGATATATCATCTCTACATCAAAGGTAAATAAACCTCTGGAAAAGATAAATACAGCTTAAATCAGATAAATAGCATAAAGCATAAATCAGATAAAGAGTTATTTTTCCTTGAAGTTACTTTAGGAAACTTATTTCAGAGCTAAAGTGTCCTTACAAAGAAATTTTTTGCCCAGTAGAATTTTCTTGAAATCAATGGTTCGTATTTACCTGAGATTTCTCTGAGCTCTTTCAGTAGAAGAGCAAATTCAATTCAGGCCTTATTATTTCCCAATCATTGCTTAACTTGTTTTCTTTTACAAATTTTGCTTATCAAGCGGGAACAACCAGAACAGTGAGTCATGAAAATTGATACTGACATTAGCAGTAAAAGTGCTGAAAGATATTGCCAGAGGTATTGATTTTTCCAAAGCTGTATTATTCTGTTCCAGAAACAAAGACTGAATTAAAACAAAATCAGCAGATTTTACATTGACGAACCATAGCTGTTAATGTGAGATTGAGGTAAACTTGCTATGCACATGAAAATATGTACTTGTATTATTAATTGAGATGTTTGAGACCAAAGGGGCATTATCATTAATTACTTTATTTATTTATTTATTTATTTATTTATTGAGATGGAGTCTTACTCTATCGTCAGGCTGGAGTGCAATGGCACGATCTTGGCTCACTGCAACCTCTGCCTCCCGGGTTCAAGCGATTCTCCTGCCTCAGCCTCCCGAGTAGCTGGGACTACAGGCGCACACCACCACACCCAGCTAATTTTTTTTGTATTTTTTAATAGGGACGGGGTTTCACCATGTTGGCCAGGATGGTCTTGATCTCTCTTTTTTTTTTTTTTTTTGAGACGGAGTCTCGCTCTGTCGCCCAGGCTGGAGTGCAGTGGCGCAATCTCGGCTCACTGCGAGCTCTGCCTCCCGGGTTCACAGCATTCTCCTGCTTCAGCCTGCCGAGTAGCTGGGACTACAGGCGCCCGCCATCATGCCCGGCTAATTTTTTTGTAATTTTTTTTTTTAGTAGAGACGAGGTTTCACCGTGTTAGCCAGGATGGTCTCGATCTCCTAACCTGGAGATCCGCCCGCCTCGGCCTCCCAAAGTGCTGGAATTACAGGCGTGAGCCACCGCGCCCCGCCCATTATTTTTTTTGATAATATATTCATAAATGCTCAATAAATGTTTATTGAATGAAAAAAGAGGGAAGCTTGGATAAAACAATGGCTTGTGGGATTTTTCCCCCACAAATCTTTTTTTAATAATAAATTTTTATGATAGCACACATGCAGAATTCTCAAAAGATGACAGAAGCAGTAGCACACATTTTGAAACTCCTTAAATCACCCTTAAAAAACAGAGAGAATATAAATATCTCCTATGAATATAGATGCAAAAATCTTCAACCAAACACTAGCAGAAGGAATTCAGCAACATGAAAAAGAATATACAGCTTGACCAAATGGGACTTATCCCAGGAATGCAACGTTGGTTTAACCTACAAAACCAGTTCATATAATACACAATATCTAATAAAGGATAATTTATTATATTGATATAATAAAGGATACCTAGACATAGATAAGACATTTGACAAGATTCAACACCCCTTCGCAATAAAAACATTCAGAAGCTATGGCCGGGCGTGGTGGCTCACGCGTGTAATCCCAGCACTTTGGGAGGCCGAGGCAGGTGGATCACGAGGTCAGGAGATGGAGACCATCCTGGCTAACACAGTGAAACCCCGTCTCTACTAAAAATACAAAAAAAAAAAAAATTAGCAGGGCGTGGTGGCGGGCGCCTGTAGTTACAGCTACTCGGGAGGCTGAGGCAGGAGAATGGTGTGAACCCAGGAGGCGGAGCTTGCAGTGAGCCGAGATCGCGCCACTGCACTCCAGCCTGGGCGACAGAGCTAGACTCCACCTCGAACAAACGAACAAACAAACAAAACATTCAGAAGCTAGAAATAGGAGGGAACTTCCTCAATATCATAAAAGGTTTCTATAAAAACCCACACCCTAACATCATAGCTAATGATGAAAGAGTGCTTTCCTCACTAAGATCAGAAGCCAGACTAGAATAACCAACTTGTCACTTCTATTCAACACTGTGTTGGAGGCTCTAGCCAGGACAACAAGGCAAGGAAAAATAAATAAATAAAAGGCATCCAGATTTCAAAAGAAGAAATAAAACTATCTCTAATACAGAAGACAAAATTTCACATATAGAAAACCATAAAGAATACACTAAAAAACTGTTAGAACTAGTAGATGAATCCAGCAAGTTGCAGAATGCAAGATCAATATACAAAAATCAATTATATTTCTATACACTTGCAATGCACGATCTGAAAATAAAACTAAGGAATAAGTTTTATTTAAAATACCATAAAAAGCATAATACTTATGAAAAATTGGCAAAATAAATGAAAAATTTATTATCTGAAAACTACAAAATATTTTTGAAGGGCATTAAAGAAGACCAATTGAATTAATTAATAAATAAATAAAATTAAGCAGAAAAATATCCCATGCTTATGGATTGGAAAACTGGATATTATTAAGATGGCAATAATCCCCAAGTTGATTCTACAGATTCAATACAGTCCCAATCAGAATTCTACCTGGTTTATTTTTCTCTGCAGAAATTAACTAACTGATCCTAAAATTCATATGGAAATTAAAGAGACCCTTTATAGCTAAAAATCTTAAAAGAGAAGAACAAAGTTAAAGGATTCATAGTTCTTAATTTCAGAGATTATTACAAAGCTACACTCAAGACAGTATGGTACTGGCATAAGGATACACATACAGACCAATGGAATAGAACTGAAACCCCTCACGTTTATGGCCAGTTGATTTTTGACAAGACAATCCGATGAACAAAGAACAGCACTTTTTAACAAATGATGCTAGAAGCCAGGCACAGTGCTTCACACCTGTAATCCCAGGACTTTGGGAGGCCAAGGCAGGAGGATCACTTGAGCCTAGGAGTTTGAGACCAGCCTTGGCAACATGGTGAAATCCCGTTTCTACAAAATATAAAAATTAAAAAAGTAGCCAGGTGTGGTGGCGCACACCTCCCAGTTACTCAGGAGGCTGAAGCAAGAGAATTGCTTGAGCCTAGGAGGTCAAGGCTGTTGTGAGCCATGATTGTACCACTGCACTCCAACCTGGGTGACACAGCAAGACTCTGTCTCAAAATAAATAAATAAAAATAATTTTCCTTTTGTTTATCCCTTATAGTCGATCATTATATATCAATTTTAAAAGATACTATGCAGTAAAGGGAGCAAAACAAAATCTTTGTTGTTAAAAATGGCAATGGGTTAGATAGGCTTAAGAACTGCTGAGTCCCAGCTGACCCTAACTGAACCATATCTGTAACATTTCATCTAATAATCTTATGAAACTACTCAGCAGTCACTAAATATACTATGGGCTTTCCTGCCCCTATGCCTAGTCTTAGGCTGTTCTTCCACCCAAACTAGCGTTACAGCTTCTCCCCAGCGTTCATGACCTACTTTGGTGCCACGCAGCCTTTCCAGATCTCACTACCCCACAATGAATCCTGAAATGTTTGTGTCTATAGCTGTCATTTGGAAATAAATCATGCACTCTTTGAGATAGAGGTGTTGTATTGTTATTTAATGTTATTGTGTGACTATTGTTATCTCTCCAAGTGCAATCTCACAGTTCTTTGTTTTTCCCAAAGGACTGGGGGCATCCTAGGTAGTTAATAGATAGTTGTTCATTGCCTGAAACAGCTATTTGCAGAATAGACTTATTTCAATATTAAAAACTAAAGAGCCTTATTTCTGTTCTCTTTAGAGACCAAAGAATCTGCTGATTCATGTGTTTAGACAGGGCAGATTCTCAAATAGTTTTGTTCCTGCTGAGAACCAGTGAGTTTGGCTGGGTGCGGTGGGTTACGCCTGTCATCCAAGTACTTTGGGAGGTCGAGGCAGGCAGATCACGAGGTCAGGAGATCGAGACCATCCTGGCTAACACGGTGAAACCCCATCTCTACTAAAAAAAAAAATACAAAAAAATTAGCTGGGTGTGGTGGCGGGTGCCTGTAGTCCCAGCTACTCGGGAGGCTGAGGCAGGAGAATGGCGTGAACCTGGGAGGTGGAGCTTGCAGTGAGCCGAGATTGCGCCACAGCACTCCTGCCTGGGCGACAGAGCGAGACTCCGTCTCAAAAAAAAAAAAAAAAAAAAAAAAGACAGAGAACCAGCAGTGAGTTCATCAGCAGAGAAGACAGGGAGTAGGAGCTGGAGCCAAAGCCTCTAAACATTGCTTACTCTGCCTGACAGCAAAATGGCCGTTTCCCCATTCAAGGACTCACTATTAAATCACATAGGACTAAATGCTGTTATTGGTAAACCACATTTTTCCTATTAGCAACATTTGTAAATGTAGAATTTGCAAATATTGTGCATGTCCTTCTATCTTCCTTTTTAAGGAGTACATAGTTGGTGGCATCAGGTATGTATCTTAACTGTCAACAAGCAACCATTAAAATTGTTAAACCACAAAACCCATGGGAACTCATAAACCATTAAACCCATAACAAGGGATTAATCAACTTCCCTTGTCCTTACAGCCTGCCATCCCTACTTTCTTGCCTCATTTAAAACCTTAGGGTCTTCTGGAACTATTCATTTCCCTCCAGGGCAGGGCAGCATTCTTCACTCTCCCCAGCACAGCTCCCAAAATGTTATTCCTGGCCCCTCAGGTTGTCAGGTCTCTCCAGTCTCTAACCATTCCATTATCATGACCTCTAAATTTCCTTAGCATCATCTACCAATCTCTTGGGTACAATCTGCACATTGTCTAAGACTGTGGCACCGGTACATTCTCTTCCAATCTACCTCAAGTCCTGCCATCTTGCTGGGTGGTTTTAGGGTCCACGCATATCACCCATCCAATACACTGACATTTTTATCCTGATCCGTTAAGCTTCCCAACCTCAACCTCACCACCTCTTCATTATGGCTTCCTCTGACCTCAGAATTGCCTGCATCTTCTCTACCTCTAAAATCCTTCAGTAGCCCACTATCTTTGTTACTTTTTTTAAAAATTGAGGTGAAATTCACATAACATAAAATTAACATTTTAAAGTGTAAAATTCAGCATTTAGCAGATTCACAATGGTGTGCTGCCACCACCTATATCACCCCTAAAGAAAACCCCATTAAGCTTACCCTTGAAGCAGTCACTCCCCATTATCCCCTCCCCACTCATTCCCTAGAAACCCCCGATCTGCTTTCCATCATTATAAATTCACCTATTCTGGATTTTTCATATAAATGAATTCATAGAATATGTGACCTTTATGTCTGACTTCTTTCACTCAGCATCTTGTTTTTTTCAATGCTCATACACATTGTAGCATATATCAGTACTTCAGTCCTGTATTAGCTTGCTAGGACTACCTTAACACAATACCATAGACTGGGTGATTATACAACAAACATTTATTTTCTCATAGTACTAGAGGCTGGAAGTTAAAGATCAAGGTACTGGCAGGGTTGGTTTCCTCTGAGGCCTCTCTTCTTGGCCCACACATGGCTGCCCTCTGGTTGCCTCTTCCCATGGTCATCTCTGTGTGCATGAGTGTGGTGCTAGGGTTTCTTCCTCTTTTTATAAGGCCACTAGTCATACTAGGTTAGGGCCCCATCCTGATGGCCTTATTTTAACATAATCACCTGTTCAAAGACCTTATCTCCAAGTATGGTTACATTCTGAGGTACTGGGAGTTAGGACTTCAAATACGAATTTTGTGGGGATACAAAATCAACCCATAACTTTTCCTTTTTATGACTGAATAATATTCTATTATTTGTATATATCATATTTTGTCCATTTATCCACTAATGGACATTTGGTTTGCTTCTACCTTTTGGCTACCATGAATAATGGTTTTGTAAACATTCACATACAAGTATTTGGTTATCTGTTTTCAGTTCTTTGGGGTATATACCTACGAATAGGATTTCTGGGTTATATGATAATTCTATGTTTAACTTTTTGAGGAACTGCCAAACTGTTTTCTATAGCAGAGCACCATTTCACATTCCAAGCCATGTATGAGGGTTCCCATTTCTCCACATCCACACCAACTTAATTCTTTAGCTCCAGAAAGTGTCCTTTCTCCCACTGAATTTCTTTACTCCAATGCATCAAAATCTCCTGTCCCTAACTCCCTGCATTCTTCCTAACAACCAGCTCCTTTTAAAGTTATGTCCAGCCAGGTACAGTGGCTCATGCCTGTAATCCCAGAATTTTGGGAGGCCGAGGTGGGTGGATCACCTGAGGTCAGGAGTTCCAGACAAGCCTGGCCAACATGGTGAAACCCCACCTCTACTAAAAATACAAAAATTAGCAGGGCGTGGTGGCACGCACCTGTAATCCCAGCTACTCAGGAGGCTGAGGCAAGAGAATCACTTGAACCTGGGAGGCGGAGGTTGCAGTGAGCCAAGATCACACCATCGCACTCCAGCATGGGCAACAGAGTAAGACTCCGTCTCAAAAATAAAAAAACAAAAAACAAAAAATTATCTCCACAGCCATTATAAACCACATAATTCATTGTGTGTCACATCAGGCTCTCCAACTTTCAGCTTTCTGATATAGGAATAACAATATCCCCCAGAATTGTTTTAAGAATCGGCCAGGAGTGGTGGCTCATGCCTGTAATCCCAGCACTTCGGGAGGCCAAGGTAAGAGGATCACTTCAGCCCAGGAGTTCAAGACCAGCCTGAGCAACATAGCGAGACCCCCTCTCTACTAAAAATTTAAAAATCAGCCAGGCTTGGTGGCACGTCTCTTTAGTTCCAGCTATTCAGGAGGCTAAGGTGGGAGGATCACCTGAGCCCATGAGTTCCAGGTTGCAGTGAGCTGTCACTCAGCCTGGGTGACAGAGGGAGACACTATCATGAAAACAAAGCAAAACAAAAAATAGAACCTAATGAGCTCATGTATTTGAAATGTTTAAACACGTAGTAAGCATTCAATAAACGGTAGTTATGATGGCTACTGAATTTTTGTTTTCAGCCCCTATTTTTTCTCATAAACTCTAGACTGCCTATTGGCCACTTTCAAACAGCATCCATACAGTTTGTTCATTTGCAAATATTTATTGAGTGCCTACTATATGCCAGCCACCATGCTAGGCACTGGTTTACAATAGTGAACACAATTCCTGCTCTCCTGGGAGGAAAAAAAAAACAGATAGGCAAATAAATGTGTATTTACAGTTTTACAGTTTTTGATCGCTGCTGTGTTCCATAAACAACCTAATTGTGACATGTATAACATAAAATTAATTCTATCATCTTCCCTTCAAACCAGATCTCCAGGCACCGCCTTCCACCCAGTCAACCAATCAAAAAACGGAAGTTATCTCAGACTTCCTGACCTCCATTGAGATGCCTGCCTCCCATCCTGCCCTGCCCCCATCTGGCACTGCCAACATCGGCACCAAAACCCAAGAATCAAATCTTGGAAATAAGAGAAATTGGATCAGAGTTGGAATAAAGAAAGAAAAAGTTTCTGAGACTTGAAATTAGACTGAAGGTATTAACACATTTAAAGACTGTGTCAGCCGGGCGCAGTGGCTCACGTCTGTAATTCCAGAACTTTGAGAGGCCGAGGCAGGCGGATCACCTGAGGTCAGGAATTAGAGACTAGCCTGGCCAACATGGCAAAACCCCGTCTCTTAATAAAAAATACAAAAAAATAAAAATAAAAATTAGCCGGGTGTGGTGGCAGGCGCCTGTAATCCCAGCTACTCGGGAGGCTGAGGCCAGAGAATCGCTTGAACCTGGGAGTCAGAGGTTGCAGTGAGCCGAGATTGCGCCACTGCACTCCAACCTGGGCTACAGAGTGACACTGTGTCCAAAAATAAAAAAATAAAAAATAATAATAATAATAATTAGCTGGGTGTGGTGGCACGCGCCTGTAGTCCCAGCTACTCGGGAGGCTGAGGCAGGAGAATTGCTGCTTGAATCCGGGAGGGGGATGTTGCAGTGAGCCGAGATCATGCCACTGCACTCCAGCCTGGGCGACAGAGTGAGACTCCGTCTCAAAAAACAAAAACAAAAACAAAAAAAACTCTTGGACCTGAACCTTTCCTGCATTCTCCAACCCATTCTCTCACTTTGTCCCTGTTGAACCCTACATCTGACCATGCCGAACCACCTGGCCTTTTCCGAGGTACCCTGAAGACTGCTCCCCTTGTACAGAAGGCCCTGCTCCACCTTACAGCCCATCTCACCAATGCCTGGTCATCTTGTGAGGCTGAGATCAAGTGTCATCTACTCTAAGGAATCCTTCCTGACATCTGGGTAGATCTGACCTCTTCCGGCCGGGCGCGATGGCTCACGCCTGTGATCCCAGCACCTTGGGAGGCCAATGCGGGCGGATCACGAGGTCAGGAGTTCGAAACCAGCCTGGCCAACATGGTGAAACACCGTCTCTACTAAAAATACAAAAATTAGCCGGGTGCAGTGGCACGCGCCTATAGTCCCACCTACTCGGAAGGCTGAGGCAGAAGAATCGCTTGAACCCACGAGGTGGAGGTTGCAGTGAGCCTTGATCATGCCACTGCACTCCAGCCTGGCGACAGAGCGAGACTCTATTTCAAAAGAAAAGAAAAGAAAAGAAAAGAAAAGAAAAGAAAAGAAAAGAAAAAAGTTAAAAAAAAAAAGATCTGACCTCTCTCCTTTACATTCAAAACAAAACAAAAAGAATATTCAGATTCTTAGTTTTATTTTCGACTTCCTGTCCTTTTCTGATATATCCCCCAAATAGTCTCTCACTGGCACATTTTTGTCATACACTGCATCTCAGCCTTAGCCTTTCTTTCTGGTCTGGTCTTTTCCTTTTAATCTTTTTTCTCTTTTTTTTTTTTGAGACGGAGTCTCACTCTGTTGCCCAGGTTGGAGTGCAGTGGCATGATCTTGGCTAATTGCAACCTCGGCCTCCCGAGGTCAAGTGATTCTCCTGCCTCAGCCTCCTGAGTAGCTGGGATTACAAGTGCGTGTCACCACACCCGGCTGCTTTTTGTATTTTTAGTAGAGATGGGGTTTCACCGTGTTGGCCAGGCTGGTCTCAAACTCCTGACCTCAGGTGATCCACCCACCTTGGCCTCCCAAAGTGCTGGGATTACAGGCATGACCCACCACGCCCAGCCCTCTCCTATTTTTTCCTAGCCAGAATTGAGAAGTCCATTTCTATTAATAGTTACACCCATTTTTCTTAAACTATTTATCGTCCAATTATAATCCTTTGAACACTAGGAAGGAACACAATTTCCACACACATTCACATATATAGGCAACATTTGCCAAGCACACATCTGCACCCTATCATATGGCTATAGTTTGCCTTATTGCAGTAGGGGTATTTGGAGGATTCAGAACATGTTTTCACCTGGAATGGAAAGGAGGCAAAGATTGTGTGCTAATGGAAATCATTAAGATCAGTAACCCAGGGCTCTCAAGTATGGACAGTTAGAGATACTGACTCGGAACTGAGATTTAGGGAAAACAGTTATTCAGTACCTATTTCTAGAATGTTTGAATATACAACATATAGACAGTGTATAGTTTATAGTCAAAATATAATGTACAGCCAGTCCAGTTCCCAAACCGATTGTCTGGGTTCACCCCTTATTAGCTTTGCCACTTGTTATCTGTGTGACCTCAACTAAATTACTTTACCTCTCTGTGCCTCAGTTTCAATATCAGTAAAATAGAGATAATGACAGAATTTAGCTCTCACGGTAATTTTGAGGACTAAAAAGTTAATGAAAGATTTGAACAGTGCATTGATATACTAAGTGAAATGCAATGTTTAGTTATCTTTTATCTGGTCATTTTATTAGAATCTCTACAAAATACAGAAACAAAAGTTTTATTATGCAGTCTTATTTTTGTTCACTGTTACGTAACACATTTTACACATTTTCCGCATTCCACGCCCCGCCCTTCAACAACAACCACCACAAACTCCGACCGTCCTTTCCAGGCCCTTTCCCTCTATAAACCTGCCGTTTTCTGTCTCCCAAGTCATCCCAGTTTAGAACTGCTCCAGGAAATAATGAATGAACAGAGAGAGCCTAGTTTGTTTATTTATTTACAATCCACTAGTCTAATCTAGTTTAGATCCAGCGGCAATTTTTGGGGTGCCAAGGAGGAAAGAAGGAGATGGCAGTGCGGGGACAGGGCAGAGCCTGGGCCAAAGGAAGCCACACCCAGTTCTTGCCCTGCCCTGCCCGACACAGGCAACGTGACCCCAAGCGACAGCCAGCTGATGCTTGCTTCTCCGAGCCCGGCGGTCAGCAGCCGGAAGTAGCCCGCCCGGGGGCGGGGAAAGGTGCCTTAAGGAGGAGCTAGGGGCGTGCGGCCAATTGCAAGCGACTGTCCTAGCGAAGAGGGCGGAAGAGGAGAGATCCAGTTCCGGACGCGGCCGCCGCCGTCGCCGCCATCTGTCACCTCCACTCCGGCATCAGCAGCCAGTCGCCCGTGTCCCGCCTGTCTCCTCGGCGGAGCCTGCTGCCCGTCCTGCCACCTCTCTGCTCTGTTCTTGTCTCTGCCTTCATTCCCGAATGGATCTGGTAGGAGTGGCATCGCCTGAGCCCGGGACGGCAGCGGCCTGGGGACCCAGCAAGGTAAGTGGCAGACGAGACTGGAGTACTAGCCTTGGTCACACGGGCTGGATCTCTCGGAAAGCTCGGAGAGGGCGGCTTCGTGGGCGATTCGGGAAGTTCTGGGGCGGGACCCCGCGGACCTCGGCAAGGGGGCACTGGCCGCGGGGGTGCCGGGATGGGGATGGAGGGAGCGGAAAGAGGGGCGGAGGGCGGCTGGATCTCCCAAAGGCCACCTTGAGTGGTTAGGGCTCTCTATTTCTTCAGCGTACTTTCTGTATCACCGTAGCATGTATTTGAGCAGGACTGGCTTACACACCCTGATGATACTGGAGGGGAAACAAGCACGATCTTGTTTTTCACTGGCCAAGTGAGTCAGCCGAATACACAGCTAGCCAGACAGAAAGTTGGTTTAGGAAGCTGTTTACTTAATTTGATAAGTGTGGTTATCCCAGTTTGGAAATGTCTTGTTTTTGAAGCAGTAAAAGATAAAACCCAGGCGCACCCTCCTCCCTCGACGCTGAAATTCAAGTGCGCACCACGGACTGTAAAGTGCTTATGAATTTCATTATCTGCCTAAGCTTTGACGTTTAAACTTTTTCATAGAGTGGCAAACTAAAGACCTTTATTTCACATTTGCTTTCTGGTTTCCAGGCAGGTCCTTTTCATGATACTTTGATTATATGGATGAAAACACTTTTCTGCCACTTTATGGAGGGTCTGCTTGAGAGCAGAGTGCTTCCATTGGGATTTTTTGTTCCACAAATTAAGGTCGTAAAGGAGTCTAGCTTTTTTAGCTTCATAGTTGTTCTTTACATGCTAACACAGAATATTTGTTCCCATTTAAAAGGTCTTATTAGATCTTCAGGCTAGGCCTTAACAGGAAAAGGGGTCAATAATTAGCTATTAAGTAACCAAAAGTTAATTTTGTAAAAGTTCTCGTACAGCTGTTGGAAGAATCTGAGATACTGCGTTGGCAAATGTGGTTAAGTCTGCATGTTATTTTGTGTATTTTTCCTTGAGACCTTGTTTACAAGGTCAAGATTAGCAGACATAAAAGGATGAAATCAGTAGACAGACTAGTATTATGAATATATACCCTGTATGTTAAAGTCCTTCAGTTAAGCATTGGCAGAGGCTGGTAAAAATGTCAAATGAGACAGACTCTATTCAGAATACATCCTAATCTCAGAACAAATTTCACTTACAAACTAATTCAGTAATAAACTATTTAACAGTCATATTTTTATTTAAGTGTACATCATCAGAACTATAAAATTCCATTTTCATTGTGCAACAAAAATGCTTCTGGGATTTATAGACGCTCTATTGGGAGGACAGTGTTTTGAAAGGCAAAACAATTAGAAACAGGCTGAAAGTACTATCATTAATCCTTTTTTTCTCTAACCTTTTGGAAAACCAAAGTGATTACAGAAGCCTACATGGAGGAGGTGAAGATTTGAGGAGGGTTTTGAAAAATGGAAGGATTCTCAAAACTTTTTAGTCAGGACTTCTTTCCTTCCTTCCTTCCTTCCTTTCCTTCCTTTCCTTTCCTTTCTTTCCTTCCTTTCTTTTCTTTCCTTTCTTTCCTTTTCATTTATTTATTTATTTGAGACGGAGTCTCGCCCTATCGCCCAGGCTGGAGTACAGTGGTTTGCTCCCAGCTCACTGCGACCTCTGCCTTCCGGGTTCAGGCAATTCTTGTGACTCAGCCTCCTGAGTAGCTGGGATTACAGGCGCCTGCCACCACGCCCAGCTGATTTTCGTATTTTTTTTTGTAGAGATGGGATTTCACCGTATTGGCCAGGCTGGTCTCAAACTCCGACCTCAAGTGTCCACCCGCCTCGGCCTCCCACACTGCTGGGATTACAGGCGTGAGCCACCATGCCCAACGTCTTTCTTTTTTTTTTTTTCTTTTTCTTTTTTTTTTTTGAGACGGAGTCTCGCTTTGTTGCCCAGGCTGTAGTGCAGTGGCGCGATCTCGGCTCACTGCAAGCTCCGCCTCCTGGGTTCAAGCGATTCTCCTGCCTCAGCCTCCCGAGTAGTGGGACCACAGGTGCCCACCACCACACCCGGCTAATTTTTTGTATTTTTAGTAGAGGCGGGGTTTCACCGTGTTAGCCAAGATGGTCTCGATCTCCTGACCTCGTGATCCGCCCACCTTGGCCTCTTTCTTTTTTAATTGAGACAGGGTCTCACTCTGTCACCCAGGCTGGAGTGCAGTGGCATGATCACATCTCACACTGTGCCTTGACCTTGCAGGCTCCCACCTCGGCCTCCTGATTAGCTGGACTACAGGCCAGTGCCACCACACCTAGCTAATTTTTGGGTTTTTTTTGAGACGGAGCCTCGCTCTGTCACCAGGCTGGAGAGCAGTGGCATGATCTCAGCTCACTGCAACCTCCGCCTCCTGGGTTCAAGCAATTCTTCTTCCTCAGCCTCCCAAGTAGCTGGGACTACAGGTGCATGCCACCATGCCCAGCTAATTTTTATATTTTTAGTAGAGATGGGGTTTCACCATGTTGGCCAGGATGGTCTCGATCTCTTGACATTGTGATCCTCCCACCTTGGCCTCCCAAAGTGCTGGGATTACAGGTGTGAGCCACCGCGCCCAGCCAATTTTTGTATTTTTGTGTAGAGATCGGATTTCACCATGTTGCCTAGGCTGGTCTTGAACTCCTGGGCTCAAGCAGTACCCCACCCCCTTCCGCCCTGGCCTCTCAAAATGTTAGGATTACAGGCGTGAGCCACCACGCCCAGCCCGGACTTCTTTATACTCTCAAAAATTGAGGACCCCAAATGTCTTTTGTTTACATTGATTATATCAATTGATATTTATCAATCTGAAGTTAAAACTGAGAAATAGAAAAATTTTAAGTCATTTAAAAGTCATGCTAGTCTGATGGTAGTGGGTTATCAGAACTTATTAACATTAGTGTCACTAAAGTTGATATACAACCTCCCCGCTGCTAAATTTGGCTGGCTTTAAAAAAAAAAGTCATATGTTAACATAAATAACATTTTTATATCTAAAGAAAACTTAAAAAAATAGATTAGAACATGTGAGAAAAGTGGAAAAAGAAAACAAACAAAAAAATAGAGTTGAGATCTTACTGTGTTGCTCAGCTGGTCTGGAACGTGTGGCCTCAAGCAGTCTTCCCACCATGGCCTCCCAAAGTGCTAGAATTACAGGTGTGAACCACCACACCTGGCCAAAAGAAAACTATATTTGAAAACAAAAATTAGTGAACAGTATTTTATATTTTTGCAAATCTCTAACATCTGACTTATTAGAAGATATCTGGATTCTTCTATCTTCTTTTTTTCATTCAACCTGTTGTAAGGTTGAAGTATTTGAAGAAAATCCATCCTCACAGCTAAGTAGATTGTAGCAGATATAAGTGAAGGTGGGTAATAAGAGCGTAGTAGAAATACTGAGAACAAACTGGGTTAAATATCTAAAAATGCATTTATATCTTAAATCTACTCTTTAGAAAATTTTAGAAAACACGAGAATACCAAGCACACATTCCATTGGCCATCAGTGATGATGTCATCACATCTGATGTAGACTCTGGAAAACTCCACACTCTTGGGAGAATGAGAGTTAAAAAGACAAATAATGTAATATTACTATTATGAAAATTTTGACTTCATAGACCCTCTGAATGGGTGTTGGGGATCCTTCTCCTAGAGTACCAGGGTGCAAGTTACAAAATGCTGAACTACTATTATGGACAAAGAATTTTAGGGGATATTCCAAGAAGAGAGGATTGGCAAACTGTAAGCAAAAGTGAGGAAGTGTGTAGCTCTGTTGATAGAGAGTTGTAAAAAAAATAAATAAATAGCGGTACTCCTCAAAACTGTCAAAGTTATCAAAAACAAGGAAAGTCTGAGAAACTCAACAGCCTAAGAGGAGCTTAAGGAGACGTGGCAACTAAATGTAACGTGGTATTTTGAATGGGATCCTGGAACAGAAAAAGGATGTTAGAGAAAAACTAAGGAAATCAGAGTAGAGTATGGACTTTAGTTAATAATAATTATGTATCAATATTGGTTCGTGAATTGTGACAAACGTATAATACTAATGCAAGGTATTAATAGGATAAACTACCGAGTGTAGTATTTGGGAACTGTACTGTCTTGGCAGTTTTTTTCTAGTTTTTTAAAAGTAAGACTATTCTAAAACCAAAAAAATTTTAAAAAATGGATTAGTGTTGTTATGTAGTCCCAGATTATTTTTTTCAGAGCCACTTGTCTTGAGTTGAAAAATTACTTACTTAAATATTCTGCTTAGATTATGTCTTCTAGCTGTATGGTTAGAAAGGGGACCTTCCTGTAGGTTATGTTTCTCTTGACTCGCTTCCAGTAGAGGACTGAATTTTTGTTGCTGTGTGCCTCTTTCATGTTTGCTGGTTTTCTTTTTTTTTTTTGGAGACAGAGTCTCACTCTATCGCCCAGGCTGGAGTGCAGTGGTGCAATCTTGGCTCACTGCAACCTCCACCCCTGGGCTCAAGCAATTCTTGTGCTTCAGTCTCCAGAGTGGCTGAGACTACAAGTGTGCATCACCACGCCTGGCTAGTTGTTTTTTTTTTTTTTGTATTTTAGTGGAAATGGGGTTTCACTGTGTTGCCCAGGCTGGTGTCGAACTCCTGAGCTCAAGCAATCCGCCTGCCTCAGCCTCCCAAAGTGCTAGTATTACAGGCGAGAGCCACTGCCCCCGGCTGCTGTTTTTAATTTTACTTGATTCTTTACCCATAATTGTCTGCAGGAAACCTTTAAAAAAAATGATACAAGCAGCGAAGGTCATATCTTTAGGAAGTGGAAGGAAAGGGAGATGATTCCCCACTAATGTGCAGCCAGGCAGGTGGGGGAGAATGCGGTAGTAGTGAAGAACCCCAAGGAACAGAGTTCAGTGGTGGCAGTTTTGCAAAGGAGAGGAAAACAGGGTGGGTCTTAGGGTTATTTAGCAACAGGAAAGAAAGAACCAGGAGGCTGGTTAAAAGCTTGATGGATGTCCTTTGAAGTAGAATCGCTGACTGGAAAGGATTGTATGGGGTGTCCCATCAGATTGTGACACTATAGGGAGTTTGTGTTGATGAATGGAATAGTAGGAAATGACTTTGGATAGCTAGGACAGAGCAAGATTATGGAGGGCGTTTCCCCCATCTTGTTAGATTTTTTACAAAAAGCGGTTTACTGAAGAGTCACAGATGACAGAGGATTCCCTTATATACAACCTATGGTACCTGTTCATAGGAGGAGCCTGCAGTAAATTTTCTGAGCACTTGGGATAGCAAACCACTGTGCCTATAGGGAAAACGCAGCGGGTCTTCCCCCGACCCCAGAAGCTGTCCGTCTCACAGCCTGGAAAAAGTGTATGGAGGGCTTTTAATTGTTGGCTTGAAGAGTTTGGGTTTGATTTCAAAGTATGGGAGTGGCAGCCTTTCTGAAATCTTTACTTATTTACCTCACCCAAGGAAGTTGCCTCAGTGTGAAGTGGACCAGTTGAGCTGTTACAGGGTAGTATAGTCTCTAGAGTCTAGGGTCAGTAGGAGTGGACAGCAAGGGTGCTTTGGTGCTGTTTGAGGTCTCTACTTGTTTCACTTTCTGATTCAGTGTATCTGTGAGTAGATCAATCTCTGCCTCAAAATAACAAAATTCCTGCCTGTCATTTTTGCCTCTTCTGACAAATTGTCAGCTAATACTTTAATACCTTAGCAGAATTAATTGACAGATGGCAAAGGAGTTGAAACCTCAGAAGCGGGCAGGCAAAAGGGCAACTTTCCAAGATGGGGAAAAGGACATTAGATTAGCAGGGATGTAGAAAGGCGTCAGACCTCTGCAGCCAATCACTCCAGTGTTTTCTTTTGGCACATACTGCTCAGGAAATACTGGAATGCCTCTTTATATCCAAAGCTCTATGCTGGGCTCTGAGGGTTGATGAGAAGTCTCTACCCTTCAAGGGGTTCATGCTCCATTGTGGCTAATGCATGAACCCTAATACAGTGATGAGTTCTGCATTAACAGTGTTTGCATACTGCTATGGGAACACAAAGGAAAGGGTCCAACTTTGGTAACATTGAGACAGCCTTATAGAGGAGATGGCATTTAATTGGTGTAAATAAAGAAGGAAGAAAAACCAATGGTAGAGAAAGGAATGTGTGAAGGCATGCAGCGGGGAAAGTATGCCATCTTTTTTGTTTGGTTTTGAGACAGTCTCGCTCTGTCACCCGGGCTGGAGTGAAGTGGCGCAATCTTGGCTCACTGCAACCTCCGCCTCCTGGGTTCAAGCGATTCTTCTGCCTCAGCCTTCTGAGTAGCTGGAACTATGGGCACCTGCCACCATGCCTGTAGTGTAAATTAGTATAAAAAATACTAATTTTTATATTTTTAGTAGAGATGGGGTTTCTCCATGTTGACCAGACTGGTCTCGAACTCCTGACCTCAGGTGATTCGCCTGCCTCGGCCTCTCAAAGTGCTGGGATTACAGGCGTGAGCCACTGCACACGGCCTGAGTATGCCATCTTTGGCATATAATTAGTGTTACTAGAGTGTAGGATAGATGAGGGTTGAGATTGGAAAGATAAATCAGGGCAAGTTGTAAAGGGCATCCTTTGCTGAGGAACTTGGATTTTATTTATTTAGAGCCAGGGTCTCACTCTGTCACCCAGGCTGGAGTGCAGTGGCACAATCATAGGGCTCAAATGATCCACCTCCTACTTCAGCCTCCTGAGTAGCTGGGACTGCAGGCATTTGCCACTGTGCCCAGCTAGTTTTTTAATTTTTTTGTAGAGATGATATCTTGCTGTGTTGCCTAGGGTGGGGAATTTGGATTTTATATTGCAGTCAGTAGGGCAGTTTGCTTCACACATTTCGGGGTGAGATGATAGGGAAGCTGTATAGCAAAATGCTAAGAGTGCAGCCTGGCATTGCCTTGGTTCAGAGCTTGGTACTTCCATCTATGATGTTTTCTTGGGTTAAAAGAAAAGCCTTTGTGTACCTCAGTTTTAAAATCCATAAAATGGGGATGGATTGCAACTACTCAATTGTTGTGTGATTTAAGTAATCTATGTAAGTTATGTATATTTAACCAAGTGACTTAAATATAGTGAATATTCAGATATTGTCTGTTATGTAACTGTTAGTCATTGCCAAATGTGAGTGAGAATTCTGAGTTAGACAGTCACCTGCCTTTTGGAACCTGGACTTTGAAACTGATCAGATGAAACATTTCTAGGCTAAACAGCATTGTATCTTCTACCTAGAGGATACAGAAGGAAGTCAGGAGAGTCATGAGGCCAAAAAATTAGCTATGTTCTCCAGATGATAGAAAGCTTCAAGAGTCTAGACCTTAAAATCCTTACCAGGAGAGTTCTCCACTCAATTACAGATAAGCTCTGAGTGAATGAAAGACACACCAGACTTTCAGGAAGCCTCTTCTTCTCTCCCAAGTCTGGCCTTACAGAAGGCTGGAAGAGTTCTGTGATAGTGTATTGTAGGTATGTGCTAGGTACCAGGTGTATTTCCTCAATCTCAGGGTGAGACTAGATAAAACTTGATTCTCATTCACTCAGGCATAAATATAGTTATCATTTGTCGCCTTTAGGTGCTCCACCCAAACAGCCTGAGCTAAGTAAATTCCTGAATGTCAGTACTGTGGAACCTGAACAAAGGTCACTTGCCCAGTTGTCTCTGAGTGTCATGCAGCAGGCCTTTAGACCAACTAGAGGGCCTATACTGGCTGAACTTGATCAAATAATTTTGTGGCTAAAACAGATAACATTTTATGCTATATTCTAAATTAGACACTCAGTAGTAGTTAAGGAATGAGTTTTGGACTTTATCCTAAAAGCAATGGGAAACAATAAAAAAGATTTTGAGTAAGGAGATGGAACCCATCACATCTGCATTTTAGAACAATTACTGTGTTACAGTGTGAAGAATGGAAACTACCAAGATTGAGAGCAGAAAGATTCGTTAGGATGCTCTGAAAGTAACCCAGCGAATGGGATACCTTGGAGTAGAATTATGGAAGAGGGATGGAAAGAGTTGGGCAAGTTCAGGAGATGCTTAGGCATCTTACTAAATAGTAAAGGTCTTAATCAATAGGCTATAAAATATAATCATTTGCTGCTGCTAAGTAAAGCATCTTGCTCCCTCAGAAATTATGAATTTGAAATAAACCTACAGTTTGATTTCAAGAAGGCTGAGGCAGGAGTATGTCACTGAGGAAGGTCAACTGGGTCTGACAGAATATTACTGTGTGTATTGGTATTGTTTTAAGAGCCTGTTTCTCAGCTTCTAAAGTTCAGAAATAAAATTTTGGGGCTAGGCTTGGTGGCTCACACCTGTAATCCCAGCACTTTGGGAGGCTGAGGTGGGTAGATCACCTGAGGTTAGGAGTTCGAGACCAGCCTAGACAACTTGGCAAAACCCTATCTCTACTAAAAATACAAAAATTAGCTGGGCATGGTGGCTTATGCCTATAATCCCAGCTACTCAGAAGGCTGAGGCAGGAGAATCGCTTGAACCCGGGGAGGTGGAGATTGCAGTGAGCCGAGATCACGCCACTGTACTCCAGCCTGGGTGACAGAGGAAACTGTCTCCAAAAAAAAAAAAAGAAATAAAATTTAAAAAAAAATGTGTTGTTTGTTCTTGCTATTTTTTTTTTTTTTTGGCAGGGGGTCTCATTCTGTCACCCAGGCTGGAGTGCAGTGGCGCGATCTCGACTCACTGCAACCCTAACCTCCCAGGTTCAAGCGATTCTCCTGCCTCAGCCTCCTGAGTAGCTGGGACTACAGGCATGCACCACCACAGCCCGCTAATTGTTTGTATTTCTGGTAGAGATGGGGTTTCACCATGTTGGCCAGGCTGGTCTCAAACTCCTGACCTCAGGTTATCCACCCGCCTTGGCCTGCCAAAGTGCTAGGATTACAGGCGCGCGCCACCGCGCCTGGCCTGTTCTTGTTTTTGTTTTAGCATATCCTAAGATGTTTTGAGAGGGGCTGACATAATTTGTACACTTAGATGACTCAATGCTTAAATTAGAATGAGATATAACTTTTCATTAAGCTTCAAATGGTGCTAGTTGGCATAGTCTATTCCTATAAGAAAATCTACTTGGGAAATCAGATTATAAGCAGAAGGTAGCTTGGTGAGCAAGGATTGGAATAAGAGGAATTACATGAACTCATTGGCTAGTGGGGCGATGCCAGTGGGCCTGATGCTTCCCCTCAGCTTTAAGGATATACCTACTTAGCAGGCTAGAAAGTGCTTTTGGCTGTTTTAGTTTACATATATCCTTGACTAAATTTGACCTGGGAGATAATTTTACTTTTGAGATGATTTCTGCAAATAGCTAGTTATTCATTTCTGGTTTTTAACTACATAGTTTAATTCTCAAAATATAACATTATTTGTAAAATGAGAGGTACTTTATTTCATTATGATGAATTGAGCTGTTCTTTTTTCTTTTTTCATAGTGTCCATGGGCTATTCCTCAAAATACAATATCTTGTTCTTTGGCTGATGTAATGAGTGAACAGCTGGCCAAAGAATTGCAGTTAGAAGAAGAAGCTGCCGTTTTTCCTGAAGTTGCGTAAGTAAAATTCACAAATACTTTATCTAGCAACTTATAGCAGAGTTTTAGGATTTGATGAGTAATTGTCATGACAAGTGGTTTGGAAAAAGCAGTGCAGAAGAAAGCACCATATTGAGAGTCCAGTGATACTTGAATTTTGGTCCTGATTTTGCATTGGTTTTCATTATTATCTTGGACAAACCACTGTTTCTGTGGGTTTTAGTTATATCGCGTTAATGCTGCAGTTGAACTAGATGAGGTACAGTTTTGATCAAGTGTTTGTAGTTTATCTTTTCATGAATATGTATCTATTCTTTCATTATGGATGAATGAAACATCCAGACTTTCTTTTTTTTTTTTTTTTGGAGATGGAATTTCGCTCTTGTTTCCCAGGCTAGAGTGCAATGGCACAATCTCGGCTCGGCACAACCTCCGTCTCCCGGGTTCAAGTGATTCTCCTGCCTCAGCCTCTCGAGTAGCTGGGATTACAGGCATGTGCTGCCACGTCCGGCTAATTTTGTATTTTTAGTAGAGATGGGGTTTCTCCATGTTGGTCAGGTTGGTCTCGAACTCCTGACCTCAGATGATCCGCCAGCCTCAGCCTCCCAAAGTGCTGGGATTACAGGCATGAGCCACTGCACCTGGCCTCATACTTTCATTCAGAACAAATGAATTCTAGGCCTCAGTTTAGCTTTCTCTCCCAGTTCTCTTAATCCTAGTTGGTACTCCCACAGGTGCATGCCATTGGTCTTAAGGCTAGCTGTGCAGGAGAAGGTAAATGGTTTGATAGAGTTCTTTCCCATTGTTCAATTTTAACATGGAAAAGGCACCTCCTACTCTCATAATTGGCAACCTCTGTTTACTTAAGCACATTACATTAGTTTATATTGCCTTATTTTGAATAGTGTTGCTGAAGGACCATTTATTACTGGAGAAAACATTGATACTTCCAGTGACCTTATGCTGGCTCAGATGCTACAGATGGAATATGACAGAGAATATGATGCACAGCTTAGGCGTGAAGAAAAAAAATTCAATGGAGATAGCAAAGGTATTATAACCTTATTGTGACAACTTCATTGAGTGGTAGAAAACACTCATAATGTGCTCCTAAGTAAATCTTCAACTATTTTTGCTTCTTAAGTTTCCATTTCCTTTGAAAATTATCGAAAAGTGCATCCTTATGAAGACAGCGATAGCTCTGAAGATGAGGTTGACTGGCAGGATACTCGTGATGATCCCTACAGACCAGGTACCAAAGTTTTTACTTTCTGGGGGCAGCAGAATAGAGGTATAGGAAGACTAATCTTTTCAATGAACTCTTTTAGTTTTATATTTTTCTTTGAATCTCATTTGGTAATTTACTCTTAGATTCAAATGTCTTTTCAGACAACGTTGAATGCAGCAATGTAGTCTTTGCTATTTTTATATACCTGGCTTATTTCAATTGCCTTTAGCAAAACCGGTTCCCACTCCTAAAAAGGGCTTTATTGGAAAAGGAAAAGATATCACCACCAAACATGATGAAGTAGTATGTGGGAGAAAGAACACAGCAAGAATGGAAAATGTAAGTTACAGAAAGTATCTATCTCTGAATTTAGAGTTTTGTTTGAATACCTTTCAAAAACAGGATTCTAAATATAATACCTTAGATTTCTAAAAATGTCTTTCTTTCTAAAGATGTTTTTAGATAACAATATGGCAATATCATGGAAACTGAGACATTAATGAAAATATAAAGTACCTCAGAATAAAATTCCATAACAGTGTTGAAAAACTATTTTGACTCACATTGATTCTAAAATTAATAAATAGTTATTATGAAATTAACATTTATTCTTCATCATATCTCTATAAAATAGCATCCCTACCCAAAAAACAGATAACGGTGGCGATTGGGGAATACAAATGGGAGGGAGAAATACTTTTCACCATATACTCTTTTGTGCATTTTGAATTTATTATCTTGTGCCTGAACTACCTGTGTAAAATCAGAAGTAAAGTGTAACTTTAAAAAATAGCATTCTAGGCCGGGCATGGAGGCTCATGCCTGTAATCCCAGTATTTTGGGATGCCGAGGTGGGCAGATCACCTGAGGTCAGGAGTTCAAGACCAGCCTGACCAACATGGAAAAACCCCATCTCTACTAAAAATACAAAATTAGCCAGGCATGGTGGCGCATGCCTGTAATCCCAGTTACTCGGGAGGCTGAGGCAGGAGAATTGCTTGAACCTGGGAGGCAGAGGTTGTAGTGAGCCGAGATCGTGCCACTTCACTCCAGCCTGGGCAACAAGAGTGAAACTCTGCCTCAAAAAAACAAACAAAAAAAAAGCATTCTAAATCCTTCATAAATATTGTGGTTAATATAATATATTAAACATTTAGATTTTAAAGCACAAATGCTTGTTAAGTAAACATATTCAATTATATCATTTCTAGAAATATTCCAGATCTAATTCTAGAAGAGTTCTGTCCAATAGAACTTTCTGTGGTAATGGAAATGTTCTGTATGTGTGCTGTTCAATATGGTAGCCACATTTGCTGTTGAGCACTTGAAATTTGGGTGGTATAATAGAGGAACTGAATTTTTAATTTAATTTTAATTAACTTAAATATCCAAGTGTGGCTAGTGGCTACCTAACTGAATTGCACAGTTCTAGAACATAATTGTCATGGTGTGAACATAGTCTGCTATAACAACCCACTCTCCACAAATAATTACAAAATTGTATTTCTTTGGTAAGATTTGGTGTAGCCTTCACAGTTCAATATTGTGTCCTTTGGCTAAAAGCAAGGTACAATGCACATGCCGAAAGACCTTAGTTTTGGATGTGATGAAATGTTTTCTATGCCTGGAATAAATGCCTTCCTTTGGGTTGTAATTTCTTAAATAGTATTGCTCCTCTTTCTGTGAGTTATTTAATTTTTTTCTCTGTAGTAGCTATGATTTCTGGTTTTCTAGTGTGATCATCTATTGAGTAAGAAAGACTAATCTCATTTGGTTGTTTTTGTTTTTGTTTTTAACTGTCCCTATTTTAAAATATTTAGATGCTAATTCTTCCTTTTGGCAGTTTGCACCTGAGTTTCAGGTAGGAGATGGAATTGGAATGGATTTAAAACTATCAAACCATGTTTTCAATGCTTTAAAACAACATGCCTACTCAGAAGAACGTCGAAGTGCCCGCCTACATGAGAAAAAGGAGCATTCTACAGCAGTAAGGATTTATAGATTTTTTTTTTTCTTTTTTACTAGAAAGATTCATATTAGAAAACTTTGGGTAAAGAAAAAAAAACTTCATGTTTGATATTTTTTCATGAGATTGGCTTTTTAAATCAAAGATGTAAATAAATCCAGCCACTGTGGTGCCCGCCTGTAATCCCACTACTTTGGGATAGCAGATGGAGACAGGAGGATTACTTGAGCCTAGGAGTGCAAGAACAGCCCAGGCAACATAATGATCCCCAGCTCACAAAAAAAATTAGCTGGGCATCATGGCACACACCTGTGGTCCCAGCTACCCGGGGGGCTGAGGTGGGAGGATTGGTTGAGCCCAAGAAGTTGAGGCTGCAGTGAACCATGATTGTGCCACTGTACTGCAGCCTGGGTGACAGATTGAGACCCTGCCTTAAAAAAAAAAAAAAAAAAAAAAATGTAAATAAGCCAGGTGAGGTGGCTCCCAGCACCTTGGGAAGCCAAGGTAGAAGGATCGCTTGAGCCCAGGAGTTCAAGACCAGCCTGGGCAACATAGGGAGACCCTGGGAGACCCTGTCTCAGCAAAAGTTTTAAAAAATTAGCCGGGCATGTTGGTGTGCACCTTTAGTCCCAGCTGCTCAGGAGGCTGAGGTGGGAGGATCACTTGAACCCAGGAATTTGAAGCTGTAGTGAGCCATAATCATGTCACTGCATTCCATCCTGGACAACAGAGTGAGACCCTGTCTCTCTCTCTGTCTCTAAAAAAAAAAAAGATATTAGGCCAGGCGTGGTGGCTCACACCTATAATCCCAGCACTTTGGGAGGCCAAGGCGGGCGGATCATGAGGTCAGGAGTTCGAGACCAGCCTGGCCAACATAGTGAAACCCCATCTCTAGTAAAAATACAAAAATTAGCCAGGTGTGGTGGCGGGCGCCTGTAATCCCAGCTACTCGGGAGGCTGAGGCAGGAGAATCACTTGAACCTGGGAGGTGGAGGTTGCAGTGATCAGAGATGGTGCCATTGTACTCTAGCCTGGGTGACAAGAGCAAGACTCCGTCTCAAAAAAAAAAAGTTATTAGAAGTGGCTCAGAAAATATTTTGTGATTAGCAGTCATTTTCACTTACAGTGCTTTATCTCTTGCAGGAAAAAGCAGTTGATCCTAAGACACGTTTACTTATGTATAAAATGGTCAACTCTGGAATGTTGGAGACAATCACTGGCTGTATTAGTACAGGAAAGGAGTCTGTTGTCTTTCATGCATATGGAGGGAGGTAAATGAGCAAAATATGATACCATGATATGAAAACTTAGTCTCTTCTCCCCAAGATTAATGAATTTACACAGAATCAAAGATAATGCTGCATGGCAAGCAGAGTAATTTTTAAAGTGTTATTGTAGAAAGTCTAGGCAGTATAGGAATGTATAAAAAACACAGTCATCCTAATACCACCACCCAGAGATAATCATTAATAATTTTGGGTAGACTTCTCCAGTTTTTTTCAATGCGTATATTATTATTATTATTATTATTATTTTTTGAGATGGAGTTTCACTCTTGTTCCCCAGGCTGGAGTGCAGTGGCGTGATCTTGGCTCACTGCAATCTCTGCCTCCCGGGTTCAAGCAAGGTCTCCTATCCCAGCCTCCAGAGTAGCTGGGATTACAGGCACATGCCACCACGCCTGGCTAATTTTTGTATTTTTAGTAGAGACAGGGTTTCGCCATGTTGGCTAGGCTGTCCTCAAACTCCTGACCTTAGGTGATCCACTCGCCTTGGCCTCCCAAAGTGCTGGGATTACAGGCGTGAGCCACTGCTTCCGGGCTTCCTCATCTTTATCAGTGTTTAGTATTATCAAATCTAATGCTTTTTGTCAGTGTGAGAGATGAAAAGTAACATCTTGGTATTTTGGTGTGCATTTATTTAATTATGATTAAGTTGTACATTTTTTCCAAGTGCTTTATTGGCCATTTGTATTTCTTTTTCTTGTCTTCTCTCTTGTTTATCCTTTGTCCATTTTCTGTTATACTCAATATACTCCTTTTTTTTTTTTTTTTTTTTTTTTGGGAGATGGAGTTTTGCTCTTGTTGCCCAGGGTGGAGTACAATGGCGCAATCTCAGCTCACTGCAACCTCCATCTCCTGAGTTCAAGCGATTCTCCTGTCTCAGCCTCCCAAGTAGCTGGGATTACAGGCACGCACCACCACGCCTGGCTAATTTGTGTGTTTTTAGTAGAGATGGGCTTTCACCATGTTAGCCAGGCTGGTCTCAAACTCCTGACATCAGGTGATCCACCCATCTTGGCCTCCCAAAGTGCCAAGATTACAGGCGTGAGCCACTGCGCCTGGCCTGGTATACTTAATATACTCTAATATAATAAATGTTCAGTCTTTCTGGTGGAATTGGTATCATAATCTGTACTTTGACATTTCTAAGTTAGCAAAACTAGAGAACATTCAGTTTTCTACAGCTAAAAGTTAATGCTTTTAAAAGTTTGTTAGTTTTCTGTGGTACATAATAAATTGCCACAGACTTAGCAGCCAAAACAGCATCCATTTATTATCTCATAGTTTCTGTTGACAGAATCCAGGCATGGCTTAACTAGGTTCTCTGTTCAGGGTTTCACAAGCCTGCAGTCTAGGTGTTGGCCAGGCTGTGTTCCTTTCTGGAGCTTGGCGTCCTCTTCCCTTGGCCACCTTTCAGTTGCAGCTATACGACTGAGGTCCCACTTTCTTGTTGGCTGTCAGCAGTGGGCTGCTCTCAACTCCTTGAGGCCCCTGCAGTTCCTTGCCATGGGGCCGTCTCACAGGCCTCTTCACACACTAGCTCTCACACTTTCAAAGCCAGCAGGAGAATCTCTCCAGTCTGCTAAGACTGAGACTTAGTGTTATGTTATCATGGGAATGACTAGACCATCACCTTTGCCACATAACCTAACCAGGGAGTGGCTATCCCACACATGCTCAAGGGAAGGAGGTATTATACAGGGGTGTGCACACCAAGGGGGCTGGGAGTTTTGCTTTCCACAAAGCTCTGGTTCCTTTCTTTCTTCCTCTCTCTCTCTCTCTCTCTCTCTCTCTCTCTCCCCCTCTCTCCCCCTCTCTCCCTCCCTCCCTCCCTCCCTCCCCTCCCTCCCCTCTCTCCTCTCTCCCCTCTCTCCTCTCTCTCTCTCTCTCTCCCTCTCCTCTCTCCTCTCTCTCTCTCTCTTTTTCTTTCTTTCTTTCTTTTTCTTTCCTTCTTTCTTTTTTTTTTTGAGATGGAGTCTTGCTCTGTCACCCAGGCTGGAGTGCAATGGCGCAATCTTGGCTCACTGCATCCTCTACCTCCCAAGTTCAAGTGATTCTCCTGCCTCAGCCTCCCCGGTAGCGGGGATTACAGGTACACACTACCATGCCCGGCTAATTTTTGTATTTTTAGTAGAGACGGGGTTTCACCATTTTGGCCAGGCTGGTCTCAAATTCCTGACCTTGTGATCCAACTGCCTCAGCCTCCCAAAGTGCTGGGATTACAGGCGTGGGCCACTGTGCCTGGGTCAAAGCTCTGGTTTCTGTCACTCTCAGGTTGGTCAGGCAATCAACAATTATTCAAACAGTAATTTGTGCTAGATTACTCAGGGAATAAAATATAAGACATATTTTTTACTCTCAAAGAGCTTAAGCTTTAGCTAAAAGGAGAACATTACAGTAAGAACCATTATGGTCAATGAAAGATAATTACATAATAGAGTACCCAGTTATGCAAACGAGACCTTATATGGGATAGGAATAGCGAATAGAACAAGATCATTGCCAGGCACATTCAGGGAAGATATCATAATGAAGTTGGATCTCAATCTGGATTTTAAAAATAGGTTAAAAAAAGAAATCCGTTGGAGGACCGATGGGGGCGGATCACGAGGTCAGGAGATCGAGACGATCCTGGTTAACACGGTGAAACTCCGTCTCTACTAAAAAATACAAAAAAGTTAGCCGGGCATGGTGGCGGGCATCTGTACTCCCAGCTACTTGGGAGGCTGAGGCAGGAGAATGGCGTGAACCTGGGAGCGGAGCTTGCAGTGAGCTGAGATCGCGCCACTGCACTCCAGCCTGGGTGACAGAGCAAGATTCCGTCTCAAAAAAAAAAAAAATCCAATGTTGAGTATAAAAAGCTAGTTGCAGAATATATATACAGTATATCATCTATTTAAATTTTTTAAGTCATACAGAAAATTACAGAGATGTTTATAGATGCTTGTGGATACTTATATATTATCTTTTAAAAGAGACTAGAAATACAGCATTTATGATAGTTATTGCCTCTGGTGAGTTAAGATGGGGAATGGTAATCAGAGGGCACTTCAGCGTCATCTGTAATGTTTAATTCTTTAAGAAAAAGGCTAAGGGTGGGAGAGTTGAAGTTTAGGCACTGAGAAGATTAGGAAGGTATGTGCTTAGAGGTAGTAGGTAGTAAAGTGGTGTAAGCAAACTGGAAATTGGTAAGGAGGACCTTAAAAGCTAGGCAGAGGGATGTGTCATTTGCTGAGAAACAGGATCTTTTTGTAGTAGGACAATGACAAGGCAAATCTTATAAATTGGACTCTATCCTAGAGACCTTCCAAGTAAGGGATCTCTTGTATGGCATTTTTGCTAGGGCCTCACCTACTATGTGGTTAAACTAGTCCAATGAAAGGAGCTTATCTCAAAATCTAGCCTATTCTGTCATAATGTCTTTTAAGTTATTAGAGATTTCTTCCCTGAAAATTGTGTCATCTGTTAACCAAATAGTTGAGCAGCTGTCAAGTACCAGGTACTCTTCCAGGTACTAGGGATACAGCAATGAATGGTACAAGGAAGGTCTCTGGTCTAATGGAATATGCTTCCCCCATCCTCAACCCCTCTCCATGACAATAATAAACAAAAAATATCAGATATATGCTATGCAGATAGTTAAAATAGGATGATGTCATAGTGACAGGCTGACTAGCTTTATTAGTAGGACAGGGAACGCTTCTCCAATGAAGTGACATGTGAGTGACACATCTAAGATACATCAAAGATCAGGTGGATGGGCATTCTGGACTAGAGAACAGCTAGTGCTAATGCCTTAGGACAGGTACAAAGTTAGTATCTTTGAGGGAAGCGTAAGAAACCCAGTCTCCCTGGAGCATAGGATGTGAATGGGAGAGAGGGGGCTGGAGGAGTAAGCAGGGGCTGGACCAGGTAGGATTTTGTAGGCCAGGGTAAGGAGTCTGCTCTTTGACTGCCCTGGAACCAAAGCTATGAGTTGATTCTTATTTTCAAAAGATTGCTGTGTGGAAAATGAATTATAGGAGGAGAAGAGAAGAAGCAGTAAGATCAGTTAAAACGTTGTAGTAGTTGAAGTGAGAAATGGTGAAGGGTTGGACTAGGGAGGGCGGTAGTGGAAGTGAAGAGTAGGAGAGCGTTGGTGTGTGTTTTGAAGGTAGAGAGAACAGCACACGCTGTTGGATTGGAAGTGGGTGTAGGAGGATAGATTCTGGGCTAGAGCAGCTGATGGTGGTACCGTTTGACGAGGTGAGAGCCTGGGGAAGGGTAGGGTGAGGACTCAGCATGAGTTTTGTTTTGGGCATATTAAATTTGAGATGCCTGTTAGACTTCTAAGTGATGTCATGTAGTTGTTGGATAAATGGGCCTGAAGTTCTAGGGAAAGTCAGGACTGGGATAGAAATGTGGGAGTTATCGGCCAGGCGCGGTGGCTCACGCCTGTAATCCCAGCACTTTTGGAGGCCAAGATGGGTGGATCACCTGAGGTCAGGAGTTCGAGACCAGCCTGGCCAACATGGTGAAACCCCGTCTCTACTAAAAATACAAAAATTAGCCGGGCGTGGTGGCATGCACGTGTAATCCCAGCTACTCAAGAGGCTGAGGCAGGAGAATAGCTTGAACCCGGGAGGTGGAGGTTGCAGTGAGCCAGGATTGCACCACTGTACTCCAGCCTGGGTGACAAAGTGAGACTCTGTCTCAAAAAAAAAAAGAAATGTGGGAGTTGTCTATATAGAGATGATATTTAGAGCCATGGGGCTAAGTGAAATTGCCCAGGAAGAGAAGGAAGGTTTCTTAGAACCAGGTGAAGGACTTTAACCTTTTGAGACTAAATGGAAGAGGAGTCAGCTGGGAGAATATGGTACAGAAGGAGGTTTGATTCAGATTCTGTCCTTTGGAAATATAGTTCCTTTCTTTCCCAGATTAACATCCTATCAGATATTTAAAGGTAAATATTAATATTGTTTCTCATTCCATCCACTTTTTCATTCCCACTGCCACCATCATGACTGAAGCTCACTATTGGGGGACTATTGCAGTAGCATCCTGAGTCGACCCCACACCTCTAGCCTGTCCCTGTGCCCTTCCATTCTGACAGTATCGTTCACTCGATCTTCATGAAGCACGCATTTGAGAGTGCCATACACAGAAACCCTCGCGATTCCCCACCACCTCTAGGAATTTGTCCAGGCTCTTCACAGATGTGCCTCTGTCCTGTCCTTTAGCTCCAATTTTTTTTCATTATCTCTCTCCAGCCAAGTCTTAACTATAGTGTTTGTTGTTCCTCAGACATGTCCTGTGGTTTCCTGCCTCTGCTTTTGTTCATGCTGTTCAAATCCTACCCATTGTCCTGTTTCTGTTTCAGATGGCACTTGTGCCATGAAGTCTTGCCTGACCTTTCCAATGAAGAGGGACCTTTCCTATTCATGTACTTCTTTTATTCTCCGTTGCCACTTCTTGCAGACTTGTGGGGCAGGAACCATTTGATTCACCTTTATGTCTGCTAGGAGTGAAAGAGTTATTTTTTAAAAAGCTGTTTTATTTGTTGCTTTTTATTGAATTTTGCTCCTGAACCATATTGGGAAGACTGTAGCCTATTTTCAAGTGCATATGTCTTCATTGTATTTCAAGCTTGATTCCGTAGTCATTAAGTGAAGAACATTATGTGATAGATGGTTGAAAATCGGTTGACAATTTATTTGAAAGTATATTTTATTTAAAAAATCAAACCAAAACCTAAGGCTTTATTAAGATCCAAAACCTAAAGGCTTAAAAAAACAAGACTTGACACTGAGAGAAGGTAGATCTAATTTAGTGTTACAGAATCTTTATTTTGAAATTGTTGTACTTGTGAGCTGGCAACTTGTACTGACTTGATTTTTTTTCTTCCACTTAGCATGGAGGATGAAAAGGAAGATAGTAAAGTTATACCTACAGAATGTGCCATCAAGGTATTTAAAACAACCCTTAATGAATTTAAGAATCGTGACAAATATATTAAAGATGATTTCAGGTTTAAAGATCGCTTCAGTAAACTAAATCCACGTAAGATCATCCGCATGTGGGCAGAAAAAGAAATGCACAATCTCGCAAGGTAAAGAAAATATTGTGCTAGACGTAATCTTGGGTAAATACCTTTTTGCATTAGGATAAAAAAATCCATGCTTTCTTTTACATTCATTTATAGAAATAATGAAAGGCCAGGTGTATAACCTCGATTCATACTTTTAGGATGAAAAAGCCATTTTCTTTTTTCTTTCCTCAATGAAGCTTGAGGGAAATCTGGGCATTTTCTGCCTTAGACACTTTATCATATATCTAAATGCCATTTTTAAATTGCTTTTATCACGAAGTAAAACTTCCAGCATCCAATTAGGCTTAGCATAAAAAAATGGTTTCTTTTTTGTTTCAGAAAATGTTTGTTGCATTTAATTTGTTAATTTTGTGGGAGTAAGTTCTTACCAATCAAATTACATTTTGTTTTAATTTTTATACTTGTATCTGAATTTTCTAAGCAATTTATTTTCTATCAAAGAATTTGTTTTGTCAACCAAGAAATTCAGTAATAATCCTTCTCATTAAAAACCTTTCTATTATCTTAATTTATTAAAAGCTTAATTTTAGTTTGTTATTTTCTAAAGATATTTGCTTTCAAAAGTAATTATTCATATATATCAGTTACAAAATTCTTCTACTGAGAGTTCCCCACCAAAATAAGCCAGGCATGGTGTGCACGTGTACTCCCAGCTACTTGGGAGGCTGAGATGGGAGGACTGCTTGAACCTAGGAGTTCAAAACCAGCCTGGAAACGTTAGACTCCCAAGACCTTGTCTCAAAAAGAAAAAAAAATGTTTTTTCAATAAATTAATTAATTCCAGGTAGAATCATTTTCTAGAAGGTCTTGCTGTCCTCCAGTCTCTTTTCTGTACTCCTGAAATTCCTGCCTTTCTTAAAATTCTTCAACAGTTTTCCATAGTGGAGCTTGCCTGTCTTTGTAGCCTCAGCCCACATTGCCCTTCCTCCTACTCACAGATCCAGCTATGTTGATTGATATACATTCCCCAAATGGACTGTGCTCTTGAACACCTCCCTGCATTCCCTTGCACTGTCTTTATCTGGCTAATTCCTGTTCCCTACCTCTTCTTCTAATAAGCCATCCTTGGTGCTGTGTGCTCCTGTAGCTCCTACCCATACCTCTGCCAGTGCGTAATTGTAATTGTCTCTTGTCTGTCATTTCCATCAGTCCCTGAGCTCTCTATGGGCAGAGGCTGTGTTTTACTGTCTTTGTATTCCCACATCACCAGGGTAGAACATAGTGCCAGCTCATTGCAGGCCCTGATTAGATATTTATTGAATAAATGACATATTTTCTCTCCTTCTGATCTGTATATTCTGAATCATTTCTTTATGTATAGAATGCAGAGAGCTGGAATTCCTTGTCCAACAGTTGTACTACTGAAGAAACACATTTTAGTTATGTCTTTTATTGGCCATGATCAAGTTCCAGCCCCTAAATTAAAAGAAGTAAAGCTCAATAGTGAAGAAATGAAAGAAGCCTACTATCAAACTCTTCATGTAAGTTGTGCTTTTAAAAGAATTCACACACTACCTTTAAAAAATATTTCCTCTAAACTTTAAAAAAATTTCCTTAAAGAAGCCAGGCATGTTGGCTCACACTTGTAATCTAGAACTTTGGGAGGCTCAGGCAGTAGGATCACTTGAGCCCAGGAGTTTGAGACCAGCCTGGGCAACATGGTGAAACCCTGTCTCTACTAAAAATACAAAAAAATTAGCTGGGCGTGTGCCTGTAATCCCAGCTACTCGGGATGCTGAGGCAGGGGAATTGCTTGAACCAGGGAGGTAGAGGTTGCAGTGAACCAAGATTGCACCACTGCACTCCAGCCTGGGTGACAGAGTAAGACTCTGTCTCAAAAAAAAAAAAAAAAAATTAAAAATTAGCTGGGCACACACCTGTAGTCCCAGCTACTCGGGAGTCTAAGGTGGGAGGATCACTTGCACCCAGGAATTTAAGGCAGCAGTGAGCTATGATTGTGCCACTGCACCCCAGCCTGGGCAAGAAATAGAGCAAGACCCTATGTCTTAAAAAACAAACAAAAAAACCCAAGTTCCTTAGATAGTGCTATTTCAAGGTGCTATAACAAAGACAAGTTGAAGTTTGTGAAAGAATGTTAACACTGAAGAGTTGTTTTTCTATCAATATGTGTGTGTCTTAAATAGTTTTAGAAAACTTACAGACTTAACCAGGGAAGTCGTCATTGTTAGGATTAGTGACACAGTGCATGAAGCTATTTTTCACCAAACTTCATTAAATAAAATTTGCTGTTAGTACATTTAGCAAAGTGCCTCATTAGTTTGTGAGCTTTCATGAATGTTATAGTTTTTTGGGGCTTTTTTTTTTTTTTTTTTTTTTCAAATAAGAGACAGGGTCTCACTATGTTGCCCAGGCTGGTCTCGAACTCCTGGGCTCAAGTGATCCTCTTGCCTCAGCATCCCAAAGTGCTGGGATTACTGGTGTGAGCCACCACACCCAGCCATTGAATGTTACAGCTTTAACAGTGAAGGAAAGGAAGCAGGTCTGGTCTCATCATAAGAGAGTGATGATGAAAATTGAAAACAGTAGGGAGTGCAGGTGTTAAGTTGGAAGGCATGTTGGGAATCTCAAGGAAACTACATGCTTTGAAATAGCAACTGAATTCAATCTGAGGGCCTTCCAGGTTGAGACAATGCTCCTAATACTGCCATTATCCCTCTGTGTTTTAATTGAACACTGGAGAAACTTAATGTGCTACTTTATGCAATCTCCACATGAAGCTGTCATGTAATGCAGCCATTGATCTAGATATGGAAATTTTAATCCAAATTAATTTTTAAAGATATAGCTAGAAAGGTGATCCACCTTTCTCTGCCTCCAAAGGTAAACATTGAAAGGAAAATCAAGTATGTTTTTCTGGCCTCTTTGGGAGGTGGGGTGGCTGGGGAAGAGATTAAATAGTGATGAAACTTTTCTATTTAATTCTATTAAGGCTGGAAAACAAATGCATTAATGTTGATTTCTACTGTAAGACTTTGAGGGGGGCTGGGCGCAGTGCTCACGCCTGTAATCCCAGCACTCTGGGAGGCCGAGGTGGGCAGGTCACGAGGTCAGGAGATTGAGACCATCCTAACTAACATGGTGAAACCCCATCTCTACTAAAAAAAATTACAAAAAATTAGCCAGGAGTGGTGGTGGGTGCCTGTAGTCCGAGCTACTTGGGAGGCTGAGGCAGGAGAATGGTGTGAACCAGGGAGGCGGAGCTTGCAGTGAGCTGAGATCACACCACTGCACTCCAGCCTGGGCGACAGAGTGAGACTCTGTCTCCAAAAAAATAAAAAATAAAAAACTTTCAGGGGTGTCATCATCAATAATACCACTTAATTATTCATTTCCTAATGTGTGCCTTCCCTCTTCACAGTTGATGCGGCAGTTATATCATGAATGTACGCTTGTCCATGCTGACCTCAGTGAGTATAACATGCTGTGGCATGCTGGAAAGGTGAGGAGCACATTTTGTTAACATTCAGATTTAATTACTGTAAGTAAAATTTAAAATGTAAATACATCAGTTCATGTTCTGTATTGAAATAGGTCTGGTTGATCGATGTCAGTCAGTCAGTAGAACCTACCCACCCTCACGGCCTGGAGTTCTTGTTCCGGGACTGCAGGAATGTCTCGCAGGTAGACGTGTAAACCAATATGCCTTTTTTTGTTGGATGTAACAGCTGCAGGTATTTTTCTCACTCCTAAGATAAGTAAGAGGACCATATTCTTAGAAATTGAAGGAAGGGATACGGGCTGCTTTCAGGACAAGGATATAAAGATCAATTTGTCATATTTCATTTTGCAAGAATTTGATTCCATGTCTTACAGTTGGGTAAAATGTTCAAGGGGTGCCAGGTATGGTGGCTCACGCCTGTAATCCCAGCACTTTGGGAGGGTGAGGTGGGTGGATCATTTGATGTCAGAGGTTCAAGACCAGCCTGGCCAACATGGTGAAACCCCATCTCTACTAAAAATGCAAAATTAGCCGGGCATGGTGGCAGGCGCCTGTAATCCCAGCTACTTGGGAGGCTGAGGCAGGAGACTCACTTGAACCTGGGAGGCAGAGGCTGCAGTGAGCCAAGAACGTGCTACTGCACTCCACCCAGCCTGGGCAACAGAGTGAGGCTCCGTCTCAAAAAAAAAAAAAAAAAAATATGCCAGGTGCAGTGGTTCATGCCTGTAATCCCAGCACTTTGGGAGGCCAAGGTGGGTGGATCACCTGAGGTCAGGAGTTCAAGACCAGCCCGGCCAACATGGTGAAACGCTGTCTGTACGAAAAATACAAAAAAATTAGTTGGGTGCGGTAGCGTGTGCCTGTAATCCCAGCTAGTTGGGAGGCTGAGGAAGGAGAATCACTTGAGCCTGGGAATCGGAGGTTGCAGTGAGCCAAGGTTGCGCCATTGCACTCCAGCCTGGGTGACAGAGCAAGACTCCTTCTCCAAAAAAAAAAAAAAAAATGTTAAAGGGAATAAGTGAGTGTTTTGGCTCCTTGTATATAAGCAGTCGAGTAGACATTTAATGTGTGCATAGTGCTTAAACAGAAGCTGGTGTGCCTGTATGCTTGCTGCCATTATTACCATTAAAAGAGGGACAGTCTCTATTGTGGGACAGTGTCTGATCACTGTCACTGTGAAGCATGGTAAGAAGATTAGGTGGCTGGGCATGGTGATTCACGCTTACAATCTCACACTTTGGGAAGCCAGGGAGGGAGGATTGCTTGAGCCCAGGAGTTTGAGACCAGCCTGGGCAACATAGTGAGACTCCTATCTCTACAAAAAAATTTAAAAAGTAGCTGGGTGTGGTGGAACATGTCTGTAGTCCTAGCTGCTTTAACTGGGAGGCTGTTTTACTAGGGAGGCTGAGGCAGGAGGATTGTTTGAGTCCAGAAGTTCAAGATTATAGCGAGCTGTGATTGTGCCACTGCACTCCAGCCTGGATGACAGTGCTAGGCCCTGTCTCTTAAAAAAACAAAACATATATATATATATATATATATATATATATATATATATATATATATATATATGGTAAAATTTAGTAAGCACAGGGTTGGGTCACACTTGTTTGGCATTTCTAAGGGAAATGAATTGTTGGCAGTAGATTCAGATAGCAATGATCTTTCTAAAGGATAGAGTAACTTCATATTGGAAATAACCTCTGAGCCTGCTTGAAATTTTTAATTTCTGGGGTTTAGTGAAAGTATTTCCTTTACATATTCAAAGCAATGCCAAGTGGTTTTATTTATAGCACTCATTTTTATAGCTATAGAAGGTGCAGTGGTATGAGCTAAATCCAGAAGGCAGGATGGATGTGTGAGAGGATGAAAAGCAACTAGAACCTGAGTATAGTCCAGCTTGGAAGCAGGAAAATCGATGGTTGAGAAATGAGGCAAGGAATGTAGTGGCTCAAGAGATCCTCCCTCCTTGGCCTCCCAAAGTGTTGGGATAACAAGGATAACAGGAGTGAGCCGCCATGCCTGGCTGAGCCAGTAATTTTTACTCTCTTAAAAACTAGGTTATTCCTAATGATTCTGCCTTTGAGTTGAAATTACTGTGTGTGTGTGTGTGTGCGTGTGCACACGTGCATGCATCCAAGTCTTTTTATAAATGTGCTGCTCCCTGTTTTTAGTTTATAAGAGAACATTGCTAATACTTCTTACTGACTTTCTTGTATTTCCTTACTAGTTTTTCCAGAAAGGAGGAGTCAAGGAAGCCCTTAGTGAACGAGAACTCTTCAATGCTGTTTCAGGCTTAAACATCACAGCAGATAATGAAGCTGATTTTTTAGCTGAGGTATGTGATAAACAGCTGTTTTTCACCTTGCTGGTCATGCAGAACTGCATAGAGGAGATAACTGAAACCCAGAGCTAGTTTTATCCTCCCTTTCCCCCAAAACAAAATTAATTTGAGATTTTTCTTTTCTTAAGATGTTTTTGGTTTTTTCTTTTTTTCTTTTTTTTTTTGAGATGGAGTCTTGGTTTGTCACTCAGGCTGGAATGCAGTGGCGTGATCTTGGCTCACTGCAACCTCTGCCTCTTGGGTTCAAGCGATTCTCCTGCCTCAGCCTCCTGAGTAGCTGGGATTACAGGTGTGTGCCACCATGCTTGGCTAATTTTTGTATTTTTGGTAGAGACAGGGTTTCGCCATGTTGGCCAGGCCGGTCTTGAACTCCTGGCCTCAAGGGATCCACCCACCTTGGCCTCCCAAAGTGCTGAGATTACAGGCATGAGCCACTGTGCCCGGCCTGTTTTTTTCTATACTTAAAATTCAGAATACACACACAGCAAAACATTTCTTCACGGAGGGCACCATTTGGTTAAGATGGGCAAACTGTACATTTCCAGTAGACTCCTATTTCCCCTATTTAATGAATGAGGAAGTTGAACACTCTGAGTGATACAAAAAATAGTAACATGTGGTCCCTGCCCTTTACTAAACATAGAAAGTTAGAAGTGCCTATCTTTGGAAATACCCGGTTATTATAATATCAGATCTAGAGAACCATGAAAAAGCTTCCTCCAGAGAAAGTCTCTTAAAATTGAACAAAATCTAAAAGGTGAAATAGCAGTTAATTATTCCCAACATTATACCAAAGCAGAGAGTGATTACTGAGTCTGTTCCAGAAATCCCCAGGATGACTTGAGTTTGGGTAAGCTGGGCCTAGCCTAAGGCTAGAGAGAAATAACAGAAAGATGGTAAATTCATTCTTCCAGCACAATACAGTTGCTCAGTAAGTAAGTGATACTGTTGTTTGATGAATGGTAGAGTTTTCTTTTTCCTGTTTCTGGAATGTTTTATAGAATACATTTCAAAACATAGATGATTCCAATTGCTAGCTGGATAAAGATAGTAAATATTGACCCTTGCAATCAAGTTAAAAAAAATACATGTATGTATGACTATTTGTGTATACTTGGATGCACGCACACACACACACACACACACACACACACACACACATAGTAATTTCAACTCAAAGGCAGAATCATTAGGAATAACCTAGTTTTTAAGCGAGTAAAAATTACTGGCTCAGCCAGGCATGGCAGCTCACTCCTGTTATATCTGTTATCCCAACACTTTGGGAGGCCAAGGAGGGAGGATCTCTTGAGCCCAGGAGTTTGAGACCAGCCTGAGCAACATAAACTCCATTAAAAAATAAAAAATAAAAAAACTGGCTGGACACGGTGGCTCACGCCTGTAATCCTAGCACTCTGAGAGGCCAAGGCGGGTGGAACACCTGAGGTCAGGAGTTCGAGACCAGCCTGGGCAACATAGTGAAACCCGTCTTTACTAAAAATACAAAAATTAGCTGGCGTGGTGGCACATGTGTCCCAGCTACTAGGGAGGCTGAGGCAGGAGAATTGCTTGAACCCAGGAGGCAGAGGTTGCAGTGAGCCGAGATTGCACCACTGCACTCCAGCCTGGACGACAGAGTGAGACTCCATCTCAAAAAAAGAAAAAAATTACTAGCACAATCTAAAATATGGTTTCTGTGAAAAGTAGGATTTTGACAAATGGATTCAATGTATTATTTTTGTAGATAGAAGCTTTGGAGAAAATGAATGAAGATCACGTTCAGAAGAATGGAAGGAAAGCTGCTTCATTTTTGAAAGATGATGGAGACCCACCACTACTATATGATGAATAGCACTAATACCCACTGCTTCAGTGTTAACACAGCAGTGATTGTCAGCTGCCAATAGCAAATGAAGTTATGGGTGACTTGAAATACCAAAACCTGAGGAGTGGGCAATGGTGCTTCTGTGCTTTTCCCCCTTGTAACCCATGTGCCAGATGTGTGGAATTTTTAGCTCAGCATTGAGAGAATAAAAT
The DNA here is from genome assembly GCF_000001405.40 of Homo sapiens. NCBI lineage: Eukaryota > Metazoa > Chordata > Mammalia > Primates > Hominidae > Homo > Homo sapiens. The sequence continues at coordinate 23,481,465 of NC_000018.10, forward strand.
GTCACTACCTCTCATCTTATGAACAGGATAATATAATTCTTTAACAGCTATAGGTTATCTGGCTGAAGTAGACCTAATTTTATGTGACTTGTGGTGTAAAATGTCTTGATGATAATTTTTAAAACTTGGGTAACACTTCCAAATATGGGAGGAAAGGACAGATGTGTTTACAAGGGAGGATTTTACAACATACTTGCTTTATTCACCTCCCTGTTTTGTGTTGCGTCTTTCCTTGAATATTTTATTGGCCCAGAGTTAGCCTTTCTCAATTATGTTTCCAGACTGTGGCCGTGATTCTAAAGGAAAATGTGTGCTCTTTAGTGGGTAGAACAAATGGAAATTTGGTTTCAGAATGGCTGACAGAAATCGACATAAGTCATGTAATTTTTGTTGATATATCATGAAAATGAACAGAATTCTTTTTCCATACTTATATCTAAGAAAAGGCATCATAGGTTTCTGAAAGAGATAACTATATAACAGCTTTTTAACTATCCAGTCAACTTTCAGCTTTTCTACATTTAGGTAAAATGGTTAGGATATAACTCATGGTGTGGCTAATCTACATTTATCAATAAAATGTAAATTATCTGAAAGGACAGAATATAAGATTTAACCATGTTTGACGTATTTTAATTTAGTTAATGAAGCAAAATTCAGTTTATATTTCACTAGAACTGTGTACTTGATTGATTTTCAGAGAAATATCACAAATTAGAAATATTAAATCTAAGGATGAAAGGTATATATAAAACAATTTGGGGGCCAGGCACGATGGCTCAAACCTGTAATCCCAGCACTTTGGGAGACCAAGGCGGGTGGATCACTTGAGGTCAGGAGTTCAAGACCAGCCTGGGCAACATGGCGAAACCCTGTCTCTACTAAAAATACAAAAATTAGCCGGGTGTGGTGGCACTTCTCTGTAATCTCAGCTTCTCAGGAGGCTGAGACAGGAGAATCGCTTGAACCCGGGAGGCAGAGGTTGCAGTGAGCTGAGATCATGCCACTGCACTCCGGCCTAGGTGACAGAGGGAAACTCCATCTCCAGGAAAAAAAAAAAAAAACCCAATTTGGATACCAAATTAATCAACTAATTTGAGCTATCTGGCCTTACTCTTAGTAGTTTTTAGTACGTGCTGGACACCACTTTTAAAAAGCAATCACTGTGCTAGAAAAGTATATTGGCTTTGTTAGGATTAAAGTTCATTAACTTCAATGTAATCATGCCTCCTATTACTGAAGTCAGATTGGAACCACTAAAGATCCAAACTTTCTGTCTGGTAATAGAAAGTAAAAATCTAGACATCATTTACATTTGAGAAAGCTGTTTTTAACATTATTTTAAAATGCCAAATATGTTCTTTCTAGAAAAATATTTATTTTTGTTTTTGTTGGATAGCTTTTAATTACATTTCAGAGAGGTGTAATTTTGGGTAGATGCTCATTACATTTTTGAAAGGTTTATGATTCCAAAATAAAGATTTATATGACTGGTGATACTGGCTTTACAGAAATTTCAGAGAACTAATTTTTAAAATCTTTAGCATTTAAAACTTTTTTTGTTTTGTTTTCTGACATATTCTGACAAAGAGCAGCAAACCACTGCTGTGTGGCATTCTTGGAGTGTGCTGTGAATGTGCTTTTTAAGAAATTAAAAAGAGATCATTTTAAAATTGGTTCTTTGTGTGGTATCTTCCTGTTCCTTATATTAACTTATGTCCTGGTACCAAGTTGCTGTTTCTGTATAAAGTTAAGCAATGCTATTTTAAGTAGATTATTCCCCCTCAACTTCTCATTGTTAGATTTCAATCGCAAATGGCCTACTTCACATTACAAATAGGTTCCCCCCCTCACACCTTGTAGATTAGAGAGTAGATTTTTTTCCCATAGTAGAAAAAGAAAGTGAAAAATACTGGTTTGCTAAGTAAATAAAAAATCAAATACTGGCTGGGCGTGGTGGCTCACACCTGTAATCCCAATACGTTGGGATGCTGAGGCAGGATGATCACTTGAGCCTAGGAGTTTGAGATCTGCCTGAGCAGCATAGCAGACCTCATCTCTACAAAACATTAGGTGAGTGTGGTGGCATGCATCTCTGGTCCCAGCTACTTGGGAGGCTGAGGCAGGAGGATTCTTAGAGCTCAGGAGATCAAGCCTGCAGTGAGCTATGGTCACACGACTACACTCCAGCCTGGGTGATAGATAAAGACTTGGTCTCAAATAAATTAATAAAATGAAAATATATAAAATACGGAAATAGGGATATTTTGTCTCACATTAAGTTATCAAAATAAGGATGACTAGATAACTTTTATTTCAACAAGATAATTACCAGTTTTCTTTTCATAAAAATTAGTTTTTCTTGCTTACAAAAGTAAGTCATTTATTTGAATTTAAATATTGTAGGAATTCAGAAATGTTCAAGTAAAAGTCCCTCGGCCAGGCGCAGTGGCTCAGGCCTGTAATCCCAGCACTTTGGGAAGCCGAGGTGGGCAGGTCACCTGAGGTCAGGAGTTTGAGACCAGTCTGGCCAACATGGTGAATTCCTGTCTCTACTAAAAATACAAAAATTAGCCGGGTGTGGTGGCACATGCCTGTAATCCCAGCTACTTGGGAGGCTAAGGCAGGAGAATCACTTGAACCCAGGAGGCAGAGGAGCTGAGATGGTGCCACTGCACTCCAGCCTGGGCAACAGAGCAAGACTCTGTCTCAGAAAAAAAAGTAAAAGTCCTTCATATTCCAAAGACCATTGTTTATAGTGTGGCATACATCCCTGCAATTTTTTTCCCCTCAGCATATGGTATTTCCTTTTTTAAAAAACCTTTGAACAAAAAGCAGGATGAAGCGAGGCAGCTGATGGGGAAATGTTGAGCACGGGAGACTCTAAGGAAGATGAAGACAATAGGCCCTAAGATGTGTTAGGAGTACATTTCTTACTGCTCATTTGGGCTCCGGGCATCAGAAGAGATTGTTTTCTGCACCTTTTGAAATTCCAAGCTCTATAGGAGCAGAGAAAAGCTCATCTGATTATATTTTCAAACCTTGATCCTTAGGTTTTTGAAGACAATATTTTTCTATTGGATTTTTGTCAGGATTACATAAAAATAAGTTATCAAAGTGTGTTTTATACTTGGAGACATCAGTTTACTAATTTGAAAGCCTCTTGTTTTTATTCTTTTCCGATTTGTTTCCAGTGTAAAAATAATACAAGGTTGCATTTGGAACAGCATTACTTTTACCATCCTAAGCTTTCCAACTTTCTCCCAGACTTGGCTAGCTTTTTGAGGAGTTAAGATCAAATTCGGTAGATAAGAAAGTGGCAGATGGAGGGGTGGGGAAGGTGGGGTATTCATTACAGAATACATGAGTGAGCTACTACAGATAGCTCTATAAACTTGAGGGAAAAAAATCTGCCACAGGTCTCGGCAGCTTGGGTGGTGGGAGGAGCGGCAGCAGCTGGTGAGCCCAGCTTCCAGAAGGCTCTGGTTTCGCCATTGCCCGTAGGCACCCGGCAGGCCCCCTCCCCACCACCAACATGCCCAGGAGGAAGGTCAGCTCAGTCAAGAGGGCTGTGAAGGAAAAGCCCAGGAGGAGATGGGCACAGTTGTCCCCTAACCCTGCTCCTGCAAAAGTAGAAACGAAGCCAAAAAAGAAGGCAGCAGGAAAGGACAAACCTTCAGACCTAAAAGTGCACACAAAAGGGAAAGGGGGAGCAAAGGGAAAACAGGCTGAAGCTTGAGTCCCTGCCCACCTCCATTCCTATCTTGTCTAGCATGTTTAATTGGCAATAAGTTTTTTTGACTCTAAGTCTCTTGGCCATAGGGGTCCCACTAGGGGACATGAAGGACCCAGGGCCTGTAGCATGCCACCCCAGCATCAATATGGGCCAGAATGAAAGCTTGGCCATCAACACTGCCTCTGGGATGCGTTGACAAAAAAAGAGAAAATATAAACTAAAAAAAAAAAAAAAAAAAAAAAATTAGAAGCCCCCAACAGAATGGATCTCTCTCTTGGCCAAAGGGAATCCAAACAACAACCGAAACAGCCTGAAAACCTAGTTCAGGTCATGACAGGAAGCTGGGAGTCAGTCACGCCTCGCCATACCTTCCCCCACTTTGGAATTCAGGCACAGCTGACCAAGCAAAAGGGCTTCACACCTTTGGAAAGGAAAACCTTTTGGCCGATTCCAAAGGGAATGCGTTAAGGCTGCTCTACTTTCTGTTACCTGGTTTTACCACTTTTAGGCCCATTAATGGTGATCTTATTGTTAGTATTTGGCCCATTGGGCCGAGCATGATGGCTCACACCTGTAATCCCAGCACTTTGGGAGGCTGAGGCGGGCAGATCATGAGGTCAAGAGATTGGGACCATCCTGGCCAATATGGTGAAACCCTGTCTCTACTAAAAATACAAAAATTGGCTGGGCATGGTGGCACGCGCCTGTAGTCCCAGGTACTCAGGAGGCTGAGGCAGGAGAATTGCTTGAACCTGGGAGGCGGAGGTTGCAGTGAGCCGAGATCACACCACTGCACTCCAGCCTGGTGACAGAGTGAGACTCTGTCTCAAAAAATAAATAAAATAATAATAATAAAAATATTTGGCCCATGCGTATTCAACTTCCTTATAAAGTTTATATCTTCTAGGTTACAGCAACTCCATGTAAAGATGATGGTGATGCAAGGATTTCAGCCAATTCCTGTCTCAGCATGGGACTCTCCTGCTAATGCAGCCTGGGATCCTTAGACCAGCAGCCAGAGATTTCCAATCCTTTGGTAGGCAGGGCCAGCGCCCTTAAATCAGCAAGAAGACGACACAGATGACTGACCTCCTCCCTCATCAACCCTTAAGAATAAGGGATGGAAATCTCTGAAGGGGGAATGAGATAGGAAGATCACTGGGTGCTCGCAAGAGGATGGAAGAATCCACACAAGAGCTTAAACAAGAGCTAGGCAAAGAAACTGTGGGATAACAGAAAACCCAAAATCAGGAGGAGAAGGCTGGGTTTGGTGGCTCATGACTGTAATCCCAGCACTGTGGGAGGCTGAGGAGGGCAGATCACCTGAGGTCAGGAGTTCGAGACCAGCCTGTGCAATATGGTGAAACCCCTTCTCTACCAAAAATACAAAAAAAAAAAAAAAAAAATAGCTGGGCATGGTGGCATACGCCTATAGTCCAGCTACTCGGGAGGATCACCTGAGCCCAGGAGACAAAGGTTGCAGTGAGCCGAGATCACGCCACTGCACTCCAGCCTTGGCAACAGAGACAGGGTGACATGTCCATGACTCTTCAGTGCAAACCCAAATCAGGGAGAAAGGGGGTGGTACCTGGGGGTGTGGGACAGTGGGGGGTCCCTGAAATCCCCCCTCTTCCAAAATACCTAATGATTATTTCACCCCCTAATTAAAGAAACACCCATAAAATTAGAAACCCAAACTCCCTCTGTGTGACTCATTCTCACAAACATGCCTGCACTTCTCTCTTCAGTGCATACTATCACTTTGCAATAAAAGCTTTTTGCCTTTCCCTTCATTCTGACTTGTCCCTGAATTCTTTCTCGAAAAGGTGTCAAGAACCTGGAAACCAACTGGGGCGGGGGTCTTACCAGCATCTGCAGACCCTCCTGAAACTTCTGGAAACCATAGGGGGAAAAAAGCAGAAATCACCCACAGTACAAGACAATCACCATATACATTACTCCTGACACTTGTTATATACATATGTACATGCAAATGCAAATGTAGAAAGAAACATGCATTCAGGCCCGGCACGGTGGCTCACGCCTGTAATACCAGCACTTTGGGAGGCCGAGGCGTGTGGATCACCTGAGGTCAAAAGTTCAAGCCCAGCCTGGCCAACATGGCAAAACCCCATCTCTACTAAAAATACAAAAATTAGCTGGGCATGGTGGCAGGCACCTGTAATCCCAGCTACTTGGGAGGCTGAGGCAGGAGAATCACTTGAACCCGGGGGGTGGAGGTTGCAGTGAGCCGAGATCGCACCACTGCACTCCAGTCTGGACCACAGAGGGAAATTCCGTCTCAAAAAAAAAAAAAAGAAAGAAAAAGAAAGAAAGAAAGAAAGAAAGAAAGAAAGAAAGAAAGAAAGAAAGAAAGAAAGAAAGAAAAGAGAGAAAGAAAGATGCATTCAAACATAAAACACTTCTGAAATGAAAAAGCAGGTTCCAAAACAGTGATACGTAGTCAAGATTTGCCAGCAAATACATACTTTAGAAATAGCTCTTTGTAAATATTATTCATCCTCATTTTAAAACAAAAAGGACTTTAGAAAGTTTAAAGAACAAAGTAAAAGCCACCTGAAAACATGCCAAGTAGTGAGAGCCACTATACAAATTTGGCTACATATGCCTTCAGACATCTGTCATAGAGTCTAACAAAGACTATAAAACAAAAATTAAAGCAAACAAAACTCAGCAAAACAGAAAAGCGGAACTTAAAATAAAAATAAGAATAAAAATAAACAGAAAAGCCTATGTGTTGTTTTAGGTTTTAGAAACTGTCAGACGCACATTTTAAGCTGCTGTAAAAGGAAAACAAGCATGTCAAGTGCTTATCTTAAACACCAGGAGTTATATTGAGCTTTTTTGGTGGCTCCGGAAACACTGGCTCATAGTAAACTAAGAAAGGAGAAGAAAAACAAACTAATGAACTAAGCGCTGATTCAGTAACCCCAGCAGTGGGCAGGGCAGCCAGGTATCCATCAAGGGTAGAGCTGGCTCGAGGCTGCACTTAAGGTTTCCCCCTATTTTAGTTGACCTGTTCCTAGGTCAGAGTCCCCTCCAGGGCCCCAGGACTGCCTCTAGCAGGCTCTGTACCCCAGATTTTACTGTCCCAGTCCTGAATCTGCCTTAAAAAAAGTTTTAACAGCTTTTCAGCTTCTTAGCTTTCCTTTTCTGCTCAGTGTCTCAACCTCTCAGTCACCGCTTTCAAAGCAGCAAGTTCATTGTGGAACAAAGCGGCAGCAAATGTCAGCTTCCGGCGGGCTGAAGTGGCTCATGCCTGTAATCCCAGCACTGTGAGAGGCCGAAGCGGGTGGATCACGAGGTCAGGAGTTCAAGACCAGCCTGGCCAACATGGTGAAACGCCGTCTCTACTAAAGATACAAAAAATTAGCCAGGTGTGGTGGCAGGCGCCTGTAATCCCAGCTACTTGGGAGGCTGAGGCAGGAGAATCACTTGAATCCAGGAGGCGGTGGTTGCAGTGAGTCAAGATGGCACCATTGTACTCCAGTCTGGGCGACAGGGCAAGACTCCATCTCAAAAAAAAAAAAGTGAGCCTCCCTTCTCCAGGCTTCCCTCTCTACAGAATCACGGCTTCTCAGGTTCTAGCTGCCTTGTTCTCCAATGTCTTCACAAAAGGTAAAAGAACTGCCTTCACAATTAATGAAAACGAAGATCTTAATTAATTTGCTAATTGTTTTCTCATATTCTAATGTTTTCGGGTTCCACCTGTGCCAAAACTTGAGGATTCATGAGAAAATCTTTTATTTTGATTTTAATATTTTATTTTGATTTAGTTTATTTATTTATTATTTTTTGAGACGGAGTCTCACTCTGTCGCCCAGACTGGAGTGCAGTGGCGCAATCTTGGCTCACTGCAAGCTCCGCCTCCCGGGTTCAAGAGATTCTCCTGCCTCAGCCTCCCGAGTAGCTGGGATTACAGGCGCACGCCCCCACACCCGGCTAATTTTTGTATCTTTAGTAGAGACGGGGTTTTACCATGTTGGCCAGGATGGTCTCGATCTCTTGACCACAGGCGATCTGCCCGTTTCGGCCTCTCAAAGTGCTGGGATTACAGGCATGAGCCACCGTGCCTGGCCTTGACTTAGTTTATTAACAGTTCATATTCAGGTTTGAATTTCACAACTAACTAGTGGTCTCATGTGTTTGTCTGTGAACAGGTGTCAGTTTGGCTGAAAATAATCACGTGAGGGGTTTGCTCCCAAGCAAGGATGCCAGAATAGGGCCTAGGAATCTGAATTCTAAGAAATAGCACTGTTTTTTTCTTTCTTTTTTTTTTTTTTTGAGATGGAGTCTTGCTCTGTCACCCAGGCTGGAGTGCAATGGCTTGATCTCGGCTCACTGCAATTTCTGCCTCCTGAGTTCAAGTGATTCTCCTGCCCCAGCTTCCTGAGTAGCTGGGATTACAGGTGTGGGCCACTACACCAGGCTAATTTTTATATTTTTAGTAGAGATGGGGTTTCATATGTTGAACAGGCTGGTCTCAAACTCCTGACCTCAAGTGATCCACCCATCTTGGCTTCCCAAAGTGCTGGGTGTGAGCCACCGCACCCGGCCAGAAATAACATTTCTGATGCTCACTAAAGTCTGAGGGAGAAAAAAAAGGCATGACTAACCCTGAAATGCAATGAAAAAGAAAAAAAAAAAAGGCTGGGCGCAATGGCTCATGCCTGTAATCCCAGCACTCTGGAAGGCCGAGGCAGATGGATCACAAGGTCAGGAGATCAAGACCATCCTGGCTAACACGGTGAAACCCTGTCTCTACTAAAAATACAAAAAATTAGCTGGGCTTGGTGGCAGGCGCCTGTAGTCCCAGCTACTCTAGAGGCTGAGGCAGCAGAATGGCGTGAACCCGGGAGGTGGAGCTTGCAGTAAGCCAAGATTGCACCACTGCACTCCAGCCTGGGCGACAGAATGAGACTCCGTCTCAAAAAAAAAAAAAAAAAAAAAAAAAGCCCATTGCTTGCTTGTTGTTAACCCAATATTCATTTCTACCTTCTTCCCTACTAAAACCTCCAGTTTCTACAGGGCATGATATATTCACCTACAAACTTCATTTCCCAAACTCCCTTGCAGCTAGGGTGGCTACTAGACGCAATTTTGGCCAATAAGATGAAACAGAAGTCACTGGGTGAGAGCCTCTTAGAAAGTTCTTTTGCCCTTCACTCTTCCCCTTCTTCCTGCCTGGGGACTGTGGGCCCCGTCTGAGAAGCAAGCATCCATTTTGCAATTATGATGTGATGAGCATGAGTGGAAGTCACACTATAGGGATAGATGGGTAAGGGGAGCGAAAGGAGTGTGAATCCCTGAGGCATCATAGAACCTCAGTAACAGGCCTAGATGGATTGCCTGCAGACTTTTTATTCCTAGAGAAAAAATAAAGTCCTGTTTGGTTGTTACTGTGAGTTGGTATTTCTTGCAGTTACTTTCAGTGAATGTAATTCTAGCTGATACAATAGCTGGACAATCAAGACATGGAATAAGATGGAACCATAAAAGACCCAGAATAGCCAATGCTAGCCTAAGCAAAAAAAAAAAAACAAAACAAAACTGGGGGAATCACATTATCTGACTTCAAATTATACCACAGAGCTATAGTAACCAAAACAGCATGGTACTGGCATAAATACAGACACACAGACCAATGGAACAGAATAAGAACCCAGAAACAAATCCACACACCTCCTTTGACCTTTGTCAAAAATGAGTTCACACCAGTGAACTCATTACTAGTGAACTCATTTTTGACAAATGTGCCAAAAACATACACTGTGGAAAGGACAATCTCTTCAATAAATGGTGCTGGGAAAACTGGATATCCCTATGCAGAAGAATGAAACTATACCCCTATCTCTCACCAAATACAAAAATCAAATCAAAATGGACTAAAGACTTAAATCCAAGACCTCAAACTGTGAAACTACCACAAGAAAACATTGGGGAAAATCTCCAGGACATTAGTCTGGGTAAAAATTTCTTGAGTAATTCTCCAAAGGTAACCAAAGCAAAAATGGACAAATGGGATCACATCAAGTTAAAAAGCTTCTGCACAGCAAAGGAGACAATCAACAAAGTGAAGAGACAACCCACAGAATGCGAGAAAATACTACCCATCTGACAAGGGATTAATAACCAGAATATATAAGAAGCTCAAACAACTTCAATAGAAAAAAATCTAGTAATCTGATTTAAAAAATGGGCAAAACATTTGAACAGATATTTCTCAAAAGAAGACATACAAATAGCAAACTGGCATATGAAAACATGCTAAACATCACTGATTATTAGAGAGATGTAAATCAAAATGACAATGAGATATCATCTCACCCCAGTTAAAATGGCTTATATCCAAAAGACAGGCAATAACAAATGCTGGCAAGGAGATGGAGAAAAGGGAACTCTTTATTTTATTTATTTATTTATTTATTTATTTATTTATTTATTTATTTGAGACAGAGTTTTGCTTTTGTTGCCCAGGCTGGAGTACAATGGCATGATCTTAGCTCACTGCAACCTCCACCTCCTGGGTTCAAGTGATTCTCCTGCCTCAGCCTCCTGAGTAGCTGGGATTACAGGCATGTGCCACCATGCCCGGCTAATATTGTATTTTTAGTAGAGACGGGGTTTCTCCATGTTGGTCAGGCTAGCCTTGAACTCCCAACCTCAGGTGAGCTGCCTGCCTCAGCCTCCCAAAGTGCTGGGATTACAGGCATGAGCCACCACTCCCAGCTGAAAAGGGAACGCTTGTATGCTGTTGGTATGAATGTAAATTAGTACAACCATTATGGAGAACAGTTTGAAGATTCCTCAAAAAAACTAAAAAAAGAGGGCTATACCTGTAATCCCAGCACTTTGGGAGACTGACGTGGGAAGATTGCTTGAGCCCAGGAGTTCGAGACCAGCCTGGGCAACATAGTGAGACCCCCATCTCTCTCTCTTTTTTTTTTTTTTTTTTTAAGTAAATACAGGTGTGGTGGCTCCCACCTGTAATCCCAGCACGTTGGGAAGCCAAGGCAGGCAGATCACTTGAGGTCAGGGGTTTGAGACCAACCTGGCCAACATGGTGAAACCCTGTCTCTACTAAAAATACAAAACAAAAAAATTAACTGCGTATGGTGGCACGTGCCTATAATCCCAGCTACTTGGGAGGCAGAGGCAGGAGAATCACTTGAACCCAGGAGGTGGAGATTGCAGTGAGCCAAGATTGCACCACTGCACTCCAGCCTGGGTGACAGAGTGAGAATCTGTCTAAAAAAAAAAAAAAAAAAGATAGAAAGAAAGAAAAATAGCTATAAGAGTATAATTGGATTGTTTGCAACACAAAGGATAAGTGCTTCAGGGGATGGATACCTCATTGTCCATGATGTGGTTATTATGCATTGCATGCCTGTATCAAAACATCTCTTATACCCTACAAATATATACACCTGTGTACCCACAAAAAGTAAAAATTAAAGAAAACATGAAATAAGAAATGAGAGGGCTCTGTGTAGAATGTCTGCAAAATGATGTGGAGTATACTATACAAACTATATAATTAACAAAAACCTGGAAGAGGCTGGACACAGTGGCTCATGCCTGTAATCCTAGCACTTTGGGAGGCCAAGGCAGGCAGATCACTTGAGGTCAGGAGTTTGAGACCAGCCTGGCCAACATGGTGAAACCCCATCTCTACTAAAAAATACAAAAATTAGCCAGGCGTGGTGGTGCATGCCTGTAATCCCAACTACTCCGGAGGGTGAGGCACAAGAATCACTTGAACCCAGGAGGTAGAAGTTGCAGTGAGCCAAGATCATGCCACTGCTCTCCAGCCTGGGTGACAGAGCAAGACTCCATCTCAGAAAAAAACAAAACAAAACAAAACAAAAACCTGGAAGAGCTTAAAGATACAATAAAAGCATAGTCCCTTTTATCAACAACCACAAAAAATGAAAGGCAATTAAAAACTCCAGGAAAAACAAGCCAAAAACGTATCTTAGTTTGTTTTCTGTTGCTAACAGAATACCATATCCTGGGTAATTTATAAAGAAAAGAAATTTATTCCTTACAGTTCTGAAATCTGGGAAGTCCAAGAGCATGGTACTGGCATCTTGTGAGGGCCTTCTTGCTGCATCTTAACATGGTAGAGGGTATCATGTGGTGGGACAGCAAGAGTGTGTGTGTCAGTGTGTCAGTTCAGGTCTTTCCTCCTTTTCTTTTTTCTTTTTATTTCTTTCTTTTTTTCTTTTCTTTTTCTTTTTTTTTTTTGAGACAGAGTATCGCTCTGTTGCCCAGGCTGGAATACAGTGGCACAATCTTGGCTCACTGCAACCTCCGCCTCCTGGGTTCAAGTGATTCTCCTGCCTCAGCCTCCCGAGTAGCTGGGACTACAGGCGTGTACCACCATGTCCAGCTAATTTATTTGTATTTTTAGTAGAGACGGGTTTTCACCATGTTGGCCAGGCTGGTCTCAAACTCCTGACCTCTGCTGATCTGCCCACCTTGGCCTCCCCAAATACTGGATTACAGGCATTAGCCACCACACTCGGCCTCCTCCTTTTCTTATAAAGCCACCTGGGGTCCCTATCCTGATGACCTCATCTAATCCTAATTACTTCCCAAAGGCCTCCTCCACACCAGGCCTCCTCCTTTTCTTATAAAGCCACCTGGGGGCCCTATCCTGATGACCTCATCTAATCCTAATTACTTCCCAAAGGCCTCACCTCCAAATACCAACAATATATGAATTTGGGGATTAAGTTTCCAACACTAGAAATTTGGAGGGCATGTTCAAACCATACTAAAAGCCAGCTTTTAGTATAAGCAAACCAAAATGTAGTATGATATTTGAGCAAATGGTACAGGATTTTGACCATTCTCTTTCAAATGTTCGAGTTCAGCAATGAAAGATTACATTTCTTTTTCCAAAGACTCAATCATTATATAGTTGTATATATTGTTAAAAATAGTAGTATTTTTGCCTGGGTGCAGTGGCTCATGCCTGTAGTCCCAGCACTTTGGGAGGCTGAGGTGGGCAGATCACCTGAGGTCAGGAGTTCGAGACCAGCATGGCCAACATGGCAAAACCCCGTCTCTACTAAAAATACAAAAATTAGCCGGGCGTGTTGGCAGATGCCTGTAATCCCAGCTACTCAGGAGGCTGAAGCAGGAGAATTGCTTGAACCCAGGAGGCGGAGGTTGCAGTGAGCTGAGATTGTGCCATTGCACTCCAACCTGGGCGACAAGAGTGAAAACTCCATCTCAAAAACAAACAAACAAACAAATAAAAATAATAGTATTTTAAACACTATATCCAAGATCAAGGTACCAGCTAAAAAGAAAAAAAGGAAAAAAAATTTTTTTATTGCTTTTTTTTAAAAAGGTGTGGTCTTGTTATGTTGCCCAGGCTAGTCTTGAGCTCCTGGGCTCAAGTAATTCTCCTGCCTCAGCCTTTCAAGTAGTTGAGACTATAGGTGCATGCCACTGTGCCTGGCTTTAGTTTTCAAATTTTAGAATTAATCGTTACACAAGTCACTGAATTTATACTTATGGAATGTAAATGTCCTAAACCATAACAATGTGTATTAGTTAGTGTTCTCCAGAGAAAGAGAATATATATATTCCAAATATACATATATATATTCCAAATATACATATATATATATATTCCAAAGAAATAGAATATATATATATGTCCACCATGTATACACACATGCTGGACACCCCAGAAAAGCCTGCATTTCAGTGTAGGTCTAAAGGCAGGGAAACAAACTGATGTCTGAATTCAAAGGCTGTCAGGCAGCCAGAATTCTCTTTTTTGCGGGGGAAGGTCAGCCTTTTTGTTCCATTCAGGCCTTTGTTCTATTCAGCTGATTGGATGAGGCCCACTCACATTAGGAAGGGTCATCTGCTTTACTCAGTTCACTGATAAATGATAAATCATCCAAAAACATCCTCACAAACACACCCAGAATAGTGTTTGACCAAACACCTGGGCACACCCTGTGGCCCAGTCAAGTTGACACATGAAATTAGTCATCACACAATGTAATGGCAGGTAGGGAGGAGGGAGGAGAGAAGGGGAGGGCAGTATAAGGATCCACATCTCCCCATTTTATACAGTGGGGAGACACTAGAACTTCCTAGCCCTGATGGATTAAAAAATGTAATTCAATGGATATTATAAAAAGTTATGCAAGTAAATACTAGAAGAATGAAAAATATAACAAAAATTGAGAGGTATGGAGGAAAAGAAAGTGAGAGGCAGATCAATGCACTAAATTCCTCATCTTCTTCTTCTTATTATTATTATTTTTGAGACAGTCTTACTTTGTCACCCAGGCAGGAGTGCAGTGGCACAATGTTGACTCACTGCAATCTCTGTCTCCTGGGTTCAAGCAATTCTCCTGCATCAGCCTCCTGGGTAGCTGGGATTACAGGCGTGCACTACCACACCCAGCTAATTTTTGTATTTTTAGTAGATATGGGGTTTCACCATGTTGGCCAGGCTGGGCTTGAACTCCGGACCTCAGGTGATCCGCCCGCCTCAGCCTCCCAAATTGCTGGGCATACAGGCATGAGCCACTGCGCCTGGCCATTTCTTATAGCAGGTGTGTTAGTCCGTTCTTGTGCTGCTATAAAGATATCCCCGAGGCTAGGTGATTTATAAATAAAAGAGGTTTAATTGGCTAGCAGTTCTGCAGGCTGTACAGGAAGCGTGGTGCCAGTGAAGAGGAGCTGACGTCTCACTTGGCAAGAGTTGGAACGAAAGAGAGAGTGGGGAGGAGGTGCCACAAGCAGATCTCAGGAGCGCTCACTCACTATCGGGAGGACAGCACCCAGGGAATGGCTCTAAACCATTCATGAGAAATTTGCCTCCATGATCCAGTCACCTCCAACCAGGCCCCACCTCCAATATTGGGGATTACAATTCAACATGAGATTTGGAGGGGATAACATCCAAACTATATCCTCAGGAAATAACAGATACTTCTGAAGCTGATAAAACAAGATAAGTATATGAGAGTTATGCTGTGACCATCAGGGCCAAAACCAGAAATTGGTAACAATGGTTTCTTCTGGGTCGTGCCACTGAGTATTGTTGGGGAAGAAGGAGAGATTTTTTTTTTCACTTGCTATTTTTCCATACTATTGAAATTCTTTAACATGCATGCATTTCTTTCATAATTACAATATAGTGTGATTTTATTTTGTAATTTTTGACTCCTTGGAGTTTGATAACTAGCTGGTCTGGGGAGCCATTGAGCTAGACAGTCTCTGGAAATGTTTCGGAGTTTAAAACTCCTGTGACCCCAGCAGAGTCACAGGCAGGGGCGAAGTGCCTACTGGTAGTTCTGTGGGTTTTGATGTAAAAACAAGTCTTTAGATTTTTTTTTTTTTGCTTAAATGTTTGCTTAAATGATCTTCTAAGACAGCTAAATGCAATTAAAAGAACAATGTTTTGAGATTGCTTAATGAGTTTTTTAAAATACAAGTCTTGACTGGGTGCAGTGGCTCATGCCTGTAATCCCAGCACTTTGGGAGGCTGAGGCGGGTGGATCACCTGAGATTGGGAGTTTGAGACCAGCCTGACCAACATGGTGAAACCCCATCTCTACTAAAAATAGAAAATTAGCCAGGCGTGGTGGTGCCTGCCTGTAATCCCAGCTACTCGGGAGGCTGTGGCAGGAGAATCGCTTGAACCAGGGAGGCGGAGGTTGCGGTGAGCCGAGATGGCGCCATTGCTCTCCAGCCTGGGCGACAAGAGCGAAACTCTGTTTCAAAAAAAATAAAAACAAAAACAAAAACAAACCAAGTTTTTATTTCCAATAAAAGTGAATTTAACTTATTTAATTTTATTTACAAATTATTCCCAGGTCTAGCTTTGACTTTAAAAAGTGAATTTTAAATGTTAAACATATGAATTATTCTAATTTGTATTATAAACTTAAATTTTCCTCTGAAAATCAAATCAAAAGCAGGGAAAAGCATGCCAGTAATGAAAAGAAACCAAAACAGGTACAGCTTTGCATCCTTTCTTCAATTTAATGTTTAAAGATGTAACCGCCCAAAGGGTTCACCTTGCCTGCTGCCTAGACAGAACCGATTTGTCAAGACAGTGGAATTGCAATGAAGAAAGAGTAATTTCACTCAGAGCTGGCTGTGAGGGAGACGGGAGTTTTATTATTACTTAAATCAGTTTCCTCAAGCATTTGGGGATCAGAGTTTTTAAAGATAGTTTGGTGCTGGGTGTGGTGGCTCACGCTTGTAATCCCGGCACTTTGGGAGGCTGAGGCAGGCGGATCACCTGAGGTCAGGAGTTCAAGACCAGCCTGGCCAACATGGCGAAACCCCATCTGTACTAAAAATACAAAAAATTAGCTGGGCGTGGTGGCACTTGCCTGTAAACCCAGGTACTCGGGAGATTGAGGCTGGAGACTCACTTGAACCCAGGAGGCGGAGGTTGCAGTGAGCTGAGATTGTGCCACTGCACTCCAGCCTGGGCAACAGAGTGAGACTCCATCACAAACAAACAAACATAATTTGGCAGGTAGGGTCTCAGGAAGCAGAGTGCTGATTGGTCAAGGTTGGAGATGGAATCCTAGGGGGGTCGAACTGAGGTTTTCTTGCTGTTTTCTACTCCTAGATGGGATGGCAGAACTGATTGGCCCAGATTACCGGTCTGGATGGTGTCAGCTGATCCATCCAGTATAGGATCTACAAAATATCTCAAACACTGATCTTAGGTTTTACAATAGTGATGCTATCCCCAAAAGCAATTTGGGGCGGTTCAGACTCTTGGAGCCAGAGGCTGCATGACCCCTAAACCGTAATTTCTAATCTTGTAGCTAACTTGTTAGTCCTGCAAAGGCAGACTGGTCCCCAGGCAAGAAGGGAGTCTTTTCGGGAAAGCGCTATTATTAATTTTGTTTCAGAGTCAAACTATGAACTGAATTCCTTCCCAAATGCCCAGCAATGAACAAGGACAGCTTAAAGGTTAGAAGCAAGATGGAGTCGGTTAGGTCTGATCTCTTTCACTGTTATAATTTCTTCAGTTATAATTTTTGCAAAGGCAGTTGAAACTGTGTCTTTGAAAAGACACAGCAGAAACATCTGTTACATAAACAACAGAAATGAGGAAGAAAGTATCTGACTCAGTAGCAAAGGAAATCCACAGAAAGAATGTTCTGAGAACGGAAGCAATGATCAGACCAGGTAGGGATATGATAGAAAGAAAATTCTCATCTAATTCAAATTCTGGCCAGTCCTTTTGGTGATTTCCATACTAATACTAGGCACTTTAAAATGTGAGTTCTGGTAACACATGGAACCTCAAAGTAGAAATGTCTGTTGTTCATTTTTAAAAGACTATTTGCAGAGTTTTGATGTTTATCAATGAAAAGAGTTTTTTTTTAAAATTTATGAAGAATAGGGAATCCTATATGGGCATGGGGCAAATAATCAAACTGTTTTAATGCAGAAAAAAATGTGCAACAGAAAGAGATAGCTCATGGAGGGATAAAGACTTTATTCTGGACCCTCTAGATTCTGTGGGGCCTGCAGTAGCTTCAAGATGCCCCAGCATGTCCTGCGCCCACACCCCTGTCAAGATCACTGTGGTCAGGGCGTCTTGCCCATGGCCAGTGTATTAGTCTGCTTGGGTTGCCACAACAAAATACCACAGACTGAGGTTGAAAACATTTATTTTCTCACAGTTTTGGAGGCTAGAAGTCCTAGATCAAGGTGCCAGCAGCGTTGCTTCCTCTGAGGCAGCTCTTCTTGGCCTGTAGGTGGCGCCTTCTTGCTGTGTCTTCACATGGGCGGCCCCTCAGTCTGTGTGTCTAGGTCCTAATCTTCTCTTATAAACACACCAGTCATACTGGATTAGGGTCCATCATTTTACCTTAACGGCCTATTTAAAGGCCTTATCTCCAAATACAGATGCATTTTGAAATACTAAGGGTTAGTACCTCAACATCTGAATTCTGGGGGGACACACTTCAACCCATAACATGCAGGCAGACCTCAATGCTGCTTGCAGACCCAAGGCGAACTGCACAACAATCAAGCCTGGCTCTTAGGACAAAAACATCTGCCAGAGTCAACCAAACTGAATTCTCTGGGAAGGACGAGATGCCTGGTGTCATAAAAAGACCATAGTCTTTTTTAAGTGTGATGCATGCGCACACAGGCACGCATACACACACGCGCACACACGCGCACACACTGCACTGCTGCCCTGTCCTTGGCAGACATTCCTGTGGGGTCATGTTCGAAATATGCACTTCTGTGGAGTAGCTTGGGTTTTCTTGGAAGTCTCTTTTTCTAAACTTGTACCTAAGCTGATGGCCTGTGCCTGCTTGGGCATGAGGGGTCGGAGTGGGGATGGGTCAAGACTGACTCCTGTTCACTGTGAAGTAGAGGAAGGCAGTGATAGCCAGACAGGGACGTGTGTTTAGGGAAGTCCTCTGTGTTTTCAGTTCTGTTTTTGTTTTGTTTTTATGATGGGAGAGATGAGCAAATATAAAGGCTGCTTCTAGGAGCAGGAGTGAGGAGAGGTTGCCTATATGAGAGAAACGGGATGGTCAATACTGTAGGTTTTTTTGAGAAGGTGAAATATGGAATTCATTTTTTAAATTTTTTAAATTTTTTTTTTTTTGAGACAGAGTCTCGCTCTGTCACCCAGGCTGGAGTGCAGTGATGTGATCTCTGCTCATTGCAACTTCTGCCTCCTGTTTATATAAACAGGCCAAACCCTGTATGTATGTATGTATTTATTTATTTTTGAGATGGAGTTTCGCTCTTGTTCCACTTGTTGCCCAGGCTGGAGTGCAATGGCACGATCTTGGCTCACTGCAACCTGCAACTCCCGGGTTCAAGCGATTCTCCTGCCTCAGCCTCCCAAGTAGCTGGGATTACCAGCACTCACCACCACAGCCGGCTAATTTTTTTGTATTTTTAGTAGAGACGGGGTTTCACCATGTTGGCCAGGCTGGTCTCGAACTCTTGACCTCAGGTGATCCACCTGCCTCAGCTTCCCAAAGTGCTAGGATTACAGGCATGAGCCACTGCACCCAGCCGAAAGATGGAATTCAAAGAAGTGCTGGTAAGTCACTGTGGTATTTGTGAAAAAATAAAAATAAAGAGGGTTTGGGCTAGGCGCGGTGGCTCATGCCTGTAATCTCAGCACTTTGGGAGGCCAAGGGGGGTGGATCACCTGAGGTTGGGAGTTCGAGACCAGCCTGACCAACATGGAGAAACCCTGTCTCTACTGAAAATACAAAATTAGCCGGGTGTGGTGGCGCATGCCTGTAATCCCAGCTACTCGGGAGGCTGAGGCAGGAGAATCACTTGAACCGAGAGGTAGAGGTTGCAGTGAGCCAAGATTGTGCCACTGCACTCCAGCCTGGGCAACAAGAGGAACAAGAGCAAAACTCCATCAAATAAATAAATAAATAAATAAATAAAAACAGGGTTTGGCCTTGGGCAGGATGGACCGTTTTCTAGAAGGACAGCCGTGGTGCGCTGCACAACTGGTATGAAGCCCAGTTTCCATCTGAAGTCCTCGATGTTCATGGAAATAGGGGCGAGACAGTCTGAGGAGTGTGAAGAAGGCCTGAAAATATCCTTGCAGAGAACAGGAGAGACAATGACTGGGACAGCCAGGCAGGGCTGAGGGCCCATTTGAATTTCCCGCAGTGCCCTCTGTCCTGTTGTGTGACCCCTCCAGCAGTAGGTACTGGGAAAGCAGGTGGCTGAGTTCATCCAGGACTGAGGCTCTGCCAGACAAGAACAGTGCAGCAAGGATGTTGAAGGTAATGGCAAAAAATAACTGGAATGCAGAGAAATGAAATCAAAGCTGATGAGGAGGGAAGGGAAGAGAGGAGAGGGCAGATAGACTTGGGTAGAGAGGACAGAACAATGACAGGGCAAACTGGTGATGTTGAGGAAGAGTCACAGGGAGCAGCTAAACAAGCCAGCTGCAGGGATGGCACTGTGTGGCTGGAGAGCAGGGTTCTGGAGTTATCGGTTTTTCCATGTGTGACATGGGCCTGGGTGGGTGAGGCTGAGTGTAGAAGTCTTACATTTCCAGTCTTGTCACTCCTCTGATGAGTTTCAGACCAATATATCCATCTGCCTAGATGTCATTTCTCCTTGGATTCACATGCTCCAAACCAAACTCCTGGGCTCAGACATCAAAGCCACTCAAAAATAGCTCTCTGAGAAATAGAACTACCATATGATCCAGTAATCCAACTTTTGGGTATAGACCCAAAAGAATTAAAAACAGAATATTGAACAGATATTTGCATAGCTTTATTCACAACAGCCAAAGGTGGGAACAACCCACATGCCCATCAACAGACGAATGGATAAACAAAATGTGCTATATACATAAAATGGAATCTTTTTCGGCCTTAATGAAGGAAGGAAATCCTGACACATGCTACATGGATGAACCTTGAGGATATTTTGCTAAGCAAAAGAAGCCAGACACTAATGGACAAATACTATAAAATCCACTTATATGAGATACTTAGAGTAGTCAAATTTAGGGACAGAATCAGATTTGCAAGATAAAAAGTTTCTGGAAACGTATTTCACAATAATGTGAATATGCCTGATACTACTGAACACCTCAAAAAGGGTTAACACGGGGCCGGGCGCGGTGGCTCATGCCTGTAATCTCATCACTGTGGGAGGCCAAGGTGGGCAGATCACCTGAGGTTAGGAGTTGGAGACCAGCCTGGCCAACATGGTGAAACCCGGTCTCTGCTAAAAATACACACAAAAAAATTAGCTGGGCATGGTGGCAGGTGCCTGTAATCCCAGCTACTTGGGAGGCTGATGCGGGAGAATCGCTTGAACCCGGGAGGTGGAGGTTGCAGTGAACCGAGACAGGGCCATTGCACTCCAGCCTGGGCAACAAGAACGAAATTCCGTCTCAAAATAAAATAAAATAAACAATAAAAATAAAGGGTTAACATGGGGGCTGAGCACGGTCAGCGAGAGAATCACTTGAGGCCAGGAGTCTGAGACCAGCCTGGGCAACAGAGAACGCTGTCTCTACAAAGCATAATAATAAAAAAATGAGCCAGGTGTGGTGGCATGCACCCGTGGTCCCAGCTACTTGTGAGGCTGAGATGGGAGGTTGAGACTGCAGTGAGCCGTGTTCGCATCACTGCTCTCCAGCCTGGGCACAGAGACACTCTGTCTCTGAAACAAACAAAAAAAGAGGGGCTAACATGGTAAATTTCATGTTTCTTATCAAGTAAAAAGGCTTGCTGACCCACAATCTATATTAGGTTTCCCTGTTACTAGCAAGGAGTGAAGGATGTGCTATCCCAAAATATGTCCAAAAATTGGTATATTATTTTGAGCTAAAAACACCGGAGAAATTGTAGTTTCAGAAAGGGCTAGATGACCTGTCGTTTCCTACAGGGAATAAGCAGTAAAGATTCCTCTGGGAGTGGCACCCTCTCTGTACCCGGGTCAGAAAATAGCCCTTATCACCAGAGACTGGGAGTTGGGGCTGCAATGGACCTGAATAAATGAACTTCCCAAGTAACACTTACCTTCCACTAATTTTACACCCTCCCCAATATTTCTCCTAGTGACTCTCTTAGAAATGTATCGCCCCAGCCAGATGCCTTTTGTGCTTTCTTCTCAAATGCATCATTCTTTGTCTAAAAAGTATAAAAGCATCTTGCTGTGGCCACTTCTTCAGACCTCACTCTCTTTTGAAGGTCCCCATGAAAAACTAATAAAGTGTGTATGCTTTTCTTTTGTTTATCTGCCTCTTGTCAATTCGGTTTCTGGCTCCAGCGGAAGAGCCCGCAGAAGCGCTGAGGGGACTGGAGACGGTCTCTGGCGCCCCTACACCTGCTCAGTGAGCCTTCAGCCCCTTCTCCCTGACGAAGCTCCCAGAGGCTGGAACTCTGGCGCGGGAGGCACTTGGGAAATCCTCCCGAAAGCAAGGAGGAGCCTTTCCTAGACCGGGAGCGGTCCCACGCGGGGGTACAGGTTGGGGCAGGGGCGACCGAGCCGGGCACAGGAACTCGCAGCAGGGTAGGGTTGGCGGCTACGCCGCCCTCGGTCCGCGGGGAACCACGCGGGCTTCCGGGTCACGCCGCCGCGTTCCGACCGCCCTCGGGGAGAGGGGAGGAGCCTCCAGCGCCGGGCGGGGCGTGGTTAAGGCCGGTGGGCCCCACCGCAGCCAGACGCTGCCCGTTTAAGCGCAGAGGGCCGCGGGTCACGTGGTGGGCGGGGTGGGGGCGTGGCACCAGGAAGCGGCGTCCGCGCCGGGCCCAGAGCCGCAGCCGCAGCCGCCGCTACAGTCCGGGCCGGGCTCCACCGCGCATCCTGCTCCACTCTGGCGACCGCCCCCGGGGCCCCCGCCGCGGGCGCGGCGCCCGCCATGGGCGAGGAGGACTACTATCTGGAGCTGTGCGAGCGGCCGGTGCAGTTCGAGAAGGCGAACCCTGTCAACTGCGTCTTCTTCGATGAGGCCAACAAGCAGGTCCGGCGCGCCCGCGCTTCCTCCCCCGCGCGGCCCTGCCGGGGTCGTGGGCGCGCCAAGGCCGGTCCCGCGCGACCAGGCCCGAGCGTCCCCTCCTGTCCTGTCCCGTCCCGTCCCAGCGCGGGAGGCGGCGCGCGCTCCTTCCTTGTTGGGTGGGCTCAGCCGCGGCCAGGTGTCCTCGCAGGTGACCTCGGGGCTGGACCCCCGAGCCAGCTGCGCGGATGCAGTGGCCCCGTGGCCAGTGTCTCAATTGTTGGCGCGCCCGTCTTATCTAGGCTTCTTTTGTTGTGTTTGTCATTAGTTACACTCGTAGTCAAGGGTTTAGACGTCGAGATTTTCATTTTCCTTGAAATTTTGTAAAGGGGGAAAAGACTGTACTTCAGGCGTATCAGCGGCGCCGATGCGCGAACCGGTGTTAGAACTTGGAGCCTCGGGAACCCGACCCGGTGTCACGGTGGCATCCTTTTCGCTCTCTGCTCTTGGTTTTTAAAATTCACCTGAGCAGCCAAACATCTGTACCTTGATATGTGCCGTGTTACTTTAGTTGAACCCAGGGTGGTGTATAACAGAAATAATCGCTTGCGGGTTGGCTTCTGAGTTTAGATCCTTTCAGAGTTCAGGCTGTTAACCTTGCTGCTTTTCCCTCTCAGGTTTTTGCTGTTCGATCTGGTGGAGCTACTGGCGTGGTAGTTAAAGGCCCAGATGATAGGAATCCCATCTCATTTAGGTAATGGTATAGACACTTTCAGATCATTTTGTCATGTAAACAGAATGATGTTTTTCTAATTCAAATGGTTTTTTATAATTTTGTCATTTGGTCTGCCCTAAGAGGCCTGAAGTCTGTGTGCGCACATGGAATTCCTGTCTGTAGGGAGGGTCTTCGTGGCACTTACTAGCACCTCTTGTCAGAGTGGAATATCTGGAGCAGTTGATTTGGGAGCCAAATACTTCAAAAGTGGGGCAGCCACTTCCTAGCACTGGAAATTAACAAGTCAGCGTGATGATGTGCCCATTTCTGGTTTGTTCACAGAGGAGGGCGTTCATTTCTTTAGCCCAGGTCTTTCCAGAGTGGCAGGTGGAGGAGATTCATTGTTTCTCATGTAATAATACAAGAAAATCATGGCTTCCACTATACTTAAGGTGACTGCATAGTCCCAGTTCGCACTGTTGAACAGGTTTAATGATCAACAGCAGGGCCTTTCACTTTCAGAAGTGTCTCGATTTGGATGATAAGCTATCTGGCCACTGTAACACTGGTGCTTACAGAAGGTGAAAGTATAATGTAGGCCCTCAATTCAGTAGTGACTTAAAAAATTTTACTGTTGGTCTGTGTTAATGAGAAACTGTCCTTTTTTGAGAGGGAGCCTCCCTCTGTTCCCCAGGGTGGAGTGCAGTGGTGCGATCTTGGCTGACTGCAACCTCCGCCTCCCAGGTTCAAGTGATTCTCCTGCTTCAGCTTCCCAAGTAGCTGGGATTAGAGGCGCCCACCACCACGCCCGGCTAATTTTTTTTGTATTTTTAGTAGAGATGGGGTTTCACCGTGTTGGCCAGGCTGGTTTCGAACTCCTGACCTCAAAACGATCCGCCCGCCTCAGACTCCCACAGTGCTAGGATTACAGGCATGAGCCGCTGCACCCGGCCTGAGCAAGGTTTTAAAGTATGGATGGGGTTCGAGCATGGTGTTTTGGGGAACTCTGGGTCTGTGTAACTGAAGGTTACATAGGGTGTCTCCACAGGGAAGGGGAAATGGTGGTGGTGTGGCCACTGGCAGGGGCCAGCTTGAACCTTACATATTCTCCTATGAAATTAGAGCTTTATCTTCTTATTGAAACTTATCAGGTGGGGTGTGGGATGATCATGTCAGTGTTTGGCAAGATCATGCTGTTCACAGCACGGAGGCTGGCTTAGTTGGGAGCCTGTCAGAGTTAGGGATGCTATGGAGAGTAGCAATCAGCGAGCCATGTGTGGTGAAGAGCAGCGCTCTGGTGGTGTAGAGTGGCATTGCATAGGCAATCAAGGGATACTTAGGAAGATGGGTCTCTCGTAAGACCCGGGGGTCGGTTGGGTGTGGAAAACGAGTGAGCCCGTGATAATCTAGATTGGGGGCTCTAAGAAGTTTGTGGGTGGGGGGAAGGTACTGAATTTAACTTAAAAAGAGTTTTTAGACTGGGCGCGGTGGCTCATGCCTGTAATCCCAGCACTTTGGGAGGCCGAGGCGGGTGGATCACTTGAGATCAGGAGTTCGAGACCAGCCTGGCCAGCATGGTGAAACCCTGTCTCTACTAAAAATACAAAAATTAGCCAGGTGTGGTGGCACGTGCCTGTAATCCCAGCTACTCGGAACGCTGAGGCAGGAGAATCACGTGAACCCGAGAGGCAGAGGTTGCAGTGAGCCGAGATCATGCCACTGCACTGTAGCCTGGGCAACAGAGCAAGACTCCGTCTCAAAAAAAAAAAAAAAAAGATTTTTAAAAGCAGCTTTATTGAGGCATAGTTGACACATAATAAACTGTACACACTTAATATTATGCAATATGTGAGTTTTGACATGTATACACCCATGAAACCATCACCACAATCAAGGCAATGAACATGTTCAGACCCCGAAAAGTTTCCTTGGGCCCTTCTGTAATCCATCCCTTGAGTTTTTTTTTTTTAAATGAATTTTTAATTTAAAAAATGTATGTATTGGAATAGAGACGGGGTCTCACTGTGTTGCTGAGGCTGGTCTCGAATTCCTGTGATCCTCCTGCTTCATCCTCTCACAGTGCTGGGATTACAGGTGTAGGCCGCTGTGCCCAGCTGAGTTCACTTTTTAACATCTGTCTGAGGCGGTCATGAGACACTGTAGTGGAGCCATCTGGGTTGCATAATGAATGTGCTGTGAGATGCACAAGTAGATAGTTCTTTCCAGAAGCTTTGCTGTGAGAGAGAAACAGCAGTTACGGAGAAGGCTCCTGAGCGGGTCTATAGTTATTTATGTTGGAACAATTCTCAGGTGATATGTGTGTGTGATCTGAATTCTTCAATCACTTGTTACCCATAATACTGTAAGTTTCCCAGCAAGTTCTTTCCAGTTGGATTTGGTAGTTTGAAAAGAGGTCCTACTGATGGCTTCCGAAACATAATTTTAATTTTAGACTAGAATTTGCTGCCTCCTGAATATAGATTGTGTCTTTTGCCTTTTCAATAAATGGTAGTAGCTAGAATTCGGTTATTTAACTACTAACACAATCTTTCTTCTTAAAGAATGGATGACAAAGGAGAAGTGAAGTGCATTAAGTTTTCCTTAGAAAATAAGATATTGGCTGTTCAGAGGACCTCAAAGACTGTGGTAAGACTTATCTTTAAAATACAGCATTAAAGGGCATTAGAAATACATTTGGAAGAGAAGGAATCGCAAATTTTCAGTGTTAAAGGAAACTTTTATTATCTTACTGTTGTGAAAGGTATAGTTATGTTGCATTGTATTAGAGCCTTCAAAAACGAAAAAGACATTTGAGTGGGTTAAAAAAATGACCTTAGTTTGATTTTTAAATTAAATTAAAAATTTTTTTTTGAGCCAGTCTTCCTTTGTTGCCCAGGCTGGAGTGCAGTGATGTGATCTCGGCTCACTGCAGCCTCGATCTCTCAGGCTCAAGTGATTCTCTCGCCTCAGTCTCCCTTAAAAATTGTTAAAAAATAATTTGGAACTTCATGTGTCTTTTGTATTGCTTGATAGCAGCATAGAATATGTGAGGTATTTTTGGCTACTTTGTGAATTAGCCTTTTCATCTCTCATTTCTGAGTGCTAGATCTGATAGGAGCAGATATTCCAAGTTGAAGCAGCCTACAGGCACTTTAGCCCGTGTAAATGTTCACCATTGCCGTTTGTAGAGTAGAGGGAAGGCTGTTAGAAACAGGCAGAATCCTCTGTTAGTTTCTTCCATCAGTTTTAAGTGTTAAAGTCTTGGGGAAGCCTCTTAGTGCAGCAACACATTTCTCTGACATCAGCTGCTTGAGGAATGAATTTTTGAAAGGAGTTACTAAACTGTAACTGAATATTTGTATTAACTTAAAAAAAATTGAATCGTAAGCCTGCTGCTGTTGAGACAGATGATCCGAATTGGTCTTTTTATCTTTCCTGTGTTTTGGTTGTCTTCAGTTATTTTCTGGTCACTTTTTAAGTTAATATTTATTTTTCTTGTCTTGTAGTATGCCAACGTAGGTTGGCAGTATGCTGCCTAATCCAAATTTGTGTGTGTCTGTGTGTTTTTCCTTTCAGGATTTTTGTAATTTTATCCCTGATAATTCCCAGCTGGAATACACACAGGAGTGCAAGGTATGACCCCAGGCCCTTTCTCAGCTGCTGGTGTCAGTGGTGTTGAGCTGGGTTATGTAGTGGAGAGCGGGGCATTGGGGTCGCAGGGAGCACAGACTTGAAGTCAGACTGTCCCTCATGTTGATTCCCAAACTGGAGTCAGGCGGGGTGTTTGCTTTGTGACACTGAACAGTTTTCTAAGTTTGAAAGCTTGTTCCTTTGGAGGGGGAGGGTTCAATGGATGATGCGTGGTGAACACCCAGTAGTGCTAGCCCTTGGGGCTGTCGTCTGTCTTGCCCTTTTTCTCCTCACTGGGCTGACAGCACATCTGGGTCTGGGCCCTGGGATGCCTCACAGCCACCTGGAGTGGAGGTTTCTGGTGAGGAGTTTCTTTTTCTGTTTCCTGAAGTTTCCTTTCCTCAATTTGTTGTCTTTGTCTTGTCCTTACTCTTTCTTTCTTCTCCTAGGTGTTGATTCTAATCCACATTAATGAGATTTGCTGGGTGTAGTAAACTAGGCTAGAGGGAGCTGAGCTAAAATTGGCAGTGTGGCACCTTGGGCGCTGACAGAAGCTGCTAGTGGTTGGGGTAGGGCTTTCTGCATTTTTGTGACTGTTTTGCTCAATGGAGTTCAGGGCGGACTCTTTGGTGAGGAGAGGTGCATCCCCACCACTGTCCTGCCTGCCCTGCAGTGGCCCCGTGTGAAGAGACCCTCAGCCCGGCCCTTCTCAAACCTGTCTGCCCTCAAGCGAGTCGGGTGTGTGTCTCAGGGTCCTCAACCCATTTTAGTCAACACTCACTAAAGACCCTTAGGCCTTTGTACATTTTTAATAACCATTTTTATAACGTGGGTGACTAAGAATGTTGGCAGTATGGTGATTCCTGCAGGTAGAAGCTGCTGTCTGTGAGCTCTGGTCAGTTACTTTTCTACAAAACACAGACTTCTCCTGTTCTGTTTAGTAGAAGGAATTAGGATTCAGGTTCTTGAATGAAGAGTTATGGGCAAAAATCAGGGAACATTGTATTTAAAAGAAAATTTGTTTTGTTAATTAGTAAACATTCCGGGGAACGTTCATTAAAGAATGACAAACTGCAGAGTTTGTGAAGCTTTTGAAGAGAGTTATATGTGTTTTTTCTTATTAATTAAAAATATTTTTAAAAAATTTTTCTTAGACTAAGAATGCCAACATTCTAGGATTCTGCTGGACTAGTTCAACTGAAATTGTCTTCATAACAGATCAAGGAATCGAATTTTACCAGGTATTATGTTTATCATTTATGTTTGTTGGTTAAAGTTCAGTGATAGCATTCTGGCAGCCTTTTGAATTCAGTACTGAATATATATATATATATTTTAAACATTTTCTAGAGATGGAGTCTTGCTCTGTTGCCCAGGCTGCAGTGCAGTGGCACCATCATGGCTCACTGTAATCTCAAACTCCTGGGCTCAAGCAATCCTCCTGCCTCAGTCTCCTGAGTAGGTGGGACTACAGGCATGTACCACCATGCCTGGCTAATTTTTCTTTTTATTATTTTATTTTATTTTATTTTATTTTTGAGACGGAGTTTCGCTCTTGTTGCCCAGGCTGGTGGAGTGCAATGGCGCGATCTCGGCTCACCGCAACCTCCGCCTCCCAGGTTCAAGCGATTCTCCTGTCTCAGCCTCGTGAGTAGATGGGATTACAGGCATGCATCACCATGCCCGGGTAATTTTGTATTTTTAGTAGAGACGGGATTTCTCCATGTTGAGACTGGTCTCGAACTCCCGACCTCAGGTGATCCACCCGCCTCGGCCTCCCAAAGTGCTGGGATTACAGGCGTGAGCCACTGCGCCCGGCCCTGGCTAATTTTTAAACTTTTTTGTAGAGACGAAGTCTTGCTATGTTGCCCAGGCTGGTGTCAAACTCCTAACCTCAACTCCTGCCTTGGCCACTCAGCTTTAGTCTCTTGCTGGGGATTTTATTCTTTTTTTTTTTTTTTATAATTGCAAGTAATAAATTAAAAAAAAAAAAAAGAAAAGAAAAAGGGCTTGGTGGCCCATGCCTGTAATTCCAGCTCTTTGGAAGGCCAAGGTGGGTGGATGGCTTGAGTCCAGGAGTCTGAGACCAGCCAGGCCAACATGATGAAATCCCATCTCTATAAAAAATACAAAATGTTAGTCAGGCATGGTGGTGTGCGCCTGTAGTCCCAGCTACTTGGGAGGCTGAAGTGGGAGGATTGCTTGAGCCTGGGAGGCAGGAGGTTGCAGTGAGCCAAGATCACAGCACTGCACTCCAGCCTGGATGACAGTGAGACCCCATCTCAAAAAAAAAAACAAAAACACAACAACATTAAAAAGTGGGCAAAGGCCAGGTACAGTGGCTCACACCTGTAATCCCAGCACTTTGGGAGACCGAGGTGGGCAGATCACCTGAGGTCAGGAGTTCGAGACCAGCATGGCCAACATGACGAAACCCTGTCTCTATTAAAAATACAAAAATTAGCCAGGTTGGTGGCAGGCACCTGTAATCCCAGCTACTAGGGAGGCTGAGGCCAGGGAATTGCTTGAACCTGGAAGGCGGAGCTTGTAGTGAGCTGAGATGGTGCCACTGCACTCCAGCCTGGGCAACAGAGCGAGACTCCGTCTCAAAAAAAAAAAAGTGGGCAAAGGACATGAGCAGACACTTTTTAAAAGAAGACACACATGCGACCAACAAACATAAAAGAGCTCAACATCACTGATCATTAGAGAAATGCAAATCAAAACCACAATGAGAAACTATCTCACACTAGTCAGCATAGCCATTATAAAAAAGTCAAAGAATAACAGATACTGGCAAGGTTGTGGAGAAAAGGGAACCCTTATGCACTATTGCTGGGAGTGTAAATTAGTTCAACCTTTGTGGAAAACAGTATGGCGATTCCTCAGAGAGCTAAAAGCAGAACTACTGTTTGACCTAGCAGCCCCATTACTGGGTGTAATATGCAGAGGAATATAAATTATTCTACCATAAAGGCACATGCACGTGAATGTTCATTGCAGCACTGTTCACAATGGCAAAGACATGGAATCATCCTAAATGCCCATCAGTGACAGATTGGATAAAGAAAATGTGGTACATATATACCATGGAATACTATGCAGCCATAAAAATGAACAAGATCATGTCTTTTGTGGGAACATGGATGGAGCTGGAGGCCATCATCCTTAGCAAACTAACACAGGAACAGAAAACCAAATACCACATGATCTCACTTCTAAGTGGGAGCTAAATGTAAGTTATGAATGCAAAGAAGGAAACAACAGACACGGGGGGCTACTTGAGCAGGGGAGGGTGGGAGGAGGGAGAGGAGCAGAAAAGATAACTATTGGGTACTGGACTTAATACCTGGGTGATGAAATAATCTGTACCACAAACCCCGTGACATGAGTTTACGTATGTAACAAACCTTCACATCTATCCCTGAACCTAAAAGTTAAAACAAAAAACATTCAAACATTGCAAGATATGTAATATGGAAAGCAAATGTTCCCTATAATCCCGATAAATAATTATTATGAACAGTTTGGTGCATATTCCTCTATTTTTAAAAATAAATACAAACTTCTTTTTAACAAAAAGGGGAATGTTGTATATAAACTTTTGCAGCTAGCTTTTTTTTTTTTTGTCCAAAGTGTATCTTGGACATCTTTCTATATTTTATTCTGACTGGGTAGTATTCCACTGTATGGATGGACTGCAGTTTAAAAATTTTCTTGTTATTGGACATTGGCTGGTTTTCCATTTTTTTGTGATTACAAATAACCCTTCAGTAACATGCTTGTACACACTTCTTTATATTAGAGGGAGAGTTGCAGTATAGGTACGAACATCTGAAAAGCTGAACCAGTATCGCCAAATTTCTTCTAGACATGTGTATTTTCACTAGCAATATAGGAACTTCTGCTTTTCATACCTTTAGGAGGACTGGATATTATCAGTCTATAGACATTTGCCAACCTGAGAGGTAGAAAGACTTTTTTTTTTTTTTTTTTTTCTGAGACAGAGTCTCACTCCGTCGCCCAGGCTGGAGTGCAATGGTGCGATCTCGGCTCACGGCAACCTCCACCTCCTGGGTTCAAGCAATTCTCCTGCCTCAGCCTCCCAAGTAGCTGGGTCTACAGGCGCCCAGCACCACGCCTGGCTAATTTTTGTATTTTTAGAAGAGGTGGGGTTTCACCATGTTGGCCAGGCTGGTCTTGAACCCCTGGCCTCAAATAATCCACCTATCTCGGCCCCCTAAAGTGCTGGGATTACAGGCGTGAGCCACCATGCCTGGCCGAAAGACATTTTAATTTGCATTTTACATTACTAGGGAAGTAAGCATCTTTTCATTTGTATATTGTCCATTTGTATTTTGTTAACTTCCTCTTAAAATTTTTTTATTTTGTAATAATTATTTTGAGACAGGATCTCTGTCACCCAGGCTGGAGTACAGTGGCACAATCACGGCTCACTGCAGCCTCGACCTCCTAGCCTCACGTAGTCCTCCCACCTCAGCTTCCTGAGTAGCTGGAACTACAGGTGTGTGCCAGCACGCCCAACTTAATTTTTTTTTCCTTTTTTTTTTTTTGTAGAGATGAGGTCTTGCTGTGTTGCCTAGACTGGTCTTGAACTCCTAGGTTCAAGCCATTCTTCTGCCTTGGCCTCCCAGAGTGCTGGGATTTATGGGCATGAGCCACTGTGTGTGGTCAAAAATATTTTTTTTACTGTGGTAAAAAAACATACAACATTTATTATCTTAACTGTTTTTAAGTGTTCAGTTCAGTAGTGTTAAGTATATTCATTCACATTGTTATGAAATAGCTCCAGAACTTTTTTCATCTTGTGAAACCAAAACTATCCAGTAAACAACTCCCCTTATCCCTTCCCTGCAGCCCCAGCAATCTCTATTTTACTTTCTGTTTCTATGAATTTGACTCCTTTTTTTTTAAGATGGAGTCTTGCTCTGTTGCCCAGGCTGGAGTGCAGTGGCGTGATCTCAGCTCACTGCAACCTCTGTCTCCTGGGTTCAGGCGATTCTCCTGTCTCAGCTTCCTGAATAGCTGGGATTACAGGTGTGCGCCACCACGCCTGGCTAATTTTTGTATTTTTGGTAGAGATGGGATTTCACCATGTTGGCCAAGCTGGTCTTGAACTCCTGACTTCAGGTGATCCACTCACCTCAGCCTCCCAAAGTGCTGGGATTACAGGCGTGAGCCACTGTGTCCGGCCGAATTTGATTACCTTTTATACTTCATATAAGTGAAATTATACAGTATTTGTCCCTTTGTGACTGGCTTATTTCATCTACCATAATTTCCTACAGGTTCCCCCATGCCATAGCATGTGATAGGGTTTCCTTTTTAAGACTGATAATACCGCACTGAGCGTATACACCACATTTTGCTTATCCATTCATCTGTTGAGGGACATTTGGGTTGCTTCTGCCTCTTGGCCATTGTGAATAGTGCTGCTGTCAATACAGGTATGCAGATACCGCTTCAAGATCCCGTTTTCAGTTCTTTTAGATTTATACCCAGAGTGAGATTGCTGGAGCAGATGGTAGTTCTGTTTCTGAATATTTTAGGGAACCGCTATACTGTTTTCCATAGCAGTTACACCATTTTGCAATCCCTCCAAGTGTACAAGGGTCCCAGTTTCTCCATATCCTCACCAACACTTGCTGTTTTGTTTTGTTTTGTTTTTGATACTAGCCATCTTAATTGTGGTTTTGATTTGCGCTCTTTGTTGATTAGTGATGTTGAGCACTTTTGTGTGTGTGTTTTGGCCACTTTGTGTATCATCTTTGGAGAAATGACTAATTCGGGTCATTGTGCCTATTTTTAAAATCAAATTACTATTATTTGTTGAATTGTAGTTCTTTATATATTCTGATATTAACACCTTCTTAGAGATACAATTTGCAAGTATTTTCTCCGAATCCGGAGGTTGCCTTTCCACTCTGTGGATTGTGTCCTTTGATGTACCTGCCTGTTTCTTTTCATCTGTTCCAGCTTCCTGACCTATTAAGCATGCTTCTGAGATCTCTAAGGGGAACTAATTTAGAGGGTGTTAAGAGTTCTTTCAGGTTTTAATTTTGTTGACCTAATGAAAGTCATATAATTTAGAATGTATGGTTAGAGAAAATACACCTGTGTGTTAATGCCATGGTGCTTTGCTGTAAGGCCATCATCGAAATCTTAGTAATGACTGGCTGGGCACGGTGGCTCATGCCTGTAATCCTAGCACTTTGGGAGGCCGAGGTGGGCGATCATCTGAGGTCAGGAGTTCGAGACCAGCCTGGCCGCCATGGCGAAACCCCGTCTCTATTAAACTCCATCTTTACTAAGTGCCGTCTCTACTGTCTCAAAATAAAAATACAAAAATTAGCTGGGTGTGGTGGTGGGCGCCTATAATCCCAGTTACTTGGGAGGCTGAGGCAGAAGAATCCCTTGAACGTGGGAGGTGGAGGTTGCGGTGAGCCGAGATTGTGCCACTGCACTCCAGCCTGGGCAACAAGAGTGAAACTCCGTCTCAAAAAAAAAAAAAATTTGTAATGACCAATAGGAGAACTTTAAACAAACTTTAGACAAATTCCATACACACAGAAATAGAATTTTGTACATGTGATTGCATGGGAAGGATGGCTTGCTTTCTGGGGGAGTTCCCTATGGTAATCATTTAAAAGTCTGTCTTTCTGTTCTCTGCAGTGGGAAAGTATACCTTAAGGTTACCTAGATGGCTTCAGATCTTCAAGAAAAAAGTTAAAAAGAAAGAAGACTCTAGCACATCCTAATTATTATAGTTCTTAAGAAGCTTACGGCTCCTGCCCCTGACTTGCGCAGCAGTTCTTCAGTGCAGTGTACCATGAGCATTAATGTCTTGGGGGCTCTGTACAGTGTTCTGTAATATCGGAATATTTAGGGTACATTGAAAATGTGCCTGGATTATAAAGTACTGCATTTGTATGGAGTCTTATGAACACATCTGCTAGAAGAAGGGAGCTCCTCCCAGGCCCAGTGTAGACTGGAGTCGAGGTGGAGGCCAAGCAGAAGGCAGATCTGCCATGGTCTGGGAGGTGGCCGAGTTAACACATGGGGTCCTGGAGGTGTCAGTTTCTTTTGGCCGTTTCCTGGATGAGGAGAAATTTGTTGTAAATTGCTCTTAGGTGTATCCATGTGCTCCACATGCCCAGGCATGTGGAGGCACAGATAAGGATTTTGGAGGGAAACAGCCTACCCAGGCTATAATTGCTTTGTTAAGGGGCAGGTTCCCTAATCCACTCTTGGAGCCTTGTTTCTCATCTGGCTAATAGGGCCAGTGATGCCTGCCTCTCAGTCGTGGCAAAGAGTAAATGAGTTAGGAGGCTCTGTAAAGCACCAAGCATAGGGCTGGTTAAGTAGTAGCTGTAATAAGTACAAGTGAGAATGTTCATTTCACTTAGTGGGTTTCTTCTGCTTTTTATTCTCAGAGCGCACTGTAAGGATCTTCTGACAGTTTGCTGTTATTGATTTATTTATTAATTGAGACTGAATCTCGCTCTGTCACTCACGCTGGAGTGTGATGGTGCAATCTTGACTCACTGCAACCTCTGCCTCCTGGGTTCATTCAAGCAATTCTTGTGCCTCAGCCTTCTGAGTAGCTGGAATTACAGGCATGTGCCACCACGCCTGGCTAATTTTTGTATTTTTAGTAGAGATGGGGTTTTACCATTTTGTCCAGGCTGGTCTCGAACTCCTGACCTCAGGTGATCCGCCCACCTTAGCCTCCCAAAGTGCTGGGATTAGTTTGCCGTTTTTTAAATGAAGATCCTGTTTCTTAAACTCTGCTTCAGGTATTACCAGAGAAACGGAGTCTGAAACTCTTGAAGAGCCACAATCTCAATGTGAATTGGTACATGTACTGCCCCGAGAGCGCCGTGATCTTGCTGTCTACCACGGTCCTGGAGAATGTCCTGCAGCCTTTTCACTTTAGGGTAAGAGGAAGCCTCCCCTGAAAAAAACACCTTTCCCCAGTTGTCCCCTGTTCCTGTAGCATCCTAATGTGTCAGGCACGTTAGGGACAGGTTCCTCTAGCCGTAACGTCACCGCTCTGACCACTAGAGGGCACTCTGTATACCCGTCAGCTCCTGGAGCCATTCATTCTATGCTGGGCAGACAGGCTGTGAGAGG
Organism: Homo sapiens; assembly: GCF_000001405.40. NCBI lineage: Eukaryota > Metazoa > Chordata > Mammalia > Primates > Hominidae > Homo > Homo sapiens. The sequence continues at coordinate 23,516,193 of NC_000018.10, forward strand.
ACATGGGGGACGGTGGAAAGGATCCAAAGACGAAGTCTGTGTTTATCCTTGTTGGTTTTACACAGGGAATGATGAAACATTGAAGGGGTTTAATAAGCTTTTCCTAAAACATTTTCCCCCTAAACAGGCTGGCACTATGTCGAAGCTGCCCAAATTTGAGATTGAATTACCAGCTGCGCCTAAGTCAACTAAACCCAGCCTTTCCGAAAGAGACATCGCAATGGCTACCATGTATGTCCGTGTCAGAGAGAATTCCATCCTGTGATTGCTTTCAGTAATATAAATAATAGAAGGAGTGTGTTACAAGCACCACGTGATGCCCTGACCCCTAGAACACATAAGGAGGACTCCCCTTGTTCTGGGTATTCAGTGTATAGGTCCTGTGAACATAGAAAACCTGCAGTGTTTTTGGCATTCCTTTTTGATTTTTATCAGCTTTGTGATGCTAAGGAATTCCTTTACCTTTCTAGCCTGATAAAACAAGAACATTGAACCAATTTATTTCTTAGTATCTTTGTTTTAGAATTTCTTCTTCTTTTTTTTTTTTTTTCGAGACAGAGTCTTGTTCTGTCCCCTAGGCTGGAGTGCAGTGGTGCAGTGTCGGCTCACTGCAGCCTCCACCTCCCAGGCTCAAACGATTCTTCTGCTTCAGCCTCCCAAGTAGCTGGGATTACAAGTGTGCGTCACCTCGCCCGGCTAGTCTTTGTATTTTTGGTAGAGACAGGGCTTCACCATGTTGGCCAGGCTGGTCTCGAACTCCTGACCTCAAGTGATCCACCTGCCTTGGCTTCCCAAAGTGCTGGGATTACAGGCATGAGCCACTGTGCCTGGCCAAGTTTATTTTTTTTAAAAGCTCAGTTAAATAATAATTGTTCTAAATAAGAAAATAGATTAAGATTTTATGTAACAGACATGGAACTAAATTACGTATATATAGAGGTATATTTTCTTTTACTTTTTTTTTTTGTTTGTTTTTGTGATGGAGTCTTGCTCTGTTGCCAGGCTGGAGTACAGTGGCACGATCTTGGCTCACTGCAACCTCCGCCTCCCAGGTTCAAGCGATTCTCCTGCCTCAGCCTCCCGAGTAGCTGGGACTACAGGTGCGTGCCACCATGCCCAACTAATTTTTGTATTTTTAGTAGAGACAGGGTTTCACCATGTTGGCCAGGGTGGTCTCGGTCTCTTGACCTCTTGATCTGCCCTCCTCAGCCTCCCAAAGTGTTGGGATTACAGGCGTGAGCCACCACGCCTGGCAGTACGGAGGTATATTTTCATTTGAAAAAGTGGATATCTCAGTTTTTAAATTTGTAATGAAAATTTTAAACACACAATAGAGACTAATAAAAAAGAACCCCTGTATGCCTGTATCTGATTCGACAATAGTCAAAATTTTGCTTCTAAGTTACTTCTGATTCTTCTGTGGCCTAAAACAGTGGCCCAAACTTTCAAACTTTATGGTAGTTAGTATAATGTTCTTTCATTTCTTCTTCCTTTTTTTTTAAACGTACTCTTCTGTGGCATTCCTGTTTATTTTTAAATTTTTTTTGGAGAGTGTCGCTCTGTTGCCCAGGCTGGAGTGCAGTGTTACAATCTCAGCTCACCACAACCTCCGCCTTCTAGGTTCAAGTGATTTTCCTGCCACAGTCTCCCAAGTAGCTGGGACTACAGGCGCATGCCACCACATCTGGATAATTTTTGTATTTTCTGAAGAGATGGAGTTTCACCATGTTGCCCAGGCTGGTCTTGAACTCCTGGGCTCGGGTGATCCTCCCGCCTCATCCTCCCAAAGTGCTGGGTTTATAGGCATGAGCCGCCGTGCCCAGCCAGCATTCCTGTTTAGACAATAGATAAAGTGAGAGCAGTCCTGGCTGAAGTGGAGGTGGGGACCTGTTCCCTCCCACCTTGGTCTCCTCCTTGTCCCTGGGCAGGCCCAGCACAGAGTTTACCACTGGACTAGAATATGCATTCAGGAACTGTTCACAGCAACATTTATTAGATGGCACTTAAATAGAAAAGGCTGAGCATGGTGGCACACACCTGTAATACCAGTGACTGGGGAGGCCAAGGCAGGGGGATCGCCTTGAGGCCAGGAGTTCAAGACCAGCCCGGGCAACATAGTGAGACCCTGTTTCTACAAAAAAATTTAAAAATTAGCCAGGCACGGTGGCACGTGCATGTAGTCCTAGCTACTGGGGAGGCTGAGGTGAGGGAAGATCGCCAAAGCCTAGGAGGTGGAGGTTGCAGTGAGCTGTGGTTGCACCACTGCATTCCAGCCTGGGTGACAGAGGGAGACCCTGTCTCTGAAAAATGAAAAAAAAAAATAGTGATTATATTTTCCTGTTATTAAGGAATATACATTCATTATACAAAACTTGGAAAACAGAGAAGAAAATGAACTTAGCATATCACTCAAGTATAACTATTACATGTGTTTCTTTCCAATCATTTTAGACTCTATGCTTAGGTTTGGGGTTTTCTTTTAAAATATTATGATCAAGCTGTGTTTAGTGTGTGTTCTCTTTTCCACTTAACTTTATAATAGGCTTTGAGTAACTGCATGTTTCTTTGTAAACACTTGTTGGCAGCAAAATACTCCATTAAGTGAATATCTTATAATTTACTTAACCGTGATGCCATTTAGAACAAAGGAATTTTGAATGGCCAGATGTGATTTATGTCTGTTTGTTCCCTAATTAGATACGGGCAGCTGTATGTTCTCTTCTTGAGGCATCATTCTCGGACCTCCAACAGCACAGGAGCGGAGGTGGTCCTCTATCATCTACCACGGTAGATTTCATGCTTTGTTTTCCCTCTCTCTCTGATTTTAAAATGTGAACTGCAGCTTGTTGATCTGTTTTTTGCTTTCTATCCTACAGAGAAGGTGCCTGTAAAAAGATGCACATATTGAAGTTAAATAGGACGGGAAAGTTTGCCCTGAACGTGGTGGACAACCTGGTAGTCGTGCATCATCAGGATACAGAGGTACAAGCTGTCTGCGTTTCTACCAAAGTTAAGGTTGCTTAAAAGCCTTGTGAAAATTGGTGGCTGGGCACGGTGGATCACGCCTGTAATCCCAGCACTTTGGGAGGCCAAGGCGGACAGATTGCTTGAGCCCAGGAGTTCGAGACCAGCCTGAGCAGCATGGCAAAACCCCACCTATATAAAAAATACAAAAATTAGCCGGGCGTGGTAGTGCACGCCTATAGTCCCAGCTACTTGTGGGGCTAAGGCTGGAGGATGGCTTGAGCCCAGGAGGTCGGGGCTTCAGTGAGTGGAGATCGCGCCACTGCACTCCAGCCTGGGTGATGGAGCAAGATCCTGTCTCCGAAAAAAAAAAAAAATTGGCAAAATGTCTGAATAAGACTAGAAAGTGCATTTTTATGCTAAGAGTTTTGGTCTTCCAGATGGAAATGGGTTTGGTAGTCTCAAGTAGTTTAGAAAAAAGTGATTGTGTCAGTTGATTAAAGATAATTCAAAACTATTTCAGAAACTAACGCTTGAGATTTGACCTTGGAAGAAGGTGGGAATCCGCTCCATTCCACGAGTACTTGAACTCTCTGTTGCAATTGTGAGCATGGATGACAGTGCTGGGGGATAATGGTTTTGAGGCCGTGTGGACCAGGACAACTAGAATGGGTCCTGTGGGCTGGGCCTCTGATATAAAGAAGCTGCTTACCTCCTCTACCCTCCCAGAGGGTGGTGACGCTAACTCTGTGACACGTGAGGATGTTTCCAGTTGAAATGACAGAGATCTGCTTAGGTCACTTTGAGTGAGCTCATCAAAGGAAGCATGTCATAAATGCAGGAAATACTTGTGAGAGGAGATAAAAATATTAAAAGAGAGTTGTGATGTTAATGACAAATTCCTTCTCAAGTAAGAGCTAGCCTGTAGGGAGGAAATGCAAACACAGGCTTTTAAACTGATTTAAACAGCAAGATGGGATGGAATGAAAGCAACTGGGCAAACCATGATTGATTTTGGCCTCAGTCTTGTCTTTTTCCCCCCCAGACATCGGTAATATTCGATATCAAGTTACGGGGAGAGTTTGACGGCTCCGTTACCTTCCACCACCCCGTGCTTCCCGCTCGATCGATCCAGCCCTATCAGATCCCCATCACAGGTAACACGGGTTCTGTAGAGGAGTCTGTGCTGCCCTTTCACCATGTGGCTGTGTTCTCACCATGATCTTTGGGAGTCACGTTAAAAGTGGAGTGAGGAATAAACAGAGATTCCCAGATCTGTCTGATTTTGCCAGGGGCCATTTGTTCCAGTTTTGTTGTTGTTTTGAGACAGTCTCACTGAGTCACCCAGGCTGGTAGGTAGTGTCGTGATCTTGGCTCACTACAGTCTCCACCTCCTGGGTTCAAGTGATTATCCTGCCTCAGCCTCCCAAGTAGTGGGGATTACAGGTGTGTGCCACCGTGCCCAGCTAATTTTTATATTTTTTTAAATTTATTTTTTTGACAGAGCCTCACTTTGTTGCCCAGGCTGGAGTGCAGTGGCATGATCTCGGCTCACTGCAACCTCCACCTGTCTGTCACAAGGTTCAAGCTTGTGAGGTATTCAAGCAATTGAACCAAGTATTCAATCGCTTAAATACTTGTGAGAGGAGATAAGGTTCAAGTGATTCTCCTGCCTCAGCCTCCCAAGTAGCTGGGATTACAGGCGTGCACCACCACGCCCAGCTAATTTTTTTGTATTTTTAGTAGAGATGGGGTTTCACCATGTTGGCCAGGCTGGTCTTGAACTTCTGGCCTCAAGTGATCTGCCCACCTTGGCCTCTCAAAGTGGTGGGATTACAGGCATGAGCCACCACGCCTGGCCCAAATTTTTATATTTTTGGTAGAGATGGGGTTTCACCATGTTGGCCAGACTGGTCTTGAACTCCTGACCTCAGGTGATCCGCCTGCCTCGCTCTCCCAAAGTGCTAGGATTACAAGTGTGAGCCACCATGCCCAGCCTGTTCTAGTTTTTTAAAAAATGCAACTACTACTGATCCTATAAGCTAAAATTATGTTGTGAAAAAAGCATTTTCTAAGATAGATGAATCTCCCTTGGGAGGAAATAGAATAATTTATCTTCCCTGAGCTTTAGAATGGATAGTTTTGATTAGCCGTTGATGGTGAAATATGTTTTAATATTGAATACACCCGTAACGTTTTCTGTTTGCCTTAGCTCTGTAACGCTGAAATTAACTTTGGCTGTAGGTTTGTTACTGTAACCTGGGATCACTTTTCTCTTTCTCACATTCCGTGTGACAGTGATGATGAATATTGCATTCTTTGGGACTGACAGTCACAGTAAGTGCTTCGGCTGTGGCTCTTAGGCTTACCCAAATCAGTCCTCCTTCTGTCTGGAGAGGTGGGGTTGGGAAGTCAGAAGAGTGGAGGTCAGGAATTCAGGAAAAGGGAAAGAAGTCATTTATTTGCTTCGTTTTGCCTTTTTCCAGTGTAATTGATTTTAAGATAGAACTGAAAGAATATTCAACACACACTCTCTCTCTTTTTTTTTTTTCCTTAAACAGAACTTTATTTTCTCACAGTTCTGGAGGCTAGAAGTTCAAGATCAAGATGTCTGCAGGTTTGCTTTCTTCTGAGGCCTCCCTCCTGGCAGGCCTCTTTGCAGATGGCCACCTTCTCACTGTGTTCTCACAGGGTCTTTCTTCTGTGCCTGTCCCTCGCAGCAGTCTCTCCCGGCTCTCTTTTGAAGGAGATTGGAGTGCAGAATTGGCTAGTCTGAGGTTTCAGTGTGCAAGACGTAGTCAGATGGCTCACATTTGGAACCCTAGTAGTAATGTTTTATTCTTTGTCCGATGGCATTGGGCGGGTTGACCCAGCCTGCAGTCAGGATTTCCTTGTACCGTTCACCCGGGAGTTCAGAATCGCACTCTGGCTGAAAGTTCAGCAAGAGCACCATTGTCAGCCTGACTGCCCTGTCTTGCTGGACCAGCCAAAAGCTTAGTTACTTTCTGGCACAGTTGGAGGAAGGAGCTGGTTCTTAACAGACGTTCAATTAGGTCTTTTGGCTTTCTGTGTTCTTTCAAGCTTCTTCCTTTTCCTTTGTAAATAATGTTAGTATTGAAAGAATAGATTTTGCCAAGTGATTGTCTTGTGTCTGCTGCCCACTTGGCATGAAGGTAACTGCTGGTGAATTGGGGGAAAAAAACTAAACATTTAGAACAAGCCTGTCCAACCCACGGTCTGTGGGCCACATGTGGCCCAGGACAGCTTTGAATGCAGCCCAACACAAATTCTTAAACTTTCTTAAAACATTATGAGATTTTTTTAATGATATTTTTTAAGCTCATCAGCTATTGTTAGTGTTAGTGTATTTTATGTGTGGCCCAAGACCATTCTTCTTCTTCCTCTTAAGGCCCAGGGAAGCCAAAACATTGGACACCCCTGGCTTAGAACCTTCAGCTCTGTTCCGGTGGTACAGGACCAGTTAGGAGGCATCAGGTTCTAACCATCTGGTCATAAGGGAACAGATGCGAGGCCTGGTCACAGTAACAGCCCGTGCAGAGATCAATAGGAGGAAATCAGGAATCCACTGAGGGTCTGGGGATCTAGGTAGTGTGGGCTGCAAAGCATTTTCAGAGGTTAGTGACTCTCCTTTTGTTTCCTGCTGGGCTGTGAGCCCTGGCGGCTTGATGCATCCGTGTGTCTTGCCCACTGTGCTGCCACTGGGTGGGCGTGCTCAGGAATTGAATGGGCCTGTTGAGAAAGATATAACCAGCACTTTTGGGAAGAGTCAGCCACCCTTTTTCTTTTTGTTTTGGGCCTGTTAGAACAGTGGGTCTCAATCTGACTACATATTAGGATCATCTGGGGGGCCTTAAAAATGAAAGCTCTCACCTGACAGTGTGTAGGTCAGCCACCCAAAGGTGAGGGCTGTGCACTCGGCGCAGACCTTGACACTTAGGTCCAAAGCGCGAGTGCTCTTCGCCAAAGCTTGTCTGCCTGGGCTCTTTCCTACCTTTGGGTGGTCTGTTCACAATGACCCTTTCTCTGACCAGCTGATTGAAACCTGCCTTCTGATTGTACCTGGGTAATTGGAACAGAACCAGGAGTCATGGTTAGCTTGTAGGGCTGCCTGCATGGCTCATGAGCAGTATAACTGGTTGTTAACGGTCCCTGTCATGTGAGGTTTTGGGGGTCTGCTTCCCAGACGAGCTCACTGTGCTTGGACCTACTCTATGCAATGGATAATCGAACTAATTATTTAGATAATTAAGTGGCTGGGCACAGTGGCTCATGCCTGTAATCGCAGCATGTTGGGAGGCTGAGGTGGGCAGATCACTTAAGCCCAGGAGTTGGAGACCAGCCTAGGTAACATAGACCTTGTCTTCACAAAAAAAAAAAAAAAAAAAAAAAAAAGAAAAAAAGTTAGGGCATGGTCACATGCCTGTAGTCCTAGCTACTCTGAAGGCTGAGGCAGGAGGACCACTTGAGCCAAGGAGTTCGTGGTTATAGTGGGCTATGATCAACTACTGCACTCAAGCCTGGACAGCAGAGCAACACCCTCTCTTAAAGAAAAAAAAAGATAATTAAGCTACAAGCCACATTTATTTGAAACATTCTCCGTGGATGATCTGGGTATTTGATTTTGAATCCTTCAAGTAAATTTCTCAGTTCCTTAACGTGCATATGTAAACGATCATGAGTCATCTTTGGTTATTAAAAATAACCCAAACCACAGTGATTGAAGCCTTGACATGCTTTCTTTTTCTTGGTGAGATTTTCCTGGATTGTTAGCTCCTTCCCCCTTCCTCCCCGTACGTGCTTTCAGTGAGACGGAACAGTTCATTTCTTCCTTGACTACAATTGAATAAACATTTCGTAATGACATTAAAAAGTATTGACTTTTGTGTCATAAGTACCAGCATTTGCAGCATTTTCTGACTGCATCGTTGCACTTATGTTTTCTCAATTTGTAGGTCCTGCTGCCGTGACCAGCCAGTCTCCTGTTCCATGTAAACTCTGTATCCTTTACTAAGGTGTGGCACCGTGCACAACAGGGCAAGTGGTCACCCTCAGAGAGTGGTCCTGAAGTCCTCCTCCGGGCAGCTGTGAATAACACTCCGAGAGCCACCCCGCAGGCAGCTTCCCTGACTGTCCAGGGGCCTCGCGTTTAGCGTGGACTCAGTACATGGTGGGCAGGGGCGAGTGCTAGCGGAAACTGGGTTTGCTTTTTGTTTTCATCTTTTCCTGGTTTAGAATTTCCTATAACATGTGGATTCTTCATCTTGGATTGTCTTTCAACCTGACATCATTATCAGCGCAAGCCAAGGTAGGTCAGCGGGGACAGTTGTCGTGTTACAACATGGTGCTTGTTGACTTTGGATCCCAGTTGTAGCCAGGGACGTTTTCAAGGTGAATCTCTTAGAAATGACCCCTCCTTTCAAGCGTGGGAATGGGATTTTTTTTTTTCACTTTATACGTTTTTTACTATATGTGCATTTTATCAAGAACATATACTACTTTTAATAATTAAAGCAACAACTAAGAATGCCATTCTCCTGCTTAAGCCCATTCTGGAAAAGCCAGACTCCACCCCAGGGTGGATGGAAAGCCGGACTCCACCCCAGGGTGTCTCCCTCATTTCTCCCATCGACCTTCCCACCGGTGTCCGTGCCCTTTTCTGTTCTGCATGAGCCCGGGAGGTGTGCTCCTCTTTCTGGCCTTGCTGAGGAAGCCTCCTCAGTCTGTTAATTGTCTCTTCCTGGGTAATCTCTTTATTAGAGAAATCTTTTTTTTTTTTTTTTTTTTTTTTGAGACGGAGTTTTGCTCGTTGCCCAGGCTGGAGTGCAATGGCGTGATCTTGGCTCACTGCAACCTCCGCCTCCCGGGTTCAAGCGATTCTCCTGCCTCAGCCTCCTGAATAGCTGGGATTACAGGCATGTGCCACCACGCCCAGCTAATTTTGTATTTTTAGTAGAGACGAGGTTTTTCCATGTTGGTCAGGCTGGTCTCAAACTCCCAACCTCAGGTGATCCGCCTGCCTCGGCCTCCCAAAGTGCTGGGATTACAGGCATGAGCCACTGTGCCCGGCCTAAAGAAATCTTATTTTTTTAAGGCAGGGTCTTGCTCCGTCACCCAGCCTGGAGTGCAGTAGTGCTATCTCAGCTTACTGCAGCCTTGAGCTCCTGGGCTCAGGCGATCCTCCTGCTTCAGCCTCCCAAGTAGCTGGGCCTACAGGCGCACATCACCACGCCCAGTTAATTTATTATAATAATAATAATAATTATTTTGAGACGGAATCTCGCTTTGTCACCAGGCTGGAGTGCAGTGGTGCCATCTCGGCTCACTGCAACCTCCAACTCCTGGGTTTAAGCGATTCTCCTGCCTCAGCCTCCCCAGTAGCTGGGATTACAGGCATGCGCCACCACACCCAGCTAATTTTTGTATTTTTAGTAGATACGGGGTTTCACCATGTTGGCCAGGATGGTCTCGATCTCCTGACCTCGTGATCTGCCCACCTCAGCCTCCCAAAGTGCTGGGATTACAGGTGTGAGCCACCACAGCCGGCCTATAATTTTTTTTTTGTAGAGACAGGGTCTTGCCATGTTGCCCCTGTGTCTCTAATACCTCGCCAGGCTGGTTATTAGAGAATCTCCTATGTTACTCTTTAATCCTCTGTGTATTTTCCTGCCTTTCCTCTGGAATTCCTAAGAACTCTTGAGGAGAGAATTAGCCCTGATGCTGTAGGCATCCACTGTATGTAATGCATTGTTGTGCCTTGTCTGTAACCCATAGCCTCATGTGACATCCACTGTATGTATGTAATGAAGTCATTTCTCTCCTGTGCATCTCGCTGGTGTTTTCCTGTACAGCTGCTCTGTACCTGCCTTGGGCCAACTGAAAAGGGGGTCACCCAGATGATTTTTTATGTGGCACTTCATTCTCCTGTGGCATCCCAATTGGGAAAGGCCACACCAGATGCTGGCAGTGTGGGTGATCAGTACATTTATGGGTCGATGAATGGATGAGTTATGATGTTCCATTGAGAGCCTCTGGAGTTACCTTTTAAACTAATGAGCTGTTGTAGGAGAAACCAAAGCACAGGACTGAAGTTGATGCCACGTGTTGACATCTTTTTCTATTTTAAACGTTAAAAGAGGGGCTAGGTCTAGGGAAGTCCCCGTTTGGAATGAAGGACTAGGAGCTACACCTTTGATGTGCCCCTGAATGCAGAGGTTACTTGGAAAAGAGTCAGCCAGGTGTGCGGTGGTTGGGCTGTCATCCTCCTGTGGTAGACACGCTCCTGAATTGCTCCTGAATGGCTCAGCTCTGCTTTGGTTAGGAAGGAAAAGCTACACTGACTGTACTTTGCGGCTTTTTATCACCACCTGCCACCCGCCCCGCAGATGTTTAGGGGAACCACTTTTGGGCTTTTGTTACGGTTTGCATCATACTGTTTTATTTGCTGCCTCTTAAAATCCAGGTTACCTCTGGAACCTCCAAGTGAAACTTGAGCCCATAGTAAATCTCTTACCAGACAAAGGAAGACTCATGGACTTTCTCCTCCAGAGAAAGGAATGCAAGATGGTCATCCTGTCTGTCTGTTCACAGAGTAAGTTGAATCCTTCCCCCTTGCTCTGATTCCAGTGTGAGGCCTGTGCTGCCCAACACTTTTTATCGGGATGTGGGCTACATTGTTGTGTCTTGTCTGTGACCCACAGCCTCATTCTTTATGTGAGGGGTGGCTATGTGACCCCCTAGGAAAGGCTGCTAAATGGAAAGATGATTTGTAGAGATACTGGTAGAAAAGAACAATAAATGGGATGGTTCTGAATGAAAGTGGGCACACAGGAGGGGAGTGGGCCACCACCCCTGGCCTTCACACACACCTCTTTCAAAATCCAAGCCACTCACTGCATATGTGTCTTCTTTAAGAATCCCCTACTGAGGCCAGGCATGGTGGCTCATGCTTATAATCCCAGCACTCTGGGAGGCTGAAGCAGGAGGATTGCCTGAGCCTAGGAGTTCGAGACCAGCCTGGACGACAACATGGCAAAACCCTGTCTCTACAAAAAAAAAAAAAAAAAAAAAAAAAATTAGCTGAGTTTGGTGGTATACACCTGTGGCCCCAGCTACTCCAGAGGCTGCCGAGGGAGGATTCCTTGAGCCCGGGAGGACGAGGCTGCAGCGAGCCGTTTGTGTCAGTGTACCTCCAGCCTGGGCGACAGAGCAAGACCCTGTATCCAAAAAAAAATAATAATAATAATCCCCTACCAATATGTGCTGTTGGTGTTTGTTTTTGTTTTGGTATAGATGGGGTCTTGCCTTGTTGCCCAGGCTGGTCTCAAACTCCCAGCGTTAAGTGATCCTTCTGCCTCGGCCTACCCAAAGTGCTGGGATTATAGGCATGTGCCACTGAGCCTGGCCTGCTATAGCTTTTTTTTTTTTTTTTTTTTTTAACCGTAACCAGAAAGGGGTTGCGAATGACATCTAGCTGTCAGGTCTTTAAAGTAGAGTGTCCTTTAAAGGTACTTTTGCATTGGTAACCTTTTGAGATTAGTTTTTATCATAGCAACGTGTGGAAATTCTGAAGCTGACATGAAGTTGGTTTGATCCGTGTGTGAACATTGTGCCTTTCCAGTGTTAAGTGAGTCAGACAGAGCATCGCTGCCCGTGATAGCCACTGTTTTTGATAAACTCAACCATGAGTATAAAAAGTACCTGGATGCCGAGCAGAGTTATGCGATGGTGAGTTACATGGAGTATGACAAAGGGTCCTCCTCCCCCACCCCCTCCCGGGTATTTTCTAAGTAATTATGATGCAAAATTGTTTCCTATATATTAGAATAAGGTCGCTGAGATTTGCCGCCTGCCATAGGGCAAGGTGGCAGTAGTGGGGGATAGTGGAGGAGTAGTAAATTCAGGGTCCCTGCATCCCACGAGCTGGCGGCTGCATCTCACTTCATACCTTCACTGTTTTTGTTTTTCCCATCTGTGTTTGATCTTGCCTGTAGATCCTTGGTCTACTGTTATAGATGAGAAAAATCAGTCTCTGCTTTGCAATATTTTGTATATTTTTCTGTTATGCCAGAGTGAGGACTTAGAAAATTAAATTAGAAATATTTATATTTGCCACACCTTTCTTCCCTTTTGGGAAAGAATCCTGTTGAGATAGTGACGATTCAGTGTTAGCACTTAGCAGGCGTGTTTGTAGTCAAGGTAATAACCATGGCTTATCGCCACCAATTCCCGCTGTATTACTTGTACATCATATCTTCTGAAGCCAGAAGAAAAGTTTAGGACAAGGAGAATGAATTATTTCAATTCCAGGATCTGATTAGTCCTAGGCTGAAAATGGTTTTAAACCAACAAAAGCCCCAGAACTCCACTCCCCTTTAGCTGTTCATGGAAGGGTAAGAGGTCTGAGACAGGCACTGAAGAGGGCCAGTTGCTGGGACAGTGTCCATTCCTACGCTGCCAGACGTGAGGGATGGCTGAGTCCTTTTGGACTCTATTGCTGTGGGTGTTCTGGGCTGTGGGAATCAGTAGGTCTGATCCCAAATGGCAGTTTCTGTGCCGTCCCACACGGTCTGCTGGGCTCCATAAACCGTCATGACTCAGCAGTGTGGGCCACTGACCAGCCACATGAGCAGCATCTGGAGTTTCTTGGAAATGCAAGTTCTCAGGCTACACCCCACAGCTATTGCATAATCTGCACGGATCTGAACTGCTTTTTTTTTTTTGAGACGGAGTTTTGTTCTTATTGCCCAGGCTGGAGTGCAATGGTGAGATCTTGGCTCACCGCAACCTCTGCCTCCTGGGTTCAAGGGATTCTCCTGCCTCAGCCTCCTGAGTAGCTGGGATTACAGGCATGCGCACAGGAAAAAGTTGTATCTAAGTAGAGAAAGTGTTTTCCGCTCATATCCTGGGTCCACATCGAAGAATTCAGTCCTTGTGGATGAACTGTAAACAGCACCCTTCCTCTAAGATGCCGAAGATCATAGTTTGTGGTTTTTTTCTTTCAGGCGGTGGAAGCAGGGCAGAGCCGAAGCAGCCCGCTCCTCAAGAGGCCGGTGCGGACCCAGGCGGTGCTGGACCAGTCAGATGTGTACACCCATGTCCTGTCAGCCTTTGTGGAAAAGAAGGTGGGCTGCAGCTTTCCGCCTCTTCTGGACTGAGAATGCTCAAAACAAGGAAGTTGCTGAAAACGAGGAGACTTCATGTGATTAGAGTCACTTGAAGTGATTAGAATCACTGGAGTTTCCTTGGGTGAGGCCCTAGAGCTGGTAGTTTGGCTTCTAATGCTGAGGCCTAAAGCATAATTGTTGACGGGTGGTTCTGGAGCGATGTGTGCAAAACCAGTGAAAGATGAACACTGGGCCATTTTAAGATGGAAACAAGGTGGGGGTTGGATAGAGAGTTATATGCAGCCTCTTTTGCACCTCGTTGGTATTTGTAAGACCACATTTTTTTCTCCCTAGGAGATGCCTCATAAATTTGTGATAGCCGTGCTGATGGAATACATTCGTTCTCTTAACCAGTTTCAGATTGCAGTACAGGTACCTTCAAATCATCTGGGCCCAAGTTAAAACAGAAGGAATTTAAAAAAAAAACACAGTCACTGTCTTAGAAGATGACTCATATGCTAAGACAGGTCTGCCTCCCTGACTCAGAATGCTGAGTGACTCCTGACATTATTAGTTGGAATGGGAAGTGTAAGGTCAAGTTGGGGTCTTTACCTGCATGACGAAACCACTTCTTGTAATGACAGACTTTTACTGTGTTGGTTAGAATAGCCAGTCCTTGGGGAGCCTCTAGTCTGTTGTAGCTGAATGATTTGGAAGTGTTCTTTCACTTTTTACTTTTGTCCTCAGCATTACCTACATGAACTTGTTATCAAAACCCTTGTCCAGCACAACCTCTTTTATATGCTGCATCAGTTCCTGCAGTACCACGTCCTCAGCGACTCCAAACCTTTGGTATGCATTGCCAGATTTTTACTTCCATTGTGGTTAAAAATGGAAAATTTTAACCGTTATCTTTCCAACTGAAGTGGGTCTAAAAATGTCTTTCAGGCTTGTCTGCTGTTATCCCTAGAGAGTTTCTATCCTCCTGCTCATCAGCTATCTCTGGACATGCTGAAGGTAACTCTGATGTGTGAGGTTTTAGACTATGGAAACTAACTCTGTTCCTGTTGTTTGCACTGACCTGGACTTCTCTCCCTTACTGCTAGCGACTTTCAACAGCAAATGATGAAATAGTAGAAGTTCTCCTTTCCAAACACCAAGTGTTAGCTGCCTTAAGGTTTATCCGGGGCATTGGTGGCCATGACAACATTTCTGCACGAAAATTTTTAGATGCTGCAAAGCAGACTGAAGACAACATGCTTTTCTATACAATATTCCGCTTTTTTGAACAGCGAAACCAGCGTTTGCGAGGGAGCCCCAATTTCACACCAGGTGAGAATGCAATGAAAAGACTTGGGGTAACCATAGCCTCAAAGAGTAGCAGAGGGCACTGGCAGCTGGTGGGCGAGGACCCTGGGTTAGCATTTTTGTAAACAACACAATTTGATAACAGCCCACCTAGCCCTTGGCCCATTATTTGTAGTAGAGTGAATTCAGTATACTGACAGAATCTGAATTATGCTCTGGAACTCACCGAGGAGGTGTGTTTTGAGTCAAGACACATTTAGGACCCAGATCAGGCACAGCCCATCTCTTATAGCAGATCTTGGAATATCTCTTAAAGCCAGGAATAAGACGGCAAATGGTGGCTAAGGGTTTTAAAGGGTCTGGGGCTTATTAAGGTTTCAGTTTTATGAAGTATACATTGGTTGATCATTCTCATTTTTTTTTTGAGACAGAGTCTCGCTCCGTTGCCCAGGCTGGAGTGCAGTGGTGTGATCTCGGTTCACTGCAACCTCCGCTGGGTTCAAGCGATTCTTCTGCCTCAGCCTCCTGAGTAGTTGGGACTACAGGTGCGTGCCACCACACCCGGCTGATTTTTGTATTTTTAGTAGAGATGGGGTTTTACTATATTGTCCAGGCTGGTCTCAAACTCCTGACCTCATGATCCGCCTGCCTCAGCCTCCCAAAGTGCTGGGATTACAGGTTTGAGCCACCGCACCTGGCCCTGGTTGATCATTCTCATCTCCAAATAGTTATACAACCTAAGACATCATCTTTAGGATAGGGAAGGATCAGGGCTGTCTAATGAAACTTCTAGGTCTATTTCTAGCTCAATGTAAGACGGCATTTAGTTACCATAAGGACAGGTTAGATAGAATCTCTTCCATTTAGCTTTTGTATTTGTCTCTCAAAGCAGATAGGGTAACCCCAAAACTTAGGAAAACAATGTATTTTATTAAAGAAAAATAAGTTAAAACCCAGTAGACACACCTACGAGATGCTTTCTTTGTCCCTCATTTCATGCCACATCTAACTGGCAATTAAATCTCTTCCTTTCTAGGGGAACACTGTGAAGAACATGTTGCTTTTTTCAAACAGATTTTTGGAGACCAAGCTCTAATGAGGCCTACAACATTCTGAAATCACTTGCTGTTTTTTTATATAAAAATGTGTACAAAGTTAATTTATTGCATTAATAAAGCTCTTTAAACTATAAAATGTTATAAAGTGTATCTACAACCTCAACTGTCACTAAAAATATGGTATAGAACTTGTGGGATGGCTTACTCCTAAAAGGAGAGACAGACAGTGCATTGATTGGCCTTTACAGAGTGTCAGTGAGCGGATCACATTCACAGCCATCTAGTGTCACCTCCTGCTTGCCAAAGAATGAGGTTTCTTTCCTGAAGAGGCTGGGAGAAGTTTAGTGTCCTGTGGTTGCCTCCAGATCTAGTAATACTGCTTCCCAAGTCAACTGTGCATTCCTGAGTTCACAGGCGCTACGTTCAAAGCTGCTGCCAAACAACCGATGGTTGGCACCATCCGGTGTTCAACTTGGCCTTGCCGATGCAGCACCCGTCCAGTGGTAAACCGACCGACCCTTAGACACAGTTCAGTCAGGATGCCCTGCGAGAGGGCTAGAAATTTAGAAGCCGTTCGCGCTCTGTTCCTTTGTATCGCTCTTCAGTGGCACAACTTTTGGCTTTATTTACTGATGGCCCTATGAGAGAGAGAGACTTTTTCTTATTTCTGCAGGAGAAAGGGAGCTAGTTGGCTGGGCATAGTGGCTCACGCCTGTAATCCCACTTTGGAAGACTGAGGCAGGAGAATTGCTTGAGACCAGCCTGGACAACAGAGTGAGACCACATCTCTCTCCCTCTCTTTTGGAGATGGGCTCTTTGCTTTCTTCCTCAGGCTGCAGTGCAGTGGTATGAACACGACTCACTGCATCCTAAGCCCACCCTTCTGGGCTCAAGCAAGCTTCCTGCCTCAGCCTAACAAGTAGGTGGGACTGCAGACGCACACCACTTCACCTGGCTAATTTTATTTTTGTAGAGATGGAGGCCTCACTATGTTGCCTAGGCTGGTCTCAAACGATTCTCCTGTCTCAGCCTTCCAAAGTGCTCATCTCTTTTTTTTTTTTTTTTTCTTAAAAGGAACTAGTATATTAGATTGTAATAGAACTACTTTCTATCCCCCGGAGATGATAAAAAGCCCCTCATTTTCTTAATCTTCTACTTCAGTGCTTCAATTTAGTGACAAAGCTATAAATGAAGCAAATCAGTATTGTTCTTTCAACCGTGGGTCATTTTTGTGCAAGGTGAAGTGGCCATAGAAGTAAAAGGATCAAGGACAGTCTCGAGATGAAGAAAGGCAGCAAGCACTTTGCTAAGAAACGGGAAATCCATGAGGGACATAAAAAGCTGTTCTGCAGCACTGCTGGTGTGAGAGCTGGCTGCCAGATGGACTCCTTCATCTCAGTGGCAGGGAGGAGCTGCCCTGCCTGCTGACACTCAGATCCATTCAAGGACTGGCTCCAGGCCTTTGTGAAGCAGACAGATCAGGCCTCCAGAAAAAACATCGACAACTTCCTAATAAAGTAGTCTGCACCATCATGAATCCCCTGGATGGGTTTTTTCTTTTAGAAGAAATTTTTTTACTCAGTATCATTTATCATTATCAAATGACCATTAGTATGAGTTCAAATACTTGAAAAGAATGCCTCAGGATAGAATTCCCTTTCAGTAATGTCCTTCTATTGTGCCACCCTTTTAAGATGAGAACTCTTACCTATGTAACTGAGTAAGACAGGGAGAAATATTAATCCGTGAGTGGCTCCCAGTAAGACCATGGCCAAATACATCCTGAAGTAGAATATCTGGAAAATTTGAGATTTGGCAAAAGCCAACACCACAATCCCTCCAAATTTTGTAAGTGTGATTCCACTGAACACCTAAAAGAAGAGATACTGTGTTAGAAACCACTTTTACCAACCTGTAATTGAACAAAAACACTTCCTTACAAGGATTTCTCCCAGGTTCAAGTGATTCTCCTGCCCCAGCCTCCTGAGTAGCTGGGATTAAACAGGTGCACGCCACCATGCCTGGCTAATTTTTGTGTTTTTAGTAGAGATGGGGTTTCACCATGTTGGCCATGGTCTCGAACCCCTGGCCGCAAGTGGTCCGCCAGCCTTGGCCTCCCAAAGTGCTGGGGTTATAGGCATGAGCCACCGTGGCCAGCCCTTATGGGGATTTCTTAATATTCAAGGTTCAAAGCAATGGGAACTGAACCCAGGTAGCATCATCTACTACCTAACACTATTTGCTGCCTTATGATCCTGGGGGAGAGGTATGACCAAGTTAAAAGCTGTGTATTCTGCACAGACACTGCATCGTGTCTCCCAATTGATTATCTTTCTTTATATTCTCAGGTGAAAACTTAAATATTTAAAAGTGTTACGAAACAAAGTTTTAGTTTTTACTCTTTACCAGGTATTTTCTACAGTGGTAAAGAGATAGGCTAAGCCAGGGTGTAGAGTTGAACCAAGACGACTCTCCAGGCACCAACCGCACATCACACGCTGGGTTCTGGCCCGGGCTCCCCTGCATTTTAAATGGGAAAGACTGCCAGCTGTCTCATGTTTAACTTGTCTGTTATTTTCCTGCTTCAGCACACTGCCACCTAAAAAGGAGCCGTACCAACAGGTACAGTTCCACAGAACGTCCGTTCTGTCCACGATGTGGCAGCTAATTCATGAATTGCCTGAAAGCTTGCAATCCTTAGAAGCTGCTTTGTAAGTACAGGATCCAGACTCTTCAGTCACTGAGGAGGATTACTTTGTGGTGCGACTCTGCCGGCGTGGCCCTGCTCAGGGTACTCACGGAGCTGCCCATGTGGGCAAGTGCCTCTTCCGCGCGCTCCACGCGGCTGCCTTTCATGCTCACCGTGAACGCTCTGGTTATGTGGCTGCAGAACTCCACGGAGATGCCACAGCTCTGAAATAAAGCACTTCCTTTAGGATGGCTCTCTTCCTGTTGAAGACCCTAGGCAGCCACCCCGTTCTGAGGATGGGTGCTAATTACCCAGGGCACCCTGGGTGCTAGAGGAGGCCAAGCATCCCATTGGACTTACAAGGCCTCCATCACACCAATCTTACTGTACCAGGAACTTTTTGGGGCCCTCTCTACACACAGCCAAAAGCCTGGTTTTCTGTGGCACGTTTGTGTTGACCAGGAGAAATTGCTGGAACCCGTTAAGGTCACCCCACCCGCACCGAGCTGGCGCATTGTCACAACTTCTTTTCTTGGACCTCAGTGCTCCCCTATCTGAAGCAGGGCTCATATCTGAGAGTACGGATACACTGTTCTATTTTCCATGAATACCTTCTCAAGTGCTCTCATCTTTAATGATTAAAAGTACCTGATAACCACATAGGAGGCAAAAGGCACTGGTCGGAGAGCTCCTGGGGCGGGGTGCAATTTTCTAAGTAAAAAGTGAACATCCTGCTGTCATCAGGCTACAGGCTTGTGCAATCTCTAAAGAATAACAAATTACAGGCAGACTAGCCCAGAACTAGGCCAGGAAATCACATTTCCATGGTCAGAGGCACCATCAGGTATACTAGTATAGCCGCAAGGAATGGGACAAGAGAAAAAATTGAACAGAAATTGCCTGTAATGTGCCTATGCTCCCAGATGTCCAACTCAATGCTCGCTCCCTCTATGCCCTGTCCCACCACCATCCAGCACTCCTCCAGCACTCATCCTGCCTCTCCATGTGTGCCAAGAGCAAGCGCCAGACTTGGTATCTTACTCCATCTTTAGGGTTTACATGGAATCTAAGACAGCCAATTCCCCCAAGTGAAACAGGAGCTAGGGACAAACTGAGACTGTATGAGGACTCACCATCACCAGGTTGACCAAGGATACAGCGTTCAGACTGATGCCCCAGAGCCACATAACTCCAAACATGTTGACCAAGACCATGGCGATGGTGGCACACATGATGACTGCAGACCAGAGCTCACAGCCCAGGAGGACCATGGTCACCAGAAATATCGCGCCCAGGGACACACCGAGGTTGAAGATAGTGTCGTCAATGATGGTCAGGTACTGTTCGTAGAAGACATAAAACACACTGGAGGGGAGAGGGGAGGCCTCATTAAAGCTCGCTCTCACTCCCGAACACTGCGTGTTCATCCTGTCACCACTGCCAAGTGGTCAGACTCCTTTGGGAAACATCCCTTGCAGAAAACCTTGCTGGCTGTCTACAAGACTCACCGAAAGCAACTCACTTGACCTCTCATGGCCACTGACCACCCAGAGAAGGGCCCAGCAGTGATGCAAAATGTATATTTTTGATAAAGTTTCTGTTTATAAGCCCAATCTATGCTATTTTATAGACATTTACAGAGAGCATTCCACAGCATTCTGAAAAAACACAAAAAAACAAAGAATCCTGATCTATCCTGAGACACTACCTCAGGCTCAGCGGGGTCCGTGCAAGGCCTGAGGAAAACATGCTTTCATTTATTTTCTGCCAGAGCTAACCGGCTCTTAACTTCTTCCAAACAAATCCAGGCCTTCCTGCTTTAAGCGAGATCATGGGGAGGCAGGAAAAATAAATCACTTGTTTCTCCTACCTTTCTACAGTTTCTAAATTCAGTAGTTCATACATAATACTTTTCTTCCTGGGAAAAAAAACCCCTAACAATATAAAAAGTCTACATACAGGCAGCATCCCAAATAACCAGCAGTTAGGGATTCTGGTTCATTGTTGGCCAAGAATGTGGGCCGGGCCCTGCTCTGAGCCGCCTGCTCTCCAAGCGCCCCCTGCCTTAAGCCATTTTCCAGTGTGTGTCTCTTGCAGCTGTGCAGTGGCGCAGAGATCAAGTTTTGCGTCTCTAGCCCTCAGGCCTTCACAGAGACTTTAGATTCTGAACTCCTTTGCCCAGCACCCATTTCCTTTGATATACTGCCCTGTGCTCAGAATGGAGCAGGGGCCAGAACCCAACCTGAAAATCAGCATCTTGCCAAGGGAACCCTCCCCACTCCCACCCAGTGTAGGCCCTTTGCTGGGTAAACCCCATTGAAAAAGGGCAGGCTTTACCTGTAAGGAAATACTCGGTAGGCACTGCCGTTAATGCCCATGGTTTCGGTGACATTACTGGCTATAAGTCGGGCTTTCTTCAGAGCGTCAATAAAGTCAGCAGAGGTCTGCAGCACGGTGTGGTAGGTCATGAAGTACGTGGCTCCGACCCTGGTGCCATGGCCAAGGAGGATGTTAACTGCAGAACTATAGGCAGCATGTCCCCTGAGGAAAGAATCCTGGGTGTCAAGAGAGTCCAGGTCTTGCAAAATATCAGCAGAATCTGAGCACTTGAGGCTAAGCAAAATCACCTGACCCTGGACTCAGAGGTCAGACCCAGCTGTACATTTCAGGGATGAAGAAGGCCCCCAGATAAGGGAACACCAAAGGTTTAGCTTGTTCTCTCCCAGACTGGCTTCTTTTTTTTTTTATTTTGAGACAGAGTCTTGCTCTGTAGCCCAGGCTGGAGTGCAGTGGCGTGATCTCGGCTCACTGCAACCTCCACCTCCCGGGTTCAAGCAATTCTCCCTGCCTCAGCCTCCCGAATAGCTGGGATTACAGGCACCTGCCACCACGCTCAACTAACTTTTGTATTTTTTTAGTAGAGACAGGGTTTTGCCATGTTGGCCTGGCTAGTCTTGAACTCCTGAGGTGATCTCAGGTGATCCGCCCACCTCGGCCTCCAAAAGTACTGGGATTACAGGTGTGAGCCACTTCGCCTGGCCAGATGGGCTTTTCTCGATTGCTCTGGGTTCTTTGGTACATAGCTGCTGTTTCTCCACCTGGTTTCATGTATAATCAAAGGTACAGGGTTTACTCAGTCCTGTTGTGTAATAGGAAGCAGGAAAGGGCAAGGGCCCTGGGAACAACCTCAGCCCTGCCACTTACTGGTCATGTAACCCCGAGCAAAATGACCACCTCTGAGCCCCAGTCTCCTCTTCTGTAAATGGGTATACCACCACCTACTCATAGGCTGCGTGATGAGAAATGGAATAATGTCAGGGAGTGCCTGGCATGACGCTGGCACCCTGGAGGCTCCCCAGGAACGGTGGCTACTGCCTTCAGAAAAACTGAATCTACTTCAACTTATTTTACGTAGGCCAAAGCATCCAGTCAGTGAGTAAATCAAGCTGCAAGATTCATTTCTACTTAACTTTTAGGAGGAGTCATCCCATGATACCTCGAATAGGTCTCAAAGCACATGCATGATATAAATGATTCACTGATATGACTCTGGTCAGATGTATGTTCTTATGAAAAACCTAAGTTCAGGGTTTACCTAACATACATGGGGATACTCATCTTCCACCTCCCAAAGCTTCCAAATCAAGGCCAGAGACTTCCGGTCATCATCACTATTTTTGGGCCATATATCTGGCTTCCGTGGGTAACTGGCTGCCTGGCTGGATGGGGGAGTGAGATAGCCCATAACCCTATACATGGATGGGCTGGCAAGGAGCATGACGAGGCTAAAAGAATCGCAACCTTAATGTGGGATAATGTTACTAAAGCTAAGATCACGCCCCAGCTGCCATCAGTACAAGTGAACAGGCCAAGTTCCTTCAGGCCTGGATTACCAGCAGGCCGTCCTCTCCCTCAGCCCCGCTTGGAATGTGCACAGGAATCTGCGTTCATTCTCATGCCCAGGGGGCCAGGACACAGAGAGAGCATGAGATGTGAATGCCCACGCTAAGACAGAATCAGTTGAACACTATGAGGCATTTTCTTAAAAAGGTGTTTTCGGTTTTCCTGCTTCCACCAAAGGACCAGGACAGGGTGGGGCGGAGAAGAGACGTTCCCATGCAACTGTCTTAGCCCAGTCCTCTCCTAGTTTTCTACTGCAAATTAAAGTTGCAGTGGATGCTTATCTGCAATGGCAGCAGCACTTACCCTTTGCCACACTTGGGGTTAGGGTTATCCGAAAGGAACATGGGCAGGAATCTCATGAAGTCTCCCCCCTGAGGCCTCTGTTTGCCTTCCGGAGTCAGAGGCCTGCAGCGAACGCAGGCAGGGTCAACCACTGGCGGAGACATGCAGGGAGGACTGTTAGAAGAATAGGTCTCCAGATTTTTTGTAAAACATTTTAAAATACTGACAGTGAGGGGCATTACTTTCTTCTCTATCGATTACTTTCCTTACTAGTGAGGGATAATCTTTCCCCTTATCTAAAAGCTTCAGCCACATGTCACTTTCACAGTTTAATGAATCTGAAATACCATTTTCATCTTAGGCATACTATGCATCATTTTCTGCCCTGAAGTAGATCTCCTCCTTCAAGTATGGCCTTGACTGGTCAGAGCCCGGGGCTTCTATGTTTTTATTAAGAAAATTCCAGGGCAACCTCGACGCTCCTACAAAACCACAGGGTAAAGTGATAAAGAAAAGCCCTCCTCTGAGAAGCTAAGGCCAGATACCAATCCTGAGAGGCAATCGCTGGAGTTAGAACAGGATGAGAAACCTTATGTGGAAACCACACTCCGAACATGTGGACCTTGTTCAGCTTGCAGCCCCGAGGGTGGCTGTCTGAGCCAGGAACAACATGACAATTTCAGAATGAATGACTGAGGAAAGGAATGATGACACAGGGAGACCCAGCTTTGATATACAAATAGGTATAAACTGAGGCACGATGCAAATGATTTTTAAATGATAATTTGAAAATTTTTCAGCAAAACAGGAAAGATTTGGTAAAGGAGAAGGTACCTGAAGCATTGCAGAACTGGTCAGTGATATTGTCCACTCGACAGCAAGACGACTGTGGCTTCACCCAGTCGAAATAATCGTCGATCCAGGACGAGGGGGCGAAGCCTATTCGGGTACTAGAGAGGACAGACAGGGTTACTGACCTGCTCCACAGGGAGGAAGTCTTTAGTTTCAGTACTTTTTCTTAAAACCTAACTTCCTTTTCTACGTTTTATACTGCTAACAGTCAAAAGAAAAACTACATGAGCACTTAATGAAAAAAGCCTTCAAAGTATTAGGTGGTAAATTAGTCCTTTCAAAGGTTTTTTAAGGTAAAGCCAGATTTAACATACATTTTGCATAAAAACAACTTTTCCAAGAAAGTCTATTTTCAGT
This sequence comes from Homo sapiens, assembly GCF_000001405.40. Lineage (NCBI taxonomy): Eukaryota > Metazoa > Chordata > Mammalia > Primates > Hominidae > Homo > Homo sapiens. The sequence goes on from NC_000018.10 coordinate 23,539,730, forward strand.
GAGACATTTCAGGCCTGAGCTGACTGCCTGGCTGAGAGCCTCCTCCGCTGCTTCTGAAGTACAAGACAAGGTGGTACTGACTAGTTGTCCAGCTGCGCCGCGTTAAATATCTGCTGCACCAGGGAATCATTGTTGCAGCCCATGCCGCCGCACACCATGTTCTGCCCCTTGGAAGAAGTGTAGTCGTGCCCTTCCTCCAGGACAAAGTACACAGGCGGACCCGCATGCAGGTACTGACTGATGGATTTGAAATAATCCACCATGTAGGAGTCCTGAAAGAAAGATAAAAGAATAGGAGAGAGTGTGAACACTCTGATAGTAACTAAGCAAGGCGAGGATCATGGAGAATAAGAGGGTGCCAGGAGGTTCCTGGCTGAGATGCCTCCAGCTGGACTCATGATTCCTAACACCACCAGTCTTCCCCCCAGGGCCCCAGGGTGCTCCTCCTGCTAGCCCCACAATCAGGAGAGCATCTCATAAAGTAACCTCATAAGACTAGTTATTCGTGTTCTGCAGCTGTGCCCAGAGGGGCTCAGTCAGAATGCCAGACAGCCCACACCAGCAGTGCACTGCGACAGTTCTCCTAACCCTGGAAACCCTGTCACCATTTGCAGTTAGAAGCAGGCACTTGCTTGAAACACCTACGTGCATGTTTTGAAAAATGTATTCATCATCAGCTAAAGAAGTTAAAAAAAAAAAAAAAAGGAAGTCATCTTACATCTGGCATCGAAAGAGACTGATCCAATCCAATATCTACTTTGTTCAGGACTGCGATGCTGAATGACAGAACACCCACAAATATTGCTATCTGGAACAACAAATGAATCATAAGACAGAGACTGCTTAGTAAATAAGCTTACGACCAGAAATAAAATCTTAAGCACACACAAAAAGCAGGATTTTTTAAAATGGAAAAGCTTAAATGACAGGCTAATAGGGAGTACAGGGCAGTGGGTGAGACCACAGCACCAGGAGTCCAAATTCCTGGGTGCAAATCCTGACTCTGCCACTTACGGGCTGAGTGACTTGGGGCAAACCACTTCACCTCTCTTGGCTTCTATTTCCTCATTATTAAGAGGAAAAATAAAAGTTTCTTTGCAACTTTCTGTGAATCTGAAACTATTTCAAAATAAAAAACTTAAAACTCTTGTTTATATGGACTGATAAAAGCTCACAGGAAAAACATTTTATCTACTGTTCCACATTTGCTTTTGCTTTTTTTTTAGATACATTTTAACAGCTTTAAGAATCTCCTTCCCAGGCTGTCTGGCTTCTTAGAAGGCATGTGATAATCTGTTTCAGTGAGAGGAAAGAGAAAAACCACAGATAAGCGCATACCACAATTGGTCTCATCCAGTCCTTTAGCAGAAGTGGAGAATAGGAGTTTTTGAAGAAGCGAAACAAACAGCTCTCTGAGGCCTGGACGCTTGTTCCATCTTCAGCACCTCTGACACAGCAAAAGATGTCTAGCCGATTTTTCTGAGGGGACAGAGGGAAACAAAGGTTATACCCGCTAGCTGCTTCCTCTAGATTCTAGACTCAAATTAAATAGACTATAATCCTGGCACCAACTTACCTCTTGACGTTTAATGTCTAACCCCAAGAGACTCACGAAACAGGTAATCTGCAGAAGAAAGTCAATGAAGACTGCCAATCCCGCAAAGAGAGAGAAGGTGTGCACGGCTGGCATCACGGACAATGCTCCTGTCGGGGAGAGAAGGGCTCTGCGTCACTTCTGTTTACAGCCGGGGGCTCTCTGCAGGTCTTATGTTCATGTGCATGTACAGATACAAGGAGCCAGCACAGGCCAAACGCATGAGAAGGCATGCTGCGGCTGGACATTACACCAGAAGTGGGACAGGAGGTGATAAGCCAGTGCTTTTCAAAGCACACTCAGCACCAGACCATTTGGGAAGCCCCATCCTAGTTATGACAGGAATTCAACCCCAATTCTACTATACTCAGGTTCACAGCAAATTCACACACATTAAAATTTGAGAACCACTAATACAGGCCATTTCTTATAGTACTTTCTGTGCTTCACTGTAAGAAATGGACAGTATTTTCCATTTATTACATCAACACTACTAGCCTCCCAGTTTAGTTAAGAGGTAATCTACAATCGAGTGAGGATCAAAGGCATGAGGGTAAGACTTGGAAACTGCAAACTGGCAGCCCATGAATCAGATGGTTCCTGTTTAGCCCACACTGTATCAACCCATCTTAAGATTAAAAAACTTTTTTTTATAAGTTGCCAATATTTAACAATGGCATTTTACACAAAAATCTAGATTCACAGCTTTGCTTGGAAGAAAAACAACAACAACAACACAGACCTTGTAGCACTGGGTTGGCCACACACATAACTGTCTTTTTAGATAGGACACGTGCAGTTGGGGTGCCACAATCCCTACTCACTCCTACTGTCCCAAGGTCACTCCAACCTTGAGGCACAGTCTCTGCTGCTATTATCATCACACTTGCACTGGTTTTCTTATAATAGTAGTGAAAAAAAGAAAGTTTTTTCTTTTTTTTTTTTTTTTCTGCACCTGTGTTTGTCAAAAGGAACTACAGGGCTACAGGTTTCAAAAGCACATGGCTTTGTGGAGATGAAGAATAACAAGCTAGCAGTGTATCTGTGGTGAAAGACTACCACCTACAATGACCTTACAATGGCCCTGATTAAGCTGACCTCCCAGCCATGTAGGCATTGCAGTTTGTGGCCCGTGGATGGTCTTCTTTGGACTGAGTGATTCCAGTCCAGCCTCCCCTATAGTGGACAGAGTCACTTTGCTCTTACTACACTTCAGACATGGGGCAGACAGCCCCACTAGTGGGTCTATTTGATGATTCTCTATGTGAAAGAAACACAGAAGTGCTGACTTTGTTCCAGCTTATTCTGGCTCCTTGTAATGTGGTGAGTCAAGAGCTTCTGGTCATTAACAAGGCTGCTTCCCCAATGAGTTGTGTGCACAGAAGAGAAAGACTGCCTTTGAAAACAACGGCAAACATCTTGTAAGCGAGTGCCTGTGGATTTGGGAGCTGCTGCTTAGAGTGTCATGTGGAGAAGGATTCAGTGGCTACTCAAGGATGCCATTTTCAACTATCAACATTCCCAGTGGCTACTAAAAGGGGAAAGTGGCAAGACGAACTCTAGGTCTCTTTCACCCTGAACCCCAACATCAATGCTGTCCTGACAGTTAAATGAGAAGGAAGCCACTTGCAAAATCACACCTAAGTTACTGCTGCCAATTTTTCTGTGGTCCAGTGATACTTTCCCAGTGCAGAACAAAGCTTAAAAAAAGGAGACAACACGGGCTGGGCACGGGGGCTCACGCCTGTAATCTCAGCACTTTGGGAGGCCGAGGCAGGTACATCACCTGAGGTCAGGAGTTCGAGACCAGCCTGGCCAACATGGTGAAACCCCATCTCTATTAAAAATGCAAAAAATTAACTGGGCATGGTGGTACGTGCCTTTAATCCCAGCTATTTGGGAGGCTGAGGCAGGAAAATCGCTTGAACCCGGGAGGCGGAGGCTGCAGTGAGCCGAGATTGCACCACTGCACTCCAGCCTGGGTGGCAGAGTGAGACTCCGTCTCAGAGAAAAAAAAAAAAAAGAAAAAAAAAAAAAGGAAGCAACACAAAGGGACATGTTCAGGTAGCCAGCTCCTTCTTTCTCCAGGCTCAGCAGACTACAGGACTGGTAGGATTGAAAGCATAATTACCTAAGAAAAATGCTACAGTCTCAGAAAAGGATGACAGGAACATACTGGGAGCCACTTCTCCTAGGACCCTGCCCAGCTGCTGATCCAGGGTTTCCCCTTGAAGACGTTCATCTCTCTTAAAAAAAAAAAAAAAAAATTATGCGACATTAAAATTTCTCAATAACAACGCCATTTCTTGCTGCCTTGTGTTAACTCAAGGGTAAAAATAAATGATTAGTAGACGATTAGCAGTGTCTTCTAAGCATATAAACTTCGGTGGGGGACTCCAATGTTCTCAGAGTATTTCTGCACTACAGAGCTAGGTACCAAGTGAGAAACTAAAGGGAAAGCTGAGCCAGCCACATTATCAGGAAAACACTCGGAACACAGGCGGCAGGGGACTGGACCAGTGAACATCACTCTCACGTGCACTGAGTCTCCGCCCACGTCGGGTCTACAGGACGACTGAGACCACCTTCTACAGCAGCGGGACACGTGTTGACCTTTTGCCTTTTTAGTGGCACCTTTGGGCAAAATGAATCTAACATTCTATACTATGCTGAACATCATTTTAACAGCAGTCGTACCCAAAATCTTTTCCAAAAGTGTGTTAGCCCTTCTTGTACACATGATACTATTTAAAATGAAAAGATACTATTAAAAGACACTATTTAAAGATACAATTTAAAACACAATTCTTACTTTATATCTACTATTTCAACAACCAAAAAGAGGGGTGAAATTCTTGGTCCTAAGATGTCCACAGCAAGTCAAGACGACCGATGAGCCACACAGGGAAAGGAAACAAAACACCCTCACAGGTCACACTCACGAATGCGGAGCCCAGGAGCCATTCACAGTCCCTGAAACTTGAACAGATGCTGAGCCCTGTGAGAATATGGAAGTATACCTGGTAGGCCTGCACCAGAATGAAGATGTTGTCCACTCCAACAGCCAGCACCAGGAACGGGATGACTTCAATCACAATGAGGGTCAAGGGCAACCCAATGTAGCTGAAGACACCCAAGGAGCAAGCCACCGAGCTCAGCACGATCAAGATGCCCGCGATGCCTAGTGAGACCTTCGAATCCACCTGAGAGAGGCGACAGACACAATCACCAATTAGTTACAGGGTTGTCTGTCCCACTTGTTACTAAAAGGTCCTCCTTTTTACTTTACAGGGCTGTATTAAACCTAGAGTTGAATGTACAATTCTGTGTTTCAGAGAGGACTTGTAAACATTTCTAGGTCTGCTCGGGCAACACATGTTATGAGTTTGCATTCTTAGGTGATGGACTGGACAAATAAGAAAAAACTGGATTATGTGAAATAAACTTTAAGATAAACCAAAAAGTTGGAATGAAGAAAATAGATGTAGGCAACAGAAACGTTACATACAATTAAAACATGGGGGAATTTATGGCAGTTTTAAACATAATGGAATAAGAATAAAGAGGCAAAAATATGACGTTACACTGTGCACTGCTGTTAACCTCTAGAACATACACCACCCCCCCCCGGCTTACCAGAAGCCTGCGACAGCTTTTCATGTGCCCCAAGGCTAGGGAAATATATAGAAACATGATGGCATAGCTAATTACAACGGTGAAGACATCACTGTCACTTTCACGATTTAGTTCATCTTCAATACTTCGTTCAGCAGTGAAGGAAATGGTCAGATTGGGATTCTTGTAGTTTTTCACAAAATTAATAAACCTAAAAGGTAAGCAAAATGTTATATTTTTAGTTAAACTAACTGACAGCTAAGTAAGAAACTTCTCCCTAACTTTCACGATACAAAGGCCACGTTTTCTTTTTTTTGGTTTTGAGACTGATTCTCGCTCTGTCGCCCAGGCTGAAGTGCAATGGCGCAATCTCAGCTCACTCCAAGCTCCACCTCCCGGGTTTGAGTGCTTCTCCTGCCCCAGCCTCCTGAGTAGCTGGGACTCCAGGCGTGCGCCACCAGGCCCGGCTAATTTTGGTATTTTTAGTAGAGACAGGGTTTCACCATGTTGGCCAGGCTAGTCTCAAACTCCTGACCTCAAGTGATCCACCTGCCTCAGCCTCCCCAAAGCGCTGGGATTACAGGCGTGAGCCACTGTGCCCGGCTCAAAGGCCATGTTTTCTTAACCTTTATCCTGCATTAGGATCCTTTGTTTGCTTTTGTTCCTGTTTTGAAATAGAGTCTCTCTCTGTTGCCTCGGCTGGAGTACAGTGGCACTATTACAGCTCACTGCAGCCTCGAACTCCTCAGCTTAAGGGATCCTCCTGCCTTAGCCTCTTGAGTAGCTGGTACTACAGAGACGTATCCCCATGCCTGGCTAATTTTAAAAATTTTTTGTAGAGATGGGGTCTTTGCCATGTTGTGCAAGCTGGTCTCAAACTCCTGGCCTCAAGGCATTCCTCCTGCCTCCACATCCCTAAGTGCTGGGATGACAGGCACCATGCCCAGCCACTGCATTAGGGTCTTCCACACTGGAGACTATCAGATTACAGCTAAGGTTCCATACATGCTGAATTAAAGTAAGTTTAGGGCTGGGCTCAATGGCTTATGCCTGTAATTCCAGCACTTTGGGAGGCTGAGGCTGGCAGATCACCTGAGGTCAAGAGTTCGAGACTAGCCTGGCCAACATGGTGAAAGCCCGTCTCTACTAAAAATACAAAAATTAGCCAGGCGTGGTGGAAGGTGCCTGTAATCCCAGCTACTTGGGAGGCTGAGGCACGAGAATCACTTGAACCTGGAAGGCAGAGGCTGCAGCGAGCTGAGATCATGCCACTGCACTCCAGCCTGGATGACACAGCAAGACTCTGTCTCAAAAAAAAAAAAAAAAAAAAAAAAAAAAAGAAATGCATTCAGTCTACTAAATCAAAACCACAATGAGATACCACTTCACACCCATGAAGATAGCTAGAATCACAAAGTCAGATAATAAAAAGTGCTGACGAGGATGCGAACGAATTGGAAGTTTCATGGACTGCTGGTGGTGACGTAAAGCGCTATAGCCACTTTGGAAAACAGTCTGGCAGTTCTTCAAACTATTCAAGGTGGACTTACCCTATGACTCAGCAATTCTACTACTAGGTATGTACCCAAAAGAAATGAAAACTCACATCCACAAGAACTTGTACTCAAGTGTTCATAGCAGCATTATTCATAATAGCCAAAATGGAAACAGCCCAAGTGTTTGTCAGTTGATAAATGCACACAATGTGGTATATCCATACAATGGAATGAAAAGGAATGGAGTACTGATACATGCCACAACATGAATGAACCTTGAGAATATTATGTTCAATGATAGCCAGACAAAAAAGTCCACATATTATTCTATGCACATAAAAGTCCAGAATAGGAAAATCTCCAGAGACAGTATTTTAGTGGTTGCCTAGGGCTGTGGATAGGAGGATGAAAAGATGGAGGGTGTTAGTTAAAGGGTACAGAGTTTTATTGTGGAGTAATGAAAATGTTCCTAAAATTGACTGTGGTGATGGCTGCACATACACGTGAATATAGTAAAGCTACTGAATTGTACGCTTTTTTTTCTTTTTAAATTCTCTTTTTTCTTTTTTTTAGAGACATGCAAACATTGCCTAGGCTGGTCTTGAACTCCCGGCCTCAAGTGAGCCTCTCGTCTGGGCCTCCCAAAGTGCTGGGACTACAAGTGTGAACCACCATTCCCAGCCTGAACTGTATACTTTAAGTGGGTGAACTGCATGATACATATACCATATCTCAGTAAAACAATTTTTTAAAAGTACTGGAGGGCATAAAGTGCAACCTGGCCTCCTAAGTCCTCTCTTCCCATTCTCTAGAGGTCACAAACACAGTTAATTTCTGAGGTCATTTGCTTGATATTTTTTTCTAAGCATGGACAGCAGCATAAACAATATATATTTATACAAATATACATCATGGACCATTTACTTCACTGTCTTTTATGACAGCACAATATTCTATTGTATTCATTCCTTATTAAATACATTCAGCATGCTCCCAAGTTTTGCTGTTAGAAAACAATGCAGGTGGCTGGGTGCAGTGGCTCACACCTGTAATCCCGGCACTTTGGGAGGCCGAGGAGGGTGAATCACCTGAGGTTAGTAGGTCAAGACCAGCCTGGGCACCATGGCAAAACCCTGTTTCTACAAACAAATACAAAAATTAGCTGGGTGTGATGGCATGCACGTGTAGTCTCAGCTACTCAGGAGGCTGAGGTGGGAGGATCACTTGAGCCTAGGAGGTTGAGGCTGCAGTGAGCTGAGATTCAGTCACTGCACCCCAGCCTGGGCAAAAGTGAACCCAGTCTCAAAAAATAAATGAAATAAGTAAAAACAATGCAAGGAACCTTTTTTTGCACACTTTTGCATTCCTGTGGAGGGAGAGCTGTTTAAAGCACCTGCTCAAAGGTAAATGTGTTTACAGTTTCTTCTTAGCATCATTAGTACCAAGTGAACAAAACTACGTAACTCAGATCTGCCATTGGTTAATTTAGAAAATGAAGTTTAAGTGCTTGCCGCAAGTGTCTAGCTTCCCACAATGCAAGGACAGTCTGCTCACACCCATGAGTGACTCACTCTTTTTCCCAGGCCTGGGCCCTCTGGAGCTTCTCTGTATCATTATAGTAATTATTGACAGGGAAGGTAATCACAAGGGCAGTGGCGTTATTGTAGTTTTGATCTAGAAAGGAAAAATGTGACATCAAAAAGCAGATTACAAGCATGCAGAAAATTAGACACATACCAGGGGAAAAATCACAACACAGATTTCTCACTGGAGCTATGGACTGTATCTCTGGGCTCTAAGAATTAAACAAGAGTTTGCTGAAATAGTCTTTATGTACTTCAGTTAATGAATAAAAAGGATTTTTTATCTGAGGTAGGCATGGTTATCATTCAGGAAGAGTAACTCTTTTTTTTTTTTTTTTTAAAGGATACAGTACATGCATGTTAACAATTTCAAACAGAACAGAAAAGTGTTTATCGAAAATTCTCTCCTTCTCCAACATCTGTTTCATTGTCTTAGTTCTCCTCCCCATACTGTGACCATCTGCGAATCTTTCCAGAGCCACTCCACACACACACAAGCAAACACACAGATTCTTCCCCTTTCCCTCTTAACCACACAAACAGTAAAATACTATTCTGCACATTACATTTTAAAATTTTGTATCTTGGAGACTGCTCCATAAAGAGTTTCCTTATTCTTTTCCTACAGTATTTTCTGGTATACTTTAGCCAATCCCCCCCAACTGATGAGTAGTTTTGCAATTTTTTCTATTACAAAGTTACTATAAATAGCCTATAAATATTTTAATGTGTAAAACACATACTTGTAGAAATAAATCTTTTTTCTTTTTTTGGGGTGGGGGCCTGACAGGGGGACAGTGTCTTGTTCTGTTGCCCAGGCTGAAGTACAGTGGTGCAATCGCGGCTTTTTGTGGCCTTGACCACCCGAACTCAATTAATCCTCCTGCCTCAGCCTCCCAGTAGCTGGGACTAAAGGTGTGCACCACCATTGCTGGCTAATTTTTGTATTTATGTAGAGATGGGATTTTGTCATGTTGCCCAGGCTGGACTTGAACTACTGGGCTCAAGCAATCCTCCTGCTTTGCCCTCCCAAAGTGCTGGGATTATAGGCATGAGCCACTGCACCTGGCTAGAATCAATTCTTAAAGCATAATCAATGAATCAAAAACTATGTATATTTCCAATTTTGATAAATTCTCCCAAACTGCCTTCCAAAGAAGCTTAACTATTTTTCATTCCTTTTTTTCTTCTTTTTTAGAGACAGGATCTCACTCTGTTGCCCTGGCTGGAGTGCAGTGGCACAATCATGGTTTACTGAAGCCTTGACTTCTCAGGCTCAAGCAATCCTCCTGCCTTGGCCTCCCTTTTCATTACTTTAGTCAAGAAAATATTTACTGAGGCTGGGCGTGGTGGCTCATGCCTATGATCCCAGCACTTTGGGAGGCCAAGGTGGGTGGATCACCTTAGGTCAGGAGTTCAAGACCAGTCTGGGCAACAAGGCAAAACCGTGTCTCTACTAAAAATACAAGAAATTAGCTGGGCCTGGTGATACATGCCTGTAATCCCAGCTACTCAGGAGGTGGAGGCAGAAGAATTGCTCGAACCTGGGAGGCAGGGGTTGCAGTGAGCCGAGATCACACCACCGCACTCCAGCCTGGACAACAGAGCAAGACTCTGTCTCTGAAAAATAAAATAAAAACCTTTTTTTTTTGTATTTCTTCTTTTGTTATCTTTCACATGACCTCACCCACTTTTCTTTCAGGTTGTTGATCTTTTTTTCACAACTTTTTTTTTTTTTTTTAAGACGGAGTCTTGCTCTTGTCGCCCAGGCTGGAGTGCAATGGAATGATCTTGGCTCACTGCAAACTCCACCTCCAGGATTCAAGTGATTCTCCTGCCTCAGTCTCCCGAGTAGCTGGGACTACAGGCACACACCACCACGTGTGGCTAATTTTTTTTGTATTTTCAGTAGAGACAGGGTTTCACATTTTGGCCAGGCTGAGATGAGATCTTTATTTATTAAGAAAATGCTGACTGCCATGCATACTAATATTTTTGTCCAGTTTTTTTTTTTTTCTGGCAAGGTCTCGCTCTGTCACCCAGGCTGGAATGTGGTGCAATCTCGCTTACTGCAGCCTCAACCTCCTGGGCTCAAGTGATCCTCCCACCTCAGCCTCCCGAGTAGCTGGGACTACAAGCATGCACCACCATGCCCAGCTAATTTTTGTATTTTTTGCAGAGACGGGGTTTCTCCATGTTGCTCAGGCTGGTCTCAAACTCCTAGCTCAAGTGATGTGCTCGCCTCTGCCTCCCAAATTGCTGGGATTACAGGCATGAATAACTCTCGGCCCAGTTTTGTTTTTTTAACTGTATGTTTGTTCTCCACAAATGAACATGTACTCAACTTCATCAGTCTTTCCTTTTCGGGCTTCTGAGTTTTGTGTCTTGCTTAGAAATATCTTTTCCACTTAAAAATTATTTTTAAAAATGCCTCCTGAATTTTCTTCCAGTTCTTACATTTCTTTTTTTTTTTTTTTTTTTTGAGATGGAGTCTCACTCTGTCGCCCAGGCTGGAGTGCAGTGACTTGATCTTGGCTCACTGCAAGCTCTGCCTCCCGGGTTCACACCACTCTCCTGCCTCAGCCTCCCGAGTAGCTGGGACCACAGGCACCTGCCACCACACCCAGCTAATTTTTTAAAGAATATTTTTAGCAGAGATAGGGTTTCACTGTGTTAGCCAGGATGGTCTCGATCTCCTGACCTTGTGATCCACCCGCCTCGGCCTCCGAAAGTGCTGGGATTACAGGCGTGAGCCACCACGCCTGGCCCAGTTCTTACATTTCAATCTTTTATCCATCTGGAATTTATTTTGGTGAAATGAACAAGTCAGAGATCAAAGTCAATTGTTTCCCCTATGGCTAGTCAGTTGCTGACACCATCCCTTCTCCAACAATTAGAAATGGCATTTTCCTCTCTGATGCACAGTAAATTTTAAATACAGATTGCAACTTCTCCCCTGCCACCAAGTGAGGAGAAGAAAACCTATCTGGATTCTTAACTGGTTGGGCAAAACCTGTTGAGCCTGTAATTTGGCTTAAGATGCCAAAGGTGTCACATGAATAATCACCTCATTTTGTCAAGTACAATTGGTTCTAAAGTGCTACAGGAACCAGGAAAGAGCAAACCAGCTGCTCTTCACACTGTAAGAGTGTCCAAATACTCAACTGACTGGCTTAGAAGAAAAAAAATCCATCAACTTTGTTTCTTTTTCCACATACCTCACATACTATCTTTTCTCTATCACAGAGGCTCTTACCTGAGGTCCATGAGCTCCCTAGAGGGTCTATAAATGAACTTCGGAGGCCCATGACCTTCAAGCTGAACAACAATGCAGAGGTTTGCAATTGCATTATTCTGGGGAAAGGTACTTAGCCTTCGACAGCTTCTCAAAGGCATGTGTGACCTAAAAATGGCTAACCCAATCCACTTCTTTTAAATCTGGAATGAAACCCAAACCCAAAGCCAAAGGAGATACTATTCTGGGATTCAAGAGGTAAGAAATTAACAAAACTGCCCAATTTATGAAATCTTCATAATTACCACTTGATGCTAATGACAAAACCGAGATGACTTTATCTAAAAGGAAAAGTCAAAGCTTCTCTTACTTACCATCATAGCCTCCCAACACAAGCCACGGGAACACTGGTCCACCAAACGTACCCAGACAAGGGTCATGGAGCAAACTTGTATCATTCAGAGAGGCAGGAGCCCTGCCAAAAAGTTTAGAAAACACCTCCCAGTTAGAAGGGCCTCAAGACATCAGGGACCTAAACATTTACACAGTGAACATTTGATGAGGCTGGCTGTATTCTAAGGACAACATGGGCCCTGAGGTTTCTCAGTTGAGTAATACAGCTCAGCACTCACCTTTGGGAGCTCAGAATCACTGGGCAAGAGGCAGGCAAATACAGCCCAGTGCCATCAATGGCACATGGTGCATGGCGCTATGCAGGCACAGAGGAGGGAGCAAACACTAAAAGGCAAAATTATAGCCAAGAGGAAGAGACTGTACAGACCCAGAGCTCCGAGGATGAGGGGGATTTCACCAAAGAGGGAGGACAAAAGGGTGTCTCACACAATTACAACTGTGGGAGGAAAAAGGGAGGGAGAGAGAACAGTGAGAGGGAATGAGAGCAAGATGGTGGTTTGGCAAGTCCTGTATGCCGGGTATGGTGGCACGCCTAATCTCAAGTACTCAGGAAGCTGAGGCAGAAGGATGGCTATAACCCAGGAGTTTGAGTCCAGCCTGGACAACATAGCAAGATCCCATCTCTAAAAAAAAAATAATAATAATTCAAAGAAAAGATGTCCTGTCCTAGAGCATGGGGTGCCCACCAAGGGGGCTCCTGAAGGAGGGGGCCAGTCTGGGAAGAGTAATGGACAGACAAATGCAAAATAAAAGGACTCAGTGCCAGTTAAGTAGTTTGGATTTTTATTCTGGAGGCACTGGGGAACAATTAGAGATTTCCGGGAAAGAAATGTCATGAGCTGTTTTACAAAGATAGCTTGCGTGGCAAAGTGGAAGGTCTGGAAACGGCAAAGAAACAGGAAGCAGGTGGAACAGTAAGTGGAGATGTTAGCGCAATGGCGCAGGCAAGAGGCAACTGGCAGTGCAGTGCAGACAGACAGTTGGCCAGTGGAGAGTGAACCAGCATTTTCGGACAGACCATCAGCTACAACTTGGCCAGGTGCTGAGAAGCTTCTGCATATGACCCACCCGTCAGAGTGGATGGGTGACGGCATGAGGGAGGTCAGGTGACCTGCAGCGAGCAGCTGAGTCCCTTCATCCACAGCAGAAATCTGAGAGAGCATCCAGAGGCTCAGACCCGTAAGAACCCCATGAGGAAGGCGAGGGCGAGGCAGAATTCAGGGATAAAGCCTCAAGCCTGAGTAACTGGTAGCTGTCACTGCCTTTAAACAAAATGGGGAGAAGAAGCAGGTAAGGGCATGGTTCTGGGCAGGCCACCTGCCATTACTGCAGGACCCTCAGGTGAAAAAGTCCAGGAAAAGCTGGAGGGAGAGGAAAGGGGACAGCGCTAGGGCGAGACTGGGGTTATGAGGACGCGCACAAGCATAACTACAAACCAATTCAGGTCCCTGCCACCAGGAGCCTGCCACTCCCTGTACCGCTTCCACACTGGTGGGAACCACGTCCGCTTTGAGGAAACACAAGGCTCACGCACCTCTGTCCCCCATCATTTTTGTTGACTTTTATCTTGTGCCACAGAGAGTAAACTATAAAATTTATGTAACATTAAATGGTTGTCCAATTATAAAAATTATGTAACATTAAATGTTTTTTGTTTCTTCAAATTACCCATGGCTCGTCTGCACCGTCTACCCTGTGGAGAATGCCGGTTTAGGGTATGGAGCATAAGCTATTGTGTTTTCATGAGTATAACTCATGTTTTTAGGGGTGATATTCTTGAAACAGAGTAAATATAGCCCAACTGCATAAAAAGTCTTACTCCAGTAACAAACAAACAGAACTCAAGGTCAAAGTTCTTTAGAACCAGAAGTGAGAGTCCTTAGCTCTTGAGAAGTAGTCGGCTGAGCAGTGTCCTTAAAGGCAAAAAGGAATAATTTCTCTGTTCCCATGCTGAAGAAATAGCCACTGTGGTTGCTCAACTGGCTGAACAAATGTCCCTAGGCCAGGTCCCTAGCATTCAGGGAGAGTAGGCCCATCCGGCATCATGCTACTCTTCCCCTACTGGGAGAAGCCTTAAGATTCCCCTACAGGTCACCAAAGCACCGCTTCCTGGGGTGACTATTCCCAATTATAAACGCACCCTGCCCAGCTAGACATGCCTCCTAAGGGAAGCAGCTGCAGGGCCCTCCAATCTAAAGCTGCGGAGCTGCAGACCTATACTGCCTCAACTCCTCAGAGGGAGGCTGCCTCCCAAATAGCTGGGGCACTACAGGGGACTGGGCTATATATCTGAGACAGAACAAAAGGCACCAAAGGCTCTTCTATCTTTAAATCTTGTGGGGGGTGTGATACATGACACTGTGTTAGCGACCCAGGCACGAGGTAAAGGGTGAGAGGCAGCTGCACTCCTCAATCACACACCACGAGAGCTTCCTGCCAGGGCTCTGCACTTGCTGCTGGTTCTGCCGGGAACTCTCATCCCTGTGATGTGCCCAGCTGTCCTTTCCTCTCCCTTTGTGCACATCTCCACGCTTAAGCAATGCACCCCCCACTCTGTCCAGCCTTATTTTTCTCCTCATAGCACTAATCTCTAGCTGGCACGATAGCACATGTTATGTGTTCATCAACCGTCTCCCTCCATTAAGATGTAAGCTTCCAGCTGGGCATGGAAGCTCACGCCTGTAATCCCAGCACTTTGGGAGGCCGAGGTGGGCGGATCGCCTGAGGTCAGGAGATTGAGACCAGCCTGGCCAACATGGCGAAACCCCATCTCTACTGAAAATACAAAAATTAGCTGGGCGTGGTGGCACACACCTGTAGTCCTAGCTACTCAGGAGGCTGAGGTATGAGAATCGCTTGAACTTGGGAGCCGGAGGTTACAGTGAGCCAAGATTGCGCCACTGCACTCCAGCCTGGGCGACAGAGCGAGACCCTGTCTCAAAAAAAAAAAAAAAAGATGATGTAAACTTCACAGGGCAAGGTCTTGTTGTTTGCTCACCTCTGGGTTATGCTCATAAAACAAGCTTTTGCCCATGTACCCTAAGTCAGACCCAAGAATGGTGTCTACCAATGATTGTCTCTTGCCACTTACCGTACGCAGTACAGAAAGTGCGTGTGGTAATCGGCATACACAAAGAAGTCGTCCCCTTTCTTGTGGTCCAGCACGGAATGGCTGTTCTGGAAGTAATTTAACACACTCAAAATGGTGCAGTTCGTGTTATACGGTGAAAGAGGGGCCAAGCAGATGTCTTGAAGTGTCACAGTCTCATTGTCATAAGAGGCAGTAATGTTTTCGATGGCTATTTGTAAGTCAAGAACCTGAAAGAAGATTTTAAAAATAAGCAAACCCAGAAACACGTCACATTTCTCTCAGATCTTGATTAATCAGCATTGCCCTGAGGGTCAGAAGACAAAGAGTATTTGGGGAAAATACTTCCTAAGATGAGGGAGAGAATTAAGATGCAATACAGTAAGAAAACTGGTCAGGCCACAGGCCCACTCTAACAGCAAACTAGTTAGAGGCGTCCACAGAGGCGGCGAGGGGTAGGGGGAACACCATGACCAGAACAGCTATCAACATAGGACACACAACCATCTCCCCTCCACCGTTCTCCAGTGGTGGCCAGCAGGCCAGAGGGGAGAGTGGAGGGGGACTCCTGGTCTCCCTGACCCTCCTCTCAATAGTAACACATAACCTCCTGCCTTGCTCTGCACTACAGCCATTTATATATGTCCCCTTATTTCCTAACAGAGAAGATGATCTTGGAGGTAAATGACTATGCTGTTCACCTTCAGCAACAAGCTGGAAAAAGCAACAGACAGTCACTGGGTAGAGAAAAGATTCAAGTCTTGGGACCATTTTAATGCTTTTCAAGATTGCAGACTTTCTTGTAGACATGAGCAATGTTTAAAGGAAAAACCATGTGATTATACATTCATTAAAAAAGAAGCCGGTACAGTTTATGCACAGGTACAGTTCTCCAAGGCAAGTGTGACAGGGACAATGGGAAGGTTTACATGCCTTTCTAGGAGCAATGGGATGGATCTTGCCCCAAATGCGCCTCTCACCAAAAACAGGCTGGGTGCCCATGTTCAGGCAGTGAGTGATAAGTTCATTCCTACAGGTTGGATCAGGGATGGTAATCTGGCAGCTCCTTCCTCAGCCCCCAGGACAGCAGTAAGGGCTTCATGCCTCTGGGTCCTTGCATATTACTTTCAGTTACCAACAGAAAACATTTCACAAATTCCTAAGGTGACTTCCTAATAAATATATCCTGCCTCAATAGAGAAACGCCACTGAAGTCTTCTTTCTCTGCTCATCTCAATTTCAAGAAAAAGGCAAGGTCTACTATCTGAAGTAAATACAAAAGTGAGCAACAATAAATATTCCATTAAGTTCAACATCATTCACTTTCTTGAAACCTAACTTAAAGGCAGCTTTGCCATTATACGCTAAGATTTTCAAGATATACCATGACATTCAGCCCCAAATCCCCATCTAGCAGTAGTCAACATGTAAAAGCCAGCAAACCACAAGGTCATCTAGAGTGACTTATTTCTTCAAACAGCAGGTTACCTGGTGCAGTATCTGTATGTCAAGCGGAGGTCCAAAGGGTACATCAGCTCCCGAAGGGTATGGCTGGTAAATGTGTTTGTCAGTGAGAGGGGCCCGGATGATGAGCTGCTCCGTCCGGAAGAAAGGCCCAAAGTGCTGGTCAAAGTACTCTTTTTCCAGGCGAGCCTGGCTGCTGGGGGCTGACCAGAGGTCAACTGGATTGGTTGTGACCCGGACAAACACCAGGCCTGACGAACACGCAGTAATGAAGACCAGCGAGAAGAAAATGACACAGCCAGGGTTTCGGACGCAGAAAGACCCCCAGCGTGTGAACAGCCGCCTCAAGCAGCCCTCAAATGCTGCGCTGACAGGGTCACAGCAGGACGCCTCTCCTGGAAGAACGGGAGAGGAAGGGAAGGTGGAGGTTAAGAGCCAAGCCGTTCCTGAAAGTCGGAACAGGGAAAGCATTAGTTGCTATCTCATGGCAGGAATCAAGCCCACCTGGGGACACATATGAGACCCCTGCCCTCAGCTACCTATCTGCTCAGCAAAGCCACCTTTGTTGGCTGCCCTCAATGAGCGCTATTCCCACCCCACAGAGGAGATGCCGACACAGGAGCCTCTGAAGGGTGAGGTTCAACCCTGCCCTGCTATTCCCACTCTTGTCCTGCTGCTTTCGCGCCTCCCCAGCTATGATTAATTACTTGGTTCTGCTGTGCCACCCTGACTAGATGGTAGGGCCACAAAGGCAAGGACCATGTCTGCCTTGGTCGCAGCCGTGTCCTCGGCACTGGCACACCACCTCACCCACTGCTGCAACCCCACTGAGGAAACGAATGCTCTCATGACAGACAGCATCATCTGAACCCTTTTATTCATGGACAAATATGCCTACCTTTGTCACTTGCATTAACAGAAAAAGCTATATTGCTATCGATGGGAGTGTACTCGGAGACAAAATACCGTTTTCTGAAAAACAGAAGTGAAGAAATAGCATTAGTGGACTTCATCACAGTGAGGTTGTTTTTGGGACATTCCTGTAATCCCATGAAATGCTTTCTTCCTCCTCCTGGCCTCCTCCTCCCTAATTACTGCCTTCTTTCCCCTAAGTCCCCTTGCTCTGGGTCCCTCTGCTCACCAGTCTCAGGAGAAAATTTAAGAAGATGTTAAGAGAACAATTAATAAAGGATAATTTCACCTTGTGGCCCTCATTTTATTTAAAACTTTTAGGTCCTTTAAAAACACACTACTGGGCTAGGCGCGGTGGCTCACGCCTGTAAACCCAGCACTTTGGGAGGCCAAGGTGGGCGGGATCACGAGGTCAAGAGATCGAGACCAACCTGGCCAACATGGTGAAACCCTGTCTCTACTAAAAATACAAAAAGGTTAGCTGGGTGTGGTGGCACGTGCCTTGGGAGGCTGAGGCAGGAGAACTGCTTGAACCAGGGAGGCGGTGGTTGCAGTGAGCTGAGATCGCGCCACTGCATTCCAGCCTGGTGACAGAGCAAGACTCCATCTCAAAAAAACAAACAAACAAACAAAAACATGCTACTCTTTCCAGCAGCAATGAGCATACCTAGTGCCCAGATCTTCGTTTCTACATACCATTCTCCAATAAAAGGAACCAGAGCTCCTTGCAGGGCAGGGACAGGGAATATGTAAGATAAAGCTGGGGATGGGAGGTGTATGTAAGAACACAGAAGCCAGCCAGAAGGCACTCCCAATGGCCCAAAGTGGAAAACTTTGAGTAACAAGATAAATGACAGTGTTGGATACAACCCACAGAATTAAAAGTCCATGATGTAAATAACTGAGTAAATAAATGAGGGAGAAGGGATAGCTTTCTGTACAGAAGTCCAGTTAGTAAATGCAGAGGAAGAGAGGGAAAGAGAAAAAAATCACTATCAGGCAAACACCTTAGTTATAACTGTTGCAGACAAGACCCAACAATGAATGCTAAAATCAGTGGTTGAGTTTCAGGAGGAACAAAATATTAGTATAGTCTCAAAGCATCTTCCCCCAAGATATTTATCAATTACGAAGGGAAAAGCAGTAACTTCACAGTGGAGATAGCCAGCAGACATCACCTTGAGCAAGTGATCAAGGTTAACATCACCAGGAAAGAGACGCATCAACATCAGGGATCCCTGACATGATGCACCGAGAAAGACATAACATGACTTCTGTGATGTACTTGTCAAAACACCTTATTTCAATCTCATCATGAGAAAATACCAGATAAAGCCAAATGGAAGGACATGCTACAAAATACCTGACCAGTATCATCAAGAGTGTTAAGGCCAGAAAAGGAAAGACTGAGGAACTTTCTGTCACAGATTAGAGGGGACTCATAAAACACAAAAATGTAATATGGGACCTTGAAACAGGGAAGGGCATTAGAGAAAAAGCTGGTGAAATCTGATTAAGATCTCTGGTTTAGCTAATAATAATGTAATAATAATGGCATGGTCGTGGTTTTGATCATTGTACTATGAGTTTTTTTTTTAATTATTATTATACTTTAAGTTTTAGGGTGCATGTGCACAACGTGCAGGTTTGTTACGTATGTGTACGTGTGCCATGTTGATGTGTTGTACCCATTAACTCGTCATTTAGCATTAGGTATATCTCCTAATGCTATCCCTCCCCCAGGCCCCCACCCCACAACAGTCCCCGGTGTGTGACGTTCCCCTTCCTGTGTCCATGTGTTCTCATTGTTCAATTCCCACCTATGAGTGAGAACATGCGGTGTTTGGTTTTTTGTCCTTGCGATATTTTGCTGAGAATGATGGTTTCCAGTTTCATCCAAGTCCCTACAAAGGACATGAACTCATCATTTTTTATGGCTGCAGAGTATTCCATGGTGTGTATGTGCCACATTTTCTTAATCCAGTCTATCGTTGTTGGACATTTAGGTTGGTTCCAAGTCTTTGCTATTGTGAATAGTGCCGCTATAAACATACGTGTGCATGTGTCTTTATAGCAGCATGATTTATAATCCTTTGGGTATATACCCAGTAATGGGATGGCTGGGTCAAATGGTATTTCTAGTTCTAGATGTACTATGAGTTATGTAAGTTGTATCATCGGGGAAACTGGGTTAAGGATACACATAAATTCTACCATTTTGCAACTTTTTGGTTAAGTCTACAATTATTTCAAAATAAAAAGTAAAAAAAGTACTGTCCTAAATTAAGATGCAAATATCTAAAAGGACTATAGTACTCCATTTAATTAGATTTGAATCTGATTTCGCTCATTTGACTCTGACTTTTTTTTTTTTTTTTTTTTTTTTGGTGAGACACAGTCTCGCACTGTCGCCAGGGCTGTTTGCAATGGACTCCTGACCTCATGATTCTCCTGCCTTGGCCTCCTAAAGTGCTGGGATTACAGGTGTGAGCCACTGAGCCTGGCCTTGACTCTGACTTTCTAAAGAATGAGTGGCCGGCTGGGCACGGTGGCTTACTCCTGTAATCCCAGCACTCTGGGAGGCCAAGGCGGGCAGATCACCTGAGGTCAGGAGTTGGAGATCAGCCTGGCCAACACGGTGAAACCCCGTCTCTACTAAAAATACAAAAATTAGTCAGGCATGCAGGCATGGTGGCGGATGCCTGTAATCCCAGCTACTCAGGAGGCTGATGCAGGGGAATTGCTTAAACCTGGGAGGTGGAGGTTGCAGTGAGCTGAGATCACACCACTGCACTTCAGCCTGGGCGACAAGAGTGAGACTCAGTCTCCAAAAAAAAAAAGAATCAGTGGCTAATGCACAGTGCTTTAAATCACACATCATTTTGAATAAATCAGTAAAATTCATTTCAGATGTTGCAGTGTTAAACAGAACTTTGATGGTTTACTATAGAATAGCTGTAGGACACAATAATCCATGCAATGGTATTCATGGAGGTATTTGTTTCTTGTCCTAAGTAACCAAGCTCTGACAAATGAAAGCTCAAAGTGCCAGTGGGCAATTTTGCTCTTTTTGCCCTGGATGACAAACAAAACTGCTTACCTGTAGCACCACACTGCAAAAAATGCTCCAAAAAACACAAGCAAAAACGCCATGTAGGTGATCCACATGATGACATACATGGCGTCCAAGCCAAGGATCGTCCAGGGAGCAGGAGGAGGTGGGGGCTGGGGCTTGGGGCCACAGACAATAGAGCAGTCTTGGCAGCTACATGGTGCTGTGACCTCATCCACAGACTCGTCACAGCCTTTGGTGGCATTGTTCATGGGCTCCATCCCATGGACTGGAAAATCTACAGAAAGGAATTGTGTTGAGTACAAATCTCAATTAAAAACATCCAAAATTTTGTATTATACTTAAACTCAAAGAAAAGCCCACTGAAATACATAAAACAACTGAAAGAAGAAAAAGAATTGGAGGTTTTAGTTTAATTAAATTATGTTTTGCTGCTTCGTCCTATGGAATTTTAAGTTACCTCAATAAACTTGCGCGTAGGGGTTTGTCACTGATAGAGGAATCCTCCAAGTACACCACATACCAAGGCAACCCTTCAATCATGTCCCATCTCCATTCTCAGGAGCTAATACTATAGCAGAGCTCTAGAAAAGCTGCCTCCCACCCCCTTTTTAACTGCTTATTCTTTCAATTATGACAGCAATGCCTGAAGGCAATTCATTTCCTCCTCCATTCCCACTCCCAGCACCCCCTAAATTAGCCACAGCAGGATAAATGTACCAGTTACCTCTCTTACTGGGAGAAACTATGAACTAGTTACCTGAATGTGTTTATCTTCCTATTGTAGATTATGCTTCCTCAACTAAGATTCATTCATTCATTCATGGAGAGACAGGGCTTTGCCCTCACCAAGGTTGGAGTACAATGGGATGATCGTAACTCACTGCAGCCTTGAACTCCTGGACCCACGCAATCCTCCTGCCTCAGCCTCCCAAGTAGCTGGGACTACAGATGCATGCCACCACACCTGGCTAATGTTTAATTCTTTCATAGAGATGGGGCCTCACTACATTGCCCAGGCTGGTCTGGAACTCCTGGTCTTAAGCAATTCTCTTGCCTCAGTCTCCCCAAGCACTGGTGAGCCACTGTGCCCAGCCAGTTCCTTGGCTTTAAAACAATATCATAAACACACCAAACTTGGAATCTTTATACCTACCTGAAAACACAGGAGTGATGGTAAAAGGTGCCTGTCCATTGTCCTTATTGAACATGTATTCAATCCAGTTGGTGGCATTACAGGCGTCAGCGTCCTTCCCACACAGGAGTCCCAGGGCCTTGTCATTACTTGAGGGGGCCTCCACATCCCGGCAGGCATTGTACATTGCTAGAAGAGGAAACCCAAAGGAAAAAGGAGACAAGATGCTTGCTGTAATTCACGAGGCAAGATCTTACAAAAGGCCTCTTGAAGGGAAACACGAACTCCATATGCACCATGCTGGAATGCTGGACAGCAAACACTAACTAAGGGCACGAACAGAGATTCCCTTTAAATTGGCTTATCACCCTGCAAATAATATGGAGGCCCGATTCCAAGTAACTTAAAAGTAAAAAACAGACAGGAAAGGGAAAGGCACACGTTATCTCATAGCTCTCACAACAGCTTGGAGAAGTCAAATCCCCACTATATAGAAGAGTATACCAAGGCCCAGGAAGACGCAGCTAAGAGCCTCAGTACTTCTTCAGTTAACAAAGCTGGTTCCAGAAAACCTCTGCCGCAGGAAGCTACACAGCCAGAGAATTATGGAACTTACTTGGAAAACTGGTTTTAGAGCAGAGGTCACGTGTCAATAAACCTAATACTGTTGGCCGGGCACGGTGGCTCACACCTGTAATTCCAGCACTCTGGGAGGCCGAGGTGGGCGGACCACCAGGTCAGGAGATGGAGACCAACCTGGCTAACACAGTGAAACCCCATCTCTACTGAAAATACAAAAAATTAGCCGGGCGTGGTGGCGGACGCCTGTAGTCCCAGCTACTCGGGAGGCTGAGGCGGGAGAATGGCATGAACCCGGGAGGCAGAGCTTGAAGTGAGCCAAGATTGCGCCACTGCACTCCAGCGTGGGTGACAGAGCAAGACTCCATCACAAAAAAACAAAAAAAAAAAACAAAAAAAACCCCTAATACTGTTATCTTTTTGGATTTTATTTTCTTACACATACACACAACACATTATATAAGGATAGTATCAGTGTATTACACCTAAGAAAATAGCTGGAATGGGTCCTGTACTGTCGATTCTCATTTACCAGTCTCTGCTTGCTAGAAACTTCCCAGGATCTTCTTTCCCTAATCTTCAAGGAGATGCTTACACATTCATTTTGTTTTACCCTTGTTCTGGAAAGACAGGTTAACTAGGGTGACAGTCATCTCCCTCAGAATTCTCAACAGATTATTCCATTGCCTTCCAGGCTCTATCATGGCTGGTAAGAAAATCTCCAATTATCATTGTCTTAAGGTGATTTGTGTCTTGTCTCTATTTGCTTTTAAGATATTTGTCTTTGGGCCAGGGGTGGTTATGCACACCTTTAATCCCAGTAATTTGGGAGGCCCTGGTGGGTGGACTGCCAGAGCTCAGGAGGTCCAGACCAGCCTGGGCAATATGGCAAAACCCCGTCTCTACAAAAAATAAAAAAATAAAAAAAAATTAGCCAGGTGTGGTGGCGCTATATAATTTACAATATAATTACATGTAATTTACAATTTACCCCCTTAAACTATATAATTTAATGGAGTTTAGCATATTCATAGATATATGCAACTATCACCATAGTCAATTTTATAACATTTTCATCACCTCAAAAGAAATCCTGTATTCTAGCTATGCACAACTACCTCCCTACTTCCCTAAGCCCTAAGCAACCACTGAACTGTCTCTATTTATCTGACTATTTCAGACAGTTCACATAAATCCAATCATATAATATGTGGTCTTTCATGACCGGCTTCTTTCATTTAGCATAATGTTCTCAAGGTTCATGCATATTGTGGCATGTATCAATACTTCATTTCTTTTTACGGCCGAACAACATTTCATTGCAAGGACATATGTTTTGTTTATCCATATATCAGGTGATAAATATCTGAGTTGTTTCCACAGTTTGGCTATTATCAGTAATGCTGCTAGAAGCATTTGTGTATAAGTTTTTGTGTTGACCTATACTTTCGTCTTGTGAGTGGAACTGATGGGTCATATGGTAGTTCTATGTTTGTTTCAGGAACTGCCAAACTGTTTTCCAAAGTGGGGTCTCACTCTGTCACACAGATTGGAGTGCAGTGGTGTGATCTCAGCTCACTGGCAACCTCTGCCCCTCAGGCTCAAGTGATCCTCCCACTTCAGCCTCTCAAGTAGCTGGGACTACAGATGTGCACCACCATACCCAGCTAAGTTTTTGTAGAGATGGAGTTTCACCATGCTGCCCAGGCTGGTCTCAAACTCCTGAGCTAAGGTGATCCACCTGCCTTGGCCGTCCGAAGTGCTGGATTATAGGCATGAGCCACTGTGCCCAGCTGTTTTTGGTTTTTGGATTTCTTTTTAATAAAGGTTCCTATTTTCCACAGCCTTGTCAACACTTCTTGTTATGTGACTTTGATTCTAGCCATCCTGGTGGGTGTGAAGTGGTATCTCATTGTGGTTTTGATTTGTATTTCCCTGATGACTCATAGTATTGAGCATCTCTCATGTGCTTGTTGGTCATTTGTATATCTTCCTTAGAGAAATGTCTACTCTATTCAGATCTTTTGCCATTTTAAATTGGGTTATTTATTTATCATTGAGTAGTAAGAGTTTTTTTTTTTTTTTTTTGGAGATGGAGTCTCTGTCCCTCAGGCTGGAGTCCAATGGTGTGATCTCAGCTCACTGCAACCTCCACTTCCCAGGCTGAAGCAATTCTCCTGCCTCAGCCTCCTGAGTAGCTGGGATTACAGGCGCACATCACCACACCTGGCTAATTTTTCTATTTTAGTAGAGACAGGGTTTCACCATGTTGGCCAGGCTGGTCTCGAACTCCTGACCTCAGGTGATCCACCCGCCTTGGCCCCCCAAAGTGCTGGGATTACAGG
The DNA here is from genome assembly GCF_000001405.40 of Homo sapiens. Lineage (NCBI taxonomy): Eukaryota > Metazoa > Chordata > Mammalia > Primates > Hominidae > Homo > Homo sapiens. The sequence goes on from NC_000018.10 coordinate 23,564,263, forward strand.
CATGAGCCACAGCGCCCGGCCAAGAGTTCTTTATGTATTCTAGATACAAGTCCCTTATCAAATATACAATTTGCAAATATATTCTTGTCCTTTTTTTTGAGACAGAGTCTCACTCTGTCACCCAGGCTGGAGTGCGAGGTACTTAGTGCAGCCTCCTTAGGCTCAAGCAATCTTCCTGCCTCAGATAACCATGTGGCTGGGACCACAGGTACATGCCACCATGCCTGGCTAATTATTTTTTGTAGACACAGGGTCTCACTTTGTCACCCAGGCTGGTCTTGAACTCCCGGGCTCAAGCAATCCTCCTGCCTCAGCCACCCGAACTGCTGGGATAACAGGTGTGAGTCACTGTGCCCGGCCTTCTTGTCTTTTCTTGATGGCGTCCTCTGAAATACAAACTTTTTTATTTTAATGAAGTCCAATTAATCTTTTCTTCTGTTATTGCTCTTGTTTTTGGTGTCATATTTAAGAATCAAGTGCCAAATATGAGGCCATGCAAATTAATCCCTATGTTTTATTGTTTTATAGTTTTTAGCTCTTACATTTAGGTCTTCGATCCACTTTGAGTTAATTTCTTTAACATATGGTGTGAAGTAGGGCCCAATTTCATTATTATTTATTTATTTTTGCATGTGTGTATCCAGTTATTGCAGCACCATTTGATGAAGAGTATTCTTTTCTCATTGAATGGCCCTGGCACCCTTGTCAAAAATCAGTTGACCATAGATATATTATTTATTCTCAGTTATATTCCATTGATCTATATGTCTATCTTTATTCCAGTACCACTGTCTTGATTTCCATTGCTTAGTTTTGAAACTGAGAAGTGTGAGTCTTCCTATTTTGTTCTTTTTTCAGGGTTGTTTTACTATTCTAAGTCCCTCAAACTTCTATGTGAATTTCAGAATCAGCTTGTCAATTTCCACAAAGAAGTCAGTTGGGATTATAACAGAGATTGCCCTGAATCTATAAAACAATTTGGAGAATACTGATATCTAAACAATATTAAGTCTTTTGATTGATAAACATGGAATGTCTTTCCATTTATTTAGATCCTCGTTAATTTCGCTGAATAATGTTCTTTAGTGTGTTTTTTCTGTTTTTCTTTTTTTGAGATGGAGTCTCGCTCTGTCAGCCAGGCTGGAGTGCAGTGGCACAATTTCAGCTCCTGCAACCACCGCGTCCCAGGTTCAAGTGATTCTCATGCCTCAGCCTCCCAAGTAGCTGGCATTACAAGCGAGCGCCACCACGCCCAGCTAATTTTTATATTTTTAGTAGAGATGGGGTTTCACCATGTTGGCCAGGATGATCTCAATCTCTTGACCTTGTGATCTGCCTGCCTCGGCCTTCCAAAGTGCTTGGATTACAGGTGTGAGCCACTGCACCCGGCTGTTCTTTAAAGTGTTTTGCCTTCTGTTATAGTTACTCCTAAGTATTTCCCATACTAAAGTAAATGGAATTGTTTTATTTTCACTTTGAGATTGTCCATTGCAAGTGTACAGAAATACAACTGATTTTTGTATGCTGAATTTTCTCTAAGTTCTCAGGGTTCATCCCTTATCCACTCTGGAAAATCCTCATTATCCCTTTGATTATTATTGTCTCTCCCCAACTCTCTGGAGCTTCTCATGTTATATGTCATTTCTTTAATGATTTATAGGTCTTTGTATCTGTATGCTGTTTTCTGAGTAATTCCCTCGTATCTTCCAGCTCACCATTTGGTTTTCAGGTTTTATTTTATGTTTCAAGCATACAAAACACATGGAGAATAATACAATTCTCATTTCCTCATTACCCAGTTAACTATCAGTCATACCATTTCACAACATTTGCCTCAACATTAAAAAAATAATGGACTCGGCCAGGTGCAGTGACTCACACCTGTAATCCCAGCACTGTGGGAAGATCTCCTGAGGCCAGGAGTTTGAGGCCAGCCTGGGCAAAAAAGCAAGACCCTATCTCTACAAAAAAAAATTTGTTTTTAATTAGCTAGGTGTGGTAGCATATGCCTGTGGTTCCAACTACCCAGGGGGACTACTTGAACCTAGGAGGTTGAGGCTGCAGTGAGCCATGATTGCATCACTGTATTCCAGCCTGGGTGACAGCATGAGACCTTGACTCTGTTTTGTAGTACTGCACTATTCAGAACAACTGGCTATGGCATAATTTAAAAACTAAATAAAAATAATAATGCACTATAGGCCAGGTGTGGTGGCTCACACCTACAGTCCCAACACTTTGGCAGGCCGAGGCAGGAGGATCACTTAAGGCCAGGAGTTCAAGACCAGCCTCACCAACACAGTGAGGCCCGTCTCTTCCAAAAAATAAAATACTTACACACACACACACACTCTATAGATTCAGTTGAAGCTCCCCAATTACCCCTCCCTGACAGTAGCCCCTTCCCTAAGGTAAACACAATCCTGAATTTGATGTTTATCCTTCCCATGCATGTTTGTGTACTTGTTTTAAGTATGTAGTACTTTTGTTTCAAAATGTCATATAAACATGTAACCACCATTATAGTATCATATAGAGTATTTTCACCACCTAAAAATCTTCTGTGCTCTACTTATGCCTTCCTCTCTCCTAACCCATGGCAATCACTGACTTTTTACTGTCTCCACGGTTTTGCCTTTTGTAGAACGTCATATAGTGGAATCATAGTGAGTAGTCTTTTCAGATTGGCTTTGCTTAGTAATAGGATTTAAGGTTCATCCATGTACTTTCATGGCTTGATAGCACTGAATTTTCATGGCTTTTTAGCACCAAATAATATTCCACTGTGTGGATGTAGCAGTTTATTTACCCATTCACCTACTGAGAGAAATCTTGGTGGCTTACAAGTTTTGGCACTTATGGACAAAGCTGCTACAAATATCCACGTGCAGGTTTTGGGGTAGACACATTTTTAACTCATTTGGGTAAATACCAAGGAGTATGATTAGTTTTGTAAGAAACCGCTAAATTATCTTCCAAGGTGGCTGTACCGTTTTGTACTCCCACCATCAATGAATGAGAGCTCATTGCCAGCATTTGGTGTTGAAAGCGTCTTGAATTTTTGCCATTCTAATAGATGTGTAGTGGTATCTCGTTGTTTTAATTTGTAATTCTCTAATGACATAATGTTGAGCATCTCTTCTCATGTACTTATTTACCACTGTATGCCTTCTTTGGTGAGGTATCTGTTCAGGTTGTTTTGTCCATTTTTCAATTGGGCTGTTTGCTTTCTTATTGAGTTTTAGGAGTTATTTGTATATTTTGAATAACAGTCCTTACTAACATGTCTTTTGCAAATACTTTCTCCCAGTCTGTGTCTTGTCTTCTCGTTCTTGAGGTCTTCAATTTTTCACAATCACAATAGTGTTACAGTGGGTGTTCTTATATGGGTCTCCAGGTTTATATGCATTTAGAGTTTCTCTAAGGCAGGCATCTATAAGTGAAATTTCTGGGAGGAGGGTTAGCTTCAACTTACTACGTACTGCAAAGTTGTTTTTCAAGTAGTTTTGAAACGATTGTACCAAATTATGGTTGTAAGTGGTGGAGTACATTAGTATTCCTATTGCTTCACATTTTCACCCACAGTTGAAATTGACCAACTTTTTAATTTGTGCCAAGCTGATGAGGTGTGAAATGGTAGTTTACTGTTCAAATTTGCATTTCGCTGTCTGCTCTAGATAACAGTTGTTTATATTCATAAATATTTTTCTTATGGTTTCTGCTTTTCCTCTCCTGTCTAGAAATCTTTCCATATTTACTTCTAAAACTTTCCAATTGGGATTTTTAATCTACACAATTGATTTTTTTATTTTCTGTAAAAATTAAAATTAGATAAATATAATCTATTTTCTCATCTCATTTATCAACTAGCCCACCTTTTCTCTCAATGATTTGTAATGACACACGTGTTACACATCCACTTTCCATACATGCAGGCTTCTGTTTCTGGACAAAATGACCTCTCTCCATTCAGTCAGGTTGCCTTGTATGTCACATCTTTTGGATTCCTAAGTGCCTTATTTTTTGTTGCTTTTGTGAATGAGACCTTTTTTCTATGGAATTTTTTTGTTACCTTTTTACTTTGTCATTATAATTAAATGTTGTATGTTGGTCAATGCTGGGGGATCATTTCTGCTATCTGTTAGACCTGCTGACTTTCCTTTATGGTGATCTGATTCTTGCAAGTCATGACCTCTTCTCTGCCAACTATTAACAGTTCTATCTTCTCAGTCTTGCAGTAATTTATGACATTACACAACTCATGTCTGTTAGAGTCAAAGATCCAATGGTTACTGAAGTGTATGGATGCAAACTTGCACATACTAAAATTTTCCATGTGGGAAGTTAAAGTTAGGGGGAGTTAAAGCAAGCGCTTTAAGGAGATTTTTATATTCGTTGCAGTTCAAGTCCTAGGATACAAGCAAAGCAACAACTCTTATTTCCTGGCCAATGGAACTGAAAATTGTGATTTTCCAGAGTTGACAGGACAACTAAAAGGAACAATTTGCTCTGCTGTCCTGATGCCAGCTGTAAAAGAGGAATAATTAAAAGTTTACTTACCATTGGCAAAACTCTGTCCGACGTAGTATTGTAACTCTTTCACATTTGTTTTCGTCTGGTTTGTAACAGGATCAACATAATCTTCAGTAGCTGTAACATTCAAAAACTGACTCTGTCGAGGGCTACATGTCAGCTCACAAAACAGGTTCAGTAGGTTATAAAAACAGGATGGACATCTAAAGGAAAAGTAAATTATATTCTGCATGATCTCACACATAATAGGGCCAGCAAGAACGATTTTAAATAGACAAAGAATATTTTAAACTTACTGTAAAGTGACAAATTACCAAGAGAACATATTAAAAACCAGCAATTCTAAACTTAAAACTTCATGTTAAAATAAAGGCACACCTTTAAAAAATGCCCTAATTACTTTCTGCATTTATTGTGTCCAATTATAATTTCAAAAAGAGAGAGATGCTTCTCTGAATTCTGCACTTTATAATTTAGAGACATACATTCTCTGACCTAGAGTAAAGGGACTTTGGAGCATCAGGAAGACAATTATTATTATTTTTTGAGAAAGGGTCTCACTTTGTCGCCCAGGCTGAGTGCAGTGGTGTGATCACAGCTCACTGTAACCTTGAGCTCCTAGGCTCAAGCAATCCTCCCACCTCAGCCTCCCAAGTAGCTAGGACTACAGGTGCACACCACCACACCTGGCTAATTTTTAAAATGTTTTTGTAGAGATGTGGGTCTGTGTTGCCCAGGATGGTCTCAAACTCCTAAACTCAAGCAACCCTCCTGCCTTGGCCTTCCAAAGTGCTGGGATTATCGACATGAGCGCTGCACCAGCTGACAGTTTTGATTAAGAAGAAAATAAAATAATGAGAATTATGAGAATCTTCATCTTATAACCTATTGAAAGGTTTTCTTTCAAGCCCCGGAAAATCACTAGGCCCTCCTGAAACACAAGGAGAAATCCCCATGGTTTGTAAAGATAGAGAACAGCAATGTTGTTCTCTGGCTGCATGCACTTCAGGAGCACACAACTGCACAAGAACCATAAGCTGCCTGCTATCCTTCAGGTTCAAAGTTTAAGCTCCTAATGTTGACTTGTTACATGATAAAAGAGCTCTCTTTTCCCTTTGGTCCACTGTTACTTGCAAAAGCTGTTTCATTAGACTTGCATTCTTGCAATCAAGATTACTTTAGACTCCGATTCAGTCCCAGTGACCATGTAAGACAAAGAATGAAAAAAGTGTGTCCTGGCCTTCAAGAGTCTCTGTTCTAGTGAAGGAGACAGAGAAGCACAGACTCTCTTTCTTTCAGGAGCCCCACTGCTTTACTGCAACAAAGCCAGAAACCACAATTGTATTATTCTAATAGGAATCACTCTTGGGGTACACAGTTTTCAAACCTTTTCCATGTTACTACATTTAATGCCCACAATCACTAATTTTGACAGCTGTATATTTTTCCAAATATCAGGTTGTTTCTCCTGTTTGCTATTATAAATCAAGCTTTGGTACCTCTGATAATATGGAGAAAGGTTGGCTATCTTTTTATGTTTATGTCCGTATGTCCATAATGCCTCACCTACGGTGGATCCTAAATAAATGTGTTTTGACTGAGTGTACAAGGCTCCAATTTGGTTCCATCAATGTTCACAAGCCTTTCATAGGATATGCTGGCCCAATTACAGCCTCAACTTTTGTTGTTCTGAAAAAACAATTTAGTGGTGGTTTTCCATTCTCTATTGTTAACTTTTGGTAAGAAGCAGAATTTCTTCACTGGAAGCCAACTTGTGCCCTATCACCACCTGCAGTGATATTTGTGCAGAGAAGCATTTTCCCTTTTTAATATTTGCTTCCCAAACATCTTTATCAGTGTGCTGAAGTCTGAAAAATTTAGAAAGATACCACAATCTGCTGTTCTAAAGACCACTACCAGCTTGCTCTTTTGCATATTTGAGAATTGCTGGCTAGGCCTAGAGAAGAACATCTATTACCAAGCCCTTTTTCACTGCTCAGGGTCATAGCCAACAGAACAGATAAAAAACTAAGTTTGACAAAACCAGCCAGCTACAGCAGAACAAAATTTTTAACAGCTCCCCGAGGCCGGCTCTACTGAGGACCTGACTCTATCACAACCCTTCACCAGAGGGAGGGACAAGAATGATGTGCAAAGCAAAGCATGGGGGGAGAGGAAGGACTGCATGATGAGAGTCTCAGGCCAGGCACCTGAGCAGGACCCCTAGGAACCTCTCTTCCCCACAGTGCACAGCTCAAGTTTGAAAGGAGCCTGGCCGCAGTGCAGACACCCTGCAGGGTGAGAACATCGCAGAGGAAACCAAGCATCAACTCTGAATGCAACTGGGAAGTGAACCAAGTCTGGTAATTATTGTTTTTCTCTTTATTTCTGACAAATTGTAAGAGTGCTTTCTTAAAACAAAACAAAAACTGACTTTAAAAAAAAAAAAAAACTGGCTGGGAACTGTGGTTCACACCTATAATCCAGCACTCTGGGAGGCTAAGGTGGGAGGATCATTTGAGACCAGGCCTGGCCAACATAGTGAGACCCTCATCTCTAGAAAAAAATAAAAATTAGGCTAGGTGCAGTGGCTCATGCCTGTAATCCCAGCCTGTAATAACCAGGCTGAGGCGGGTAGATGACTTGAGGTCAGGAGTTTGAGACCAGCCTGGCCAACATGGTGAAACCCCACCTCTACTAAAAATATAAAACTTAGCTAGGTGTGGTGGCATGTGCCTGCAGTCCCAGCTACTGGGGAGGCTGAGGCAGGAGAATCGCTTGAACCCGGGAGGAGGTTGCAGTAAGCTGAGATCATGCCACTGTACTCCAGCCTCGGTGACAGAGCAAGAGTCTGTCTCAAAAAAAAAAAAAAATAAAGAAAAACATAAATAAAATTAGCTAGACATGGTAGTGCATGCCTGTAGTCCTAGCTACTCAGGAGGCTAAGGTAGAACAATCACTGGAGCCTAGGAAGTTTAAGCTGCAGTGAGCTGTGATCACACCACAAACCACTGCACTCTAGCCTGGGCAGCAGAGTGAGACTCTGTCTCTATTATACACACACGCATGCATACACATTATACATACATGTATTTTTAATACATAAATATATATTCACCTACTTTACATGTATACATATATGTATAAATATATAATATACATATAATATAGACATATAATAAATAAAAATATGTAAACAAAGAATAAATGGAAAGCTGAGCATTACCAGTTCACAAGTATCTACAGCCCAGTTGTTCTGTTTCCCCAGCAGAACCTACCTGGACAGAAACTGTAGAGGCAGCTGCAGGTTGTCTTTTAGTGTCTGAAGCTGCCGAACATCACAACAGAGACTGACATTGCCAAAGAAGAATCCTGGACAGAGTTCCTTTCAGGTGAAAGAGCACAGACACGGGAGTAGGCAACAGTTAGAGTAAGGTCAACATTCCTCAGTGAACTAAGACACATTCATTCATGTAATCCTTTTGAAGTACAAAAGGGTAAGACACATCCTGTATTTGCAAAGTTATTATAGAATTATTTTAAAAGGCTACACATTTACTATTTATTCACAAGTAGAGATGTTTCTAATTTTCTTTTTATTTGGAAGCTTTCTCTCCTCTCCTGACAATCATTTTATGTCTTCTTAGGGTTTTTTGTTTGTTTGATTCAATTCAACCAGAGTGCTACTTACTATTTCTATTAGTAATTCCAGGGAAAGTTGAAACCTTTAATAATTATGATGAAAGCAGCAAGTGAGGACAGGTACTGTGGCTCATGCCTGTACTCCCAGTACTTAGGAAGGCTGAGGAGGGTGGATTGCTTGAGCCTAGGAGTTTGAGACCAGGCTAGGCAACATGGTGAAGCCCCATCTCCCCAAATTTTTAAAAAATTAGCCAGGGGTTGTGGCATGTGCCTGTAGTCCCAGCTACTTGGGACGCTGAGTTGAGAGATTGCTTGAGCTCAGGAGGTCGAGGACACAGTGAGCCGTGATTGTGCCACTGCACTCTAGCCTTCAGCCAGGATAAAAGAGCAAGGCTCCTTCTGTCTCAAAAACAGAAAAGAAACGAACAAGTGAGCCTAGGAACTCTGTTATCATGTCGACTTGACTTTTGATTACTTTAAGCCTCTAAAACCAGGCTTTTCACATGATTTTTCCAGTTCTAATATCCCTGTGTATCACAGGATGGTAAAAAAAGAACAGGAATCAGAATCCTGGTAGCAGCCAAAATTCACAGGCTCTCAGTGGAACACAGAGAAAACACTGAAATGACCAGGGGACAAGGACGTCAAAGCCACTTAGCAACAGAGTCCATTTGAGTCCTGAAATCTAGGAATCAAAACCAGCTAACTTCTAATATATTTTGCAGATGCTGCAAGGGCAACATACGAAGTACCAAGGTCAGTCTCTAAATAGCAACCTGCTATTGGGAAACTTTATGAGAGGTATAAAGTCAGCCCCTGAAAAATTAAGCCTTTGGAGTTACGGTGTTCTTTCTCTGCACTGTATGCCACAGGTTAGAGTTTGAGAGTCCGGGATAAGACTTAAGCCTGTTAGTCTCATCTCCACCTCCACCCTGCAATAACATTTAAGGAATAATTACAGAGGATCTTGTGATCAGCATTTTGTGTTCCCAGTGCCTAAGATAATGAACTTACCTGCACTAAGTCATATCCATCCTTTGGCAATGGTTTTGGTGGGCCAGAATATTCGCAATTGTACCTCTTGTCCCCATATGCAATTCCACACTCTCCATACCAAACACAGGACTGTGAAAACACCTACAGAAAGTCAACACAAACTTCAGTGTTACCAGGGTCTCAATGGTAAATTTCAACAAGAAGTGCCCACTCAAGTACAATCACAGAAACTTCCAATGCTACCTGCAAAATTAAGTAACAGCAACAGGCACTTAACATTTTGAAAAATATTAATTAAAGCAGACCAAATGCCTATTTGTCAAGTCAGTGAAGTAGGTAATGGAAATTGCTTATTTACATAATTTCTATTTCCTGCTTATTTGTTGATAAGAGGAAGCTATAGTTCCATGTAAGAAATACTCAATCACAGTAGAGAGAAAAGCAAGATAGTGACTTAGCAATTACTAAAGCACTATTTTTGCACATCTGCACCAGGAACTATATAAGCTCTAAGTAATGAAAGAATATTTCCATATGTATTTAGGTTAATTAATATCAATACATCATGAGTAACATGAAGAACAAAACAACAAAACCACAAACATCAACACCCCAATGTAAAGAGCGAGAATGAACTTCCTGTCCTTGAGGCTGAAGTAGAAAGCAAAGAATGTGCTAACTTTAAGGAAAAACACCGAGGCAATCTCAAAAGAAAATTTTAAAACCTCTTATGTAAAGATTTCTCAAAAACCACTCACATTTCCCATGTGAGAGTCACAAGGTTGTCAGAAAATTCAGCGGAGGGGAGGGGTCAGTGTGAATCATCAGGTCAGTGCCTTGCTCTGAAGGCTGCTGCCCAAAACGCACCTGATCCTCTGCCTCACAATGGACTCAGAAAGCCACAGAGGGCCCAGCTTGCCAGGGCCCCGGGCCTGCAATCGTCTGTTCTACAGGGAAACAGAAGATATCAAGAAGCAGCCATGGCTCCCAAGAACCCTGATGGGAAAGCCATAAAAAAAAAACAAATCTGAACAGAAGTCACAACATGAAATTCTCTCCAGTGACAGTGGCACATGACCTGCACACAGGCAAGAAGCTAAGTCAGTCTGTGTTGGTCCTTCAGTATCAAAATACAAATCCCACAACAGTCCCTGAAGCCCAAAAACATGAGAAAAAGTCAGCAGGAGATTGGGATTTGTATGTGTGGGGAAATCCAAGGCATCAATATCACTTTTCTCTGAATTCATTTTTCAGATGTTCTAAAATAAAAATTAGGACTTAACTCCTCTTGACTCTTTGAAAGTCATGTTTAGGCCACAAAGGAGGGAAATTATACAAATAAGGAAGTGACAACAAGCCTTCAACAAAGCCACATATGAACCCTGTGCCAAGATTCCACCACTATTTTTATATAAAGAGAATCCCAATTGTTATTCCCATAAACCCGGTGATTCTAAGGAAAAAAGAAACGTATTGCAACTCTGGGTTTCCAACTAATGGAAAAAAGTCCTAATGAGTAAAAGTCATTATCCATCTAACTAAAGTTTGAAAAGGCAAAAGCTGACTACAGAGGCAGAGGAAACTGCTGAAGTTCACATGAAATTTTAAATACAAAGAACTCTTCCCTAGACCTCGCAGAACTCTCCAGGGATTGGCCTGTCTCTGCCTCAGGGGCACTCTGGCTGGTTACCCACAGGAGCAGGAGTGACAAGAGACAGATGTGCAGTCAACACACTGCAGCTCTGGCCTGACAAACAGGACGGGTGTCTGGAGTCTAAAATCCCCTTACTCAGCACTTGGTACTATAGATGTGAATAAAGATGGCCCACTGCTGTTTAGGTTCCTTTTCACAAAGATCATTCGTTACTTATTTCAAAGCAAGTGCTATTTCCACCCACTTGGTGGAAGAGGGGTGGGTGAGAAGGCGGCACGGAGTGGGATCGAGTCCTGGGTTCTGATCCCAAGAGCTCCTGAGGCTCAGTGTGCTTGTTGAGCTGGATTGCACCTGGGATCACACCTGGAGCAGGTTACGTAACCACGTAGGAGTTTTCCTACCTGGGAAATGAAGCTCATAAGCTCTGCCTACCTCACAGGTTCCTGTGAAGATCAAATAAGGGCCTATCTGTACATATATAGTAAGTACTCAGTAAACTACAGAGCACCACGCAATCAAATATAAGGAATTATTATTAATGTCTTCTACCTGCTTGAGACCTCGGCAAAGAGGTTCCAAAGACTTAAAAAATTAACACCTGAGCCCAGGAAATTTGGGCTTGAATCAACATTCAGGTTTGCTTCTCAAAAGGTCATCTTCTAGAGACACAGCAGAGAAGACCAAAAAAAAAAAAAAAAAAAAAAAAAAAGTCATCCTGGCTGGAAGTGGTGGCTCACGCCTATAATCCCAGCACTTTGGGAAGCCAAGGCAGGTGGGTCGCTTGAGCCCAGGAGTTTGAGACCAGCCTGGGCAACACAGTGAAACCCTGTCTCTTAAAAACAACAACAACAACAGGCCGGGCACGGTGGCTCACACCTGTAATCCCAGCACTTTGGGAGGCTGAGGCAGGTGAATCACCTGAGGTCAGGAGTTCGAGACCAGCCTGACCGACATGGAGAAACCCTGTCTCTACTGAAAATACAAAATTAGCCAGGTGTGGGGGGTGCATGCCTGTAATCCCAGCTACTTAGGAGGCTGAGGCAAGAGAATTGCTTGAACCCGAGAGGCGGAGGTTGTGGTGAGCCAAGATTGTGCCATTACACTCCAGCCTGGGCAACAAGAGCTAAACTGTCTCAAAAAACAAACAAAAAAACAAAACAAACAAAAACAACAACAGCCAAAAATTAGCCGAGCCTAGTGGCACATGCCCATAGTCCCAGCTACTCCGGAGGCTGAGCTGGGAAGATCAGCTTGAACCCAGGAGGTTGAGGCTGCAGTGAGCTGAGATAGCACCTCTGCACTCCAGCCTGGACAACAAAGTGAAAACTGGTCTCAAAAAAAAAGTCATCCTGCCGAAAGAAGCAACCTAAGCCAGCAGGACCCAAAGACTTACAAAGCACTGGCGGTGTCCTAGGCTTAGGCACTATTTTAAATGCTCTTCACATTGTGTCCGGAATTGGTGGGTTCTTGGTCTCACTGACTTCAAGAATGAAGCCGCGGACCCTGGCGGTGAGCGTTACAGCTCTTAAGGTGGCGCGTCTGGAATCTGTCCCTTCTGATGTTCAGATGTTTTCGGAGTTTCTTCCTTCTGGTGGGTTCGTGATCTCGCTGGCTCAGGAGTGAAGCTGCAGACCTTCGCGGTGAGTGTTACAGCTCTTAAGGCAGCGCGTCTGGAGTTGTTCGTTCCTCCCAGTGGGCTCGTGGTCTCGCTGGGCTCAGGAGTGAAGCTGCAGATCTTCGCGGTGAGTGTTACAGCTCATAAAAGCAGTGTGGACCCAAAGAGTGAGCAGTAGCAAGATTTATTGCAAAGAGCGAAAGAACAACGCTTCCACAGCATGGAAGAGGACCCGGGCGGGTTGCTAATGCTGGCTTGGGCAGCCTGCTTTTATTCTTTTATCTGGCCCCACCCACATCCTGCTGATTGGTAGAGCCGAGTGGCCTGTTTTGTCAGGGTGCTGATTGGTGCGTTTATAATCCCTGAGCTAGATACAAAGGTTCTCCACGTCCCCATCAGATTAGTTAGATACAGAGTTTCCACACACAGGTTCTCCAAGGCCCCACCAGAGCAGCTAGATACAGAGTGTCGACTGGTGCACTCACAAACCTTGAGCTAAACACAGGGTGCTGATTGGTGTGTTTACAAACCTTGAGCTAGATACAGAGTGCCGATTGGTGTATTTACAATCCTTGAGCTAGACATAAAGGTTCTCCACGTCCTCACCAGAGCAGCTAGAGTGTCGATTGGTGCACTCACAAACCTTGAGCTAAACACAGGGTGCTGATTGGTGTATTTACAATCCTTGAGCTAGACATAAAGGTTCTCCACGTCCTCACCAGAGCAGCTAGATACAGAGTGTTGATTGGTGCACTCACAAACCTTGAGCTAAACACAGGGTGCTGATTGGTGTATTTACAATCCCTGAGCTAGATATAAAGACTCTCCACGTCCCCACCAGACTCAGAAGCCCAGCTGGCTTCACCTAGTGGATCCCGCACCGGGGCTGCAGGTGGAGCTGCCTGCCAGTCCTGCGCCGTGCGCCTGCATTCCTCAGCCCTTGGGTGGTCGATGGGACTGGGCGCCGTGGAGCAGGGGGTGGCGCTCGTCGGGGAGGCTCAGGCTGCACAGGAGGCCACGGAGGGGGTGGGAGGCTCTGGCATGGCGGGCTGCAGGTCCCGAGCCCTGCCCCGTGGGAAGGCAGCCAAGGCCCAGCGAGAAATCGAGCGCAGCGCCGGTGGGCCGGCACTGCTGGGGGGACCCAGTACACCCTCTGCAGCCACTGGCCCGGGTGCTAAGTCCCCCATTGCCCGGGGCCAGCAGGGCTGGCTGGCTGCTCCGAGTGTGGGGCCCACCAAGCCCACGCCCACCCGGAACTCCAGCTGGCCCGCAAGTGCCGCACACAGCCCCGGTTCCTGCTCGTGTCTCTCCCTCCACACCTCCCTGCAAGCTGAGGGAGTGGGCTCCGGCCTTGGCCAGCCCAGAAAGGGGCTCCCACAGTGCAGTGGGGGACTGAAGGGCTCCTCAAATGCCACCAAAGTGGGAGCCCAGGCAGGGGAGGTGCCGAGAGCAAGCAAGGGCTCTGAGGACTGCCAGCACGCTGTCACCTCTCAATATGTTAACCCAATTAATCCTACAACAGTTTGATGAGGGAGGCGTTATTATACCCCTTTTACAGATGCAGAAACGAAGGCACTGAGGCTAAACAACTTGTCCAAGGTCACAGTGGCAAAGCCAGGATTCAAAACAGAGCAGGTGACTCCAGAAACAGACTCTCAATAAAAGAGAATCAGCTGCATCATGAAAGTCCTCCCTGTAGCATCACACCCTCCCCAAACCCCACCGTGTGCAAGAGCACGAGCACCTGTGCACTCAACAGCTGCACAATGGGAGCTGCTCAGCCTTCACTCCCTTCTCACCAACAGCTGAAAGTGGAGAGCCAGCCTCCTGGCCCCCAGGCCTGCCTCTGCAGCTGCTCCACCTCAGGGGCCTCCACACCTCCATCTCTTTCTCTTCTGTGTTTTTAACCTCATCTCTCTCTCAGTCCCTTCACCTGCACCTCCCTAGAAACACTGCTCTAATTATATCCACAAACCCCTCTCTCAGCTTCAGTGATCTCCAGCTTCTCTCCAGCAGCACTTTCCACTAGCTGCCCAACAGCCTCAGTGCTTAAGACGAAACCAATCTTTCCTCTATTTGTATTTCCTCCTCTATTGCCAATTCCTCTTCAACAGAGTTTCAAATGAAAATCTCAGGCACCTTTCGAACCCACCTCCCATAGCGAACCTATCGCTCACTCCCAGGGAGGCTCCCTCGTGCAGCCTCCTGCCCTCACTCGGACCCGGCAGTGTCTCTGGTGCAGATGCCTGCCGCTTGCCTCTTCCGGAACAATGCTCAAAGTTTTCTGGTGCTCAGAAACCTCCAACCCACCCTTCCCACTGCCTGTGCGACAAGCTTCAGACACCTCACTCTGGCTCTGCCCACTCTCCTTTCTACAGTATTCCAAACCTATCACTCTAACTGCCTACCCTTCCTTCCTTCTCTCCCACATGAAGTAGGACCTGCCTGCCTCTGCCTTGGTCATGCCCTAGGATCAAGCAAAATTTATGAGAATTGCAAAGTTGTGATGTTGGGAGAAGTTGCCAGAGTATTTTCTCACTTTTGTCTCAACTCCCTTGTAAGACGGTAAAATCCTAGAGGGCAGAGCCTAGGTGTGTAATCCTTCCTTTGAAATTCCCTATTGTATTACATCTGGTGTTCATGGATGCAGAACTTGTCAAAACTCACAATGAGCTGAGGGAGTACAACTGGATTATCTAAGTTCAGAAATGAGAAGTGCTGATTGTTTTGGCTTCTACCCAGAATTTAGTAGTTACACAGCTAAAGAGTTTCTATTTTTAAAGGTTAGATCATATGGATATTTCACAACATGCTCTAGAGTTTAATTACTAAGAAAATGACTGGATAGGGAAGCTTCTTTCAACGATAGGAACAGTTCAGGAAAGGTTAAAAAAAAGCCCCTTCTAGGCCAGGTGCAGTGGCTCATGCCTGTAATCCCAGCACTTTGGGAGGCCGAGGTGGGCAGATCACGAGGTCAGGAGATCGAGACCATCCTGCCTAACACAGTGAAACCCCGTCTCTACTAAAAATACAAAAAATTAGCCGGGCATGGTGGCAGGTGCCTGTAGTCCCAGCTACAGGCTGAGACAGGAGAATGGCGTGAACCCGGGAGGCGGAGGTTGCAGTAAGCTGAGATCGCACCGCTGCACTCCAGCCTGGGTAACAGAGAGAGACTCCATCTAAAAAAAAAAAAAATGCCCCTTGTGCTATATCTCAGCAACTATAGCAACTGCTAAATTGGACCCCATTCAGGAGCTCCATAAGCACACATTATTATCAGAAAAGCTCTGAACTCAGTGAGAATTCTATTCCACTGCCTTTAGGAAATCCTAAAGCATTAACTAACATATTCAAATACTTACTGAACATCTATTGTTCTCGAGGCATGGCAGTAAAATAAATAAATGAAACAAAAATACCAAACATCGACTGCATGCCTCATTTTCTCAGATACTCTATGCAGTAGCACAGCAGAATTTTACAGGTAAGTGAACTCAGGCTCAAAGATACTCTGAGGTCACATGGCTCATAAATAACATGATTTTGAACACCAAGTTAAGCATTCTCCACCCATCCCCCTTGTCCTCCTGCCTCCCCTACCCCCAGCTTCTGTACCATTTAAACTCTAGTCCAGTTTGTGCAGTGATGTATCCTCAGAATTGGAGAATGCACTGGAGATGAACTGTCCCATCCATGATGATCCTATACAAGTGTTCCTTCAATATAAACTTGTTCACTTGTAGAAATAATGCCTCCCATTCCTATCTTTTAAAGTATCTCTCTAGGCAGTTGTCAAGCAATGACTCCCTTACTCAGTATCACTGACAGTCCTCAACCCCAGGGTAGGACTTGGCCATCCACCAGAGCTGGGAGTGCAGGGCTTGGCACCAACACTTGTGCCCCTGTCCTGGATGGGTAAAGCTAATGGCAAAACATGGAGAGATACCCAGCTCAAGCTCCAGTGAGGCGATGGAGGAGAGGGGCTTGCTGGTTAACTTCCCTACCTCATTGCTTCTCCAGAGAGCAGAGGCTGGCCTGGCCAGTCAGGACAACACAGGCTGGAGTGGAGGGAGTGGCATGAAGAATCCTGTCCAGAGATTAAGCTGCCTGCTGCTTCTTTGGAGTCAGGGAGGCAGACCAAACAAATATGGCAGGGCATTTAGGGTGGAGGCTGCCGGGCTGGTCTGACTTCTATTGACGGAAATCTCTGGAAGTGTTTTATAGCCAACCTGGCATGAACGTATCTACATAACAAAGGATAATTTGTGTGTGCACCAGGCCTGCCTGCATGTGGGTGTTTAAGTCATATATTTTGAGTGCTAGGTGTGCTCAGCTAGTCCAACTCTTCGTTTTACAGATAACCCCTTTAGCTTCTGGTTTTTTATGTGACTCACCCAAGGTCATATTACTAGTTAGTCTTAGACATTTAGGAGCCACAAAACTAAAACAAAACTATGAAAGTGGGTGCCAGTATACACTGTCTGCAGTTTTTTCCCTATGGAATGTTCACAGTGTGGTGACTGAATCAGGGGTCAGGCCAGCAGGCTAAACCCATTCCTGATCTATTACGGACTACTGGAAGAGCCACACTGGGGACGGAACCAGGCCTTGAATGAGACTGCTCTACTAACCAAGTGGAATATCTGCTGAACACCCATTCAATTAAGCTTGCTAAACACCAATAATCTAGCCTTGAATTTCAAAAAACTAGGGCACAGAAGTCAGAAGATGGCAGTTGAAGCACCCAATGTGCCATCTACTAGCTATGTGACCTTGGGACAAATTTGACCCTTGATGTCTGCATCTATAAAATAGGAAAAACAGCATTACACCTACCTTAAAGGGGCTCTGTGAGGATAAAACAAGATCGGATGTGATAGCAATGGAGTACTATGCAAAATTTGGGTAGCTTTTGTCTCTAGTCTTATGTAATCTAGTATATAGCACCCTGCAAATTTTTTTAAGAGCTTTACTCATGTAATTTACATACCATAAAATTCACCCTTTTCAAGTGAACAGTTCAATAGTTTAGGGCAACAATTAGGCAACTCTCCCGACTATTTTCTCTAGTTTTCCTCTTGTCCACCTGATACATTAATTCATCCTCCATAGCTCAGCTCAAAAATGGACTCTCCATAACATTTTATCTTTATTCTTATCTGAGCACTTCTTACTGTATTACCATTTTTTTATGTATCCAGCCTTCCCCCCATCAACTATGAAGAAGACAGTGATAGTAATTATGAACATTTACACAGCACTTTACAGTGTATAGACGGACTTTTTTTCTTTTTTTTACTACTTACTTATTGTTTTGGACTAGTCAAGTGCAGTAGTGAGCAGGAGGAAAGAGTAGATCAAGGAGTTCGATCTGTAACTGACTTTGATCAATTGATAACACACTACCTTAGGACCAGCCTAGACTGATTTTTTTAAATGGGTTAATTCTTTTGATCTTATCCTTTGTTGTGTCTAGGGAAGCCAATTCATGTTTATGAAATTATTTTGAGCTCCTCTTGTGACCTAAGCAAGGGACAGTAATAAGATAAAATTTTAAAGCTTCTCTCAAATCCTCCAACAGAACACCTGCACCAGAGAGAGTTGGTTTTTTAAAAGTTTTGCTGCCAAAGCAAATGTTCCAAAAATTTGAAAGTGAGAGGCACAGTCCAGATGAAGAAAAACCTGGCTGGCCGCAGCTGATCACTGCCATCACCTAGAAACCAACTGCAAATCCAATTTTGATTGCCACTAGTTTCTAAGTCTCTCCCCAAAATCCATTTCAAGGCCCAAATATCTTATGATCAAAGAATCCCAGTGGGCCAGGCATGGTGGCTCACACCTGTAATCCCAGCACTTTGGGAGGCGGAGGTGGATGGTATCACTTGAGCTCAGGAGTTCGAGACCAGCCTGGGCAAGCTGGCAAAACCCCTTCTCTACTAAAAATACAAAAAATTAGCAGGGCATGATGGTGCACACCTATAGTCCCAGCTACTCGGGAGGCTTGATGTGGGAGAATCACCTGAGCCCGGGAGGTCGAGGCTGTAGTGAGCCAAGATCGTGCCACTGCGCTCCAGCCTGGGCAACCAAAGTAAGACCTGGTCTTGAAAAAAAAAAAAAAAGATTCCAGGGCCAGCACGGTGGCTCATGCTTGTAATCCCAGCACTTTGGGAGGCCAAGGTGGGAGGATCTCCAGCCCAGGAATTCAAGACCACCTTGGGCAACACAGCAAGACCTTGTGTCTACAAAAAATTTAAAAATTAGTTGGGCATGGTGGCATGCACCTGCAGTCCCAGCTACGTGGGAGGCTGAGGTGGAAGGATAGCTTGAGCCCAGGGTCAACACTTCAGTGAGCCACAATCAAACCACTACACTTCAGCCTGGGGGACAGTGCAAGACCCTGTTTCAAAAAAAAAAAAAAAAAAAAGAGTCCCAAGTCAAGTGTCCTGGCCACATTTGTAGATGATATTGGAGAGCAACAGTTATTGCTCTTAAGGAGCCTGCAATTCGGTAGTTCAATTAGGAAATATTTGTCTTTCACAAGCATAGTTGGCACAGTTAATCCAATTTTACAGAGGAGGAAACTGAGGCTCCAGAGGATAACTGGCTTACCCAAGATCACTCTTGGGAACAGAGAAGAGTCAAGACCCACACCAAGGTCTTTTAATGAGGCAGCAAATGCTGTTGCAGCAGTTTAAATAAAGATTCAGAACTTCAGAGGGAAGGCATTCTAGTTAGGGGAACAGGACAAGAATGTCGTAGATAATGTAGCATGTGAAATGGGGCCCTGGAAGATGGGCAGGATTTTGCTAGCAAGCAGTTCAATTTGACTGGAGAGCTGATGCCCTTCACAGAGCTGGAGGTCAAAGGGCAGAAAGGGGCACCCGAGATCAGAGATGACTGATCCAGGCTTCCGCTGTAGGTAATCTGCCATGCTTAGAATACTGCATCCCTTTTAGGAGTGGAGGGTTACCCAGGAAAGAGAGAGCACACTGTCTTCATGACCAGAGTGATTCTTTGTTCTGGGTAATATAACAAACACTGGAGGAATACAAAGGCCTATTCAGCGAGTCCTTTTCCCTCTGCCCACTGGCTCAAATTTAAAAAAATCTCATTTTCCCCTTGATTACTTATGTTAGTAAAATTTCTGATCACAGCATCAGTCAAGGAGTGGGAAAGATGGGGAAAGATTTCCCACAGTCATTCCAATTTCAGATGGTTGTTCTTAATCACTCACAGGTCAAAAGATTAACCATTCCCAGTCTTCTGAGGAAAAGCCATTTTAATGCTTAATTTCTACCCAGGCTTCTCTATGTTCCAAGTCCCTCAAGATAAAGCTTACCAAAATTACAGCCGGGAAAAATAAAGGCTATGTCTCAAAACTGCATATAGTTTTTAGATGACTACAGGGTTTTAAAAACAAGGCAGTCTAGTAATGTTATTACATCATCTGTACATATTGAACATTAAGAAAAAGCAAAAATCCCCCCAACATGTATTTCAGATCTTACACAGGACAACTAGTCCATAATTCCATGATAGAACTCTACTAGCGCTCAGACTGAAGCTAATGAGCTGCTATCATCGGTACGAATTCTAAAAGCAGACACACTCTCTCTCCCAATCTGTTTGGCTTCATGGCTCCACCCCAATCTGTTCAGGTGCACTGAAAGCTTTCAGACATGAGGAATTTTTAAAATAATAATAGGATTATTTCCAGTTAAGGTTTACAGACCTTGAAAAGGCCTCCAGGCATTTTTGCAAGAGACTTACAACAAACCTCTGACCTATCCCAAAT
Organism: Homo sapiens; assembly: GCF_000001405.40. Classification (NCBI taxonomy): domain Eukaryota; kingdom Metazoa; phylum Chordata; class Mammalia; order Primates; family Hominidae; genus Homo; species Homo sapiens. The sequence goes on from NC_000018.10 coordinate 23,584,498, forward strand.
GTCATAAAAGAAGCACTCATTGGCCATCAGCCTTGGGTACTTGAGATTTAAAAAATACTTAAGAGATGGCTACTTAATAATGTGAAGCCTGGCTGGGCGAGGTGGCTCACACCTGTAATCCCCAAAAGAGGAGGGCGGATCGCTAGAGGTCAGGATTTCGAGACCAGCCTGACCAACACGGTGAAACCCCATCTCCACGGAAAATACAAAAATTAGCTGGGCGTGGTGGTGGGCACCTGTAATCCTAGCTACCTGGGAGGCTGAGGCACCAGAATTGCTTGAATCCAGGAGGCAGAGGTTGCAGTGAGCCGAGATTGCGCCACTACACTCCAGACTGGGCAACAGAGACTCTGTCTCCAAAAAAAAGGGAAGCCTATTTAAGGTCCTGATCTAAAACTCTAGGAGGGGCCAGGAGTGGTGCTCACAATAATCCCAGTGCTTTGGGAGGCCAAGGTGGAAGGACTGCTTGAGGCCAGGAGTTCCAGGCTGCAGTGAGCTATGATGGCGACACTGCCCCCACGCCTGGGCAACAGAGCAAGAACCTGTCTCTAAAATAAATAAATTTTAAAAATAAATTTTAAAAAACTCTAGGGAAACAGAATAGCCACATTTTCTCTACGGCACATAATTGCTATTATTTATTTCTCTCTCTTTTTTGTTTTGACACAGGGTCTTGCTCTGTTGCCCAGGCTGGAGTACACCGGCGTGATCACAGCTCACAGCAGCCTCAACCTCAACAATGAAAAGAAAAACAAAATGTTTTTAAGACGGTGTTTCACCATGTTGCCCCGGCTGGTCTTGAACTGCTGAGCTCAAGAGATCCTCCCGCGGAGCCCTTCTCCTGGCTCTTAGTCCATTATTGGATCAACATCACCTATCCCCTTCTGAGAACTAAATAGAAGTCGAAGGAGAGTTTTTTCTAGTCCACGGAACCCCCTCTCCCCTGATTCACCACTTCCTATTGACGCCACACCTATGTGAGGGGCGTTAATGTGCACAAGGACACAATTCCCCGGAGGCACTCTCATCCTGATTTGGTTTAACGAGTCACAGCGTGACACTGCCCCACTCCAGTTTTAAAAGAGGAAACTACAGACACACAAATACTGAGGTGCTCTTTCCCAAAGCTATTAAACCAAGCAAAAGCCCCCAGAAGGAGTCAGCAGGACACCGAGTTCCAGGCCCCATCCTGTCGCTGGCTAATAGTGACAAGGGGAAATTCAATACCGCCCTGTGAGTCTCAGTGTCCTGAGGTGTAAAAAGGAGTTGATGAAAAGTAACCTGCCCTCTTTAGAAGACCAAGCTGACTTATGTCAAGTACTCAAGGCAGTTTCACCGGGTGCTTGAGGAAGTTTGTGTCTCTTTACCTCTGCTTCCACCTCCATCCTCAGGTGATGAGAAGAGGAAATAAAGTGGTTAGAGCTCCTAAATTTTGGAGTTCGTGCGCATGTAGCAGAATTTTTTAAAAAGCAAGTAGTGTCCCTATCCCACTCTACCCACTTTCCTCCCTTCTTCTGGTGCCACATCCTACACAGAGAAATTAGGTGACCACAGATGGAACAAGCTCAGAACAGGTCACCCAAGCCCCCACTGCCACCCTCTTCCAGACCACAGGAAAGAGAGCGTGGCCGGAGACAGAAACAGGACAAGTGAGGAACCTCCGAGCTCTCCATCGCCAGACCAACTTCCCCAGGACCCGGGCCTGAGCCGTCGCTGGGCCCGTCGCCTTCCCCGGCTCTCGGCCCCGCCACGTCCCCACAGGGCGTCCCGGTGGCCGGCGACCGCTCACCTGCGCTGGACACAGTAGCAGCAGGAGGAGGCCAAGGGCCAGGCCGCGAGCGGTCATGCTGTGGCCGCGCAAGGCTGCTGACGCCGGCGGCGTTCGGCTGGTTGGGCTCCCCGGAGGCGGCTCTACTTCCCCGGGCTGTTTCAGCACCCCGCGCAGGAGGAGCGGAGGAGCAGGAGCAGGCGCTGACCGCGGCAGCAGGCTGCGCGCGCCGGTCAGGAAGGAAGAAGGCGTCGTCGGCTCCGCCCTTTCTGGGAGGTGCCGCTGCCGGGACTCCCTGGCCCGGGCTGGGGCGCCGCCGCGACCCCGCTTCAAGGTCCCCGTGTTGCCCTTCTCCTCAGCCCCTGCAATCCCCGGGGGCCAGGCGCGGGACTTATGGAGTCTGGCTCGGCCCGGGAGAGTATCTGTGGAGTTGTGCCAACGGTTTCTGGCCGTGATGCTTTCCCTTTTCGTCTCTGGGTTGGAGGGGGCGGGCGAGGTTTCAGCGAAGGGTAGTGCTGTTCTGGGGGACTTCCGGGTAAGGTCCCGCCCGGCCGCGGAGTCTCTGTTTATTTCGGCTCCGACAATTACGCTGAGCGACTTCTCCTCCCAACCCAGTCACCTGAAAGGAATCTGGACCCCGGCACTTTCTAGCAGAGCCCGGGGCGGTGACGCGCGGTGGCCTGACCGTGTGACGATCCGCGAGTGCGGCGGGGCGGGGCGGGGCGGAGCGCGGGGTGGGCGGTGGCGGTGCGGCCAGGCCCGGGAAAAAAAGTGCGGGAGCCTCGCCACCTGCTGGCCCAGCTGCGCAGCGCAGCCCGTGGGCGCGAGGAAACCCCGAGGTGGGGACCAGGGTCTGTTTTAAGTTCTACGTGAAGGCAGATAAAGAAGACGCGTTGTCATTTTTGAGCCATGCGTTTGATATATGTATTTATCTTTAACTCTAGTTGTATGTGTTTCTGGTAACGTTTTCCCTCAAATTTCAAGTATTCAGACCACTCAAAAGCATCTGTCATTTCCATTTTGAAGTTAAGAAAATGGAGGTGAAGATCTCTTTCCCAACAGTGAAAGCAAATTTACGATGAAAAGACTAAACCTTCATCTGGAGCAATGACCGAACCCCTCCCCAAGGAGTCCCATGATGCAGATGACCTTCCCATCCCTATCCTATAAAGTGCTGTTTCACTTTCTGTCTTGCCTTCTCACCTCCTCAGCCCTGAGATGTCCACCTGGCTGGCCTGGCAGTGAAACTATGGGGATTTCTTCAGGACCTTCAGCCTAGGTCCTCCACGACGACCTCGTGGTCCTCAGTCAGCTCTGTGCTCTCGCTTCCCACTCCCCAGGCTCCAGCTCCTGGTGCCCCCACTGAGGATCAAGTCCTGTGTATGCCTTCATGCAGGGATCCTCAAACGGCCATCCCCAGACCAGCAGCAGGAGCATCTCCTTGGAACTTGTTAGAAATGTAAATTCTCAGCCAGGGCAATGTAGCAAGACTCCCTCTATACAAAAAAAAAATTTTTTTTAAGTTAGCTGGGCATAGTGGCACACACCTGTAGTCTCAGCTACTAAGGAGGCTGAGGCAGGAGGATTGCTTGAGCCCAGGAGGCTACAGTTGTCTATGATCATGCTGCTGCACTCCAGCCTGGGTGATAGAGCAAGACCCTGTCTCAAAGACAGAGAGAGGTAGAAGAAAATGTTACAGTAAGATTTCCAAGTTTATAAATTACTTTGAAGGTTCTAAGTTTCCATAACCCTCCTTGGGGAAGAAGAATTCTGGTTCCTGTGACTTACTTCAGGGGTGCAAGACCGCTGGAGACAGGAGGGCAGGAGAAAGTCATGGGTAGACTTTGTTTCTGAGGCTGCTACTGAGACCTAATCTCCTTTAGTTCAAAGTACTTAGCATGCCAAAGCCTCCTACTTTGGGGTATCGTTTTCTGAGCTCCAGTAGTTGAGATCCGGAGACTTTTTTGTTGAAAGAATATTCAATACCATCTTCATAAGGACTATTCAGTGTTGACCTCAGAGCAATAAGTAGAAAATGGGGGGAAATGAAATTATTAGATGTGCATCTTTATAAATGTGCAGAAATACCTTCCAGAAAACTTCTATGTAGTGGAAAGCATACATATGTGAATATAATATACAAACGTTTTAAACAAGTGGGGATGTACAGTACACAGTTCTCATCTGGCTTCTTTGCTTTTAGCAGTATGCTTTCCTACCTCACTCCTTTTAATAGCTGTAAAGGATTTTATTATGCGTATGTAACACTTCTGAAGCCATACTCAGAGCAGTGTCTAAATCAATGAAATATAAATCACCAGCCAACAAGTATTTCAAAATAACTCAATTCCTCTACTTGCATTCCTGGTACATATGAAGGGTTTGTGTGGTCCTGGCAATACATTATAAATTTATCTTTCCTTTTCCTTTTTTCTTTTTTGAGACAGAGTCTTGCTCTGTCTCCCAGGCTGGAGTGCAGTGACATGATCTCAGCTCACTGCAACCTCCACATCCCCGGCTCCAAAGATTCTCATGCCTCAGCTTCCCGAGTAGCTGGGATTACAGGTGTGCGCTACCACGCCCAGCTAATTTTTTTTTGGATTTCATTAGAGATGGGGTTTCACCATGTTGGCCTGGCTGGTCTTTAACTCTTGGCCTCCAGCAATCCACCAGCCTCAGACTCCTGAAGCGCTGGGATTACAGGCGTGAGCCACTGCTCCCAGCCCGCTTTTCTTTTCGGTATGCTTTGTCACATTCCTGAGCTTGCCTGGAGACCACAAAGCCTGGCATCTTTCTGTGCCCTCTGCTTTCCCAATCATGCTGCATCACCAAAGTCTAAACACTTTTGAACATTTCCCTTGTAGAGGGAGAGGAGAAAGTTGACCCAAGACTAAATTATCTGTAGCTGGCAGATGGTAGGGGAAGGCTAGAAATACTTACGTTAATAATTTTTGATCCACTATGTAACTTATTTAATCAGTCTCTTCTTGGGCATTTAGCTTGTCACTTGTTACTGGAAATGATGCAATGAACATCCTTGTATCTTTTAAAAATGTTTTTTTCTGGGACAGAGTCTCACTCTGTTGCCAAGTCTGGCGTGCAGTGGCATGATCATGGCTCGCTGCAGCCTCTACCTCCTGGGCTCAAGCGATCCTCCCACCTGTGCACCACCACTCCTGGCTAATTTTTGTATTTTTTGTAGAGACGGGGTTTCACCATGTTGCCCAGATTGGTCTTGAACTGCTGGGCTCAAGCAATCTGCCTGCCTCAGCCTCCTAAAGTGCTGGGATTACAGGCGTGAGCCACCACTCCTGGCCCATTCTTGGATGTAAATCTTTGCAATCATGCGCAAATAGAACTGTTGGAAATACTTTTATATTGTTGGATCAAAGGAAATGGGTATTTAAGTTTTGATTGTTGTCAAATTGCCCTCCAAAGAAATTGCAGCCAGCAATGTATGGAAGTACCTAAATGCAATCTGTGATTTTATTTATTTTGTTTCTTATTTTAAAAAATATTGGGGCTGGGCACGGTGGCTCACGCCTATTATTTCAGCAGTTTGGGAAGCCGGGGCAGGTGGATCACCTGAGGTCAGGAGTTCGAGACCAGCCTGGCCAACATGCTGAAACTCCGTCTCAATTAAAAATACAAAAATTGGCCAGGCGCGGTGGTTCATGCCTGCAATTCCAGCACTCTGGGAGCCGAGGCAAGTGGATCACCTGAGGTCAGGAGTTCAAGACCAGCCTGGCCAACATGGTGAAACTCCATCTCTACTAAAAATACAAAAAATTAGCCAGGCATGGTGGTGGATGCCTGTAATTCCAGCTACTCAGGAGGCTGAGGCAGGAGAATCTCTTGAACCTGGGAGGCGGAGGTTGCAGGGAGCTGAGATTGCGCCATTGCACTGCAGTCTGGGCAACAAGAAATTAGGCTGGGCGTGATGGCTCACACCTGTAATCTCAGCACTTTGGGAGGCTGAGGTGGGTGGATCATGAGGTCAGGAGATCGAGACCATCCTAGCCAACATAGTGAAACCCCGTCTCTACTAAAAATACAAAAATTAGCCGGGGGTGGTGGTGCATGCCTGTAATCCCAGCTAGTCGGGAGGCTGAGGTGAGATAATCACTTGAACCAGGGAGTTGGAGGTTGCAGTGAGCCGAGGTCGCCCCACCGCACTGCAGCCTGGCTACAGAGCGAGACTCCGTCTCAAAAAAAAAAAAAAAAATTAGCTGGGCGTGGTGGCACACACCTGTAATCCTAGCTACTCAAGAGGCTGAGGCAGGAGAATTGTTTGAACCCAGGAGGTGGAGGTTTCAGTGGCCGAGATCACGCCATTGCACTCCAGCCTGGGCGACAGAGCAAGACTCCGTCTCAAAAAAAAAAATAAATAAAATAAAATTAGGATGCTTTGATTTGTATTTCTTTAATTATAAGTGAGATTAAAAATCTTTTCACACATTTATAAGTAATTTTATTTATTTTTCTGTGCTTTTTTCTTTTTTCTTTTGAGACAGAGTCTCACTGTGTCACCCAGGTTGTAGTCTAGTGGCATGATCACAGCTCACTGCAGCCTTGACCTCCCTGGCTAAAGTGATCCTCCTGCCTCAGCCTCCAAAGTGCTGGATAATAGGTATGAACCACCATGCCAAGCCAATAAAATTTTATTACCAAAAAAACCTTTGATTTCTTCTAAAATTTTTTTAAAAAGCTTTTTAAAAAATTTTTTTCTGCTGCTGATCTGCAACCTTCAAAGTAGGTAGTCCTTCAAATAGGCAGAGAAAAAAAGAATGCCTACTTACCTAACAAATTGCAAGCTTGCCTAGTTCCTAACCTGAAGCCTAAAGTTCAATAACAGAAAATGAAGATAGAACTAGGGTTTTGGGGTAATAGAATGTAATCAATGTCATTTAGTGACGTCTGAGGCCATTGCACAAAATACCAAAGACTGGTGTGACTTAAACAATAGGAATTTATCTGTTACAGTTCTAGAGGTTAGAGAGTTCAAGATCAGCATGGGGAGCTTATTTGGTTCCTGGTGAGGGCTCTCTTCCTGGCTTGTAGACAGCACCTTCTCCCTGTGTCCCCAGATGGTGTTTCCTTAAGTGTGTGCTTTCAGGGAGAAAGATTTCTCTCTCTCTTCCTCTTCTTCAACAATCCTATTGAATTAAGGCCCCTCCCTTATGACTTTATTTAACCTTAATTACCTCCTAAAAGCCTTATCTTCAAATACAGTCACCTTGGGGGGTTAGGGCTTCAACACAAGACATTTGGGGGAGCACAATTCAGTCCCTAGCACCTTTCCTTTTACTCAGGGCTGCATTATGACTTGTGTGGGCCCCAGGCACCTTTGCCTTTAAGGACCCCTTTTTCCTTCAAAAAAAAAAATTTAAAATGAGAGTTTCCAATTGCATTATAAAGACACATATAACGCTGGCTGAATTCATTATTATATGCTCATTATTACAGTATTCTTATTTTTGTTCTGATTTCAAAAGAAATTAAAATTAAAACATTTTCATGGGACAGTAAAATTATCACTGTGTCTACTGTGCCTAATAAGTTGATCTGGTTTTCGCAGCCAGCATCGTAGAACTATTCCCTATAGTAGTCATGGACATTGTAAATTTTTTGATCGCCTTCCCCAAAAAACCTCCAGGACCAGCAGTGGAGCTGGCTCTAAAAGAAGCGCCTATAGAGAGTGGGAGGCTGTCCAGCTGAACACAGGGAACAGCTCACACCTCCCTTCCTCCAGCAGGCTACGAATTGCCAACACATTTTGGTGAAATATAGGAGAGCTTTAGTTAATGCTTCTGCCAACCCCCTAAGGAGGTTCAGGTTGAGCATTTTTGAGAACTCTTTTTGTTAATAGACTTTTCCTTTTAATTAAGATATAATATTCATATATGAGGTATACAGAACTTAGCTGTACAGCTTGATGAGTTTTCTACTTTTTTTTTTTGAGACTGAGTCTCACTGTGTCACCCAGGCTAGAGTGCAGTGGTGTGATCTTGGCTCACTGTAAACTCTGCCTCCTGGGTTCAAGTGATTCTTGTGCTTCAGCATCCCAAGTAGCTGGGATCATAGGCACACTCCACCATGCCTGGCTAATTTGTGTATTTTTAGTAAAGACGGGGTTTCGCCATGTTGCCCAGGGTGGTCTCAAACTCCTGGACTCAAGTGATCCACCTGCCTTGGCCTCCCAAAGATCTGGGATTACAGGCATGAGCCACTGCGCCCAGCCAAGTTTCTTTTATGTGTTAAACACTTTTATTAGTTGTCTATTACTGAATAACAAATTACTCCAAAACTTAGTATATTAAATGAACAAACATTTATTTTATCCCAGTTTCTGCCAGTCAGGGATTTGGGTGGTTCTAGGTGGTTCTGGCTCAGGGTCTCTCCTGAGGTTATGGCCAAGAAGTTGGCCCAGGCTACCATCATCTGAAGGCTTGACTGGGGCTGGAGGATCTGCTGTTGAAGATGCTGTGGGAAGCTGGGCTCGGTGGCTCACACCTGTAATCCCAGCACTTTGGGAGGCCAAGGTGGGCGGATCACTTGAGGTCAGGAGTTCGAGACCAGCCTGGCCAACATGGTGAAACCCTGTCTCCACTAAAAATACAAAAATTAGCCGGGCATGGTTGCACATGTCTGTAATCTCAACTACTCGGGAGGCTGAGGCAGGTGAATTGCTTGAACCCAGGAGGCCGAGGTTCCAGTGAGCTGAGATCATGCCACTGCACTCCTGCCTGGGTGACTGAGCAAGACTCTGTCTCAAAAAAAAAAAAAAAAAAGATGCTGTGGGAAGGAGGCCTCAGTTCCTCCTCTCCATAGGCTGCTGAGTGTCCTCAGGACTTGGCAGCTGGCTTCCTCCAGAAGGAGTGATCCAAAAGGGATTGAGAGCAAGGCAGAGCCATAATGTCTGTTATGAGTTAGCCTCAAATGTTATATGCCATCACTTCTGCCATGTAATACTGGGCACACAGACCAGTCCTGATGCAGTGTAGGAAGGGGACCAGACAAGGACAAGAGGAGGGGAGCACTGGGGCCATCTTGGAGGCTGGCAACCACAACATCCATGTAGCCAACACCCAGAGGAAGGATATGGAAACTTTAGCACTTCAGAAGCCTCCTTTATGCCCCTTTCCCAGTCGATATCATCACCCCTCCTTTAACCGGGAGGCAACCACTCTTCTGATTTCTCTCACTGTAAGTTGGTTTTGCCTGTCCTTGAACTTCATGTAAAGGGAATCATACTCCTCTGCGTCTGGTTTCTTTCACTGAACATTATGTGTGTGGCTCATCCACATTACTTGTGGTGGTAGCATCTTTTAAAAGAATTGCTGTGTAGTATTCCATGGCTCAAACATATCATGGCAGACATCTGGGTTGTTTCTTCTTCCAGTTTGGGCTGTTACAAATAAAGGTGCTGTGAGCACTGTTGTACAGGTCATGTGTTCAGTATACACACTCAATTACTTTGGGTTCTGTGATAGACTTTTTAAACTCTTTACTTACGCAAGCCAAATTTTATAGACATCTTCATTTAAAATAGCTTACAGCTACAACTCATGACTTTAGTACCAATGGTTATGACCTACTCGGAAATGGGCATTGTTGCTCAGAATTCTGGTAAAATGTTACTCATCCTAGTAAGGAAGGATGTTTGAGTTGGTGATTAATCCAGTCATGGGTTGTGGTGTAACTTCCACTCAGTTAGGATGCTACCAGAGTTGGAATGACTTGTGGTTTAGCAGTCAGGGTTTCAAACTGGCATTGCCTTCCCTGCAGGATTTGCTCACAGGACATAGTTTCCTTTGCCAGGGGTGGTTTTTGATCAAATGTTTCCTAAAATGGAGAGTCCAACTCCTGTAAACTGAAGACTTTCTAAGACTATTCTTAAAACTTGAAATGTAGGAATAACAACAGCATTTCACTCATTAAAGCTCGGAGGATTCAATCCTAGTGAGGGAGGGAAGAAGAACCAAAGATAGCGGAAGGAATTTTTTCTGTTGACAGAGATAAGGCTGACATGTCACCTAAGAACTGAAGATCTTTAATTAACTTCCTTTATGTTATTTTTATTTTACTTTATTTTATTTTTACTTTTTGAGATGGAGTCACACTCTGTCGCCCAGGCTGGAGTTCAGTGGTGCGATCTTGGCTCACTGCAACCTCCGCCTCCTGGGTTCAAGTGATTTTCCTGCCTCAGCCTCCTGAGTAGCTGGGATTATGGGCGCCCACCACCACACCTGGCTAATTTATTAAGTTTTAGTAGGGACAGGGTTTCGGCATGTTGGCCAGGCTGGTCTCGACCTCCTGGCCTCAAGTGATCTGCCCGCCTTGGCCTCCCAAAGTGCTGGGATTATAGATGTGAGCCACTGTGCCTAGCTGAATTCCTTTGTTGAAACATAACCTCATTCATATTAATAAATTAATTTTTTTTTTGAGAGAGAGGGAATTGCTCTATTACCCAGGCTGGAGTGCAGTAGTGAGATCACAGCTCGACCTCCCAAGGCTCAAGTGATCCTCCTACCTTAGCCTCCTGAGTAGCTGGGACTTCTGGCACACACCACCATGCCAGGCTAATTTTTTGTATTTTTTGTACAGACGGAGTCTCACTTTGTTGCCCAGGCTAGTCTCAAACTCTTGGGCTCAAGTGCTTTTCCCACCCCAGCCTCCCAAAGTGCTGGGATTAGAAGCATGAGCCACCATGCCTAGCCTCACTCATATTTTAAAATTACCTGAAAGTATTGCTAAAAATAAGGATTAGGTCACCAGGAAAAGAATCGAAGACTTTCCAGACCCAGTGATACATAGGTTATTTAACTGAGGGCTAAGTATAGTCAGAGGGCCCAGAGAAAACACCTCTGTGTGACTAGTTTACCCTCCATGTGTTCATTACATTAAGCAGAAGAATAATTATTTTCACATTTCTCGACTAGAATGTCTAATGCTAGTTTTGCCTGTCATTTTTTGTTTTTGTTTTTCTCCATGCTTTGAAGTACAAATACTAGGGTCTGAGCTGCTATGGCTCAATGGCATGAAATATCATAACATGGTGTGGCTTTGTTCACAGCCAGGCATGTTCTAAGCACTTTAGCATCTTTTCACAGTGAGATGAAGTTCACCAATTTGGCTGGGCAAGGTGGCTCATGCCTGTAATCCTAGCACTTTGAGAGGCCAAGGCAGGCAGATCGCTTGAGTCCAAGATTTGGAGGCCAGCCTGGGCAACATGGCGAAACTCCAGCTTTACCAAAATACGAAAGTTAGCCAGGCATGGTGGTGCGTGCCTGTAGTCCCAGCTACTTGGTAGGCTGAGGAAGGAGGATCGTTCGAACCCAGGATGCAGAGGTTGCAGTGAGTTGAGATCGTGCCATTACACTCCATCTTGGGTGACAGACCAGGACCCTGTCTCAAAAAAAAAAAAAATCACCAATTAAAACCAATCAACCAGCATAGGTATAGATCCGCAACCATAAATTATCTCATTTGACCAGGCCTGTTTGCATTGCACCACGCCTATTTGCATCTCTATAGGGTGGTACCAAGTCTGTTTTTTTCATGTTGCCTTAGTCTTAGTACAGAGCAGAGGCAATGCACACTGATAGTTGGCCGGTGATTCCTAGAAAGCATCAGGAGTATCTTCACAAATACAATTCTATCCAGTGAGGAGTAGAATCATTTCAAGGGAATAATTTTATTTAATTTAACGTTAGCTCCAGGTCCACTCACCAATCCTTATCCATAATCTCCATTACAAGGCCAGAATTCTTTTTTTTTTCTTTTTTTTTTTAGATGGAGTCTCACTCTGTAGCCCAGGCTGGAGTGCAGTGGCACGATCTCGGCCCACTGCAACCTCTGCCTCCCGGGTTCAAGCGATTCTCCTGCCTCAGCCTCCCGAGTAGCTGGGATTACAGGTACCTGCCCCTGTGCCCGGCTAATTTTTGTAGTTTTAGTAGAGATGGGGTTTCAACATCTTGACCAGGCTGGTCTTGGAACTCCTGACCTCGTGATCCACCCTCCTCGGCCTCCCAAACTGCTGGGATTACAGGCAAGAGCCACCACGCCCAGCCACAAGGCCAGAATTCTTTGATGACTGAACAAGCTCATCAAAGACAGAGTGGTGGAGCAAAAGCAGCCTCGAGTTTCCCAGCCTTTGTGTCATATGGCCACACTTCTTCACGTGGTTCGCTGCCTGCTCTCCTCTCCTGGAGACCTTCTCCTTCCTCATTATGTTTCACTTCCTGCTCTTGTTCATTGTTTCATTCTCTTTGCTGAGTTCCCTTCTTTCAAAGTTTATTCTCAGTTTGCCATCTGTTTAAAAAAAAATGTATTAAATTTAGAGGCAGGGCCTTGCTATGTTGCCCAGGCTGGTCTTCAATTCCTGGGCTCAAGTAATCCTCCCGCCTCAGCCTCCCTTCAGACAGTAGCCACTATGCCCAGCCATTTTGCCATCTCTTTTATTCTCAGCAGATTCTCCGTGGGGACCTCATTCATCCCATGACTTTGACCATCACCTCTATGCAGATGATGCCTACACTAGTAACAACAGCCTTGTCCTAAACATTAATTTGTTATTTCCAACTGCCTTCTAGAATCTATTTCACAGATCCTTCCAAGTGAACATGTCCAAACTCTATCTCCTCACCCCAAATCTGCTATTCTTCCCTATTGCCTAACAAAGTTATTGGCTCATCCACCTTGTAAACTTTGTGGGCCAAGAAGAATTAACAAAGCCAGCCCAAGACTGCCTATCCTTAGGAAGTCCTGCTTACAAGGTTGGCCCTCAGCTGACAAACAGTTCCCTACACTGATATCAAACTTGCCCTAAATGATAAGAAGTATTCACTTTGCCTTAACTGTTTGTGCAAACAATGTGGTTTATACTGAATGCCTGTTTTCCTTCTGGAGGTCTTGATTTTTGGTAAATGCTAGGCAGAAGGGATCTATGTGACCAGCTCCCGGTTGAAACCCTGAGCACTAAGTCTTCAATGAGTTTCCTTGGTAGACAACACTTGCTGCCACAACTCGGTTGCTGGAGGAATTAAGCTCATTCTGTGGGAGAGGTTTCTCAGAAGCTTGCACCTGCTGTCTTCTATCTTTGCTCTATTTTCCTTTTGTCTTTGCTGATTTTGCTATGTGTCTTTTTGCTGTAATCTTAACCATGTATTTGAGTATACATGTATATGTAACCATGTATATGAGTATATTTATGAGTAAACTAGATATATGAGTCCTATGTCTTCCTAGCAAGTCACTACACCTGGGGATGATCTTGGGAATGCCTAACACACTTTAGCACAATTCTTAGCTCTCCTTTCTTTTCTTCATCCTCTATATTTAATTGTCACCAATTATCATTAACTCTACCTGCAAGTATTTTCAAAAACATGTCCCATATTCTCCACCTTCACTGCTCTGATGCTACAATTGTGACTCCATCTGGGCACCACTGCCTCCTCCACCTTCCCCCAGAAAGCAAAAGTAAAATTCCCAAGATTGGAGGACAGCACCAAGACACCACTACAAGGTAGACTGTCTTTCAAAGCCAGTTACCTCAACTGTAAGATGGGGATGGTAATAGTGTTTATTTCATAGGGTTGTTGTCAGGTGTAAATGAAAAAAATGCGTAACACTTTATAAGATTATCTATCTAAAGTGCTTAGCACGTAACAATCCTTTAACAAATTTTAGTTGCTGCTTTTATTTTTATTGATTTACTTATTTTGAGACAGGGTCTCACTCTATCACCCAGGCTGGAGTGTACCATTGCAGCCTCAACCTCCTGGACTCAAGCCATCCTCCCACCTCAGTCTCCCAAGTAGCTGGGACTGCAGGTGTGAACCACCACCATGTCCGGCTAATTTTTTTATTTTTAGAGAGATGGGCGTCTCACTATGTTGCCTAGGCTGGTCTTGATCTCCTGAACTCAAGTGATCCACCTCGCCTTGGCCTCCGAAAGTGCTGGGTTTACAGGCGTGAGCCACCGGGACTCCTCACCTGGCCACTACCTCTGAAACATCCAGTTCTAGCACCAAAAGCACTTTGTTAGGAAATTAGGAACTCAGCTTCTCACCCCTATAATCTGTAGCCCCCCACCAAAATACAGGCATCTCTGCCTGGTTCTAAGTAGCCTGGTATTTGGGGGCACTCTTTTCCTCTGAGTAGGTGTCTCAGTGTGGGATTTATGAAGAGACGTAGCTTTCTTGTGGCGGCAGAGGGTGGATGGAGCAGATGGAAGCCAGGATGTTCCTGTAAATCTCCATATTCCTGATGTTACTGCTGCAAATTATTGTCTCCTACACCAACAGTTCTGCAAAACCACCAGCTACTTCACAAGAGAAAGTTATTGCAAAGGACTAAAGGGCCAGGAGCATCATAAATAATACAAATCAGAAAATTTTCTATTTTCAGCATCTTAAATAACTGTCCCAAGAATTCTTTTCTGAATGAAAACTTTTTGGAATCATTTCATTCTCTACAGCAGAGATAATGAAATCATAGGTCCATTACTAAAATAAAGTTTAAATATCTATTTAGGGTCCCAAATATCAATATATTTACAGAGTTGAATTATTCACCCTAAAATTCCATGCTACTAAAAATCACATAGCAATAACTCTTGATTAAAAACAAAAAGAAAAAAGCAGCAAAGGCAAATGGGGTAGTATATTAACTTTATTTTGAATTATTATATAACATGGAATATGTCATCAAAGAATGAATTAATGAAAAACGTTTGTAGTTCAGTTAAGCAGATGATTTGCATAGGAATTGCTAGTTTTAAGTCTTAGGATGCGGAGCTAACTGAATTGTCAATTAGATTAACATAGAATAATCATTTACATGTGTGCAAACTAAAATGCAATTTTGAAAATAACACACCTTTCCGTACAGTCTTTGGTAGGTGATGATTCATTTTCCCTGCTATGGGTAATCTCATCTAGATCAAATGTGATCCTTCTAAGCTAGACACCTCTTCCCTACAGTAAGAAGGCCTCCATATTGTTCAAGCTACTGGCTTCAATTTTATGGCTCTAATATTGTTCAAGAACATTACCCACTTAAAACTATTGATGTAATAGGCCAATTACATGTTTTAGTGAAAAACAGTAAGTTTGTGATTCATCCCATTTTGGCTTTTGGAACTTTGTTATCAGTACCCATAACGTTTTGCTTTGTATCAGTGATTAGCAACTATTTTTGCCATAAGGGCTAACTAAGGGGAAAATACAAAGCATTTAATGCCATATTATTTTCCTCTTCAAAATGAATATAGCTTTTTGAAATTCGCACAGGAGAAAATGTATATTTGTACAAATTTGCTGAATAAAAGAATGTCAATGAGGAAATGGCATTGATTTTAGCCACCAAAATGTTTATATCTGGATGTTTTAGCAACAGAGAGCTTTCTAATATTTTATCCTAGAATCAGGTTGCAGGCTTTTTGTATAGCTGGTCAGGCTGTAGGCACCTGTGGGGCCTGTGAGTTGCTCATTTGCTTGAGACATTTATCAAAATATGCTGATTTTTGTTGCATTAATTGTTATAAATTTTAAGAGAATATCTTCTAA
Source organism: Homo sapiens (assembly GCF_000001405.40). NCBI lineage: Eukaryota > Metazoa > Chordata > Mammalia > Primates > Hominidae > Homo > Homo sapiens. The sequence goes on from NC_000018.10 coordinate 23,599,840, forward strand.
TTTTGAAGATTATATTCTATTATTTACTGAATTAAAGATAATCCTTTTAGTAACTCTGAAAGTTGGTTAAACAAAAATTCTTTTGGGATTACAACATTTTCCTCTAAAAGTGTCTTTACATAGACACTGACTGAAAACCAGAGCAGAACATGAAGAAATAAGCTAAAGATGTGTTTAAATAGCAGAAATACCATTGCGTTTATTTTGGTAGATTACAGAAAGAAGGTTTTATTTTTGTATGTGCAGTTAGGCACTGACTGAGGCATTTAGACACCATTAATTATAAAGTGCATTGAATATAAGTTTTGATCCCTTTCAAAGGAATAATTCAATAAACCTCATATTTCATTCTTGGAATCAGTCAACTCAAAAACATGCATAGATGAAGACTTACTAAGTGCTAATAACAGTCTTTTATTATTTATATTCCTGCAATAGTAATAGCAACATACTGTACTTGCATATATCACATTTTATCCAAGGACCTCAAAGTCATTCTATCAAGCAGCACGGTGTTGGAAACTCAAGATTCCACAGCATGTTAGGTATACTTACTTATAGAATAGGAAATAGATTCCCAACAATAGAGCCAAAATAAAAGACCAAAGAGACAAGCCTATATATTTCTCGTGGTTTATAAGTTTCTGAATTTCCAAATTTGCCACTGGTATTTTAACCTACCTACAATGTTGACTCTACGTAAAATTGATTTTTACATGTCAGGAATAAGATGAGGATCAACGAACAAATGCACAGTCTGTCTTTTCTATAGTTCAATAGTCCATCTTTGAATAGCACATAATGGAATGTCAGAAGTGGTTTTTTAATAATGTATGTTTACACTTCATTGATTTATAACAATCATGGCTATGGTTCTTGGGTAGAGGAGAATGTTTTATACTGGAATGACATACATATGTAGGTAAAATATGATAGATCTATATATTTTAGCACATCTACATTTAACACAAAAGCAAAAGTGCCTCAATCCATTGAAGGTCAGCTTTTCAGTCTTTTAAAGGAACAAAGCATTCTGTCTCCTTGCTTAGTACTGAGAACCCTGTCCACCTTAGAGTTTAACTGACAGGTCCAAGTTAGCATTGTTGAAAATGAGTTTCTGTGGAATCTGTGAACATGCCAGGCCCCCCGGGAGATGAGTTACAGGACACCATGAGAAGTCCATGGTGAAGGGGCAAGAGGGTCCCTGAGCTGTTTGGTTCTTGACTTCGTGCACAGAGCGTAGCTCTTCTTTGTCAGGGACCCACAGGATGGGCATTCTGGGCATCTTTTTTTTTCATAAAAGAATTTCCAACACTGCTTGAAATGCAATTTCTTTTTGGACAATGTGGTTAAGCTTTCTATCTTTCTGTCAAATATGGAGCTAAGTTAGCTCTTTCTGGGACCTTCTTTACTTCTCAGGAGACGCAATATACGTTCATTTTTGGTTAGTTCTGCCGGAAGTTCATTGGCCTGAAAGAAGAGAAGATGGGCATTAGTGAATCCCCATAGCTGGTGTGGTTTTAGGGACTCCAAAGAGGGGCATTTGACCCACTCTTTCTCCTTCACTAATGAAAAAAATCCACACTGGACTCACTCTTTTATATAAAGGTATTACAAATCTTCTTTAAATGTATAAATATTACTTGTTATATCCTTATCTCATTCTTAGAGACATTTTCCAGCCAGATCCCTTACTAGACTGTAATCTCTTAGGGGGAAGGGTCCAGATCTAATTAATCATTGTATCCTTATCTCCAGCACAATGCCCAGCATGTCTAAAATGTGCTCAATAAGTACCGGTCAAATTAAATGTTATACCTTATATGTATTTTATTATTATTATTTTTTGAGACAGGGTCTTGCTCTGTCACCCAGGCTGGAGTGCAGTGTTGCAATCATGGCTCACTGCAGCGTTGACCTCCCCAGCTCAAATGATCCTCCCACCTCAGCCTCCCGAGTAGCTGGGACCACAGATGTGCACCACTATGCTCGGCTAATTTCCAGAGATGGGGTTTGCCATGTTGCCCCAGCTGGTCTTGAACTCCTCGGTTTAAGTGATCCTTCTGCCTCAGCTTCCAAAGTGTTGGGATTACAGGCATCAGCCACCGTGCCCAGCCTACCTTATATTTATTAATGTATGACATGAGGTAGTCTGCCCACTAAGGACTTGGGACTGAGTCAGGACTCAGCACAGGTGTCTTTTTTTTTGTTTTTTGAGATGGAGTCTCACTTTGTCACCCAGGCTGGAGTGCAGTGGTGTGACCTCGGCTCACTGCAATCTCTGCCTCCTGGGTTCAAGCAATTCTCCTGCCTCAGCCTCCCGAGTGGCTGGGACTACAGGCATGTGCCACCATGCTCGGCTGAATTTTGTATTTTTAGTAGAGATGGGGTTTCGCCATTTAGCCAGGCTGGTCTTGAACTCCTGACCTCAAGTGATCCGCCCGCCTCCGCCTCCCAAGGTGCTGGGATTACAGGTGTGAGCCACCGCGCCCGGGCCAGATATCTTTTGATGAGAAGGCAGAGATAGGAAACCTCCAGAGCATAAGAGACACCCGGGAAAGAAGAGCATTGGTGGCTAACACCTTCCACCTTACTCAGTATCACTCGAAGGCCTTTCTTTTCACATTGCTGCTGAGATACATCCATTAGGCATCTAGTGAACCAGTCCCTACCATTGACAACAGGTGTGATGTGGAAGTGGCTCTCAAACCTGTTGGTTTCAGGACCCTTTATACTCTCAAAAATTACTGAAGAGTCTAACAAATTTTGTTTTTAACTTATTAAAAATGAAAGCTGAGGGCTATGCGCAGTGGCTCACACCTGTAATGCTAGCACTTTGAGAGGCTGAGGTGAGAGGACCACTTGAGCTCAGGAGTTGGAGACCAGCCTGGGCAACATAGTGAAACCTCATCTCTATTATTTAGAAAGAAAATATTTTCAAAAAGAAAAAAAAAAGAAATTAAAACTGAGAAAATTTTAAAAATATATTTATTAATTCACTAAAAATAATAAATCCAAGTTAATATAGTTATGAAAAATTAAATTTTCAAAAACAAGTAAAAATTCTCAGAAGAGTAGCACTGCTCAACAGCTTTACATATTTCTTTCATGTGTAGCTTAACAGAATACAATTGGATTCTCATATCTCCATCTGTATCCTGTCTATTGTGATATGCTGTTTTGGTAGAAGGATATAAAGAAAATTAAGCTTCACACAGATATGTAGCTGGAAAAGGAAGGAGTATTTTAACAGTCTTTTTGGATTGCTGTGGATATTATTCTCTGATGCCACATCAATACTCAACAAATGGTAGTTTCTTAAAGGTTAAATGCAATGTGGGATTTGAAACCATACCAATGAACTTTAAAACCCACAGGTTTATCTATTTATAGTTGGATCTTTTACCTATGCATGGTTTGTAACATGCACTGCTCATTTGGAAAATATCAGTTCACTGAGTTTGTAGAATGTTGGCACATTTCATTGTGCAATATCAAAAACTCACATTCTGGCTGGGCGTGGTGGCTCACGCCTGTAATCCCAGCACTTTGGGAGGCCAAGGCAAGTGGATCACCTGAGGTCACAAGTTTAAGACCAGCCTGGCCAATATGGCAAAAACCTGTCTCCACTAAAAATACAAAAATTAGCTGGGCGTGGTGGCACATGCCTGTAATCCCAGCTACTCAGGAGGCTGAGGCAGGAGAATCCCTTGAACCTGGGAGGCGGAGGTTGCAGTGAGCTGAGATCACGCCACTGCACTCCAGCCTGAGTGATAGTGAGAGAGACTCCATCTCACAAACAAACAAACAAAAAAACTGATCCATCAGAAAAGCCTTTAAGTTTTGGGAAGCTGTTAAGGTCATAGTGGTAGATACCTTGTTCTTTCAAGTAAAAATAGTGATCTATGAAAAAAGTGGCAGGTTCACTTTGCAATTCAAACAACTGCACAGGGACTGTGGAGGCTAATGCAACTCCATCTTGGATGCTAATCTGCCATGTTTACTTCTTTTTTTTTTTTTTAAGACGGAGTCTCACTCTGTTGCCCAGGCTGGAGTGCAGTGGTGCCATCTCGGCTCACTGCAACCTCTACCTCCCGAGTTCAAGTGATTCTCCTGCCTCAGCCTCCCCAGTAGCTGGGATTATAGGTGCACACCACCATGCCCAGCTAATTTTTGTATTTTAGTAGAGATGAGGTTTCATCGTGTTGGCCAGGCTGGTCTCGAACTCCTGACCTCAAGTGATGCGCCTGCCTCGGCCTCCCAAACTGCTGGGATTACAGGTGTGAGCCACCGCACTCAGGCTGCCATGTGATTAACCCTAGTTTTGGGAATGCCTCTAAGATTCCTATTTTATCTACTTTTTTGTGTTTCCTACTGAAAATCCTGACCATAGGTCAAAACGACCTTGCCCATAAGTCCTGCCCTTAGGCAGTCACGTAGTGTTCTTGCCTTTCCCTGAGAGGTTGACTTCACTTGTCCTGTATATTCCTTCCCTTAGGCCCTGGGTCTGGGGGGTGGTGTCCTGAGACTATGACTCCTGTCCCTGTTACTTTCTGAGAAACTGGATATGTCAGCCTGTTTTTATTTTTTTCTTCTTTTCTGCTGAGATCATCTGGATGTCAGCTTCTTTCTTGGCTTCTCAGCTTCTTCAGACTTTTGGGGGCAGTTTTGCCTGCTCACCGCCCAACAGGTGCTTTTTTTTTTCCTTTTGAGATGGAGTCTCAATCTGTTGCCATGCTGGACTGCAGTGGCGCAATCTCAGCTCACTGCAACCTCCGCCTCCCCGGTTCAAGCGATTCTCCTGCCTCAGCCTCCCGAGTAGCTGGGACTACAGGAACGTGCCACCACACCTGGCTAATTTTTGTATTTGTAGTAGAGATGGGGTTTCACCATGTTGGCCAGGATGGTCTCGATTTCTTGACCTCATGATCCACCTGCCTCAGCCTCCCAAAGTGCTGGAATTACAGGCGTGAGCCACCGTTCCTGGCCAGGTGCTTTTTCTTGAGATAATCATCATACTTCAGTACACAGCAGAAGTGCTGTAGGCATGTTTTCCATTTCATCACACAGAATTTTATTTTATTTTATTTATTTATTTTGAAACAGAGTCTTATTCTGTCGCCCAGGCTGGAGTGCAATGGCACAATCTCTGCTCACTACAGCCTCTGTCTCCCGGGTTCAAGTGATTCTCCTGCTTCAGCCTCCTGAGTAGTTGGGATTACAGGCGCCCACCACTGTGCCTGGCTAATTTTTATATTTTTAGTAGAGATGGGGTTTCGCCATGTTGGACAGGCTGCTTTTGAACTCCTGACCTCAGGTGATCCACTCGCCTTAACCTCCCAAAGTGCTGGGATTACAGGTGTTAGCCACCATGCCCGGCCCAGAATTCTGTTTTATTTATTTATTTTTTTAGACAGATGGTCTCACTGTGTCACCCAGGCTGGCATGCAGTGGTGCAATCATAGCTCATGACAGCCTCAAACTCTCTGGGCTCAAGCTGGGACTACAGGTGTGTGCCACTATCCCTGGCTTATTTTTTTTCTGGAGAGATAGGGTCTTGCTATGTTGCCCAGGCTGGTCTTAAACTCCTGGCCTCAAGCAGTCTTCCCACCTAGGCCTCCTGAAGTGCTGAGATTATAGGTGTTGGCCACTTTGCCCCGCCATCACACAGAATTTTATTATTATTATTATTGTCATTATTTTTTGAGACAGAGTCTCGCTCCGTCACCCAGGCTGGAGTGCAGTGGTGAGGTCTCGGCTCACTGCAACCTCCGCCTCCCGGGTTCAAGCAATTCTCCTGCCTCAACCCCCTGAGTAGCTGGGATTACAGGCATGCGCGACCATGCCTGGCTAATTTTTGTATTTTTAGTAGAGACGGGGTTTCACCATGTTGGCCAGGCTAGTCTCGAACTCCTGACCTCACATGATCCACCTGCCTCGGCCTCCCAAAGTGCTGAGATTACAGGCATGAGCCACCGCACCCAGCCAATTACACAAAATTTTAAAAAGATGTATAGGAAGAGCCAAAATTTAATAAAATTGACATATTTTTACTGCTTCATCAGAGACATTCTTAAGTACAACTGGTATTTTTGTAGAGTAATTTACAAAATTTGTAAAATAATTTACAAAGGCTTGTAAAATATTTTGCCAGTACAGTTTAGTGTTCCTGCTTTGAGGTGTACTAAGGCCCCAACAGTTTCACCCACCATTGCTTTTGCTTTTGTACCATTAGAGCAAATGTCAGCACAGTGAAAAAGGCAGATAAGATCTTGTTTGCTTTTATAGGGGACAGGTTTTCTCTCTGTTGCTAAGGCTGGAGTGCAGTGGCACAATCATGTAGCTCACTGCAGCCTTGAACTCCTGGGTTCAAGTGATCTTTCCACCTCAGCCACCCTAGTAGTTAGGACTACAGGCACACACCACCATGCCCAGCTATGTTTTTTGTTTTTTAATTTCTTAAAGAGATGAGGTCTTGCTGTATGGCCCATGCTGGTCTTGAACTTTTGGCTTCAAGCGATCCTGCTGCCTCAACCTTCCATACTGCTGGGATTACAGGCATGAACTACCTCAACTGGCTAACATCTTTTTATTATCAAGAATATGGTTTTGAATTCTTTTTTAAAATTGTAAATAGATTTTTATTTCTTTTGTAGAGAGGGGGTCTTGCTATATTGCCCAGGTTGGTCTTGAACTTCCAGGCTCAAGTGATCCTCCCACCTCTGCCTCCCAAAGTGCTGGGATTACAGGCATGAGCCACTACACCCAACCTTGTTTTGACTTCTTAGACCCCCTGTATGGGTCATGAAGATCTTCAGGGGTCCAAGGATCCCACTTTGAGAAATGTTTGTATAGAGGAATCAGAAGGACTTTCTTGTGGCCAGGCATGGTGGCTCATGCCTATAGTTCAGCTACTCAGGAGGCTGAGGCAGGAGTATCACTTAAGCACAGGAGTTCAAGGTTACAGTTAGCTATGATGGCAACACTGCACTCCAGCCTGGGTGACAGAGACTCTGTCTCTAAAAAGAAAGAAGGATGTTCTGGGAATTTCAGGGGAGGCCATTAAAGGGTAAAGCGGCAGGCAGTATCGGGGATGGAGGCTTGGTTGTAGATGTTACCTGTCTCACCATATTTTCTTCTCCAGCAGCCAAGCCTGGAACCCCAGTTGCTTTATCTGGAAACTTGATCCTAGGTGAAACTTCTGCAGTCCCCATCTTCTAGCTGGATCCTGCCCCCTGACCTCTATCTGCTGGCTGGAACCTCACTTGTTAGGAATTGTAAGTTTGTCACAAGTGGTCTGCTGTGCAGCATGTCCTGTGGCTGCACCCCTTCTCACCACATGGGACCCTGGATGCCGATGCTGGATTCAATCACAGAGGAAATTATTATGCTATGCTACTACAGACCAGAGGCTCCTCTATGGGGTCAAGTTCTGTTAGCTTAGTTCCTGCAGGAACAGATATTGTACAGGCCTAACACCTGGGCCTGCAGAGAAATGCTCCTGGTAAACAGACCTAAGCTTCATCCAGTCTCAGAGCAAACACTCAGGAATAACTGAGCTGTCTACATCAGTGGCTGGTCCATGGTAAGCAGACTGGCAGGTAGTTAGAGGAACCTCTACAGTCAAGGAGAAGGGAGCTTAAGAAGCTCTACCTCTGTCTACCAGCCTGCCAGCGTGTTGCCTTGTGTGACCATCTCCATGAATGTCCATATCCTCTGCTATTAAAAAAAGCTTTATACTTTCAAATCATGTTGTCAAGTTTTGGTCATTCACATCACCATTCTGTCTTCCATGCTGTTCTAAAATCCTGGTTTAATTGCTCTTCCCTCCCCGTTAGTCCCCACTAGATTCTCAGGTTGCTGAGATTGTACAGATTGATGTGATGGCGAGTGCCCCAGGCTAGCCCCTAAAGGCTATCTCGTTCATTATGGAGCAGGAGCATAGGCCCATATTCATGATACTACAGTATTAAACCACTAAATCTCCCCACTGCTCCTGGGAGAAGATGTGCTCAGTCAAGGGTGTTGGGAACATAAGACCCCTGCACCCAGGGGTATGGCTACAGTCTGAGGAATGGCTATAGTGTGAGGAATGGCTGTTGGGGCCACTGGTTGGCCTTCTCCTCAGGCATCTGTCTCGAAGCCCCAGAGCAGAAGTCTTGGAACTCCTGGAGCAGAAGAGTGTTCTGTACTAGCTGAGAAGTCACTTTCTCCTGGAAGCCTCCAAACCATTCTTTACTCCCCTGCTTACAGCTGTCACTCCATATTGCAATTGCTTTAATTGTCTTTATTCCCCACTAAACTCTGAGCTTCATGAAAGCAGCAACTGTGAATCTTATTCACTATGGCATTCCCAGCACATAGCACAGTGCATGGTATCTAGTGTTTGTTGAATGAAAGAATGAAAGCCAAGAATGCTCCTTCTGCAGGAATCCCAACACCCTTGCCTATGGAGCTGCTATTAGCAAGACTGGCTTCTATGGAGTGGCTGGTAGGAAGCTGGGGACTTCCCTGGCGGCTCCTCCCAGGTGTCTGAGGGCTTCTGCAGTATGAAGGTCCAACAGGAGTGCCCACACATGTTTTCAAGTCATTTTTAAGGGAGGGTCCAAAGTCTAGCATTCTGCCCACTGGAAAATACTTATAACCATTATTGCTGGTGATTATTCCATTATTCTAGGAGATGCACAAGGAATTGCATTTTTCAGTTTCTATATACAGGTACTAATATTTCCTCCCTGTGAAACCGCCTTTGCAAAATTATAACTGAGGAAATTAAGACAGTGAAAGAAATCAGACCTAACCAACTCCATCTTGCTTCTAACCTTTAAGCTGTGCTTGTTCATTGCTGGGCATAGGTCAGACTAACTTTGGGAAGGAATTCAGCTCATGGTTTGACTCTGAAACAAAATTGATAACAGCCCTTTCCCGAAAAGACCCCCTTCTTGCCTGGGGACCAGTCTGCCTTTGTAGGACTAACAAATTAGCTACAAGATTAGAAATTACAATTTAGGGCCGGGCGCGGTGGCTCACGCCTGTAATCCCAGCACTTTGGGAAACCCTGTTTCTCAAAGTGAAAGTTGGTGAAACCCTGTTTCTACTAAAAGTACAAAAAATTAGCCTGGCATGCCCCTGTAATCCCAGCTACTCGGAAGGCTGAGGCAGGAGAATCGTTTGAACCTGGGAGGCGGAGGTTGCAGTGAGCTGAGATCGCACCATTGCACTCCAGCTTGGGCAACAAGAGAGAAATTCTGTTTCAAAAAAAAAAAAATTCAATTTAGGGGTCATGCAGCTTCTGGCTCGAAGAGTTTGAACTGCCCCGATTTGCTCCGGGGGTAACATCACTATTGTAAGACCTAAGATTAGTGCTTGAAATATTTTGCAGACCTTGCACTTGATGGATCAGCGACACCACCCAGACCAGTAATCTGGCCCAATCAGTTCTGCCATCGCACCTAGAAACAGAAAACATTAAGAAAACCTAACTTTGACCCCCTATGATTCCATCTCCAATCTGACCAATCAGCACTCCCTACTTCCCAAGCCCCTATCCGCCAAATTATCTTTAAAAACTCTGATCCCCAAATGCTCGGAGATACTGATTTGAGTAATAATAAAACTCCTATCTCCCGCACAGCTGGCTCTGCGTGAATTACTCTTTCTCCACTGCAAGTCCCCTGTCCTGATACATCGGTTCTGTCTAGGCAGCAGGCAAGGTGAACCCATTGGGCGGTTACACTTGCTTGGATTCAGGAGGGTCCAAAGTCCAGCATTTTGCCCACTTGAAATTACTCATAACCATTATTGTTGGTAGTTATTCCATTATTCTAGGAGACACACAAGGAATTGCATTTTTCAGTTCCTATGTAAAGGTATTAATGTTTCCTCCTTGCCTTAATTCAGGACTGGATAGCTCACCAACAAAGACTGGTCTCTTTAGGAAGTCTGTGCACAAGGTCTAAAGATAAGATCTAAAGAAAGGCAATTGTGATTTCAACTGGCTTATCACACAGCCAGGCCAGCTAATGGAAAACAAATCCAAGTATCTAAGGAGAGATAAGCAGAAATGTTATAGACAAGCAATTCAATGGGAATGGGGAAGTAATACTTCTACATGCTGAGTCAAATGAAAAAAGTGACCCCTGGCATGTTGTTTAACTGGCACTTCTTAAGGTTTCTTTTCAAAATGTCATGAAATGTTATATGTTTTTGTTTTTATTATTAAAAAAAAATTTAACACAGTAAGATATGCTTAGAAAAATTCAGAGTATGTTAAGTATAAAGTAAAAGTTGCTTTTCATATCCTCCTCTATTCGTAAACACCAATACCACTTTCTCCTCCAAAAGTTTGTAGTTTATGGCTGGGCGCAGTGGCTCACGCCTGTAATCCCAGCACTTTGGGAGGCCGAGGGGGGCGGATCACAAGGTCAAGAGATGGAGACCATCCTGGTCAACGTGGCAAAACCCTGTCTCTACTAAAAATACAAAAAAATTAGCTGGGCATGATGGTGCACACCTGTAGTTCCAGCTATTGGGCAGGCTGAGGCAGGAGAATTGCTTGAACCTGGGAGGTGGAGGTTGCAGTGAGCTGAGATCGTGCCACTGCACTCCAGCCTGTCAACAGAGTGAGACTCTGTCTCAAAAACAACAATAGCAACAGAAAAGTTTGTAGTTTAGGCCAGGTGTGGTGGCTTATGCCTATAATACCAGCACTTTGGTAGGCCAAGGTGGGAGGATTGCTTGAGACCAGGAGTTCAAGACCAGCCTGGGCAACACAGCAAGAACACATCTCTATAAAAAGAAAAAAATTTACATTTAAATAAATAATAAATAAGTAAATAAAGGTTGTAGTTTAGTGCATTTTCTCTCTACTCCGTCGTTCAGGGTGGATTGCAGTGGCGTGACCATGGCTCACTGCACCCTTGACCTCCTTGGCTGGGTTCAGGTAATCCTCCCACCTCAGCCTCCTCAGTAGTTGGGACTACAGGTGCACACCACCACACCTGGCTAATTTTTGTATTTTTTGTGGAGACAGGCTTCGCCATGTTGCCCAGGCTGGTCTTGAACTCCTGGGCTCAAGCAATCTACCTGCCTCAGCCTCCCAAAGTGCTGGGTTTACAGGAGTGGGCCTTTGCGCCTGGCGCATGCATTCTCTCAAGACCTTTCCTAGGCTACTCTCCTCTGCTGCAATCTATACATGTGCCAGCTTAAGCAGATGTTGAAGAGGAGGAAGTAAAATGACAATCATTTAAAAAAATTCTTATTGTGTACCCACCCACCGCGAAGTTTGGCCTAATTGTAAATGAAGAATTTAGGACTAGAAAAAAGTGGGTTTGTTTTGTAACAGTGGCATGTACTCCTGTTAACAATACAAAAGCAACCAAATATAGCACAAGCAATTTTCAAGATATGAACATCGAACTTATGGGAATGGTGATAAACTACCAGAATTTTGGCATTTTTAGGGTACATCTTAGATGACAGAACAATACTCCCATAGTAACTGCTCTCCCTTTCTTCCTCGCCTCCACCAGGAGAGTGCACCACTGTTCATTGATAACCACTGGCCGGGCGTGGTGCCTCATGTGTGTAATCCCAGCACTTTGGGAGGCCGAGGTGGGTGGATCACTTGAGGTCAGGAGTTCAAGACCAGCCTGGCTAACATGGTGAAACCCCGTCTCTACTAAAACACAAAAAAATTAGCCGGGCATGGTGGTCTGCGCCGGTAATCCCAGCTACTCAGGAGGCTGAGGCAGAAGAATTGCTTGAAGCTGGGAGGTGGAGGTTGCAGTGAGCCAAGATCACGCCACTGCACTCCAGTCTGGGTGACAGAGCGAGACTCCCTCTCAAAGAAAAAAAGAAAACCATTGATAGCGCCCTCACCCATCACACAACGCACGTCCATGGGGAACCTGGTGCTAAACCATTTGTAAATGACCGGCTTCTGGGTCAGGGTTTCGTACATAGCAGAGCACCTCCCTCGCTGCAAAAATCTATTGAAAGTCAGCCCTTGACACAAGGGTTTGTTAAAAAAGAAAAAAAAAAACCATTGATATGAGTCAGGGTTTTTATTAACAGTAGAATTTCCTGGGTCCAACTGTACTGCTCACTAATCACCTACTAACAGCAACCTTGAATGCCCTTACTATGCAAAGAATGAAGATGGTGACTGGAGCCAGGGAGATGTTTATCCTTCCTGGCCTAGGAGGACACATCAATGGGCCCAAACGAGTTAAAAGATTGCTTAGTGGGTACCTTGTTTCTCAGGGATGGGTCTGCCCCTGCTTCTAGGAGCAGCGCAACTGTTTTAATGTTTCCACTGAGCACTGCTGCATGGAGCGCTGATGTCCCATTCTAAGAGAAAATGACAGTGTGTGTCAGGAGTGAGCTCACAGCCATTGGCATTCAGCATGGCTTTCATCATAAACCATCTGGGTGATAAGACTGTAACCTCATACCCGTAACCTTCCTTATCTTGCCTTGTACTTTTCAAAGTCACATCAGCCCCTAGTATAGTGTCCTTGGATACATAACCAATGGTCAGTACAAATATTGCTAATGTTCTCTTACAAGTGAAATAAGGAATAGGGCTGAGGGGACACATGACTTCATGGTCACTCAGTCTGTTTTACATACTTTGGAACTTGCTGCAGAAGAAACAACAACGCCGTGCCCAACATTTTTGTTCTTCAAGGACAACACGTAAGGACAACACGTACAGTCTGTAGTTTTGCTGAGCCACTTCCAGCGAGGTTAGAGGAAGAGCTGTTTAGCCAACGGGCTGACCTGTCAGACCAGCTACAGACACTCTGAGCACTCAGGTGGGCAGGACTGTGATTGTGGAGCTACAGGGCTTAAGAGGAAGGGTATGTGGGGTGAGGCAATGCCCCGGAGCTTTGAGTTGGAGCATTTTTGAGCACAGAAGGGCCTCATAGGTCAGTTGTTAATGTTTTATGACATTTACTGCAAATATTTATCAAAATAAGGAACCAGCTAAATGCAGCATGTAGCTGGACCACGGAGAGGAGGGGAGGAGACTATAACAAAACTAAGAACAGTGGGCAGTCATAAGACATGGTTCTAGAGGGTACATATGTCCATAAATAGTACCTAATGCAAACTTAGTTTCCTAATTAGTTGCTCATAATAAAAACCACTCTGATTTTGTAAAAGAGTAAAATATCATACCCAGAGAAAAATTCCCACAAAGTAGCATTTTTCTATGGTTGCTTTTAAGTATGTATGATAATTCACTACTCTTGTAACAATTTACTTGTCTAAATCTTAGCCAATCTATCAACTTCACCTACATGCAACACGGGTCAGAATTTTTTTTTTTTTTTTTTTTTTTTTGGAGACAGTGTCTCGCTCTGTCTCCCAGGCTGGAGTGCAATGGCGCAATCTCAGTTCACTGCAACCTCTGCCTCCAGGGCTCAAACGATTCTCGTGCCTCAGCCTCCTGAGTAGCTGGGACTACAGGTGTGTAACAGCCACTCTGCTAATTTTTGTATTTTTTGTAGAGACAGGGTTTCGCCATGTTGCCTGGGCTGGTCGCCAACTCCTGAGCTCAGGTGTTTTGCCCACCTCAGCCTCCCAAAGGGCTGGGATTACAGGTGTGAGCCACCATGCCTGACCAGGAGTTTTTAAAAAGCCAAAAAAGAGCTATTTGAAACAAGATTAGATTTTGCAAAGTTCAAGCTTTCTAAAGCTTGTTCCTTTTATTCATAGAATTCACTTTCATAGATGGTTTATTTTTACTTTACAATTTTTTTTTTTTTTTTGATACGGAGTCTTGCTTTGTCACCCAGGCTTGAGTGCAGTGGTGTGATCTCGGCTCACTGCAAGCTCTGCCTCCCGGGTTCACGCCATTCTCCTGCCTCAGTCTTCCAAGTAGCTGGCACTACAGGCGCCCGCCACACACCCGGCTAATTTTTTGTATTTTTAGTAGAGACAGGGTTTCACCGTGTTAGCCAGGATGGTCTTGATTTCCTGACCTCGTGATCCTCCTGCCTTGGCCTTCCAAAGTGCTGGGATTACAGGCATGAGCCCCCACGCCCAGCTAATTTTTGTATTTTTGTAGAGACAGGGTTTCATCATGTTGGCCAGGCTGGTCTTGAACTCCTGACCTCAGGTGATCCACCCGCCTTTGCCTCCCAAAGTGCTGGGATTACAAGCGTGAGCCAGTGTGCCCGGCCTTTACAAACAATTTTAACAAGTGCAGCTTTTTGGCCTCTTTTTTTTCTTTTTTCTGGAGATGGAGTTTTGCTCTTGTCACCTGGGCTGGAGTGCAGTGGCGTGATCTCGGCTCATTGCAACCTCTGCCTCCCAGGTTCTCCTGCCTCAAACTCCTGAGTAGCTGGGATTACAGGTGTACACCACCACTCTTGGCTTATTTTTGTATTTTTAGTAGAGACGGGGTTTCACCACATTGGCCAAGCTGGTCTTGAACTCCTAATCTCAGGTGATTCGCCCACCTTGGCCTCCCAAAGAGCTAGGATTACAGGTGTGAGCCACCACACCAGACCAGGAGTTTTTAAAAAGCCAAAAAAGAGCTGTTTGAAACAAGACTATATTTTGCAAAGTCCAAGCTTTCTAAAGCTTATTCCTTTTGTTCATAGAATTCATTTTCATAGATGGTTTATTCTTACTTTACAAACAATTTTAACAAGTGCAGCTTTCTGGCTTCTAAAGCTCATGGCAGGCCAGACACAGTGGCTCACACCTGTAATCCCAGCGCTTTAGGAGGCTGAGGCAGGAGGATGAGAGAATCACTTGAGCCCAGGAGTTCAAAGGTCAAGACCAGCCTGGGCAACATAGCGAGACCCTGTCTCCAAAAAAAAAAAAAAAAAGCTCATGGCAGATGAAAGTAGCTCATGAGCTCATTAGGGCAGGGGAGAGAGGCCAACACATTGACAACAGCAGTTCTGTATTAACTGTCAGCAAGAATGGAATCTAAAAATATAAAGAGCAGACACAAAATATCCAAAAAGTGTCTGGGGTCATTCAAGGGCAAGTAGGTTTTATATACATTGATAGACTCTGAGAGGACAGTCCTAAAGCTAAGCCGCTGTGTCCATTTAGAACAGATTTGGTGTCCTGTATGTAATAAAACAGGAGCATTATATCTCAGGGGTCAGCAAACCACAGCCTGCAAATCAAATCCTGCAAGCTAAGAACGGCTTCTACTTTTAAAAATTTTTGCAGAGGCAGGGTTTCACTCCGTTGCCCTGGCAGAAGTGCAAAGATACAATCACAGCTCACAGTAACCTTGAACTCCTGGGCTCAAGCAATCCTCCTGCCTCAGCTGGGACTACAGCCACACACCATGGCATCCATCTAATTTTTAAACTTTTGTAGAGATAGGGTCTTACTATATTCTCCAGGCTGGTCTCTAACTCCTGGCCTCAAGCAGTCTTCCTGCCTCAGCCTCCCAAAGTGCTGGATTATAGGGATAAATCACTGCACTCAGACTGTTTTTACATTTTTAAATGATTTTAAAAAGATTAAAAGACGAAAAATATTTTGTAATATGTGAAAATATGAAATTCCACAAATAACAATGTTCATAAATAAAGTTTTATAGGAATTAAGATTTTTTTTTTGAGACAGGAGCTTCTCTGTCACCTAGGCTGCAGTGCAGTGGCTCGATCACAGCTTCATTTCCCAGGCTCAAGCCATCCTCCCACCTCAGCCTCCCAAGTAGCTGGGACTACAGGTGCATGCCATCATGACCAGTTAATTTTAAAAACATTTTTTGTGGAGATGGAGTCTAGCTATGTTGCCCAGGCTGGTTTGGAACTCTTGGATTCAAGCGATCCACCTGCCTCAGCCTCCCAAAGTGCTGGGATTACAGGTGTGAGCCACCGCACTGGGCCTTTTTGTTGTATTTTCTATGGTTACTTTTGGATTACCACAGCAGAGTTGGGGCAGTTGGGAGAGACTTGTATGGCCCACACAGCCTAAAATATTTGCTATCTGGTAACAGTAATATTCACTAACATTTCAGTAAATATTACTAGACATAAATATTTACTCTATAGTATATATAGTATATATTTATATTATATAGTATATACTATATAGTATGTATATATTATATAGTATATAATATATACATACTATATGTATGTATATATACTATGTATGTATGCATACTCTACACATACCGTATGTATGTATGCATACTCTACACATACCGTATGTATGTATGCATACTCTACACATACCGTATGTATGTATGCATACTCTACACATACCGTATGTATGTATGCATACTCTACACATACCGTATGTATGTATGTATACTCTACACATACTGTATGTATGTATACTCTATACATACTGTATGTATATAATACATCCATACTATATGTACTATATATTATATAGTATGTATTTACAGTATATAATTTACTATATATAGTAAATATATGCCATATACTAATATGCCTCCTGGTCAAGGCAGGAGGATTGCTTAAGGCTGGGAGTTTGAGACCAGCTTGGACAATATAGTGAGACCCTATCTCTACAACAAATTTAAAAATTAGATGGGTGCAGTGGTGTGTGGCTGTAGTCCCAGCCGAGGCAGGAGGATTACTTGAGCGCAAGAATTCAAGATTACTGTGAGCTATGATTGCATCACTGTACTCAAGCTTGGGCAACAGAGTGAAACCCTGTCTCTGAAAAAATGTAAATTTATACTATATATATATAGTATATATATATATACACTATATATACAGTATATATATATATATACTATATATACTATATATATAGTGTATAGTAAATACATTCTGTAGTATATATTTCCTATAGTAATATTTATATATTAATAAATATATCTTTACTGTAGTAAATATATTAGTAATTAGTAATATTTATTACTATTTACTATTTAGTAATATTTACTAAAATGTTAGTAAGCATTACTATTAATATAATAAATAATATAATATAATAAAATTAATATAATCAATAATATAATTATATTAGTAAACAGAAATACTAATATTTATTAAGACTTTACAGAAAAAGTTTGCTGACTCCTGATATATAATATAGGTTAGAAATATTTTAATCAAAAATGATCAAAATTTAGGCCAGATAGGGTGGCTCATGCCAGTAATCCCAGCACTTTGGGAGGCTGAGGCAAGTGGATCACTTGAGGTCAGGAGTTCAAGACCAGCCTGGCCAATATGGTGAAACCCCGTCTCTACTAAAAATACAAAAAGCTGGGTGTGGTGGCAGCGTGCCTGTAATCCCACCTACTTGGGAGGCTGAGACAGGAGAATCACTTGAACCTGGGAGGCAGAGGTTGCAGTGAGCCGAGATCGTGCCATTGCACTCCAGTCTGGGCTACAAAGGGAGACTCCATCTCAAAAAAGCAAAACAAAACAAAACAAAAAGATCAAAACTTAAAAAAAGAGTTTTGGCTCTGTTTTTTAGGTGACCCAGGTATCCATACTGACATATTTTCTGAGGCTTCCAGGTGTTTGAGGCTTATTTTATTTCACTTAAGGGAACAAAACAGAGTGGTTCTTTGCTTAAGAAAATGAAGAGAACAGACATAAGTGTCTGTTCTTCTTCCTTGATTTCACAAATCCTCCAAATGGTGTCAAAATGGCATACTTTCCAATTAGCTATTTCATTACTACTGTCGATTTTTTTTTTTCTGCAAAACTAGGTAATGACAGACTGTGGTTCACTCTTTCTACCACCTCCCCACTTCTACCAGAGCCCCTGGGATCTCCAGCATCAAGAAGCTGCAGGTGTGTTCTTTCAAGAATCCAACTAACCAGGCTAACTGCACCCAAATTCGACACAGTCCCCAAGTGAGGACTTACTTTCTAACCTCTCTCTTACAGATTAGTAAAATTTATCTTTAGGTCTTACCTTCAAAATACCAAGAGTGGGTGAGAATTTAAGCAACTCTTTTATGACATCATTATACCCTTTGTTGGCTGCTTTCAATAATGCTGTTGTGCCATCCTTAACAGAAAGAGGAAAATAAAAGTTGATTATTAACATATATCTGTGTTGCTTGAAAGCAGTCAGTTGGGAACTGGAAAGTACCGTTGTCAGAAACTAATGACGTGTAAATTAAGCACAGATCAGCAATGTCTCTTAATCTAGGAGCATTTTAGAGAATATTAAGCAGTAAATTCTGCATGAAAGAGTATCAGATAAACAGTGACTTAGATTATGTTAGAACTCTGCCATTTGGGAATTCATACTTCTACAGTTCCTGAGAACACTGGGCAGGGGACAAGGGGAATTTCAAGAGCATATTTTTAGGCCATGGTTGGACCAAAGAGGCATTCTCGGCTGTTCATAACTTAGCAGAAATGGTTAACTGTCTTTAATAATTTAGATCATTGTTGAGCTGTATTTACTGTTTCTAAAAAAATTTATACAGCCTTGCCCTAGTCTGCTCTAGGCATCCGCCCGTGTGTGGGTAGTGGGGCTTAGGGGCAGAGGTGATAGATTAAAATCTGCTAAAAGGCCAGGTGCAGTGGCTCACGCCTGTAATTCTAGCACTTTGGAAGGCCAAGGCAGGAGGGTCACTTGAAACCCCGTCTCTACCAAAAATACAATAGCCGGGTGTGGTAGCCCGTGCCTGTAGTCCCAGCTACTCGGGAGGCTGAGGCACGAGAATCACTTGAACCCAGAGGCGGAAGTTACAGTGAGCTGAGACCGTGCCACTGCACTCCAGCCTGGGTGACAGAGTGAGACTCTGTCTCAGAAAAAAATAAAATAAAATCTGCTAAAAAGAATGAAAAGCCAAATTCAAAAATTAATATTTAGCTTCTGTCGTTATTTTTTGGCTCAAGAACACAGTTTCCAAATTCCTTTTTCTCCCATTTTCACATATCAGTCGCTGTGTTTGGAGGATTTAGTCCATAATTCTCCCGTAGCCAAGAAACCACTTCGGCCTGCCATTAGGGTTTATCTGTAATCAGAAAGAAGGAAGAATGAATTGGGGGGCGGGGGGTGGGGGTCTTTTCTGGCTTCAGAGATTGTGGGAAGAAGAAGAGTGAGAGAGAGGGCAGTGAAATGGTGGCGAACGCGTCTGGTGATTTCCCTTTTTTGGAGCTTAGACTTGGAGAGGGGAAGGTGGGTTACGTAAGCAAGGGTTATACAAAGGCCACAGTAAAACACAAAAAGCAAACAGCATAGGTGGTCAGGTTCTCTTCAAGCCTTCCTTATGGGGAAAAGGGCCTGCTGTGCAGCACACAAAGGCAGTATTAGGTGGCACCAGCAGAGGCCAGTGGATGACGGCGGGCCAACAGGGGACGGGGTGCAAGGGGTCTGCAGCTCCAGGGAGGAGGGGCAAGAGGCAGGGCCTGCAGGAGGCGCAGCACCAGCCAGGGGATCCCCCTAGGACACGCCCCAGGACAGCCGGGAGGCCCCCAGGACAGGCGGGAGGCCCCCAGGACAGGCGGGAGGCCCCGTCTCTACCGCCCTCAGGCCTAAGGCTAAGATTCCACCCTCTCTAGTGCGTCCCAAGGTCATCTCGGGTGGAGGAGGAGAGAGACCGAGCAGCACCGAATCAGACCTTGACTTTGTTTTCCTGCTCAAGGAAGGAGGTTGGGAGGAAACCCATGTGGGCTGCAGACTCAGTCAAGACCCGTTTTCTCCACACAGGCGCGCCGGGAGGCTTCGCTCTTTGGCCGCGCGACTCGGGCACTCACGTTCCGCGCAGCGTCGCGGTCGGCTCCGCGCAGCAGCATCACCCGCACCACCTCGCTGTGGCCCATCTGGGACGCGATCCACAGGGGCGCTGTCCCGTCCTGCGGGAAGAGGAGGCGGCGGCCGCCGTGACTGGGGCGCCCGGCCCCACCCGCTCACAGAACGTCTTTAACACCAGGGGTCTGAAAGCGAAAACTCCGGGAAGGCACTCCCTGACCGCAGATCACACTCTGCAGCTGATCCACACCGCCCAGGAGGCAGTGAGAAAAGAGGGGGTGTGTGTAGCCCACGGACGCAGACGGCACGTGGCTGAGCCTGGGCTACTTGAATAATTGCCAGTATTCAAATTTTGGCTTATAAAATCATCCATTTTGTGGCTGGATCTTTTACCAAAAAGGGTGGTACAGACTTCATGGAAAGATGCGTGGGAACCTTGCTTTGAAGGCTTGGGGGAGCAGCTGACCTGTATACATACACCACAGCAGAACCAAATTCCACAAACCCAGAGAGAAGCCGGCCTATTCCCCCAAGACTGTCCATTTCTTTGCTTTCCCAGTGGGTCACACCTTAATGTTCACAAAATACACCCTTCATTCCCATAGAACGCAGGCAGTTTTCTTTGAGGTGGGGTCTGCGGGTCAGAGAACTCAAGTCATTTCTCCTACTCTTCTAGTCTGGTGTCCAGAACCCTCCAAAGCCACCTCATTTCTTAGGGGGCTTAATTTTAGGTGGAATCTGTTGTTGTGTCTTCTAGGAAGTGATGCACATAAACTAGTTACGGCAGGACAGCATTTTGGGGAATATTTCCTCTGCGTATATTTGGGAGTATTTCCCCAATATTGCTATCTCTGTGCACACTGGGCCATGAGGTGGAGATATATTGCTTCAGAGGAGAAAAAAGTAAAACATGCAAGGGATGGGGAAGGATTTGACAGTAGGGTGGTTCCCAGCAGATGGGATGGAAACTGGGAAAGCCTTCCAATGTGTGAAGGAGCTAGAGAGGGAGGGGGAAGGCGGAGGTCACGTGAGAGTGTCCACGTTTTCTTCCCCCTCTGCGTTGAATCTCGCGTGTGTTGTGGGGGAGAGGTAACCTAGGTTGTGGAAGAAACATCAGGTCAGTTATGGGGAATTCCAGATGGGAAAGGATTTTCTCTTCTTGTGAGAAACCAGGAAAGTTACAAGCCCTTTAGAGTTCTGCTCTCTGCTGGTGCCCGGGAGATAGGAGAGAAATGGCCGTGGGAGTTTCAGAGTCAGTGGTCCCCCAGTCCCCATGGCCCACATCCACCTAGCACCTAGGCATCCAGGAGTCCCGTCTGCCTATGGGAAATCAGAAGTGACAGAGAAACAGTCGGCTGGAGTGAGCCTGGTGTCGGGAAGGCAAGGCCACAGTGCCCTGACTTCCTGAGTAGATACAATGGCCAGGCCAGCAGAGAATGGCGAGACCAGCTGCAACCCTGGGGTGTAAGAGTGCAGGACGCTTGTGGACCAGCACAAGGGCCACGCATGAGGCTCTCCACCCCCATCTCAATGCCAGGATGATAGTCTGACTCTTAGGTCCCTTCGGAGAGAAAGGCAGGAGGGAGCAGGATCCAGAATGGGCTAAAGGTAACCTCTGAGGTAATTATGGTAATATGCCCCAAGAGACTGTTTTAGCCAGATAAGACTGAATTACCCATCGGGGGAAGGGGGGCTGAAGAGCAAAATGATTCAGTTATAGAATATAAAGTTACATTTTCTGCTGCAGTGTGTAATTTCAACCTTAGCCTACTAGCAGAAGCAGGCACAAGATTGTTGCCCACTGCTGTCCCAGGAAAGGGAGAGAGGATGAAGACATCTGAGCTGGGTCGGGGAAGCTGGTGACTTGGGAGCCCAGGAGGATCTGGGGGTGCTGAAGAGCAGTCACAGGATGTTGGGACCTGTCTTGGGAGAGACAGTGGAAGAGGTGCTGAAACAAAGGATAGAGGGAAGTGGAAGACACTTTAACTTACTTCATAATTTTTCCAGGGTCCTCTTGGTGGAAATATTCTTGAATCTAAATATTATCATGAGCAATTTGTACTTTAATTTGTACTTTAGTTTAAAAGCACTTCCATATTCTTTATTTGATTTTCCCAATTCAGGATTTAATTAATCAATAATTCAAGCAACCAATAATGATAATTATTATTTGAGACAGGACTCTGTTACCTAGACTGGAGTACAGTGGCATGATCAAGGCTCACTGTAGCCTCAACATCCTGGGCTCAAATGACCCTCCTATCTCAGCCTTCCTAGTAGCTGAGACTACAGGTGTGCACCACCATGCCCAGCTAATTTTTTTTTCTTTTTTTCTTTTTGTAGAGATGGGGCCTTGCTTTGTTGCCTAAGTTGTTCTTGAACTCTTGGCCTCCAGCAATCCTCCCACCTCAGCCTCCCAAAGTGCTGAGATTACAGGTGTGAGCCCAGCCTTCTAAGTCTCAAGCAGAGTGCTAAAAATAAGTCCTGGAGAAGAGACATGGAGGTTTCCATACGACTGCAGTGCCATCATAAAGTATGGACAAAAATGCACAAAATCAAACAGGTGGGAGGGCTGCTGCATGGGGAATGAGGGCTCAGTGTCCTGGATAGAGTGCTATCTGATCCAGGTCTTGAAGAAGGACCAGGATTTTGCTAGGTGTGAGAAAGGGGAAGGGTCGTTTGAAGGAGAAGGAAAAGCAGCTACAGTCACAGTGGCTTGGACAGGCATGGCTCCTTCATGCAGGGTGGGAAATCTAGCTGCTGTAGCCAGAGGGGTGCGGGTGGGACCCTGGAAGGCAGGAGGGGAGTGTGGGTCCAAGCTGGTGCCAATACTAATGCGCTTCTCCCTCCGTGCCTGCTCTGGGTCTGTTTTGTTCTTTGTCACTCTCTCCACCAGAGGGCGGGCAGGGAGAGGCAGCCAGCTGTCTATTCAATGTGCTTTTCAATGGCTTGGTCATTATTAGTAAACTTGTATTAACAATTGAAACTAATATGTGGGAAAGTGCTAAAAGGTGCTATATTGTGAAAAATTATCTATCTATCTACCTACCTACCTACCTATCATGGAGTCTTGCTCTGTTGCCCAGGCTGGAGTGCAGTGGTGCCATCTCAGATCACTGCAACCTCCACCACCCAGATTCCAGAGATCCTCCTGCCTCAGCCTCCCGAGAGGCTGAGACTACAGGCATGCACCACCACACCCGGCTAATTTTTGTATTTTAAGTAGAGACGGGGTTTCACCATGTTGGCCAGGCTGGTCTCAAACTCCTGACCTCAAGTGATCCACCCGCCTTGGTCTCCCACAGTGCTGGGATTACAAGCATGAGCCACTGTGCCTGGCCAAAAAATTATTATTATCAATTTAGAACATCAATGATAACACTCATCAAATATATCATCTTAATTGGAATAGTCATGGGAGGTGGAAAAAGCAATCAGTTCTTCCTGGCTGTAAGACCTTAGGCAAATCATCTCAGCCTGAGTGAGTGTCCTCTTAGGAAAAATTATTAGCTTCGCAGAGATAAGTGAGAAAACATATACAAAGGTGGTGAGCATGAGCACTGGCTCACAGATGCTTAGGAAATGTTAATTGCATCTGAGTAGTATTTATCATGAGAAACAATACGCCCCTTAATTTGTACTTTTGTTCACAAAATACTTCCATATGCTTTTTAATTTGATTCTTCCATCGACCCTGTGAGATAACTGACTGTGAGCAGGTAGGAATGAGTGGGAAAATGAGATTTGGGGGCCGCCTGTGTATTTCATTACTAGTCATTACATCTCCAAATCTGATTTTGGAGCCCAGGGAGTTGCATGTGAGTTAGAGCATTATTGTCAAATCAGATTACCTATCAGTTGATTATTTAGTTTATGAATTAGGAGAGGTTTTCCTCTTTTGTACACCTTAATTTCTGTTTTCTCTTATTTTTTCCTTCTGGTATAATGGTTAGAGCCTTCATTTTCATCATGAAAATGATGGGGTGCAGTGGCTCACACCTGTAATCCCAGCACTTTGGGGGGCCAAGGCGGGAGGATGGCTTGAGCCCAGGAGTTCAAGATCAGCCTCAGCAACACAGTGAGGCCCCCATCTCTATAAAAAAAAGAACAATGATTTCATATGTTTTTTTTTTTTGAGACGGAGTCTTGCTCTGTCGCCCAGGCTGGAGTGCAGTGGCACAATCTTGGCTCACTGCAAGCTCCGCCTCCCGGGTTCACGCCATTCTCCTGCCTCAGCCTCCCGAGTAGCTGGGACTACAGGTGCCCACCACCACGCCCGGCTAATTTTTTTTTATTTTTAGTAGAGATGGGGTTTCACCGTGTTAGGCAGGTTGGTCTCGATCTCCTGATCTTGTAATCTGCCCGCCTCGGCCTCCCAAAGTGCTGGGATTACAGGTGTTAGCCACCGCGTCTGGCGATTTTATATATTTTTTTAAATTAAACATATAAAAATAATTTTGAAAATGATGAAAAGTAAGTCAATTTAGCTCCTTTTTGTAGAGTTTTGGAATGTACCAAAATGTGAAAAAACATTTAAAAATATTCAAATAGGCTTTTGAATACTTCCATATACTTTGATATTTTTAATACTTTGATATTAAATCAAAGAAATCATTGTGAAGTTATAACCTCTACAGCACTTTTTTTAAAAAGGTAATGGCCAGGCATGGTGGTTCACACCTGTAATCCCAGCACTTTGGGAGGCCGAGGTGGGGCAAATCACTTGAGGCCTGGAGTTTGAGACTAGCCTGGCCAATATGGCAAAACTCTGTCTCAACTAAAAATACAAAAGTTAGCCGGGTGTGGTGGTGCATGCCTGTAGTCCCAGCAACTCAGGATTCTGAGGCAGGAGAATCACTTGAGCCCGGGAGGCAGATGTTGCAGTGAGCCAAGATCATGCCTCTGCACTCCAGCCTGGGCGACAGAGTGAGACTCCATCTCAAAAAAAAAAAAAAAAAAAAAAAAAAAAAAAAAAGGTAATAGAACATTTAGCCTGAAGAAGAATGAGATTCATGGGGTTATGATAGCTGTCTTTTACTATGTGTGTGTATATCAAGTAGAAAAGGATTTAGACCAATTTTTCAGACCAAGTGATAGAAAGAAGACAGATGGGTGAAAGCTGCATGGAGACTTGGGGTCAATGTATAAAAGTTTAATGAGTGTTGGCTAAGACCAAAGAAACTGATCAGAGAGGAGTGAGTTCTCCATGCCTAGAGGTGTTCAACAGTAGCTGATTATCATAGAAAGGATTCGAGTACCGATGGATGGCTAAATAGAGTGAGTTTTATAGTTTCCTCCAACTCTGTTATTCCCTCATTTCATTCGAGATCACTTTTACAGCCAGATCACAGCATGAGATGGAGTATATGACACAACCTGTATTAGAGACTAACCTTGTATGGTCTTATGTAGGCTCCTGAGAGTATTTGGAAAAAAGAACTAAAACCATCCTCTTCTGTGGGAATGAGTATCTGAAGCGGCACTAGCTCTTTGCTTCTACGATTTCCAGCCGTCACACTTGGGTTACTTCTACCTACAGGGTTAGGCCAGTCAGAAAGTCTTGGGGACCAATTCTATTTGAAGTTGGGAGTCCAAGAGCTGTGAGGAATCCTGCCCGTGGCAGAGGGAGTTCAATATTGAGATAATTTTCTTACCCACCCTACCCTGCCCTGGAGCCTATTTCTTATGATTGTCCCTTGCACCGTGTGCCTGGCCCAGCAAATGGGTCTGTAAGAGATTTTACCAGATGCTGCATTGCCCATGGTCTGACTCTATCCTCCCCAGTCAAGGGTGATGGGACTGAGGATAGGCAGGCCAGCCAGTCACTGTGGCCTGGTGCACAAAGATGAGCTGTGACAATGACATGGCTATTCCCAGAGGTTGGCAGTCTGATCCATAAACCTGGGGACCACATACAAGATAAGTAAGCAGACAAAACTGGTAAAAAAAGAAAGGAGTGGGGAGAAACAGAGATATGAAGAGACTTTGAGATGACAGAGAACACACGACTCACTAGAGAAAGTGCAGCCTTGATTTCTGATGGGTTTTCTGTTCCAATGAGGCCTGGTTGGAATAGGAATGATAATAACAGCAATACCTAACATTGCACTGGGTGTGTATCAGCTACTGCATTAAGAGTTTTGCAGGGATTATTTTATTTAATTATCACAGTAGTCCTAAAATACTGAGACTCAGGGACAGTAGGCAACCTGCTAAGGTCACACAGTTAATAAGCAAAATGGGGCCTCTGTTTCATTTTAAGATATCTATATCCCCATAATTTCCAAGCTGCTCTCCACCCAAAAAATCTGGGTCTGCTCCCTAGCTGCCTCTTACAGTCTTCCTGGGGCTTATGCTTATGAGTCTGGGCCCTATATCTGGAGCCTTCTTCTAACTCTCAGGCACTGATCACTAAATGCTGCAGGCTTCCAGACCTGCTCTGCACCAGCCATGGGGATCTTCTGGCAGTCGATACACTTTTTCTGAGTGTGTACCATGTGCAAACGAAACAAGACAGAGTCCCTGCCCTTGCCAAGCAGCAAGGACTTCCTATGGCTGTCTGTTCCCATTTCCAAACCCCCAGGATTCTACGCTAATCTTTTGGCTCCTTCTCCCACTGCCATTGATGGATTCACCCCTCTAAGCTTCCGACCTGGGAGAACGTTTAATTTCTGGGTCCAGCTACTCTGTGTACAAGTCAAGGCTTCTGTTAGGAGATGGCACTTTATTAGATGACTTTTCCTCCAGCCTTCAAAGAAATACTGTTTAGCACATGAAAAAGACTAGATAGAGATGAGTTAACTGACTAACCTCAGCTCTGGGTTAACAGGATCAGACCTTTGCATTCTATTAAAGTATTGTTTTAATAAGGTGGGTGAGTGGAGTTGGGAAAATATATGTCGAGGCATTTGGTTAATAGAAAAATAGAAATAGCCACTCAGCTAGTGATTAAAAAGGTCTGACTCATAGCAACTCAACTTGGTGAGGACACGTGGAAAGAAATGAAAATGAATTGTTAGAGTGAAATCTATATTTCAATGATCTCTGTGACTCTTGACCTTTTGGCTTAGGACAATATGGAAGGAAAATATTTTTTGAAGTTTCAAATCAAGAACATAGTCTTCCTACTGTCTGGCTATGACTAGATTTGGGATTATGATTCCTCATCCCAAAGTACTAAAAAGGTCTTCATTTAGTTCTCAGTGATAGAGTTACAAAGAAAAGTCATCCCACTACCGTTCAGATTCCCTGAAGCTCATATCAAATGTCAGCTGAGTAATTTCAATGTAACTTTGTCAACATCCTGTTACAGGATACCGTAATAAAATGGTAGGGCTTCATAGAATGTCAGTGCAACAATTACAAATCAGATTTAGCCAAAAGTATTAGGAAATTAAACCAGGCAGGTATTCCTGTCCTCATTTTGTAAATTCAAGGATTTTCCAATAATGACTCAATGTGTCAGCTGAGATTTCAGAATAAAACATTGGTTTCCAAATGCTCTACCTATAGAATATAGGTAGGCCATGTGCAGGCCATGTGCAGGCATGGCACTGTTTTCTTGGAACATAATAAATATGCAGAGTTTACACTTTCAGAGAAGACGGAACTTGAGCTAGTCTGACCTGGATAGATAACAACCTCTAATTATAAGCTCACAGTAGGTAATAAAAATTATTATGATTTGAGGGCACAATGGGGTGAGTGTACTCTGTAAAAAGGAAAAATTCCATTGCCTTTTTTCCCCAAAGCAATTCTTATTTTATAAGACACCCTTTTCCTGAATAACAATTCTTTTAGGGCTGAACTCAAAATAATTCAAAACAATTTCATTAGATGCAGTCTTTAGAAGTTGTAGCACTTGCTCCTTGACCAGAGGGTGGATCCCTGCACTCAAAGACTAGGTCATCCACTTTGACCAGGTTATCCTAACTCTTGAGGAAGAAAAAACAGCTATGGCGTGTTGTGGCTACTGCTGCAATGTTGGTTTACTCTTTAACTTCTTGGCTTCAACATCACGGCATGACTCATTTTAGGTTTAAGTGGGCATGGCTCATGCAACATTTGAAATATAATCTCTTATATCGACTTGGTTTTTTACAAGCAGTACTTTAGGCATATAAAGAATAAAATTCAAAGTGCCAGAAATTATTTTGGAAGGATGTACTAATAGAGAGACTTGATAATCTTGATAACCTCACATTCTAAATTCACAGTGGTATCTTCAATAATGGCCCCCAAATCAAACTTAGGCAATCTAAAAATAACCAATTCCTTTTACTAATTTTAGTAAAATGAATCATCTGATTCAGAATCAATCAACAATAACAAAATAAGAAGGACCAATACGAAAATATTAAACTCCAGTCCTCGAAAGTCAACTCTAGCAGGACGAAAGTAAAAGTTTTTTTGAAACTGCTTCCTTTCCCAGGAGTATTCCTGGGGCCACCTAAGAATAACTTTACAATTCTAAAAATATAACCTTACATTGATACATTACATTGATTACAATGTCTGGCACATGGTAAGTACTCAAGAAATATTGATTGAATGTTGAATAAAACAATTATTTAAAATGTGGGCATTTGAAGAGATCATCAGGCTCATGCTGCTCAGCCTCCTAATTTTCAATGATGAAAGTCAGGCCCAGAGAGGTTGATTCACTTGTTCAAAACCACACAGCTCAAATTATTGGCAGAGATGGATTGAGAACTTGGGATTCCTGACCTCAAAACCACTTTGCTTTCCTGACTTCAAACCACTCTGCCCAAAGGCTCTTTATTTTTCTCAGGCTCCTTATGTGCTTGGGCTTCTAAAGACCAGAGAAACCTGTGTCCAAGAGCTCAGACCAACCTTAAAGTTCTCATAGCTATTCATTATGTGAACACAGAGAGGCATTCCTGTATCAGGTCATAGTACAGTGGAGATGTGCCTGGGTATGAAATCAGCTTGACTTTTTCCTAGGAAACTACCTTTATAGTAATGTTTCCTTAATTCGAAATGTTTTGTTAAAAATAAATTAATCTGGTGCCAGGCATGGTGGCTCACACTTGTAACCCCAGCACTTTGGGAGCCCAAGGTGTGTGGATCACTTGAGGCCAGGAGTTCGAGACCAGCCTGGGCAACATGGCTCTCTACCAAAATGTATCTCTACTAAAAATACAAAAATTAGCTGGGCATGGTGGCATGCACCTGTAATCCTAGCTATTTGGGAGGCTGAGGCACAAGAACCCAGGAGGCGAAGGTTACAATGGGTCGAGATCATGCCACCACACTCCAGCCTGGATGACAGAGCAAGACGCTGTCTCAAAAAAAAAAAAAAAAAAAGTTAATCTGGACAAAAATAGTACCTACACAAGAGAAGCTAATTATAATACTGTACATTTGGAAGGTTCTTCACTGTTTATAAAGTGCTGCCTGTATAATCTTGCATTTCTGTTCTTTTTTCTTCTTTTTAAAAATCATTACTCTTTTTTTGAGACAGAGTCTTGTTCTATTGCCAAGACTGGAGTGCAGAGGCGCGATCTCGGCTCATTGCAACTTCTGCTTCCCAGGTTCAAGTGATTCTCCTGCCTCAGCCTCCCAAGTAGCTGGGATTACAGGCATGCGCCACCGCGCCTGGCTAATTTTTGTATTTTTAGTAGAGACGGGGTTTCATCATGTTGGCCAGGCTGGCCTCAAACTCCTGGCCTCAAGTGATCCTCCTGCCTCGGCCTCCCAGGGTGCTGGGATTATAGGCATGAGCCACCACTCCCAGACTACATTTCTGTTCTTTTACTTTCAGTTAATTGAATTGCTAGCTGTTAGCTTGCTGTTGGTAAATGAAGTCTCAACAGCATAACAATTGTGAGAGATGAAGGTGCAGAACCTCCTAATGATTCCAACGGCATGGGCTCCTCTTTGGCTTGGTGGAAGAAGTGGTGGGCAGGTAGTAAGGCAGCATTATCAGCAGGGGCCAGGCTACTTGGCCCACATCTGTTTACCTATGTCCCAGGCCAGCCTGCACTCATTAGATCAGTGCAGCCATAATTTGTTTGCACAGGAGGTGGCAGAGTGTGTACTTGTGTACTTGACCTCAGACATCAAATACTTAAGTTTTGAAAGTACTGAACTGTGATGTCAGCTTGGTTTCATAGGCTTTCAGGCCAGCTCAGAGCATAGAACAGGAGATACCCTAATCAAAGATTAACTTTTCATCACAGAAGCAGAAGGGTTTAAAGGATGCCTTGAGCTTACTGGTTATCTCAGGTATGTGCTGCCAGCGGACACCCAGCCCTCCCTGCCCCATGCGCCATGTGCTCGGGCAAATGTCAACAGTGGACATTACCTGCCTTGGCTGGTTGACTTTTGCTCCTGAAGCCAGCAGTAATCGAATAACATCCAAGTAACCACCTTGGGCAGCTAGGAAGAGGGCAGTGGCTCCATCCTGAGAGAGAACAAATTAAAAGCATTAAAAACATTATCTTTCACACTTATTTTAAAAGAAATTAGGGCGGGTGCAGTGGCTCATGCCTGTAATCACAGCACTTTGGGAGGCCTAGGTAGGTGAATCCAGGAGATAGAGACCAGCCTGGCCAATATGGTGAAATCCCGTCTCTGCTAAAAACACAAAAATTAGGCTGGGCACGGCGGCTCACGCCTGTAATCCTAGCACTTTGGGAGGCCGAGGCAGGTGGATCACCTGACATCCGGAGTTCGAGACCAGCCTGGCCAACAGGGCGATACCCCATCTCTACTAAAAATACAAAATAATTAGCCAGGCGTGGTGGCGGGCACCTATAATCCCAGCTACTCCGGAGGCTGAGGCAGGAGAATCGCTTGCACCTGGAGGCAGAGGTTGCAGTGAGCTGAGATCGCGCCACTTCATTCCAGCCTGGGCAAAAGAGCAAAACTCCTCCTCAAAAAACAAAAAATCAAAAAACAAAAAACAAATAAAAATACAAAAATTAGCCAGGTGTGGTGCTGCATACCTGTAATCCCAGGTACTCGGGAGGCTGAGGCAGAAGAATCTCTTGAACCCAGGAGGTGGAGGTTACAGTGAGCCAAGATTGCATCACTGCATTCCAGCCTGGGCAACAGAGTGAGACTCTGTCTCAAAATAAATAAAATAAAATAAATTAGATTTAAAATATACACATTTAATATAATTTTCCATCTCCATCTCTTTGTAGGTTTCCACCTTTTTGTCAATGAAGAGCCAAATGTTAGATATACAAATCCCCCAAACCTCATTTTTAAAAAATTTATTTTTAATATATTTTTAAATTTCTAAAAATTCTTTTTTTTTTTAATTAGCTGGGCGAGGTGGCATGTGCTTATAGTCCCAGCTACTTGGGGGCACTGAGGCAGGAGGATCACTTGAGCCTGGGAAGTTGAGGTTACAGTGAGCCATGTTTGGGCCATTGCACTCCAGGCTTAGGGAACAAAGTGAGACCCTGTCTCAAAAAAAAAAAAAAAGAAAAAAAAGAAAAAAAAATTGAGAGTAAAAGGTGTCCTTTTAATTAGATCTTTCCTACCCTTTTCTCTTTCTTGTCCCCTTATCCTTGTTCCCCCAACATGAGGGTTCTGCAAGAATTAAGATACAATATGCAGCTGGGTACGATGGCATACACCTGTGGTCCCAACTACTCAAGAGGCTGAGGCAGGGGGATTGCTTGAGCCCAGGAGTTCAAGACCAGCCCTGGAAACATAGCAAGACCTTGTCTCTCTCTCTCTTCTTTTTTTTTTTTTTTGAGACAGGGTCTCCCTCTGTCACTCAGACCTTGAGTGTAGTGGTACGACCACAGCTCAATGCAGCGTCAACTTCCTCAGCTCAAGCGATCCTCCCACCTCAGCCTCCTGAGTTGTTGGGACTACAGGCGTGCATCACCACATCCAGTTAATTTTTTAAAAAAATTTATAGTAGAGACAGGGTCTTGCTATGTTGCCCAGGCTGGTCTCGAACTCTTGGGCTCAAGCGATCCTCCTGCCTCTGCCTCCCAAAGCACTAGGATTACAGGCATGAGCCACCATATCCAGATGACCCTGTCTCTAAAACAAAACAAGACAAAACAAGACAAAACACAAAAGAACCCTGAAAGATGTTTTCAATACAACTGCCCTAGAAACCATCTCCACAAAGTGGCTCTCTGCCAGCCCAGCAGACACCAACAACACCTATAAACACAAAAAAGCACTCCTGCATAAAGCCCAGAGCAAGTGCCCCTTTTCCAGTGCTCTTTAGTTTTCGTCTTAACTGAGTATCTATGCCTTCTGGGCATTTCTGTTTTCTTGGACACATGTCACTCGGTGCTTTCGGCAGACGTGTGGATCAGCTGAGAGCATGATCCCCGGATGCTCCCTTCAGCCTGACAACATTCGCAGCGCAGGGTGAGCTTCATTGTTTTCAGACCACGGTGGAAAACCAGAGCACACCCTAGAGGAAAACACCTAGCAAACCCAGCTAATTACCACACCTCCCATTGGGAACACTAACCTCAAGCAAAAATATAAGACATGTTTCCCTGCAAGTCCAGCCACGTGTGTCACGTGGAGGGTCCTGGATTTTCAGTGGGCGTCAGCAGAGCTGCCAAACTGCCCTCCAGGCAATCATTAAGAAATTAATCAGCCTGTACAGATTTTCAAGCAGATGTTTTATATGGGGATAACATTTTCGGAAAGTCTACCATGTCCTTAGCTGCTGAAAACTCTCAGCAATTTTCTTTTTCTTTTTCTTTTTTTAATTTTTTTTTAACTCTCAGGAATTTTCCAAGATGAACTACCCATGCATTGAATTTTTCACTGTGCATTCCAAGTTTTGGTTCTGCCCCGCCCATCCATATTTCAATCGTTTTTAAGAAAATATTTAGATTGTTTGGGTAAAGGTAAAGGTCTTAATATAAAATGGAAGTTATAATGCATGAAATTTCTTGAGTCACCTTAAAACAGAGAGGAAATTACTATGGGAAGGGGCTTTTCTTTTCACCAAACACTTTGGCTTTTCCTATTCAGTGTGTGTGTGTGTGTGTGTATATATATATATATTACACACTCTCAGATATACTCTACCTATATATAGCCAAAGACATATCTAACCTTTAGACCTGTGCTTCTTAGATTAGGCTACATGTGAGAACTACCTGTTGCCCAAGCTGTGCCTTCAGAGACTCCAGTTTTGTTGGTCTGGAGTGGGCCTCAAAATAGTATTTTTTTAAACTTTCCCAGATAATTCTAATGGGCAGCCAGAGTTGAGAATCGCCTCTTTAGATCATTATCAAGTAATTCAATCATTCTACTGGTAATGTTGCAGGCTCAAAGTGTGTTACAGATTTTGAAGTGCAGAGGGTGAGGCTAGCTGCTATGAATTTCAAAGAGGCCTGTGATTTGTCAGGGTTAACCATGTAAACTCTGGAAAGGGTGTTCAAATGGAAAAGTTCACACCTACAGAGCTCATTACATGTCTATGAAAGTATAGTGCCCCAGGCATAAGGGTTAAATGCCTACCTGTAGGACAGCCTAAAATACGGTTCCTAGATAATTGGAAGTAGGAATTTTTCCACTCTTCACCATGAGACTGTCAAGTCTATTCATCTCCCTATATTCTATTTTCGCTTACAAAACTGGAGTAATGTTTGCCATAAATCCTATGGCATTATAGCGACAATCAATTGAAAGGCCCTTGGGTGATGATGTACTAATTGACAGTTAGCTGCAAACAGACCCGCACTAGCAGTGGATGCCTTTCACAGGTCAATGGCATGTGTATATTTCACAGAGGTCTTCATCCATCCAACCTCACTTTTCTACCAAATACCTTAGATTTCTCCTCTTTGTGCCCTTCCTCACAAATACTACAACAGTATATTTTTATATCCAATGAGCGCATTTAGAAAAATTTTGTATATTTTGGTTTTCAGCAAGTCCATATGCTGGGCTTTGTAGTTTGTCATGGTACGAATAAGTATCACATGATTTTTGAAGGCCTTAATTGCATAGGTACACGAAATGTTTCATCTGCACAACAGATTTAAAAGGGAGAACAAAGATGGGTAAATAAGATAAATGGTTTCATTTTTTGTCGGTGGGGGACAGAGTCTCACTATGTCACCCAGGCTGGAGTGCAATGGTGTGATCTCAGCTCACCGCAACCTTCACCTCCTGGGTTCAAGCGATTCTCCTGCCTCAGCCTCCTGAGTAGCTGGGATTACAGGCACCCGCTACCATCCCCGGCTAAGTTTTGTATTTTTAGTAGAGCCGGGGTTTCACCATGTTGGCCAGGCTGGTCTCGAACTCCTGACCTTGTGATCCACCCACCTCGGCCTCCCAAAGTGCTGGGATTAGAGGCGTGAACCACCGCGCCCGGCCAGATATGTGGTTTCTATATAAAAAAAGCCCATCTGGTCCGCTATATATTTTTCTCTTGACTCAGACCCAAGTCCTACTGTCCATTAAAGTATTTTTGAAGTTGGCATTTCTGGCATCTGAATTTAGACTGCAATTTTGTATGTGATGAGAAATGTCCTAATGTCCCCCTGAAATGCACTCACATAAAGTTGGTCATGGATGTTTGCTCCGTGCTTCAGCAAGGTCTCCACCACCTGCATGTGCCCGTACTGACTGGCAGCCAACAGGGCGGTGCCCCCGTCCTATGGACATGCAAAGTATAAACACATTAGAGGTGGCGCAGGCACATAATTCACCAGCAGATGTTCCTCACATACATAGAATTTAGGAAGAGAGTTTTCCCAAAGATAATAACAAACTCACTTTCCCTGTTTTTTTTTTTTTTTTTTTTTTTTTTTTTGAGATGGAGTCTTGCTCTGTCACCCAGGCTGGAGTGCAGTGGTGCGATCTTGGCTCACTGCAATCTCCGCCTCCTGGGTTCAAGCGATTCTCTTGCCTCAGCCTCCCAAGTATCTGGGACTACAGGCGTGCACCACCATGCCCAGTTAATTTTTGTATTTTTAGAAGAGATGGGGTTTCACTATGTTGGTCATGCTGGTCTTGAACTCCTGACCTCAAGTGATCTGCCCACCGCGACATCTCAAAGTGCTGGGATTACAGGTGTGAGCTACCATGTCCAGCCTACTTTCCCTCTTTTATCCCTTTTACTTTTTCTTTATAATTATGGCAGAGTTCATCCTAAGGACGTGATTATGTTGTATATGTGGGCGGCTTGCTAGAGATGTATTACAGTTTTTTGACCAAGTTATTTATTGTGAATTAATTTAGAAAATTCCTATGCCAAATGCAGCATCATCTATTTGCTTCTCAATATGAGAAACACAGAAGAGAAAGTCTTGTCAGTTCTTGGAATCATCAGAAAAGCCTCCCAGGGCTTCTAGCCAGAGACTTCCTGGGGAAACGCCGTCTTCTCCCTGTGATGTAACCCAGTGGTAAGCCACTGAGATTAAGGTGTTTGTATGGGGTAACCCTCTGGGGCCATTGCCCTCATGGGACAAGATCTGCTGCCATTAAAAGAGCGGATAGCTATGGCACATTCTGTGTGTCTCTCACTATCCTACTTAGTATTTTCCTTTTAACATGTGCCAATTTGTCCAGGGCTCTTTAAAAGTGTGGCCCTAAAAACTAAGCAGAAGCCTGAGCAACAAAAATTAGCCAGGGTGTGGTGGTGTGCGCCTGTAGTCCCAGCAACTTGGGAGGCTGGGGTCGGAAGATCAATTGAGCCCAGGAAGTGGAGGCTGCAGTGAGCCAAGATCACACCACTGCACCCCAGCATGGGTGACAGAGCGAGACACTGTGTCAAAACAAACAAATAAAAAAAGTAAAAAAAAAAAAAAAAACCCAACTAAGCAGGGCACTGTAAAGCACACATGCTCTGATGTGGAATGGGATATTCCTGTGTTCCATCTACTCTACTTTTATCTCTGCAGCCTAAATTAGAGCTTTTCTACCAACCACATCACACTGCTGACTCATTGAGTTTGTGGTCAACTAAAATCCTTAATTGTTTTCCTCAGGTGCTACAGCTAAGGCATTCTTTTTTCCCATCTAGCGTTGTTGAGTTGTTTGGCTCTCTGAACTGGACATCTGAGCTAATTGTAAGTAATTCAAAAACACATAACCTGGTTCTAAAACATGAATCATAAATATAAGATACTGTAGTTTCTAAATTTGGGCATAAGGTGTTTATTCAAAATGCCTACTCATAGATCCCCACCCTCAGCCCTGCCTTCAGTAGGTCTGGGGTGAGATCCAGAAATATGCCTTTTGACCAGTCATGTGGGTTGATTGTGTAGGCAGGTGGCAGGTGGGCCTCATGTGGAGAAACACTGCTATAAGAGGTCTCGAATTCGTAGGCAGGTAACATCCTATGGGGCTGCGTGTGGCTGGGTAGTGCTTCCCCAGAGGCAGGCTCTGTGGTGGGGGAGGGTGCTTGAGATGGGCTTTGAAGTGTGGGGAATGGAGAGGAGGGAGGCTGAAGGCTGAAGCTGGTGGTAGACGGCAGTGGTGAGGAGGCATCACAGAATTGCGTAACAGCAGGAATAAGCACCATTTCTAAGCTTTATCCTGTCAATTTTCCTAGCTAATAAAGTAATAAATTTTCCTGCCTAATAAAGTAACAGAAAAGATAAAATATGAAGATTCTTATGGAGGAACTGCTGTTATTTTTGTATGTATGTATGTATGTATGTCAGGGTCCTGCTCTGTCGCCCAGGCTGGCTGCAGTTGTGCAATCATGGCTCACTGCAGCCTTGAACTTTGGGCTCAAGCGATCTTCCTGCCCTAGCCTCTTGAGTAGCTGGGACTACAGGTGTATGTTACTGTGCCAGCTTTTAAAATATTTTTTACTTTTTTATAGATGGGGTCTTGCTATGTGGCCCAAGCCGGTCTAGAACTCCTGGGCTCAAGCAATCCTCCCACCCTAGCCTCCTGAGTAGCTGGCATCACAATACCTGACTAATTTTTTAAAAAATGTTTTATAGAGATAGGGTCTTGCTACATTGCCCAGGCTGGTCTCCAACTCCTGGTCTCAAGCAATCCTTTCACCTTGGCCTCCCAAAGTGCTGGAATTACAGGTGTGAGCCATCCCACCTGGCCTCTTTGATTTAATTAAAAAAATTTTTTTTAGACAGGGTTTCACTCTCACCCAGGCTGGAGTGCAGTGGCGCAATCATGACTCACTGCAGCCTTGACCTCCCAGGCTCAAGCGATCCTCTCATCTCAGCCTTCCAAGTAGCTGAGACTACAGGCACATGCAACCATGCCTGGCTAATTTTTGTATTTTTGATAAAGACGGGGTTTCGCCATATTGCCCAGGCTGGTCTTGAACTCCTGGGCTCAAGCGATCTGCCTGCCTCAGCCTCCCAAAGTGCTAGGTGTGGGCCACCATGCCCAGCCTCTTTTATTTTATAAAACACAGTTTTGGGGCATATAGATTTAGTAGCAGTGAGAACAATTGTTGAAGCAAAGTTTTGATGACAGAATCATTTAAAACTGAAAGCCTCTCAGCCCTCTCTTCTTCCCATGGAAAGCTCTTGGATACCTGCAGCTGACCTAATGGAAACCTGTGGAATTGCTCATCCTGAGTTCCATGTTCCATGGATTTCTGAGATAGTACAAACTGGCTCATGTACAAAGGCTTTAAGCCAGTATTCACTCGTTAACCAAGAAGACTGAAGCAGCCATATGGTCACTCACGATCATTTTGACCTTCGTTCAAAGAGTTGAGATTTAGGTTCATAGGACTTTACTTTCTATTTTTAGTTATCACTTTTATAATAGAAAATAAACTAATAATGTAAAAAAATATATAGTATTACTGTATGTTATACTCAGTAAGTTTGAAGGCATATACGTAGTACAATAGCAGGTTTCAGAAAAGACAAAACCTTATATGAAATTCACATCTACTTAATGGTTAGAATTTTATTATTTGATTTATTTTTTTGAGACAGAGTCTTCCTTTGTGACCCAGGCTGGAGTGCAGTGGCATGATCACGGCTCATTGCCGCCTTGACCTCTCGGGCTCAAGTGATCTGCCCGCCTCAGCCTCCCAAATAGCTGGGACTACAGGCATGTGCCACCATGCCCAGCGAATCCTTTTTTTTTTAATAGAGATGAGGTCTCGCTTTGTTGCCCAGGCTGGTCTTGAACTCCTGAGCTCAAACTATCCTCCTGCCTCAGCTTCCCAAAGTGCTAGGATTACAGGTGTGAGCCACCTTGGCCAGCTCCAGTAGTTACCATTTTAACAGAAAAAAAATCCCACTGGAAACTCCCTTGATATCTAAATAGTCCACAAAAAGGATTAACTAAGAAAACCTAAAAGTTTCCAACTTGCGCACATTTTCAGGAATTTAAAAATTATAATTAGGCTAGAAATGAGCTGACAATTACAAAAATCTTACGGCAGTTCAAATTCTGCTACTACAAAATATTATCATGTAAAATCATACTGTCAACATGAAATTAATCTTTCTACATTCTCAGCTTTCTTATCTATATGTCAAAAATGAAAATCAATTACTTCTTTTTTTTTTTTTTTTTTTTTGAGACAGAGTCTCACTCTGTCGCCCAGGCTGGAGTGCAGTAGCGTGATCTTGGCTCACTGCAACCTCTGCCTCCCGGGTTCAAGTGATTCTCCTACCTCAGCCTCCTGAGTAGCTGGGATTACAGGCATGTGCCATCACGCCTGGCTAATTTTTTTTTGTATTTTTAGTAGAGACAGGGTTTCACCATGTTGATCAGGCCGGTCTCGAACTCCTAACCTCGTGATCCCCCTGCCTCGGCCTCCCAAAGTGTTGGGATTACAGGCATGAACCACCGCGCCTAGCCAATTACTTCTTTAAAGGAAGAACCACTATATAGTTTCCCAACTATGTAAACTGTAGCTATGTATTATGTATTTCAGTGAGGATAGCTCATGAAAGTAAGCTGTCTGCCAAACCACCCTCTTTAGAAATGTCTCAGATCTAGTAGGATCAGATTAATACTTCCAACAATTCCTATCATAGTATCAGAATTAATCTTCAGTGGGAAAAAGAACATGGAAACAGGGAAAGTTAGAAAGCCACTGCTACTGTATCCCTCCTGGTTACAAAATTTAGTGTTCTACAGTAGAAAGGTATCAGTTCAGGAAAGGATAGAAGTAATTCCCCATAAAATTTTCCAATTGTGAGCCCAGAGTAAAAATGTAACGTTTTGAATAGAACCCTTAGAGCTACCCCTGAACCACTACAAGTAACCTTGAGGAAATCCACTTACTTAGGTTTGAGAATCTTGTAAAAAGGGAAACATAAATTCGTACCATAGATGAGGAGAAAAGCAATACCCATGGCTGCTGAAATTCTTCAACATAATACAAAATCAAGAAGGTTATCTCACTTTGGTCCTAAATTCAGTGGATGCTCCAAATCCAAAGAGAAATCTCACGACATCATTATGGCCTTGCTGGGCGGCAAAGAATAGGGCAGTTGTACCTGACTGGGAGAGAGGGAGAGGCTAGTTTTAAAAGACATTTGGTTATCTTACATTTGATTTGAACATCTGCAAAGAAAACAAAACAATATCCTTGCATAGAAAACTTCTAGCCTAGGAAGGGGCTAAATTTGAACAGATTCTTATTTTTTGGTCAGAGAAGTGACAAAAGGAAAGGAAAACTTTATTCTTAGTGAAATGGGATGAATGGTGGCTCCTCAAAAGATCTGTCCCCATCCTAAAACTTGTGAATATTACCTTCTATGGCAAAAGACGTGATTAAGTTAAGGATTTTGAGAAGAGCTTATCCTGGGTTATCTGGGTGGGCCCTAAATCTAATGACAAGTGTCCTTCTAAGAGTGAGGCAGAGGCACTACTCACAACAGCTAAAATGTGGAAGCACTGAAGTGTCCATCTATGGATGAGGAGACAAGCAAAATGTGATGTATCCATACAATGGACTATTATTTAGCTAAAAAGAAAGGAAATTCTGACATATGCTACAACATGGATGAGCCTTGATAACATTATGCTAAGTGAAATAAGCTAGTCATAAAAGGCCAACAACTATGTATGATTTTACTGTGATTTTTTTTTTTTTTTTTTTTGAGACAGAGTCTTGCTCTGTCACCGAGGCTGGATGGAGTGCAGTGGTGCCATCTCGGCTCACTGCAACCTCTGCCTCCCAGGTTCAAGTGATTCTCATGCCTCAGCCTCCCAAGTAGCTGGGATTACAGGCGTGCACCCCCACATCTGGCTATTTTTTGTATTTTTAGTAGAAACAGGGTTTCACTATGTTGACCAGGCTGGTCTCAAAGTCCTGGCCTCAAGTGAGCTGCCCACCTTGGCCTCCCAAAGTGCTGGGATTACAGGCATGAGCCACTGCACCCAGCCTGCTGTGATATCTAAAGTAGTCAGAGTTATAGAACCAGAAAGTATGATGCTGGTTGCCAGGGGCTGGGGGAAGGGGAGTATGGGAAGTTATTATTTAATGGATACAGAGTTGTGTAGTTTTACAAAATGAAAAGAGTTATAGATGGGTGATGATGTTGGTTGTACCACATTATGAATGCATTTAATAAGACTGAACTGTACACTTAAAAATGGCTAAGAGGGTAAAGTCTACATTATGTGTATTTTACCACAATAAAAAACAATAAATTTTTTTTTGAAGTGAGGCAGAGGGATATTTGACCCAGAGAGAGGCCAATGTGACCACATAGGCAGAGACTGGAGAGCTGTGGCATTGAGGAGAGAGTGCTGACAGCCACCAGGGGCTGGAAGAGGCAAGGAAGGGAATTCCCCCAGGAGCCTCCAGTGGCAGTGCGGCACAGCCCACACCTTGATTTTGGACTTCTGGCCTCCAGATCTGAGAGAATAAATTCCTGATGTTCGAAGCCACCTAGTTTGTGTTAATTTGTCACAGCAGCCCTTGGAAACTCAAGATATTTGGTATAGTGTTTGGTAAACACTAGCATTCCTTAATACAGGGAAGAATTCAAATTACAAATTTTAGCGCCCCAGAGTGGAAGACTACTTGTACAAGAAGGAAAATAAGTAATTCACCCACAAACTTCTCCAATTGCAAGCCCAGAGTCAAAATGAGCTCAAAACATTTCTCAAAATGGGACATAATAACAAGAAACATCCTGATTCTAAAATTTAAACTGATCATGACATTCTGAGACACAGTTTTTAGCATCCTCCCTTCCTATCTACTTTTACAAGTCTACTCAAAGATTGGTACCCAAATCACTGTGTAATATGAGCAAAATAATGAACCATTCTTGTGGGCAACATACATTTTTCCTATAGAGTACTCTTCACTTCTGAGCTTGGAGCTTGGGACAAAGCTAATACCACACCTTACCAGACACAGTGAAAAGAAATCCCTTTTTCCATAGTTTACCCAAAGCTGTTAAGATGGTAGGTCTCACTCATGTGTGAAAAGCTGAGGACAGCCTGGCCTATAAGCTAGTGATCATGCTTAAAACTTGTTCTTAAGGGCCTGGGTGTCTCTGTGAATATGTACGTGTGTGCATGCATGTGTGGGATGGGAGTGGGGACAATAAGACCCACTGAGACAGGCAGGATCCACCCACTTGTTTGCCTGTTTTTAAATGTGGTCTAGAAAAAAAAAAGCCCCTTACTCAAGCTGTAGCTTGCCTAACTTCTCACTGATGGCAGTGGTGGCCTGTCTGGAGCAGCAGCTGCGAAGATGCAGGCTGCCACACGGGAGGTGCAGCTGGGGCTGCATGCTCCTCAGGTCCAGTGGGAGCTGGAAGCAGGTGGGAGCCCCATCCCCTATTGAGTTGGCTGTGCGGGAGCAGCCATGCCCAGCTGCAGCTCCGGTTCTGGGCATCCCTGT
The DNA here is from genome assembly GCF_000001405.40 of Homo sapiens. Classification (NCBI taxonomy): domain Eukaryota; kingdom Metazoa; phylum Chordata; class Mammalia; order Primates; family Hominidae; genus Homo; species Homo sapiens. The sequence continues at coordinate 23,641,310 of NC_000018.10, forward strand.
GCTCTCTGGGCCTGGGAAGCCCCCATTACCCCCACAGGCTTGGAAGTGCCTGCTCCTGCTCCCTGGCCTCTCCCCACTCCCGGCACCTGCTCCAGTGCGGAGCAAAGCTGTAGCCGAGCCTGGGTGCTGTCTGTCATGACCTGGCTAGGGGAGAGCATGCTTGAGGTGTGTATGCTTGAGGTGGTGTTGACATGCCAGCCTTGCCCCCCAACCTTGGCCCCCTCCGGACTTTGGGTGCTGACAAGCACAGGAGGGAGGCTGAGGGGCTGAGGGCAGCTAGGTGTGGGCCTGTAGGCGCCCCTTGGCAGGAACAGCCTGGGTGCCGTGGATGGCATGTTGATGGTGAGAGGCAGACACGTTCCCACCCATGGCTTCCCATGGACCAATCAGCACACACTCCCTCCTTTCTGAGCCCATAAAAACCTCTGACTCAGCCAGATTCAAAAAGATGTCCCGACTACCAGCTGCTGGAAGGATCTACCCATTGTGGGTCTCCTGTCCACTGAGAGCAGGACACAGAGGTCAGGACTACCAGCTACAGGAAGGAACTACACACTGTGGGTCTCCTCTCTGCTGAGAGCTGGACCCAGATATCGGGACTACCAGCTGCGGGAGGAGCTATCCATTTTGGGTCTCCTCAGATCATCAGGATGACTTGCCTGCGGAAAGGCGCTACCCACTATGGGTCTCCTCTCCACTGAGAGCTGAACACTTGTTAGGATGACCTGCCTGCAGAAAAGAGCCACCCACTTTGGGTCTCCTGGGAGGTGTTCTGTCACTCAATGAAGCTCCTCTCCACTTTGTTCACCCTCCAGTTGTTTGCATACCTCATTCTTCTTGGATGCGGGACAAGAATTTAGGACCTGGCGAATGACCCTGTTTATAACACAAACAGGGCTGAAACACGCCTTCTGCTTGCCACATTGCAGGCAATGAGGAGAGAGGAGCTACAGCCCTTTGGGGAGCCCAGACCTAGGGGCTCCCTGAGCCAGGGCTATGATATCCTCTTTGGGGCTCTGCGGTTCCTGGCATCTCCAAGCTCCCAGGCACCACTACATTCCCTGGTGCCTGCAGCGGAAGCCACTTGCGGTACATCTGGTCCAGCCACAGCCTCACACAGAGCTGGCACCTGTGCCAGTGGCTGGAGCTGCCTGCCTCGCCACAGCTGGCATGCCTGGTTGTGTGCAGTGGCTGGACCCCATGCTTGCTCACACACCTGGCTTGCCCTTGGCAGGCATGGGACCTGGGCTGGTAGGGTGAACCAAGTGCAACCTGCTGGGCCAAGTGGGCAGAATGAGCCCAACGGGCCTGAGCAACACTTGGGCAGAAGGCGCTGCTAGCCATGGAGGTTTCCAGCTGGCAAAGTGACACCCTAAGGATCCTGTGACAGCCAATCAGCAACAAAAGACCCAAGAAACTATCCAGAAGTTCTCACTTTAGGTGGGTAGGGACTTCCTGGGGCCCTGCATGCACAGTTAGACTTAAACTTCAACTTACAGTCACCTCTTCCTTATCTTAATGCTAAAAATCACACCTGAAGGTGGAGATTTAAAATGCTAATCTTACATGCAATGATTAAAAAGCATATTGAGCTACTGTGCAAGTGCTGTACATGCCCTGACTAAACCCTTCCCTGTAAAAAGACCCTATAAAACAAACTCACATACTTCTCTTGGGGAGCAGGCAACCCTTTTCCTTTCCATAAGGGAACCTGGTTCTCTTATGCACAAGCTAAACAAACTTCCTCTTTGCTATCTGACAATCTCTTTTGACTTCTATCCTGGGAGATTATAAGAATCTAGGGTGCTGATAACACCACCACTGAGGGAGAACATGTAACACCTTCCTAGTCAGATATAACCCACATCAGGCTGTGCCCTCAGCCAGACTCTGTCCCAGGAAGGCACAGGCATTGTGACCATTCACAGGGCCTTTCTGCCTGCAATGCAGGTGTGATTTTCTCCTTGGTTCCCACAGAAATAAGTGGGAAGCATCCTCCCACTGCTTTATTACAGTTGATGATGCTGGGTTCCGGAAACCTTAGGGAATTAATAGTTCTGGAGGAAGAAACTTGGCTAGAATAGGAAAACTCTCACCTTCTCAATAGATATTAAATTTTAGAGACTACCAAAGGTCTTTTCTAGAAGTTGTTTCTTTAGTAAGATAAATAATTTGCTTTTCAATAGGCTTTCTTGGTACATTAATTACATAAATCATTATTAGAGCAGTTTGAGCTGATTTTAGAACATACATACTACTATTAATCATTCTGTACCTCAATGCAGCAATCCATAAATAGGAGCTATACCTTAGTCTGGAATGTGAATAAAAGTTTTAAATATGTGTGCCTTACTTCAGGGCTTCATGCCAACTGTATGTGCAGCTCCTATGCCTGAGAGGTGTCATCAGCCAATTGTGGGTTCTTTACAGCAATAGTGTTTCAGGAACATTAGTTTCCAGTTTGTCTCTCTAGCAAGCTCTGTGTATCTAGAGAGCTGACCTAAGCAAGGAGTGGCAGGTAGTTTTTCAGGAGACAAATATTCTGATATTGCAAAGTGGATTAACTAACAATGGATCAAGGCAGAAGTCTGCCATAGGAGTAAGTTTCAAAGCACTGCAAGGCACTCTTAGCTTCCAAAACTGGTACAGGAGGCTGAGGTCTGCCTTTGGCTTGGCAGCCCTCTTGCCCCAGACTGACACAGTCTCAGGAAATTCAGGGACTGCCAGGAACTTACATAGCACCATCATTTGAGCCACGCAGGTTACCTTTAAGCTGAGTACACTTTGGTAAATCTTCAAAGGCTTTTGTTCTCAGTGCTACGAGAGTTTTCATCTCCAAGATTAGTTGAGCAATTGGAACCAAATGGATAAATATAAAACCATAGAAACCATAGACTGGCTAGAAATCAAATACTTCTCTCCTCTTCTAGCTGCTTTTCTCAGTTGTTTCAGAGAGATTTTTGTGCATGTGCAATTTGTCCTTCAGGATAAAGTTTTTAAAGTAAACCAGATCTGGACCATATTGTTTTTATTAGAGAAAAACTGTCTTTAAAGTTGTAATAAACAAAGACCATAAAGCAGAGAGGAAAAATAAAAAGATTAAAGTAATTTTAAACTGTAATTCTAAGTGGGTCCAGATATTTTCATCCCACAGGAAAATTAAGTGCTGAAGTGAAAATGACCTCAAACAACGATCTAGTGTTATGGAAATTGCACCAAAGAATCTGTTTGTGAGAAGACTGCATTTGCTGTAGTCTCTTTATACTGCTCCTCTCAAGAGACCAGGCCTGTTGATCCAGGGCTACAGAGACCCAGTCCCAGATTCTGCATGTCACTCTTTCATGGTCCACAGCCAAGGCCTCCAACACCCAGACGGGTGGTGGGAAGGACATCTGGATGTGTCTTGGAACTCTATTTTTGAGTCAGGGTCTCTCTGCATTGCCTAGGCTGGTAGTACAATCATGGCTCACTGCAGCCTGTAACTTCTGGGCTTAAACGAGCCTCTAGCCTGAGCCTCTCAAGTAACTGGTACTATAGGTGTAGACCACCATGTCTGGCTAAATTTTTAAATTTTTTTGTAGAGATGGGGTCTTGCTATGTTGCCCAGGCCTATGTTACACCTGGAACTCTTGACACAGTCCTGAGACCTGATGTGTCTTAATTTGCTCCACTCAGAGGTGACGGTCCAGGCTGGAAGAATGAGATATACGATATACTGGCTTGATGAAAGTTTGGTTGGTGAATTGTCTTTCTAAAATGTTGCAAGGCATGACCTGGGATAAAATAAGGCTGGACCAAGGAAAACCAAGTGGTTCAGTCTGGACTTGCCCAGGAAGCCCATCTCAGGTCTGAGTCAGTGTGAACTGAGAGGTCAGATACACTCTAGGGGTGACCTGAGCGTGTGTCTCCATAAAGATTAGTTTACCAGGTCCTGGGTCAGCTTGGAAATATATGGATGGAGCTTTCTCAGAATTGAGCCCCAAAGTATGTTAAAATGTCCCAGCCTAGGCAATCCCGGCACTTTGGGAGGCTGATGTGGGCAGATCACGAGGTCAGGAGATCGAGACCATCTTGGCCACCATGGTGAAACCCCATGTCTACTAAAAATACAGAAAATTAGCTGGGCGTGGTGGCACACACCTGCAGTCCCAGCTACTCGGGAGGCTGAGGCATGAGAATCACTTGAACCTGGGAGGTGGAGGTTGCATGAGCCGAGGTTGCGCCATTGCACTCCAGCCTGGGCCACAGGGCGAGACTCCATCTTAAAAAAAAGTCCCAGACTCCCTTCTGCTTCTCTAGATTAGACCAAGAATGGATCCTCAAGCAAGACCAAACTCCCAAGATTGTCCTTGAATGAAGTGTGGGAACAGGCTCACATTTTTGTCCAGTGTTGACCCATACGGCTTTTTCCAGGAGAGCTTATTTAATTCATGGCCAGTTAGAGAGCAGTCCTTTGAAAACATGGTTTGGGGAGGATGATTGAGACATCCTAGCAAGTGAGCCTCATTACAAATAGGCTGGTGACTCAACTCTTCTAAAAATATAATGATCTATATGAAAATGCTATAAATCCTACAGTATCTCATCCCAAGGGAGTAATAAAGAACTGATTTAAGCTTGATAAAAAAAAAAGTGTGAGTGTTTATAGGCAGGTGGTAAGAGGTTTGGTTACCTCAGATATGCCCGACAGGCTACGCTCAAATGCATTATAACTGCTAGTACGTTGCTGGACCTCATTGTAGGCACAATAAACTCTGCAATGGGCTTTAATGTGGGAGAAAAGCAATGATGGCTCTTGTCCCCCATACCAGTTCACTATCATGAAAACTTCAGATCTCTGAGCCTGGTCATTTTTCTTCAAGTGCAAAGCCTGACCTACCTCTCTCTGGAGATTGATGTCTGCTCCTTGCAGAACCAGTTCCCTCACACAGTCTATGTGGCCAGCGTAGGCAGCAACCATCAGGAGTGTGGTGCCATGCTGGATGGAGGAGAGACAGATGAAGAGTTAGGCCACTGCTATGTCAGAGAGAAGGGTCCTAGAGAAGATGCTGCAGAGATGTCAGCTCCACTCAGAACACATCCAAGGGCAAAATTCCCTGCAGTGATAAAAGTGGTCATGAATAATCTCATCATGCAGCCTAGATGGGAAAAAGCAAAGTGACAAATTGCTGAGGTTGGAATTTTCGATGTAAAAATTCACTTACTTCCATTACCTTCAGAAGCACAGTCCAAATGAACCATAGTTACTGCATTTTAAGGCAGCGATGATATATTGCTCTCATTTTATGATTCCTATTAAATGATTCCTGAGCCAAAACATTGCTATTAATGCAAAAGAAAAATTAAATGGTACCATCTGATTTTCCATATTTAAAAGTCTTCATCTTCAAAATGATTCAGGTAAAGATGTATGGCACCAGGTGAAATGAGAGACTACAGAGTTGAGAGTCAGGAGCTGTGGGGGCTAAACCCAGGTAGCTGTCACTGACCAACAGTGTAACCTGGGCAAGTTGCTTACAATTACTTGGACTCATTTATTTCATTTTTAAAATGAGCGGTTGGATGGGATGATCACCAAAGTCTGTCCCAGCTTTAAGATTCAAGGACCTGAGGTGTACCATGTGATATGGACCCTTCTAATTGAAGTGGGCATTTGCAGTTTGACTTACAGTTGTTTTCAAGCACTTGAAATTGTAATCTTAGCTACCACCTCTGCATATTCAGCAACCTGCTGCTCAGAAGTGGATGATGAGAGAGACAGGTGACTCTGCACACAGGGGAGGCTCATTAGGTATAGGGTAATTAAGTGAATTTTGGAGGCTTCGTGTTATTTTCATCTACGGGATTTTGTAGGAAGGCAGTATTGCTGAGTAGTCACTGACAGTATGATCTTGGGCACATCATGTAACCCTTAAGTCTCATTCTCTTCATCTGAAATATGGGGGAATAATAAAAGTATCCACCTGATTAAATTACTGAATGAGATAAGTCAGGCAATATGGTTAACATAGTAATGGTAGATATTCGTTCAGTAAGTGTTAGATATTAAAATAACATTACGATAATTCAATGTTAGGCTGTCATCTGGCTTTTGTTGACTTCTGTCAATGGCCATGCTAGTTTTGTGAAAGTCTTGTTGGCTTTATGTAAAAAGTATCGGTAAAGTAACGAAGTAACGAAGTAACAAAAAGCTAATGGCTTCTTAGTGGTGCTCTATGGTATTTTTTTTTTTTGAGTCGAAGTCTCGCCTCCCAGGCTGGAGTGGGATGGCACGATCTCAGCTCACTGCAACCCCCGCCTCCCAGGTTCAAGTGATTCTCTTGCCTCAGCCTCCTGAGTAGCTGGGATTACAGGCGCCTGCCACCACGCCCAGCTAATTTTTGTATTTTTAGTAGAGGCGGGTTTCTCCGTGTTGGCCACGGTGACAACTGGTGTTTCTGCCCTACAGTTTTCCCACTGTGATGTAGGAACCAGCCCCGTAAAACCCAAATAAGACCAAGATGGCCAGTTCACAGATGCCCAAGACTTGACAGCAGCCCGAGTTCTGGCAAGGAACAGATGGTACATTCAGATTGGGATAATTGGAAGAAAGTGTAATAAAGAGACTATTAAGCTGAGGCCTGGGTGTAGGGCATCTACAAAGAACAGCACAGTACTGGGATCTAGGAACAGTGGGGGTCCATGACCAGCTGAGGCCTGAAGGTGCCAGGGGGGAAGGGAGCGGCTCCCAGGATGCAGAGAACAGTGGGGCGCTGCTGCCAGACAGAAACAGGGAGGGCGGTGGGCTCCCTGATGTCCCTCTCCTCCTACCCTCTGACTCCTGCAGATGCTCCTATGGGCCAAACACAACTGGAGGCCAGAGGAAAGCGAGTCTGCTGGAGCAGTACATACAATTCAGACTGTGGGACTAAGAGCGAGAAGGGTGTGGAGTGGGTCTGGAGGTGTAACCAAAGATATCCCGTAAACCAAAGATATCCTACTGTGATGCCCCCACGGGGCCAACTGGGGCAAACTGCTATTTCACTTTTGGGCTTGTGGTAGATTTCAAATTTGTACAATAAAAGCTGGAAATGGCACACCCTGTTTTCAGGAAAACAAAGCTCCTTTGAAACATTTTTATTCAAATCCTAAAATCAAAACATCATTGCTCGCTCCCTTTCCTCATTGGAGGTCCTCTTGGTCCCAGAGATGAGAAGTCTTGCTGAGGACAGAAAAACGATTGCCTCTAGCTGGGGATGGAAAAGCTCTCTAAGTGGTATCTGCCAGTGGGCAGTAGTATCTATTTTTGTTTCCCTTTTTAAATTGCCAATTAGTGTATTTATGTTTTCAAGAGGTAATGAAAGGATAAAATCCTGGGGGAGGCTTCAATTTTTGTTTTCTCATCCTTGTAGAAGAAACATAACGCCCACATCCATGGCAGCCCACTTGTGCTCTAAATTATCTCCATCTTTTCATGGAAGTGGTTGGCTTGAATTCTTTCACTAAACAGGCTTTTCTTCTTGTAATCTGCCAATTCTGATTCCCAGTGAAGTGCCTCTTTCCCTATTGTGGTTGCCTTCTGTTTTATGCATTTCATTGTTTCCTTTTCTTTCTGACTTCCCCCAGCATGTTTTTAAGTTCACCACAGTACCTTGGATGTTTTAAAAAGGATAAAGCAAGCAAACACATGAAAAAGTAAATAAGCATTGTAAAGGGGAATGTATTCCTGAGGTGCTCCTGTGCCCACAGAGGGCAATGGTGCATGCTGGGCATGCATCTACCGAACCACCGTACGCTGTCTCTGCAGTCCACGTCCACCCGGCCGCTGTTCAACAGCAGCTTCAGCAGCGCCAGGTTTCCTCTCCTGGCTGCCCAGAATGCAGCATTGGCAAGTGGAGTTTCCTTCTGCAAGAACAAAATGAAACAGGATCTTAAAATTGATGTCAGTTAACATGACTGCTGCTATGCACATAGATAATAACATTCAGAAAGAAGAACATCCAGATGTGTTGCATCATTTGAAAGATTGATCCTCCAGCAATAGACAACTGTAATAACAGAATGAACTCTGTTGGATTCCAGACACCTGAGCCACCACATGGCTATGAAGAGCAGTGTTGTTGATAATCCAGCACTATTAATAACCTATTTCCCACTAATGTTCTCACTTTCCTGCCTCTGTTGTGTTTTTGTTCACCCAGTTTCCTTTTTGCTTGAAATGAATTTTCCTCCATCCTTCAAGGCCAAGGCTCTGCTCGAATGCTATTTCCTCCCAGAAACACTCCAAATCTTTCCTCACCTCTAAGTGGGGCAAAATTTCTCCCAATTCTGACCTCTCAAAAGAGTTTACCTGCCCGTTTCCTAAGCCCTCAATGCTTTCTATCTGATTCCAACTACCTGTGTGAATGTTTCACTTTTCCTCCACCTAATTTTCTTTTTTTGTTTGTTTGTTTTGTTTTTGAGATGGAGTCTCACTCTGTCGCCAGGCTGGAGTGCAGTGGTGTGATCTTGGCTCACTGCAACCTCCCCTTCCTGGGTTCAAGTGATTCTCCTGCCTCAGCCTTCTGAGTAGCTGGGACTACAGGCGTGCGCCACCATGCCCAGCTAATTTTTGTATTTTTAGTAGAGACAGAGTTTCACCACGTTGGCCAGGATGGTCTTGTACTCTTGACCTCGTGATCCTCCCGCCTTGGCCTCCCAAAGTGCTGGGATTACAGGTGTGAGCCACCGTGCCCGGCCCCTCCATCTAATTTTCTTTGCTTCAGCTGGAACTTGCCAGAGGTTTGACTTGAGAACAAGGAACTTAGGGCAAATAATGCCATTACATGTCTTCATATGGATCCTTCATTCCACTGTTGGATCGTTTTGTTTGTTTGAGACAGGGACTCACTCTGCTGCCCAGGCTGGAGTGCAGTAGCATAGTTATGACTCACTGCAGCCTCGACCTCTCAGGCTCAAGCCATCCTCCCACCTCAGCATCCTGAGTAGCTGAGACCCCAGGCGCATGCCACCATGCCCGGCTAATTATTTTATTTTTTGTAGAGAGGTTCTCGCTGTGTGGCCTAGGCTGGTCTCGAACTCCTGGGCTCAAGCAATCTACCCACCTCAGCCTCCCAAAGTGCTGGGATTACAGGCGTGAGCCACTGCACTGGGCCTACTGGGTTATTTTAAAGCTACAAAGTTAATTTTGGAGCCATACCTATGGAAAGCATGGAAGTGGAAAACAGGTCTTCTAAATGGGTGGCAGAGCTGACTGTAGTACAATCTTCTTCTCTAAAATAATTGATATGAGTTTGTAGAGAACAGTCGACGAGAGGGAAGAACTGGCTTTGGGACCAGACAGCTCACCCCAGCCCTGCACAAGTAAGTTGGCCCTTGGGAATCTCAGTTTCCTCTTGCTTAGATGGAGATCACAGTACCTGCCTTGAAGTTGACGGTATTAAATGATGCTGATTTTTGCCTAATATTGTACCCAACACACCATAAATGCTGATTAAGTGCCAGTTTCCTTTCCTCTATTTACTTTTCTTTACGAAGTCAGAATCAATAGGCAAAATTAAATCCAGAGTATTGGTACTAATAAAGAATTTTGATGGTCTTAGGAAATTTTATAAAAGTATTCACATTGTTTAATGAAAGCATTTTTTGTGAGTGGGTTTAAAACATCTACGCGACTCAAAAGGCCTTTTGCGTAATATGCCTTTTAAATATATTGATATCGTATTAAATACAGTGCTTTTTCTAAGCTCAAAAGAAAATACCAACAATTTCAGCTACTCAACAAGCCCTCTAAAATGAAAGGACAGTGGCAGCAGTATTTGTGGGTGTGAGGATTTCATTTCAGAAGTCCTTCAGCACATACACAGGCGTACGCCCTTGTACATACCTGAATGAGAGAATGGCAGGGTGGAGAGTGATAAGCTAACAGCAAACATACTTTGAATAGTTTCCTGGCTCATTTAGAAGGGAAAAAAATCACCTCCAATTTCAGATGAACAATTTGCCTTTCCTGACCGTGTAAATTTTGCTATCCTGGAGTTTTCAAGGCAAACTGCAACCATGGTTTTCACACCAGTGTTGCAGCTTAGGCACCAGGCTGGGTCTAATTTGTTCCAGCTGTCAGTAACTAGGCAAAGAAATGGCAAGGGAGGTTTGACCTGTATAATGAATCATGAAACAAAGCCTTTTAACAAAGAGATTGCACAAGGCCAAAATGAAGTCTGGTAGGGTGAATCAGGCAGACAATGTAATATGCACCAGGGAACAGCTCTGCTAGCTTTTCCTGAAAGGTAAACACACAAGAATGATAGACTGTAATTCATTTTCAGGGACTCTGTCATTTCACTTTAACCCCAAATACCTTCAAAAGACCATCTGCAAACAGCAAGTGTCTATTGTCATAACAAGATCTCTAGTCGGGGCCTCTCCTCCCTTTAGGATGGTCTTGGGGATTCCTCTCCAGCTGGGCTGGCCATCCTGGTTTTCTATAAGGTTCTAGAAACCAAGCTTTGTGAAAAGCTATAAATATTTCATTTTCCTTCAAGGGCTTAATTTACTAAGAGGCAGCAACAGTGGGTATGGGAAGATTAGACAGACCAGAGACATTTTAAGGAGCTAAACTCCACAGCCTTGGTCTGTGATTGTATGTGCAGGAGAGGAGGGAATAGGAAAGTGGATTGACTCCTGATTTCTGGTTCCAGTGCCTGGCTGATCTTGGTGCCAATTCTTGAAGATTGGAAACACCGTACGAAGGACAGGCTTTGGAAAAAAATGATGAGTTCAGGGTTGGACATGGTGGGTTTCAAGTGCCTATGGGGCATCTAGGTGGCAATGTCTAGCAAAGAAATGGGCAGGTGCTCCTGTCACCCTATGGCCGGCACATTTACTGGAGGTCAGGAATCTTGAGCTAATGCTCACTCAGTGCAAAGTGCTTACTCTGGACCACGTGGCGTATCTTCTGCATACACTAGCTTATTTCATCCTCATCCTTGCTCAGTGAAGTGGGCACTGGGACGACCCCATTTTACAGATGAGGAAAGTGAGAAATGGCAAGTCAGGCTTCAGCAACAGGCAGTCTCTTGCTTGAGGCTGCCCTTTAACTCCCCATCACACTGTTCTGCCTCCTGTGGAATTCTTCTGTGGATAGCAAGGAGTAAGGCAGCAGTGACCCCCGGTGACCTCCTTCCTATCCTCCATCCCAAGCTCCTCTCCAGCTAAGATGGAAAGTCCCCAACGTTCCTTCTGTTTGGGGTCTATACACATCACATTCCCTGGATAACTTCCAAATCTCCTCTCAGTATGATATGCACACAATCATAAATGGTGTGGCGAGAGATGGGGCCAGTCCTCTAGCCTTTAAAGGAGACAGTGCACGTGAAAATACATCACAGAAACTGTAAAGCACTTTACCAAGCATGCTATTACTATTTCACCTCTTTCTTGATTTTTCTGATCTCTACAATAAAACCAAGGAGCTTCTCTCAGGCTTGCTGGTTCCAACCTTATAAGTAACAGCAAGGACAACTAAGTTGAGATCTTGCTCTGTATCAGGCAGTGTGCTAAACAATTTACTGCTTTAACTCATTTAATTCCAGGAGCAGCCCCATGAGGTAGTACAGTCATGTAATATATAATGATAGGCTGCATAAATGATAGTGGCCCTGTAAGATTATGATACCATTTTTTTACTGTACTTTTCTACATTTACATATGTTTAGATATGCAAATGCTCACCACTGTGTAACAATTGCCTACAGTATTCCATTCAGGAGCATGCTATAGAGTTTTGTCACCCAGGAGCAATAGGCTACACCATAGAGCCTAGATGTGCAGTCGGCTACACTCTCTATGTCTGTAGTAAGTGCACTCTATGATGTTTGCGCAATGAAAGAATAACCTAATGTGCATTTCTCAGAATGTGTCCTTGTTGTTAAGTAATGTATGACTGAGATAATTATTCCCATTTTTTCTTTTTATTTAAGATGGATAATCTCACTCTGTCACCCAGGCTGGAGTGCAGTGCCATGATCTCGGCTCACTGTAACCTCCGTCTCCTGGGTTCAAGCGATTCTTCTGCCTCAGCCTCCTGAGTAGCTGGGATTACAGGCACCTGCCACTACGCCCGGCTAATTTTTGTATTATTAGTAGAGATGGGTTTTCACCATATTGGCCAGGCTGATCTCGAACTCCTGACCTCGTGATCCGCCCATCTTGGCCTCCCAAAGTGCTAGGATTACAGGCGTGAGCCACCGCACCTGGCCTAGTCCCATTTTTTCTTTTATTTTTTACTTTTTAAAGGAAGGCCCCTCCTCTCCCCTCTCCTTCCCTTCCCTCTTCTCCCCTCCCCTCCCCTCTTTTATATGGAGTCTCGATCCGTTGCCCAGGCTGGAGTGCAGTGGCGCAATCTGGGCTCACTGCAACCATGCCTGACACTGACCATGCCTGGCTAATTTTTGTATTTTTGGTAGAGCTAGCGTTTTGCCACATTGGCCAGACTGATCTCATACTCCTGGCCTCAAGTAATCCACTTGCCTCAGCCTCCCAAAGTGCTGAGATTACAGGCATGAGCCACCATGCCTGGCCTATTATTCTTATTTTTAAGATGAGGAAATTGAGCATAGGAATGAGTTAGTCAAGGTCACGCAGTAAGGATCTTGGCTCATCCAAATAACAGAGCCGGGATTTAAGTCCAAGTTTGGGCTGGGTGCGGTGTCTCACGCCTGTAATCTCAGCACTTTGGGAGGCCCAGGCGGGCAGATCATGAGGTCGAGAGATCAAAACCATCCCAGCCAACATGGTGAAACTCCATCTCTACTAAAAATACAAAAATTAGCTGGGCACGGTGGCACGCACCTGTAGTCCCAGCTACTTGAGAGGCTGAGGCAGGAGAATTGCTTGAATCCGGGAGGCGGAGGTTGCAGTGAGCCAAGATCATGCCACTGCACTCCAGCCTGGTGACAGAGCGAGACTCTGTTTCCCCAGCCTCCACAAAAAATAAATAAATAAATAAATAAATAAATAAATAAATAAATAAATAAATCCAAGTCTGGACTGGACACGGTGGCTCACGCCTGTAATCCCAAGCACTTTAGGAGGCTGAGGTAGGCAGATCACTTGAGCTCAGGAGTTCGAGACCAGTCTGGCCAACAACGTGAAACCCTGTTTCTACTAAAAATACAAAAATTAGCTGGGTGTGACGGTCCACACGTGTAATCCCAGCTACTCGGGAGGCTGCGGCAAGGAATTGCTTGAACCTGGGAGGTGGAGGTTGCAGTGAACCAAGATGGCGCCACTGCACTCCAACCTGGGTGACAGAGCAAGACTCTGTCTCAAAAAAAAAAAAAAAAAAAAAAAAGTCTGATAGTCTGTTTGGGTCCAGAGTCTGAGATCTTACATTTTACACCTTGTAGAAAATTGAGTGCAAGCTTCCACATTTGTCATATTTTCTTCTCTCCCTACTTGCCCCCTTCCATTTACTGTCAGAATTTTGGCTAATACACTGCTCATCTGTACACTTCCAGAAATTGTACAGGAAGGAAGGGGAGAGGAAACACAGAGGAAAATTTATTTGTACAGAACTGGAATTCTAATTAAAAGCTAAGAGGGGGTAGAAATTTAAACTATTAGTTTAAAAAAGTTTAGAGTAATGTGGACTTCAATCGTACACTTATTAATTCAATCAAGAGAATATTAGCTCTACTCAATAATGAATTTCTATGATATTAGAGGTGACATAAAATAAAGATGTAGTGATGGATTGCAAAGCTATATGCAGAAAGATGTTTTTGAGACATCCATTGTCCCACTTTGTGCTAAGTATTTACAATTTTCAGAATGCTTAACAAACATCAAGCCTGTAAATCAAAAATAAAATTTTAAGCCCCCCCACTGACTGAGTGAACCCCCCTCTTGGCCCAGGGGATCCCAAAGAAAACCTGAAAAGTTCAGGCCATGACAGGAAGGGAGGTCTGATATATCTCATTACACTTCACTCCCTTTGGAACTTAGGCGCAACGATTAACCAGCATTAATATTAAAATATAGTTCATAAGATTCACAAAACAGACTCTTTGTAGAATAAGATACCCACTCCAACCTGGCTGGGGTATAGTATCATATGACAGCAGACCCTGAAGGAAATATGAAATTCTTTTTTTTAATTTTTTTTATTTTTTGAGACGGAGTCTCACTCTGTCACCCAGGCTGGAGTGCAGTGGCGTGATCTCGACTCACTGCAAGCTCTGCCTCCCGGGTTCAAGCGATTCTCCTGCCTTAGCCTCCTGAGTAGCTGGAATTACAGGCACTTGCCACAACGCCTGGCTAATTTTCGTACTTTTTAGTAGAGATGGGGTTTCACTGTATTAGCCATATTGGCCAGAATGGTCTTGAACTCCTGACCTCAGGTGATCTACCCGCCTCAGCCTCCCAAAGTGCTGGGATTACAGGCGTGAGCCACCGTGCCTGGCCTCCTTTTACTTTAAAAAATAATTCTCTGAGTTTCGTTTTACTTTAAAAGATAATTCTGGCCGGGCGCGGTGGCTCACGCCTGTAATCCCAGCACTTTGGGAGGCCGAGGCGGGCGGATCACAAGGTCAGGAGATCGAGACCATCCCGGCTAAAACGGTGAAACCCCGTCTCTACTAAAAATACAAAAAATTAGCCGGGCGTAGTGGTGGGCGCCTGTAGTCCCAGCTACTCGGGAGGCTGAGGCAGGAGAATGGCGTGAACCCGGGAGGCGGAGCTTGCAGTGAGCCGAGATCCCGCCACTGCACTCCAGCCTGGGCGACAGAGCGAGACTCCGTCTCAAAAAAAAAAAAAAAAAAGATAATTCTAACAAACATGTGTCTGTGTTCTCAAGCAGAAGAGATTAGGAGTTGCCAGTTGTTAAAGGAAGTTTGCTGGAGGCAAAGTGGTACCAGTGAGAAGTCACTGATAACAGCTTGACGGAAAAACCATCAAAAGTAGACGCAAAGGAGTCATGTAGCTCAGATGCAAGCAGCCCTACATACATTGATTCTGAATCATCAAGAAGAGCCTAAATTGTGACTTATAATGCTCTATTTATTCTTCCACAGACTCGCCTAACAAACCAGGGCCTTTTTACACGTAGGCTTTGGAGACCCAGAGCCTAGGGCCTATGAGTCTTTCAGGAGCCTATGAAAATGAAAAAGTTAATCTGTGTTTCCCAAATCAAAGTTAATAAATATTCAATTAAATAGCTACAAAACATAACATCCTGTCAACTTTATTAACTGCTAAATTTGGTATTCATAAAATACTGATGCCACATGAAAATCATTTGTAGGTCTGATTTGCTCGCTGCATGAGTTACTGACCAACTATGACAACTGCAGAAAAATGGACAAAAGGTAAATTAAATGAGTAACTTACAGCTAAATCATTTAAAAAGCAGTGTCACAAAATCCTTTCAAAAATTTTACAATAAAAGGTCTCTTTTATTATTGTGGCCGTGGGTGCATTTTAATATGTTTGATAGGATGGGAGGTGGATAGAAGAATGTTGCTAATGCAAATCTCAGACTGGCCTGGGACTCTGCTCTGGACAGACCTTCCCTCTGTGCCTTCTGGAAGTCCATTTCACAGTAAATCAACTCCTCTTCATCCTTTGCCTAGCGCAGAGCACTCCCTCTCTCCCTGCCTCAACCTCCCCAGTGCCTGCTCCCGGTGGAAGCAAGGCCTTCTCCCACATCAGCACTGCAGTGAATAGGCCCACCTGGCTTCCAGGCCACTGCCCCTCCATCAGGGGTGCAAATCTCTGCTCCTTCAAGACTCAGGTCGTCCCACCTTCCCAACCTCTACCTCACCTCACCTGGCAGTTGTCACCTCCTTATCGTTCACCACCTGATCGTTCTTCCTTATTCATGGAAAACGTTGGCACCTGGCTTGCCAGCCTCCTTTCTACCTACCCCAAATCCTGACTTCATCCTGGGCTTCACTTTACAAAACATCCACACTCAACCTCACCTCCTTTCCCTTTAGCCCAACGGGAGAGGTTTCCTTCTGCCATTCTAGCTAATTCCACAGCGAATGGAGCCCAGCTCAGGCTCACCGCCCTCAACTCCCTGAGAAATTCAGTCACTCAGCAAAATCATCCCCAAGCCTTCTCCTCATTCCCTATTATGATTTAAAAATACTTAAAAAAATTGAGATATAATCTACATACATAAAATTCATCCTTTCAAAGCATACAATCCAGTGGGTTTTGGTGCAATCATAAGGTTGCACAACCATCACCACTATCTATTCCAGATTATCTACCCATCAACAATCACTCGCCATCCCCTCCTCTTCCCCAGCCCCTGGCAACCACTAATCGACTTTCTGTCTCTATGGATTTGCCGATTTTGGACATTGCATATAAATGGAATCATACAATATATGGCATTCTGTGTCTGGTTTCCTTCACTGAATATGTTTTTAAGTTTCATCTATGTTGTAGCATGCATTAGTGCTTCATTCCTTTTTATGGCTGAATGATAGTCCATTGTACAGATTACCATGTTATGGACTAAATGCTTGTGTTCCTCCCCAAATTCATATGCTGAAGCCCTAACCACCAATGTCTTGCGAGCCCAATCCCCTGCCCGAGTTGGTCCAGAAAGCAGGACCCACCACTCAGTGAGTTCAGAAGGCAAAGCACTGAACCAAAGAGGATTATTCTCAAACTTTAAGTTCTAATAATATTTGCCTTGCTAGGTATTGGACTTGCTTGTGACCTGTCATTCCTTTCTTCCAATTTCTCCCTTTTGGGGTGGAAACATGTATATCCTATGCCTGTCCCACTGTCGTATTTTAGAACCACAAAACTTGTTTGAGGACTAGGCATGGTGGCTCACACCTGTAATCCCAACACTTTGGGAGGCCAAAGCAGGAGGATTGCTTGAGTCCAGGAGTCTGAGATCAGCCTGGGCAACACAGGGAGACCCCTATCTCTACAAAAAATAAAAAATATTAGCCAGGCATGGTGGTGCAAGCCTGTAGTCCCAGCTACTCGGGAGACTGAGGCAGGAGGATCGCTTGAGCCCAGGAGGTCAAGGCTGTAGTGAATCGTGATTGTGCCAGCCTGGGCAGGCGACAGAGTGAGACCCTGTCTCAAAACAAAAGCAAAAACAAAAACAAAAAACTTGTGTGATTTCACAGGCTCACAGCTAGAGAAGAATTTCACTTGGGATGAATCATACCTTGAGTCTTACCCAATATCTGATTTAGATAGTTAGATGAGACTGTGGATTTTAGAGTTGATGCTGGAACTAGCTAAAACTTTGGGGACTGTTGGGATGGAATGAATATATGTTGCACGCAAGACAGACATGCCAGGAGGACAGGGGCTGAGGACTGAATGTTTGCATCCCCCCAAAAATTCATGTGTTCAAGTCCTAATGCCCAGTGTAATGATTTTAGGAGGAGCAGTCTTCGGGAGTCAATTAAGTTTAAAAGAGGTTGTGTAGGTATAGCCCCCATGATGGAATTAATGTCCTTAAAAGAATTAGAGACACCAGGGCTTTCTCTCTTGGTCATGTGAGGAAACGGGGCATGCACAGGTGGCCATCTGTAAGTCAGGAAAAGTGCCCTCACCAGCCACCTTGATCTCAAGACTTCCTAGCTCCAGAACTGTGAGAAATAAATGTCTGTTGTTTAAGCCTCCCTATCTATGGTATTTATAATATAAAACACTTTTTTTTTGTTTGTTTTGAGACAGAGTCTCACTCTGTCACCCAGGCTGGAATGCAGTGGTATGATCTTGGCTCACTGCAACCTCTGTCTCTAGGGTTCAAGTGATTTTCCTGCCTCAGCCTCCCCAGTAGCTGGGATTACAGGCACCTGCCATGACGTCCAGCTAATTTTTGTATTTTTAGTAGAGACGGGGTTTCACCACGTTGGCCAGGCTGGTCTTAAACTCCCGACTTCAGGTGATCCGCCACAGCTTCCCAAAGTGCTGGGATTACAGGGATGAGCCACTGTGCCTGGCCCACATTTTGTTTTTATCATCAGTTTATGGACATTTGGATTGTTTCCACTTTCTGACTATTATGAATACTATTGCTATGGATCTTTATGTTCAAGTTTTTGTGTGAACACGTTTCCATTTCTCTTGGGTATATTCCTAGTAGTGAAATTGCTGGGTCATGTGGTAACTCTATATTTAACTTTTTGAGGCTGGGTGCGGTGGCTTATGCCTGTAATCCCAGCACTTTGGAAGTCTGAAGCAGGTGAATCACGAGGTCAAGAGATCGAGACCATCCTGGCCAACATGGTGAAACCCGGTCTCTACTAAAAATACAAAAATTAGCTGGGCATGGTGGCGCATGCCTGTAGTCTCAGTGACTCAGGAGGCTGAGGCAGGAGAATTGCTTGAACCCGGGAGGCAGAGGTTGCGGTGAGCTGAGATCGTGCCACTGTACTCCAGCCTGATGACAGAGTGAGACTCCATCTCAAAAAAGACAAAAAAAAAAACAAAAAACAAACAAACAAAAAAAACTTTTTGAAGAAAGACAAGCATGGTTTTAAAAATGACTGCATCGGCCAGGCGCGGTGGCCCACGCCTATAATCCCAGCACTCTGGGAGCCCGAGGCAGGCAGATTACCTGAGGTCAGGAGTTCAAGACCAGCCTGGCCAACATGGTGAAACCCCGTCTCTACTAAAAATGCAAAAATTAGCCGGGCGTGGTGGCACATGCCTGTAATCCCAGCTACTCGGGGGGCTGAGGCAGGAGAATTGCTTGAGCCCGGGAGGCAGAAGTTGCAGTGAGCTGAGATCATGCCATTGCACTCCAGCCTGGCTGACAGAGTGAGACTCTGTCTCAAAAAAATAAATAAAATAAATAAATAAAAATGACTGCATCACTTCATACTCCTACCAGCAATGCATGCAGATTCAATTTCTCCACATCCTTGCCAACATTCGTCATTGTCTTGCTGATTAAAGCCATCCTAGCGGGTATGAAGTGGTATCTCATTACAGTTTTGTATTTGCATTTCCAAGACCATGGCTAATAATGTTAAGCATCTTTTCAGGTGCTTACGGGCCATTTGTAAACTTCTTGGGAGAAATGTCTATTCATATGTCCACTTTAAAATTAGGCTTTATTTGTCTTTTTATTGTTGAAGTGCCTATCATCATTTAAAGATGCTCAAGTCTCTACCATTTTAAAGCAAACAAACACTTGGTCAATTCCAGATCCTTGCTGCAGCCACTGCCTTTTAAAAAGAATCTCTGGGTTGGGTGCCGTGGCTCATGCCTCTAATCCCAGCACTTTGGGAGGCTGAGGCGGGCGATCACGTGAGGTCAGGAGTTCGAGACCAGGCTGGCCAACATGGCGAAACCCCGTCTCTACTAAAATTACAAAAAATTAGCTGGGCTTGGTGTCAGGCACCTGTAATCCCAGCTACTCAGGAGGCTGAGCCAGGAGAATCGCTTGAACCCGAGAGGCAGAGGTTGCAGTGAGCCAAGATTGCGCCACTGCACTCTAGCCTGGGTGACAAGAGCAAGACTTTGTCCAAACAAACAAACAAACTAACAAAAATCTGTTTCTTGCAGAATTTCTTGAAAGAGTTCTCCACACTTGTGGATTCTACCCACTCTCTTTCAAGCTATTGCAATCTGGCTCCTGATCCTAACACCACTGAAAGTGCTCTTGGCAAGGTCACCAGTGCCTATTCCGTCACTAAATCCAATGGACTTTTCAATTCTTTGTTTATTTGATTTCCCTGTGGCATTAATAAACATCAAGGTCCTCTTCATCTTTGTTGAAAGATTAGAGATGCTTGGTGTAAGTGACAGCACATGCTTCTGAGTTTTCTCATTCGTCTCTGGCTGCTCTTTCTCAAATCTTCTTCAAGATTTTGTCCTCAGTCCTCTTATTTTCCACCTTTATATGGTTCCACTGGGCAATCATGTTCATTCCCATGGGTGCCTACTTAACACTGCTGACTCCTAAATCTCATCTCTAGCTGCTGCCCAGACTTGCCTCCTGGGATCGAGGAGAGTATATCTGTCTAATCAACATCTCTGCTTGGATTCCCATCTATCCTCAAAATTTATCCCAAACCAAACGTTTTATCTTTATCTCTCTTGCCTTCCCTACTGAATTATGCCGATTTAAAACTTTTAAAGTCGGCCGGGCGTAGTGGCTCACGCCTTTAACCCCAGCACTTTGGGAGGCCAAGGAGGGTGGATCACCTGAGGTCAGGAGTTCGAGACCAGCCTCGCCAACATGGCAGAACCCCGTCTCTACTAAAAATACGAAAAAATTAGCTGGGCATGGTGGCGCACGCCTGTAATCCCAGCTACTCTGGAGGGTAAGGAAGGAGAAATAGCTTGAACCCGGGAGGCGGAAGTTGCAGTGAGCTGAGATCACACCATTGCACTCCAGCCTGGGCAACAAGAGCAAAACTCCGTCTCAGGAAAAAAAACTTTAAAGTCATTCACATTCGTCTGCTTCGTTCCATTCTCACCACCTATGCACTGGTCCAGTACCATTTCTTAAAAAGATGACAACATCTTCCAGCTCCAACCCTCTTCTCCAAACCTAGCCAGAGATCTTTGCAACATGCACATCTCGCCATGTCACTCCTCTGCTTACATGAGCTATTGTCGGCAACGGGATTACAGTGGCTTAGGAGTCAGACACACTTGGGTTTCAGTCTTAACACCATAACTTATTGGCTGCAAAACCGTGGGTGAGTTAATTTCTCTATATCTTAGTTTTCTCATTTGAAAAAAAAAAAAAAAAGAGCCACGAAGAGCACCTCCCACAGGTCTCCCCCAGGGTTGAGACCATACACACCATGTCCTTGGTTCAGAGTCAGGCACATTTGAACTGTTTAATACATTTTAACTGCTATTTTTATTAAACCCTTTCAATCGAGGCAAATCAACCTCTTTCATCCTAAAATGTGGGGATTAGATGGAATGACTTTAATCAACTCTTTTGAGACAAGACACCTTTGGACCCTGAAGCCTCCCTGGGTGCTGGCCACCCCTCCGGGGAGGAGGCATCCGTGGGTGCAGCTGGTACTCCTGCATGAGGACCCAGAGGGTCAGGGTCGGGGACTCCTTCTGCTGCAGGACAGCGCTGACCCCAGGCTTCTTACCCGCCCCCGACCTGTTACCCGGCGACAGTCCCCGCCGCCCCGTCGCCGGGCACAGACTCAGCCGATCCACAGCCATGAGTGCGAAGCCTCTCAGGCAGGGCAGGCAGGCAAACCGCAAACCCACAGGGCGCACCCAGCCCCGCCGCTTCCTCCCGGGCCTCGCCCGCAGCTGGAGGAGAGAGGAAGGAGGAGGCGGCGGGCAGCGGGCAGCGCCCACCCCATCCCACCCCATCCCACCCCACCCGACCCCGCGGGCCCGGCCGCCCGAGCCCGGCCCCAGCCCTGACCCCGGAGTCCCGGTCGCTCACCTTGAAGGACATCCTGCACATGTCCGCGGCCGCCCGAGCGGGAGCCGGCGCGCTTTGGGCCCGGGGCGCCTTGTCCTCCCCGGCCCTTCACTCTCCCGGGGCTCTCGGCGTTCCGCAGAGGGGCGGCCTCCGACGCCGCGCGCTCCCGCCGCCCGGCCCGGCAGCAGCCGCCGCACACAGGGCCGGGCCGAAGGGGCGGCGCGGGGGCGCGCGCGCGCGCACACTACACATGGGGTGTCGCGTGGACGCGCTCCAGGACCTGCCACACACGCGCGTGCACAAACACCCCAAACTCCGCACGCACTGTGCACTTTCCACACACGTCCACACTTCCACACTCACTCGTCCACACACACACTCCAAACTCCACACACATTGTGCATACGCTCCACATTCCACACACACAGAGGTTCCACACACATACTTTCCACACTCACGCCCACTCACCCGCATGTACTCACACACAAACTCCATACATATCCTCCCAAATAGACTGGTCTGCCCCAGAGGACTCCCAACCTTCATTACAGCACAAATATTATAATGATGTAAAAATGAAGCTTGAGGAAAAAATTCATCCAATAGCTATTTTCGTTATAATTTCTTTCTCGGTTTCCTGGGAAACTTTTTTCTCCTGGGGAAAATATCTAGGAAACAAACCTTTTGATTGCACAAACAATAAGTGGTCTTTTCCTCTTTGAAGGGCAAAGGCCAATTTTGGAATAGACTCATACCCCTCCTCCTCCTCCGCGTTATTAATCCAGCAGTTCCCTCCTCCTCTGGGTCTGATGCTGCAGCCCTGGAGTATTGCAGTATGTGTGTCCACTCCTGCTGCCTGCCCAGGATTGGTTTGGGCGAAGTAAAACTGGGAGTTTTAAGTATAAACGGCAACAACAGCTCTTTGAGAGCATTTTAGAAAAGTGAAAGTAAAAAAGTAGCCCAGGCATAGTGGCTCACGCCTATAATCCCAACTCTTTGGGAGGCCAAAGGCGGGCAGATCACTTGAGTCCAGGAGTTCGAGATCAGACTGGCCAACATGGCAAAACTCTATCTCTACTAAAAATACAAAAATTAGCCAGGCGTGGTGGTGCGCACCTGTAGTCCCAGCTACTCGGGAGGCTGAGGTGGGAGGATCGCTTGAACCTGGGAGGTTGAGGCTGCAGTGAGCCAAGATTCGGTCACTGCACTCCAGCCTGGGCAACAGAGCAAGACTCTGCCTCAAAAATAAAAATAAAAACAAAACAAAAAAATAGTATAAAAATGGAGGTCTTACCCCCTCAAACTATAAGAATCCACTCATTCATTCTCCCCCTCCTTCCCTCTTCTCAATTAAATTTGTAACGAATATTTAATTTAAAAGGTAGAAAACAATTACAAATAAAAGTTAATGATAAAAATTAAAATGTTTAACCTTCATGGATAAATTGTATTACTTTGTGCTTAAAACAACTTTAAATTAAAAACATTCTGAACTTTTATAGAAAATTCCAATTTTAAAAATAAGGACTCTAAACATTTTCCTTGCCTTGAGTGCCTATAAATGACACAGTTTTTAAGTTGCCACACAACGTTATTATATAAAAATCAAGCATCAGAGGTTTTGCTTTAATAGTTTTTTGTTTGTTTGTTTGTTTTTTCTTCTCAGATGGAGTTTCGCTCTTTTGCCCAGGCTGAAGTGAAGTGGCATGATCCTGGCTCACTGCAACCTCCACCCCCCGGGTTCAAGCAATTCTCCTGCCTCAGCCTCTCGAGTAGCTGGTATTATAGGCTCCTGTCACCGTGCCCAGCTAATTTTTGTATTTTTAGTAGAGACAGGGTTTCGCCATGTTGGCCAGGCTGGTCTCGAACTACTGACCTCAGGTGATCCACCTGGTTCGGCCTCCCAAGGTGCTAGGATTACAAACGTGAGCCACCGCGCCTGGTCTGCTTTAATAGTTTTGATAAATAAAAGGGAGAAAGGAAAGAACTAATATTTTGAGTGTTTTCTAGGTACAAGGTGCTTTCCTTATAAACATTTTATGGGGTGAGTATTAACCCATTCCACGGATGAAAAAACTAAGATTCTGAGAGATTGGAGTAATTTGCTAATAAGTGATAGGGCTAGGTGTTTGTCTAGCTCCAAAGCCTGTTTCCTTTCCGTTACACTTGAGCTCAAAGCTGCTTTTCTCTGGCCAGGGTGCTGATGGGATTCTTGTCAGTCTCTGGAAAGAACGTGCCTAACACCGTCTGACACACGCGGTTAAACTCATCTTCATATAAACAGCTCTGAAATGGAACAAAGCTCTCATGGTCACAACAGGCAATTCTTTCTAAAATGGTCCACTCCAAACTTTAATAGTGACCCACTGGACCTAATACAAGATTTAATCTGCACGGCCCAGTTTTCTTATCCAAACATCTTCTCACTACCCAAACAGAGCCTCTCCATCCTTGTCATCCTGTCAAACAAAAGGGATAAAGGAAAAAACTAATATTTTGAGTGTTTTCTAGGTACAAGGTGCTTTCCTTATAAACATTTTATGAGGTAGGTATTATACCTATTCCATAGATGAAAAAAGTAAAATTCTGAGAAAATGGAATAATTTGCTAATAAGTGATAGAGCTAGGCGTTTGTCTAGCTCCAAAATCTTATCACTGCTCTCTTCCCACTACGGCTCTCTTTCATCTCCTCTCTTTTGTCTGCCAAATCCCAACCTACCCAGGGTGTTACCCCCAGCTCAAGTTCCTCTTCCTACACCCTGGTTCTCAGTCATCTTCCTCCCAACTTTGCTGAGCTCTTGCCATGGTTCTGCTCTACACCACATCCCTCAACCCTGATTCCACAGGGTCTGGTATTGCTCTCAGTTCTACTTCTGTTGCTTTTGATTTCTTCAGCAGAGTTGAAATTCTTCAAGGCCAGGCCCTGTGTCTTATGTATCTTTTATTTTCCCCAGGGGCTAATTTACGGCTGGAGGCATGGTAGATGGTCAAAACTTATTCATCATTGAATTAGTAAAAGAGTCAGGGGGTTGTGTTATCCAAATCTACCAAGTCAGAAGGCCCACTCTTATCCACAGACATGCATTACTCAGATGCACAGACATCTGTGTTGATCTCAAATGAGTCCATAGTCATTGTCACCTTCTGTTCACACCAGCACAGACCTTGATGTGTTTGGCCTCTATTTTGCACTGTCCCAGTTGATGGTCCAACAGGATTTGCCCTCGACAGAATTGAGAAGTAGGTCAATCTGGTCTACTGAGCTTTCTTTTTTTTTTCTTTTTTCTTTCTTTCTTTTTTTCAAGACGGAGTCTTGGTCTGTTACCCAGGCTGGAGTGCAGTGGCATGATCTTGGCTCACTGCAACCTCCACCTCCCGGGTTCAAGCGATTCACCTGCCTCAGCCTCCTGAGTAGCAGGGATTACAGGCACAGGCCACCAAACCCGGCTAATTTTTGTATTCTTAGTAGAGACGGGGTTTCACCATGTTGGCCAGGCTGGTCTCAAACTCTTGACCTCGTGATCTGCCAGCCTCTGCCTCCCAAAGTGCTGGGATTACAGGCATGAGCCACTGCGCCCAGCCTACTGAGCTTTCTAACACCCTTTTTGTAATCAGGCTCCTTCATCCAACTAAGAGTTCATGCTGGACATCTTTTCTGTCTTTATTCTCTGTCTACTTCCCCATCCCACATCTTTTAAAATTTTTGTATCTATTTATTTTTTATAAGGATAGGGTCTCTGTCACCCAGGCTGGAGTGCAGTGGCAGGATCACAGCTCACTGCAGCCTGGAATTCCTGGGCTCAAGCAATCCTAATGCCTCTGCCTTCTGAGTAGCTAGGACTACAGGCACATGCCACTATACCGTCTAATTTTTAAAAACATTTTTTTACAGATAGGATCTCGCTATGTTGTTCAAGCTGGTCTTGAACTCCTGGCCTCAAGCCATCCTCCCACCTCAGCCTCCCAAAGTGCTGGGATTACAGGCATGAGCCACCATGCCCAGCCCTTGTTTAATTTTTAATTTTTATTTAATTTTATTTTTTAGAGATGGGGCATCACTATATTGCCCAAGCTGGTCATTAAGTCATAGGCTCAAGTGATCCTCCCTGTCAGCTTCCCAAAGTGCTGGGATTACAGGTGCATGCCACTATGCCCAGCTTCCACCTCACATCTCCCAGCTAGTTAGCTCCGTCTCTCCTAACCTATTGGAATTTACCCTAGATGAGGCTTCTTGCAGTGGGGACTGTAGCAGACACAGCTTGGAGTAATCTACCCAACACCCATTGCTCCCTTCCTTTCCCTATCAGAATGTCAGTTTTGCTCAGTTTTGTCCATCATACTCCCCCTGGAGATTTGCTTAAGGGGAACATAGCCCTTTGTTCCATCCAAAGTCCTCTTGTTTAGGCTGGTGATAGTGCTTGAATTAGGTGTGGGCAGGTGACAAATTCTGATCTTTGAGATGTCAGAGGAGGTGTGTTGGGGGCTTTTGAGAAAGATTTCCTTGGTTGTAAGACATACCCAGGAGAAGATGGTCCTTATTCCTTGGGACACTGTACTGTACAAGTACAATGCCTGGAATGACTGCAGACACCTTGTGACCATAAGGAAAACTACCCCCTGAAGGTGGCAGAGCAGACCATGGTGTCACTAAGGCCCTGTGTTGACCAATGGGGAATTCTTATTTCTTTCTTTTTTCTTTGAGATGAAGTTTCGATCTTGTTGCCTAGGCTGGAGTGAAATGGCATTATTTCAGCTCACTGCAACCTCTGCCTCCTTGGGTTCAAGAGATTCTCCTGCCTCAGTCTCCTGAGTTGCTGGGATTTCAGGCTCATGCCACCACGCCTGGCTAATTTTTGTACTTTTAGTAGAGACAGGGTTTCACCATGTTGTCCATGCTGGTCTCAAACTCCTGACTTCTTGATCTGCCCGCCTCAGCCTCCCAAAGTGCTGGGATTACAGGTGTGAGCCACCGTGCCCAGCTCACAATCTTTCTTAAGCATACAGTAACATAATGGGAATATGTATATTCTGCTCTTTACAAAGCATGATAATGTGAGCATTTCCTCCTAGCATTAACAGTTCTCTGAAAATCTGTAATTTATTTATTTATTTATTTTGAGATGAAGTTTCGCTCTTGTTGCCCAGGCTGGAGTGCAAGGGCATGATCTTGGCTCACTGCAACCTCCCCGTCCCAGGTTCAAGTGATTCTCTTGTCTCAGCCTCCCGAGTAGCTGAGATTACAGGCACATGCGACCACACCCGGCTAATTTTTGTATTTTTAGTAGAGACGGGGATTCATCATATTGGTCAGGCTGGTCTCGAGCTCTTGACCTCAGATGATCCACCCCCCCCGCCGGCCTCCCAAAGTGCTGGGATTACAGGCATGAATGAACCACCATGCCCAGCAAAATCCATCTCTTATGGCTGCAGTTATATTGCATATACTATAATTTATTCAACCTTTCTTCTTTTATAAAACCTTTATGTAGATTTTCATTTTTATTATTAAAAATAACTCTACTCAGCCAGCCTTCACTAAAGGCATTTCTGCTTATTGTAATGACACACACCCAGCGAGGCACATTGAAAACCAGAGGAAACTAGACGATGTGTAAAGTTCTGCCGCCCAATTTTTTAGCATCATTGAAAACCCTAAGATGGAAAGCATCTTTTGGAACCCTGAAATTCTACCATCCAAGAAAAAATATTCTTTTATTACTCTTCTACGGTGGCTCACCCCTGTAATCTAAGCACTTTGGGAGGCCCAGGAGGGCAGGTTGCCTGAGCTCAGGAGTTTGAGACCAGCCTGGGCAGCACAGTGAAACCCCGTCTCTACTAAAAATACACAAAATTAGCTGGGTGTGGTGATGCGCACCTGTAGTCCCAGCTACTCAGGTGGCTGAGGCAGAAGAATTTCTTGAACCCAGGAGGTGGAGGTTGCAGTGAGCCGAGATCGCACCACTGTACTCTAGCCTGGGTGACAGAGCGAGACTGCATCTCAGAAAAAACAAAAACAAACAAAAAAACCTCTACACTTCCAGCCTGGGCAACATGATGAAACCCTACCTCTACTAAAAAAAAAAAAAATACAAAAAATTAGCCAGGCTATAGTTCCAGCTACTCGGGAAATGAGGCTTCCTGCAGCGGGGATCTCATTTGCTTAACATTTTTCTATTGTTCTTTGGTTCACTGCTAACAGTCTTGTAAATCCTTGCTTGCTTGCTGAAGCAGTCTCTTCTTTTGGGTGGGGCATCCGAATGTTGCCACCTGGCAGGGTGCCCTGGCCCATGGAAGGCTGGTCCCGGCTTGGCTTTAAGTGAAGGTTCCACTGCACTTCCTTCTTTTCCCTGGGGAGGAGGAGTCCCACACTGACATGGAGGAACTCTACAAAATGGCCCAATGATCCTCCAAGTAGCCAATAACCATCTAGGTCTTTTTTTACTGTTTGCTTTTTGGTATATTCTTTTCATTTATTTTTATTTTTATTTTTTAAGAGATAGGGTCTCGCTCTGTCGTGCAGACTGTAGTGTGCAGTGGCATAATCATAGCTCACTGAAGCCTTGAATTCCTGGGCACAAAGGATCCTCCCGCCTCAGTCTCCTGAATAGCCGGAAGTTTAGGTGCAAACCACCATGCCTGGCTAATTTTTGCCTGCCTTCCTTCCTTCCTTCCTTCCTTCCTTCCTTCCTTCCTTCCTTCTTTCCTTCTTTCCTCCCTCCCTCCCTCTCTCTCTCCTTCCGTCGTTCCTCGTCTCCTTTCCTCCTCTCCTTTCTTTCCTTTCCTTTCTTTTCCTTCCTTCTTTTCTTTTCTTTTTTCTTTTTTAGATAGGGTCTCACTATGTTGCCCAGGAGGATCTAGACTCTTGGCTTCAAGCCATCCTCCCACCTCAGCCTCTCAAGGTGTTGGGATTGCAGGCATGAGCCACTGCACCTGGCCTCAGATGCGCTAGTAATTTTGCTTTTATTATCCATCACAGTGATTTAACAAAGTGTTAGATTTCCTTCACTCTAGTGATGGAATGGACGATGCTCCATTAGGGTCAGTTGCCCTTAGCATTGCTCCATCAGATGCTTTGCAGTTTAAAACATGCAGTGATGAGCCCTGAATACATGGCAGGATTTCTGGGAGCCTCATCTGTGACCCAGTGGACAAGGCACAGGTGTAAAAATGCCAGCCTTAAGGAGCCTTCAGTCCCTGGCCAGACATCTAGCTGTTGCCTGAGTGTTTGATTTTCATTTGGATATTTAGCATTATTGTGTAACTCTCAGCTTCCAACCTTTGTTTAAGGAGAGTCTGGGCTAATGGTTGGAAAGTACCCTATCACTAATCTGGCCCTTGGGAATAGAAGCATCTATTATGAATGGGCCCAGAGGAGGCGTCTCCTAAGTGAAGCTGCCTTCGACATTCTGCTGAGGGTTCCAAGTATTCACACAAGAGCAGTATCTTTGAATGTACTGGGGACTCTGAATTCTGTCTAGTTGATGTACCAGTCCTTAGATTTTACTGCCAAGTTGCTAAAACCATATGGGGTAAAATGTAGGAGATACGTACACACAGACTTAGTTCTCAATTATTTGCCAATTGGCACTTGTTTCATTTAATCTTTAATTGAGCCAAAACCAAGAAGCCAAAAAAGCTGAGTTCAATCATTAGGGAAAATGGACAAAAAGACTCCTGTGCTATGGAAATTGTCTCACCGCTTTACATGGGAGCAAGAGTGGAATGCAAACTTAATTTTGTTTATGGCAAAAACGGATCTCCTGCCCCCATGGCTGAAATGCAGAAAGTAACATTTTTATTAACATTTGACTTTTGGGGCCCTGTTTGGCAATTCTATAGTAATATCACAAACTATATATAATATACCAGATTACAGTGTACATCTCAAGTGTGGCTGGAGCCTCATTCTTTCAGTGAGGCTTCCTTAGTGGGCTTCTCACAGCTTAGAGGTAATATGGCAGCTTAGATTTGCAGGGACCTCAGTGGGCTGAACATCAGATGGTGAGCCACATGGGAGCAGAAGCTGTGTGTGCCTCCTTTTGGCAGCCCCGATGCCAAGTCCAGAGCCTAGCACATTGTTGGTGTTCACTGAGCATTTCCGAATAAGTGAATGAATAAATGAATCCTCACAGATTATCTGAGGAGCCACAAACCTCTCAAATATGAAACCAAAGTTTCTGAGGCACTTTCCTCTAACGAGATTGGGAGCCTGTGTTTGTGCGGTTCTTCTCATATTCAGAAATCTAAGGCATGTGGCCACCAGCTTCCAAGTGAGGTCCCAGGGCAAGTGACAATAAAGGACATCATCCTATTTTCACGGGAGGAGTATTGCCTGGTAGAACAACTATCACAGCTTCACTGAAGGCAGCACCTTCTCCCCTCCATCCCGCAAAGACCTGCCACTATGGGTCCCCAGCATGGGGCTTGGAGGGGCCTGAAAGTAATTGCTAAGGGGTCATGACTCCATCTTTGTGTATGTCTATGTATGTTTTCAATTAAATGATCGTGTGTGTGTGTGTGTGTGTGTGTGTGTGTGTGTGTGTGTGTGGTCGGGGGGGCCTCAGGAATTTTGAAGTTGTACAAGGGAATCTTGGACTTTTACAGGATGTCTGCTCCCCCTTCCCCCACTGTCCCAGTGATGCGGGTCAAACTAAGCTCAGGCCACAGCCCTTCAGTGGGCACGATTGGCTTTGATGCCTTCTATGAAGGTGTAGAATTCTTGGTTTCCCCAGCAAGTAGAATGGGGCTGGAGAAGGAACAAGAAGTGGGAAACAGTAGGGTAGAAATCCAAGTGATTTCACTGGAAAGAGAAATGTCAGAAGCTCCCAGAACAGCCACGATCAAACATGCCTTCTGGACGAAATGGTTCTTATAACATCCACCTTCAGTATGGTGCCAGAATTGTGACACAGTTGTAATGTGCTGATCTCAGGGTGGGATGCATGCCCTGAGTCTTTCCTAGGCAAGTCCTGTGCCTGCTGGGGCTCAGCAGGTGGCCTAAGGGCCAGAGTACTCTGCTCAATCATGAGGCTAGTCAGGCTCACTGAGTGGGCAGGGATCTGGGAAGCTTCGAGCAGGAAATGAAGAAATCTAAAGTCTGGTTCAGTGTCCCAGGGGGATCTGGGGAAGACAGTATGGGGAGGGTGATCAAGGCAGACCAGCTGGTGAGAGGAGATTAGGGCAGTGACAGCTTCCATGGAACTCCTGAAAGGCCCTCCAACACCCTGGGGCCCTGGCAAGGTCAAAAAGTGGGGAGCAGTGAGCTATGTCCAGTACAGGAGGCCAGCAGGTGGATCTCTAAGGACTGATGTAAAGAATGCTTCCAGGTTCTGAGAAATTGGCATCCCAGGCAGGCTCCTGGACAGAAATTCAGACACAATGGGTCAAGACCTGTGTCTAGAACTGCACATAAAGGCAATCACTAGCTTTAATTGGAGGCGTACTATGTATTAGCATTGCATTTGGCCCTTTCTAATTATTACTTCCTTCAGTATTCACAGATCTTTTTAAAAAAATTTTTTGGCTTTAAATTTATTCAATGCAAAATAATCCTCTCCAATTTTACTGAGGTGGCTGACCACGTCCACGACCAAATCTGCCCCTAAACTCAAATTCGGTTGCTGACCCAGCCCCAGCCTTGGCTTTCTTGTCGGCAACCAGGGGGCACAGCACTCTGTCTGTAGGTAACTCTATTGACTTCCCCTCTTGTGAGTCTTGCAGGTTCCTCAGCCTCCAGGCCTTTAGGCCGAGACCTGCCAGTCTCTGGACGGCTGCGGCATAGGATGGCAGGCACAGTCTCCAGGGGAAGATGAAGGTAATCACAGAGATACTGGATACTGTCATTGGTAAGTTACCAATAGAAATGTCTCCAGGCAAACTGTTCCTTCACGTAGCCTTTGGACTTGAGAGACTGCATGGCCTTCATGACATGAAGGTTGGACACATTCTTGTCTGCGAGCTCTGGGTGCCTAGGCATGTGGACATCCTTCTTGGTCACCATGACTCCCTCCTTAAAAAGGAGTTCATAAATGGCAATCTGGTTCTTCTTAGGCATCAACATCTCGGTGGCTGTAGGGTCTGGAGTTGAGGCTGGAAAGAGTATTTACAAATCTTATGCCATGGGTAAAATTTTTCACATGAAAAAACTGAGACTTGGCCGGGCGTGGTAGCTCACGCCTGTAATCCCAGCACTTTGCGAGGCAGAGGTGGGCGGATCACGAGGTGAAGAGATAGAGACCATCCTGGCCAACATGGTGAAACTCCATCTCTACTAAAAAAAAATACAAAAAATTAGCTGGGTGTGGTGGCACGCACATGTAGTCCCAGCTCTGGAGGCTGAGGCAGGAGAATTGCTTGAACCCAGGAGGCAGAGGTTGCAGTGAGCTGAGATCACACCACTGTGCTCCAGCCTGCCAGACAGAGTGAGACTCGATCTCAAAAAAAAAAAAAAAAAGAAAAGAAACTGCGGCTTAAAAATTTTTTTGTCAAATAAAGATGTAATATATTTAATGTGTTTTATGTGATGATTTGATATGCATATACAGTGTGTAGTGATTACTATAGTCAAATTAATCCAAGCGTCCATCACCATCCATGCTGTACATGAGAACCCCAGAACTTGTTCCTGTGGTAGCCGAAACTTTGCAGCCTTTGACCAACATCTCTCCATTTCCTGCACCTCCTGGTCCCTGGCAACCACCATTCTACTCTGGTGGTAGGTCCAGCCCTGCAGCAGACACTTTCACATACATTATGTCATTTAACCTTCACAATATCTTTATCATCATTTTTTATTTCAGGTGAGGGATTGGAAGCATAGAGAGACTGAGTGGCTTGCTTCAACTCACACGGGAAGGAAGCAATAACCCAATAAATGGGACTGGGGCACATGTCAGAGAAACCCAGCAGCAAGACTACCCTGAGGCTGATGTGCCATGGGAGAGGAAGAGACCTAAGCATTAAGGATGTAATACTTGCTATATACATTTAGTCCTCCTTAGCCTAAAACCTGAGTTAGTGACGATCTTGTAAGATGGAGAGAAATTTTGAAGATACACAACTTCAAGGAGTATGGCTTACTTACTAAGTGCAGGGAGTGGCTTTCACCTGAAATAACCCAAAGATGCATTTGTTCTTCATAATGCATGAGTCATGGATTTAGCCCATACATTGAATTCATATTATTAAAACAACCACCTTACACCCATGTCTCTGTGCAGAGGCAGCTAAATCAGTAGGTGCTATTGTGGAGTAAGTGAAACGAATTTTAACTTTAGCATATGTGTCATTTCTTTTGAGTTGTCTAAACTTGGGTACAATTACTCATACTGAGCCAAGAGAATGAAGCAGGTTATTTCATGCCCTTTTAAAAAAGGTTGTAAAACTCTGATTTTTTTTTTTTTTTTTTTTTTTTTGAGACAGGGTCTTGTTCTATCACCCAGGCTGGGGTGCACTAATGAGATCATGGCTCACTGCAGCCTTGACTTCCCAGGCTCCGATCCTCTTGCTTCAGCCCCGCTAGTAGCTGGGAATATAGGCGCAAACCATCAACCCTGGCTAATTTTTGTATTTTTTGTAGAGATGGGGTCTAGTCATGTTGCTCAGGCTTGTTTCAAACTCCTGGGCTCAAGCGATCCTGTCGTCTTAGGCTCCCTAAGTGCTGGAATTATAGGTGTGAGCCACTGCACCTGGCCCAATTCTGATATTTTGTATTTCTTATATGTACTGTTGAATGAATAGGAAAGATTTAACATAGTATTAGAGCATCATGAGGTTAGAAACTATCAAGTAATAATAACCAACAAATGATTTAAAAAAAATTTTTTTTTCTTAGAGACAGGGTCTCGCTCTGTTGCCCAGGCTGGAGTGCAGTGGCACAATCTCGGCTCACCACAACTTCTGCCTCCTGGGTTCAAGCGATTCTCCCGCCTCAGCCTCCCAAGTAGCTGGGATCACAGGCGCCTGCCACCATGCCTGGCCAATTTTTGTATTTTTAGTAGAGACAGGGTTTCACTATGTTGGCCAAGTTTTTCTCAAACTCCTGACCTCAAGTGATCCTCCTGCCTCGGCCTCTGAATGCAGTCAAAGAAAATTGACAAATATTTTGTAATACACAGTACAACTGGGTTATGAGAAAGATGATCACATAGTTGGATGTCATGGCTATATGAAATTGCTAAAAAAGTTTATAAACACTTTCAGTTTTTGTGCTTTTCTCATTGCAACAACAAACAGTTCATCCACTGGCACTGATTGAGAGGTCACAGTTTATTTTAAATAAGCAGGACCACTCTGAAACCATCTCAACAGCTGAAAAACTAGCTTTTGTGGCGTTTTTTTTTCCTTTTTAAATTATTTTTGCTTATCCATATTAGTGAACTTTTCAATACCTGATGAAAGGATTAAAGAAACTTCTTCATTCAAGGTAAACCACGCTTTTTCCAATTTAGACATAAGGGAGAAATTATTCCTTCTAAGATCAATGTATAGAAGGTGCATAAAGAATGAAAAGAGAAAATATAAAATATAACCCATAGCCAAGGGGAAAAAATGAGGTCAATGCTATGCTTAAAAGGAAGATTCATCCTGGTGCTGCTTAAAGAAAAAAAATTGTAAAAATAAAAAAAATAAGATTCATAAATGGTCAAAACCCACTTTCAGAGAAAAACTATGAACTATGACTCTCACAAGATAGCTACAAAGTATTTGGCTTGTAGAATTCTCATAGATACAGACTGAAGACATCTATTTTTGTAGAATTGTTCTTTCTGGCACTATTCTTGATGCTTTGGCAAAAAGCATATTCACACAAACTTTTTTTAAACTTGGGATGAAGTTAATGGAACATTTTGGCAAATGCAAAAAACAGGGCATGAGACTCAAGAGATCAAATTTTACTTTTCCCTAGATACTTACTAAGGAGCAAAAGCCAAAAAATAAGAAAAAAAAAGAATTAGAGACAAACTTAATTTTGTCTTCTTAAACACACTAACTACGTAGAAAAAAAAAAGTCAAATTCTAAAAGCTCAATTTCCCAGAAATGTCCAGAAGTAATCGGAAAGAATATTTTGTATTTCACTTATGATGCATTAAAGCATTTAAAAATGCAACCTACACATAGGTGATATTAATCAGCTCATGCTGGTGATTAGGAAGAAGAGGCAAGACTTTTTTCTTTTTTGAGACAGAGTCTCACTCTGTTGCCCAGGCTGGAGTGCAGTGGAGTGATCATAGCTCACTGTAGCCTTGACCTCTTGGGCTCAAGCAATCAAGATTTCGAGTGTTTTGGTTGTCTATTGTGGCATAATAGACCACCTTCAAAACCAGTGGCTTAACACAATAACTATTCATTTGCTCATGATTCAGCAATCTAGGCAGCTGGGCAGTTCTGCTGGTCTTGCCTGGAAGTCTGTCATGCAGGTACCATCATCTGAGGGCTTGAATGGACTGTAACATCCAAGACGGCTTTACTTTGCCACGTCTTGTGTGGTCTCACATACTCCAGGACCTCTTTCTACATACTTTTTTTCTCTAGCAGTAGTTGGACTTCCTTACAGCATGGAATCTGAGTTCCAAAAGGGAGATTTTTTTCTTTTCTTTCTTTTTTTTTTTTTTTTACACAGAGTTTCGCTCCTGTTGCCCAGGCTGGAGTGCAGTGGTGCAATCCCTGCTCACTGCAACCTCTGCCTCCTGGGTTTAAGCGATTCTCCTGCCTCAGCCTCCCAAGTAGCTGTGATTACAGGCACCCGCCACCATGCCTGACTAACAAAAGGGAGATTTCTAAGAGGACTAGAGCTTTTCAAACCTCTGCTTACATCATGCTAGCTAATATCCAATTTGCCAAAGCAAGTTACATGACCAAGGCCAGCCTCGGTGTGAGAAGGAACAACACAAGGGTATGAACTCTAAGGGGCATTGTTCATTGGGGGCAAACAATGTTAACAGTCTGTCACACTAATAGGAAAATGTTGAAGGTTATATAAATGCAAGTTCTGCTTTTCTGAATAAGGCAGAATCAGGTTACCTAGAAAACCAGCGATGTTTCAGAGTTGTGTAAAACAGCACCAGTCTTTGGGAATGTTCTTAGTGGTTTGTGGGGCTATATAAACTCACAGATTAGACCAACCAAGCCAACTGATCAACCTATCCATATTTATTAAGCACCGATTGAGTAATTATCACTATGCAAAGTAGTGTGGAAGATGCATTTTTCTTGCATGCAGGGTACCTACAATGGAGTTGGAGAATATAAATAGTAAAAATAATGTTGGAAATACTGTAAGACAGAATATAACAAAGTGCTAAATCATATCATACAGAATGTAAAGTAGTAAAGAATTTCAGACTTCTAGTCATGACCTATTCTGATGAGGCCTTCAACACATGGTCTAAGAGATGTAATAAGGCATTAATAGTCCAAATCTGAGCATATACACTTGACTACAGCAACCATCTGGCTCTTCTGGGCCTCCTCTCAGGGGTAGAAGACAATGGCCTCATGAACACAGATATCAAGGGAAATCAGCTGCTTAAAGAAAGGTGATTAGACTTTCTCAAACCTGATCCTTGTTGTTGGAGAAGACAGGGCTCTTGTAACTCAAGTTTTCAGTATCTGCCTGGTCTTCCTTGTCTTTGTAACCAACAATGTGGCCATGGGCAACAATCAACTGCACTGGGAGAGGATGACAGCTAAAGAGTTGTGCAGAATGGGAGGAGAAGTAATGGCATTTGGAACAGCAAATCCTCCCAGATATGAGGTGCTGAAGACCGGGGAAGAAAGAACACCGCCTCTTTTCTAGGCTCCGCCGCTTCTTTCATACCATAAATATTTAAGTACCTACTCCTGTGCCAGACATTCTGCTAGATCATAGGGCTACAAAATAAATGAAACATGGTGCCTGCCCCGAAGGAGCTCATGGTCTAGTAAGTAGGCAGATAAAAGCACTACCAGGGAGGCCTGAATAGTATGTTATGCGAGCTCAATGGCAGGAATGGCCAACTCTGAGAAAGAGGGGAGAATCTGGGGCAGGGCCACGGAGAGCCTACTGTATTAGTCAGGGTTCTCTAGAGAAACAGAAGTGTGCGTATGTGTGTGTGTGCATGTATATGTGTGTGCGTGTATATATATGTATATATATATACACACACGTACACTTATATATATATATACACTCTTCCGTATAAAAATGATAAATCTATCTATCTAAATCTATATATATGGATTTATTATAGGAACTGGCTCATGCAATGGAGATCAGAAAGTCCCTCAATATGCCACCTGCAAGCTGGAGAACCAGGGAAGCTAGTGTGTGATTCAGTCCAAGTCCAAATTTCTGAGAACCAGGGGAGCCAACTGTGTAACTCTCTTCAGGACCAAAAGCCTGAGAATGGGGTGAGGGTGAGGAGCCACTGGTGTAAATCCTGGAGTCTGAAGGTTGCAGAACCAGGAGCTCTGATGTCTGAAGGTAGAAGACAATGGATGACCCAGCTCAAGAAG
Organism: Homo sapiens; assembly: GCF_000001405.40. NCBI lineage: Eukaryota > Metazoa > Chordata > Mammalia > Primates > Hominidae > Homo > Homo sapiens. The sequence goes on from NC_000018.10 coordinate 23,678,185, forward strand.
AGACAGCACGGTCACATTTCTTTTGCATTTCTGTTCTACCTGAGCCCTCAATGGATTGGATGGTGCCTGCTCACATGGGTGAGGGCAGATCTTCTTTACTCAGTCTACTGTTTTAAATGCTAACCTCTTCCAGAAACATCCTCACAGGCATGCCCAGAAATAAGGCTTTACCAGCTGTCTGGGCATCCCTTAGCCCAGTCAAGCTGACACATAAAATTCACCATCATATCTGCCAAATGAGGCAATGCCTGAAGTGAATTTGGGAGAATGGTTTGGGGTGATACAAGTGGCTAAGATGGAGAAGGGCAACCCTAGCAGAGGCATGGCCGTGTGCAAAGTCACGATGACACATTGTGGGTTGGGGAATAGTTTGATAAAACTGGAAAATAGGATACAATGCAGGCAGGTGAAGGATATAGGGCAGAAGAAGGCTAAGGTCAACATATGAACCCTTCTACTAAAACGACTTTATTCTAAGTGGAAGAATAAAGTCTTCCACTTTACTTAACACACACTTCTACTGTGTGTGTTAAGCACAGTAGAGATATGATCAAATTTACATTATAGAAAAGCACTGTTCCATAGAACTTTCAGCAATGATAAAATGTTCTATAATCTTTTCTATTGAACATGATAACCGATAATCACATGAGGCTGCTAAGCACTTGAGATGTGGCCAGTGTGACAGAGGAACGGAATTTTTAATTTTTAAATTTAAATTTAGATATCCAGATGTGGCTCTTGGCTGCCATATTGGACAGGTTGACTCTAGAAAAATCCCTCTGGCAGCCATATGGAAAATGGATTGGATGAGGACAAGACCAGAAGAAGATAGAAGACTTGGTAACAATTCAGGTGAGAATTAATATCAAATTAAAGTAGTTGGGAAGACTAACTTGAGAACTACTTAGGAAATGCAATGGACAGAATTTGATATCTCATTTGACACGAGGAGGCAGCCCTGATCATGAGAAGAAGAGTGGTATTCAGGGGTAGGGACAAAGAAGTACGCTGAGGAGGATGAGGAGACCAAATCTAGAGGCTGCGAAAGCCGAGCAGTCGAGCTTGGATTGACATGGTAGGCTGGAGGAAGAGGTGGCAACACATACCTCTTCAGCTGGCATATCATGCTGCTCTTTCTTTAATGTGCAGGACCGATTGTAAGGAAGAGAAAATGGAGGCAGAGAAAGCAGTAGGGAAGCTATAGAGATAATTCTGGCATGGTCGATTGTGGTCTGGACTAAGGTAGTGGTAGCAGAGGGTAGATACCTGGATGAATTCAGGCTAATGGTGAACAATGCCATTTGAGCATAAAGGATTATGGAAAGAGAATAGTCAATGAGAAATCCATGTTTCTAATCTGACAGATGAAAGGAAAAGGAGAAGTGAATTAATGATTGTTAAGAACCTGCGAATTAGGCACTGTGCTGGATACTTTCACAGAAGTGTCATCTTTGGGATACTAGACAAATTGGTGATGTCATTGATGGAAATGGATTGGCCCAGAAGGGATCATAGTTAGGAAGTTCCACTGAATATATTTTCTGTATTTTATTTATTTTTTTCATTGAAACATACTCAGAGAGATGTTTTCTGTATTTTAAATTAAATTAAAATTTTTTTTAGAGACAGGGTTTTATTATGTTGCCCAGGTTGGTCTCAAACTCCTGGGCTCAAGCTCAAGCGATCCTTTCAGCTTGCTCCCTGCTTCCCAGAGTGCTAGGATTATAGGTATGAGCCAGCGTGTCCAGCCCTGGTCTCTCTCTCTCTCTCTCTCTCTCTCCCTTATTTATTTATTTTTTTTTTAGACAGAGTTTTGTTCTTGCCACCCAGGCTGGAGTGCAATGGTGTGATCTCTGCTTACTGCAACTTCTCTCTCCCGGGTTCAAGCTAGTCTCCTGCCTCAGCTTCCCGAGTAGCTGGTATTACAGGTGCATGGCACCATGCCCAGCTAATTTTTATATTTTTAGTAGAGACGGGGTTTCACCATGTTGGCCAGGCTGGTCTCAAACTCCTGACCTCAGGTGGTCCGCCTGCCTCAGCCTCCCAGAGTGCTGGGATTACAGGTGTGAGCCACCGCAGCTGTCCAGCCCTGATGACTTTTCATTGGCTCAAAACTTAGTCATATGACCCTACTTAGATGCAGGTGGTACTGGGAAATGTAGTCTCAGAGCAGGCAGCCACCTCTCAGGAACTCTGTATTGCACCAGTCCTTGGTAGGTATACCATTGACTCTGTCCCATTCCCATTTACTCCACCTCTTCAGGGCCACACCTGTAGCATATTCATATTTTCCAGTTGTTTTACATGCTGGGAGCAACCATGCCCTGGCTATTTAAAGAGCCACCCTCAAAATCTTCTGAAATTTACTTCTAGAAAAAACATATTGAATGAGATAAAGAAATAAATAACAAGCCCCACAGACATAATTAGGTCGTCAATAAATCGAGAGTAAAAAAGTAGAGACATAGGGAAGTTGGATCTACATTGCCTTCTTAAGAAGTGCGTGTTGAAGGAGGCACCTCCATTTGTTCTTTGAACTGCTCAGCATGATATGGGCTGTTACAGAGCATGAAATGGTGAGAGATTTCAGTTGTATGGTCTACAAAATTGTCTATTAGCCCGATATTCTAGGGCTCAAGTGCAATTAATTCAATCTGAATTCTGACAGATATTTATCAACCTGCTACTTTGTATAAGACACTTCTATGGAAATCTTAAAGGAGAAAAAGGAAAAGAAAAAATCCCTGGGCCAGCCCCTGTCCTCAAAAAGTCTACAGCTTTTATTGTTAAATAGACCTTTGTTGAGACTATTTGTCAAATTCTTACAAAATGCATGTCTCTGAAGTGATGTATTTTGGACATAGAAACAACATGCAGTGCAGGCCAGGGTGTGGTGGCTGATACCTGTAATCCCAGCACTTTGGGAGGCCAAGGATGGAGGATTGCTTAAAGCCAGGAGTTCAAGATGAGCCCTGGCAACATTGCAAGACCCTGTCTCTAAAAAAAAAAAACAATTAAAATATTAGCTGGGCGTGGTGGTGCATACCTTTAGTCCCAGCTACTTGGGAGGATCGCTTGAGCCCAGGAGTTTGAGGCGGCAGTGAGCCATGATCACACTCCTGCACTGTAGCCTGGGCAACGAGCAAGACTCTGTCTGAAAAAAAGAAAGAAAAGAGAGAAAGAAAGAAAGAAGGAAAGAAAGAAAGAAAGAAAGAAAGAAAGAAAGAAAGAAAGATGGAAAGAAAGAAAGGTAGTGCAGTGTGGTTGAGCACTAGGTGTTGACATATTTTTACCCTGCTGGCAGTGCTACCTCTTGTGGACTTGAATTCCTAAACTTAGGGCAACTAAAGAGGGGAAAATGTGAAAATGAAGCAAAAAGATATTTTAAAGACTGATTTCTAATTTTCACTCAAAAATCTCTGCCAGATTTTGAGTCAGAGTTCATGTCAAGAGAGTGAAGGCTCTATTCCTTAAATCTCCACTATGGCTGAAGCAAGATGATTTAATTACTCACTACTTTATTTTTGCTCATTTGCAAAATGAGACTAATGGCTTTCAAACACTTACCTTGCAGGGTAGCTCTGGGCTGACAGGAAAAAAAAAGGCATTGTAAAGACAAGGTACTATTACATAGGTGTAGGCTTTCTTTTATCCTAGAACTACTGCTTGTAGTAACAGACACCTGGGGTGGGGAAAAAATTCTCCTTAAAAACAAATGTATAAAATTACTTCCTCTGCCCAGCTGTGTATTTCACAGAAAGGCCAAATGGGACTGTGTGAAACAAGAGCTGGAGAGAAAATTCATGCAGTTGGAATGTGAATTTTAAAAAAATTTTTATTTAACAGATATAAAATAAAAATAGAAATCATGTCTTGCTACGTTGGCCAGGTTGGTCTTGATCTCCTGGCCTCAAGCAATCCTCCCATTTTGGGCTCCCACAATGCTAGGATTACAGGCATGAGCCACCTCACCCAGCCTGAAATGTGAATTCTTCATAGGGGGTTTGGCAGAGCTATCTACCAGGGAGTGCCCTAACAGGAGGTACCATTGTCAAGGTTCTGACGAAAGCTAGAATCTGCTTGCAGTGAGCAGAAACACTTGATATAATCAGGCTGAGAATTCTACTCTGGTTTGGTTAACACTGGGGTTTCTGAGCTCAGAAGATAAACCAGACAGAGGCCATGGGCCAAGTGAGTATCCTTACTTTACAAGAAGTCCTTAGATCAGGGGACCTGGAACAGGGAGGTCCACACTTTAGAGAGGTGGAGATGTCCTATAATCCCAGGCAGGCACATAGCTGGGTTCTGGATACCATCTCATGGTAATGAGGGCTGAGCAACTGAACAAGTCCTTAACCTTGACTGTCTTGTCTGGAAACAAAAGTGGGTGATCTTAGATTTGTGTTTCCTGATACCCAAGGGTCTAGGGGTAATTCTCAGTTTTCAAAATGATTAATAGAAACCTTGCCTTTATTTAGAGTCTGACAACATAGGCTAAAGCAAGCACACTATCTTCACTCTGAACTGGAATGATTTCAGCTCTGTGTGGTCATGGTAATTGTTTGATGTTAACCAAAAGCCTACATTTGCACAGTTAGGTAGATATTTAATAACATAGAAAAATGCTTGTTGAGAAATACACTTGGTGAAACTTTCTTTTTTATTTTTGGAGATGGACTCACGCTCTGTCACCTAGGCTGGAGTACAGTGGCGCAATCTAGGCTCACTGCATCCTCCGCCTCCTGGGTTCAAGCAATTCTCCTGCCTCAGCCTCCCGAGTAGCTGGGACAACAGGTGCATGCCACCACACCCAGCTAATTTTTTGTATTTTTAGTAGAGATGGGGTTTCACCGTGTTGCCCAGGCTGGTCTCGAACTCCTGAGCTCAGGCAACCCACCCTCCTTGGTCTCCCAAAGTGCTTGGATTACAGACATGAACCACTGTAGAAGAGTAACAAAAGATTTTTTTTTTTCTTGGATGGTAGAATTGCAGGATTCCAAAAGATGCTTTCCATCTTGGGTTTGCAATGATGGTAACAAATTGGGTGGCAGAACTTTACTCGTTGCCTAGTTTCCTCTGGTTTTCGACGTGCCTCACCAGGTGTGTGTCATTATAAGTAGAAATGCCTTTAGTCTTTTGGTTTTGTTTGTATTCTTTTGGTTGCTGTTAGTGATCCACACACTGCTATTGGCTTAGATGATGTTATTGTTTTCTCTGTTAAATGATGATGACAGGTCAATTTCTGCAAACTGATTGATTATTAAGTGAAACCAAGCCAGTAACAAGTCACAGTTTAACCATGCAATTTAAAAGAGAATAGAAATAATAAGCAGGACCCAGGGCTTCTGATCCCAGTTCATATTCCTAGGAGAACTGGAGAGGAGAGAAGGGAAGAGCTGCCATATTGGGGAGCGAGTGAAAAAGGAGGAGAAAACCTATGTTTTGATTAAGAGGAAGAATAGCCATGAGTATGTTAGGTCAATCACTCTATTAAAGGGACATTACTGCATTTGTTATGCCGTTGTAAGACACTGAGTTTATTACCCATGCATGTCTAGGTTCTTGGCTCTAAGGACATTCTTTTTAACAACAGCATGCATGGCAAGTTCCACTTCCATCTTAAGATTTGAAGGATGTAGCTCTGCATGAATCACTTCTGAAGTATTGGGAGGTCAGCCAAACCCCAATTCACTCTTGTTAGTTTGAGTTTGTTTGCACCCAACAATGCACGTATGTCCCACCCACCCTTCCAGGGCGAAGTAAACCTCTTGTGCTTGGGACACATCTGTAGCCTTCACACCACAGATGGGCCTCACCCAGGTGTTTTCCTTTTGTCCTCTCAGAGTCCTCCTAGAAGCATAACTGGAAATCAGATGTCTTGGGTCCAGCTGATTATTCCTGTTTTTCTTAAAATATGGGCAAGTCATTTAATTCCTTTAAGCATTCTCTTTCTATATTAAAACATGACAGCCCCAGCCAGGTGCAGTGGCTCATGCCTGTAATCCCAGCATTTTAGGAGGCCAAGGCAGGTAGATCGCTTGAGTCCAAGAGTTTGAGACTGGCCTGGGTAGCATGGCAAAACCATATCTCTACCAAAAATACAAAAAAGTAGCTGGGTGTGGTGGTGCACACCTGCAGTACCAGCTACTTGGGAGGCTGAGGCCAGAGGAGCACTTGAGTAGGGGAGGTGGACGTTGCAGGGAGCTGAGATTGCACCACCGCACTCCAGCCTGGAGAGTGGAGTGAGACCCTATCTCAAAAACAACAACAATAAAAACAAAAACATGACAGCCCCATTTTGCCTTAAAAATGTGTGTCCTTATATTTGCTGCTTTAATGTCTCAAACCACTTGCTCATAACATTCCTTCATTTAAACTTCAGAACAGCCTTCCTCCTCCCACCCACCAAAGTGTCCTCATTCTCATTACTCATCTTTATATCTCTGGCATCCAGGACTGTGGAGCGTAGTTGTTTCCTGGATGTTTGGTTTAGACATTTAATCTTCAGAGAGATGACTTTACTAGCAAATATTAACTTTAGATATGAAGCTTTTATTTGATCATCTTTATAGCTGTTCTCGGTGGGCAAATACACTTAATGTACCTTGACATCGCAAAGTTATTTTTAAACTGCAATGACAACATGAAGTCAATGATATCACTTACCCTCTGACTAGGGAATGCAATAAAACACATTAAAGAGAAATATTGTCATTGTACAGTGCAATAAATTTGTATATCATGCTGTTAAGTGTTGCCGTTTATAGCAAAATATGAAGCCCTGTAAGGACAAAGCCTTGATTTGAATCCAGGGATGGTTGTAGCTGCTGCCGAGGTTTCTGATAGCATCAGAACATCTCAGCAAAAGGACTTGGCAGTGTGGAAGAGTTACTGGCCAGGGCAGAAAACAACTTTTTAAATTTAGACTTTGCTTTCACTTTTACATGTTAATAAAATAGTTTTGGAATCTTAGCCATTTGTTGAATGCTTTCCTTCAAATAATCTTGTCTGAGAGGACTTTAAAAAGTACATAAAATCTTTCTCACTTTTTTTTTTTTTTTGAGTCGGAGTCTGGCTTTGTTGGCCAGGCTGGAGTGCAGTGGTGGGATCTCTGCTCACCGCAAGCTCCGCCTCCCGGGTTCTGGCCATTCTCCTGCATCAGCCTCCCAAGTAGCTGGGACTACAGGCGCCTGCCACCACGCCTGGCTAATTTTTTGTATTTTTAGTAGAGACGGGGTTTCACCATGTTAGCCAGGATGGTCTAGATCTCCTGACCTCGTGATCCGCCCGCCTAGGCCTCCCAAAGCGCTGGGGTTACAGGCATGAGCCACAGCGCCCAGCCCTTTCTCGCTTTTTATCAATCTTCTTTCATCAATTTAGGTAGGACCATATCACTTAGGGCAGGACTATTAGAGTCAGTGCTGGGTACTCATTCAGTTGATTTAATAGAATATTTTGAAAGTTTTTATTAGGACAAAAGCAATATAGTTTCATTCTTGGAGAAATTAAAAAATATAAGCAAGCAAAAAGAAGAAAATAAACAAACAAACAAAAAATCCCCTCTCTCCATCCTATCTAGCCACTTGAATATCCTATTGTAAAGCTTTCAAAAATTCTGGCCAGGCGCAGTGGCTCATGCCTATAATCCCAGCATTTTGGGAGGTCAAGATGGATGGATTGCTGGACCTCAGGAGTTTGAGACTGGCCTGGGCAACATGGCAAAATCCCATCTCTACAAAAAAAAAAAAAAAAAAAAATAATAATAATAATAATAAAGAAAATTATCCAGGCATGGTGGCACATGCCTGTAGTCCCAGCTACTTGGGAGGCTGAGGTGAGAGGATCACTTGAGCACCACAGGTTGACACTGCTGTGAGCCATGATTATGCCACTGCACTCCAGCCTGGGAAACAGAGTGATACCTTGTCTCAAAAAAAAAAAATTATTTGTCTGCTTTCACACACACGCATACACACACACACACACATTCATATACAGTTCTTTTTTTTTTTTTTGAGACGGAGTTTCGCTCTTGTCACCCAGGCTGAAGTGCAGTGGTGCGATCTCAGCTCACTGCAACCTCTGCCTCCCGGGTTCAAGCGATTCTCCTGCCTCAGCCTCCCCAGTAGCTGAGATTACAGTCATGTGCCACCATGCTCGACTAATTTTTGTAGTTTTAGCAGAGACAGGGTTTCACCATGTTCGCCAGGCTGGTCTCGAACTCCTGACCTCTGGTGATTCACCCGCCTCACCTCCCAAAGTGTTGGGATTACAGGCGTAAGCCCCCACACCTGGCCACATTTCTTATGTTTAGTAGATATTTCAGTTCTGCAAAAATCCATAATAACAGCTTTAAGATATAATTTATATACCATAAATTCATAAAGTGCACCATTCAGTGGTTTTAGTATATTCACACAATTGGTGATGTGATAGTGGTGATGCATAGCGTGATGGTTATCATCACCACTATCTAATTCCAGAACATTTTTATCACTCCAAAAAGAAACCCCATAGCCAATAGCAGTCACTCCCCATACAATATGTGGTCTTTTTTGTCTGACTTCTTTCACCTACCATAACGTTTTCAAGGTTCTTCCATGTTGTAAGCATGGATCAGAACTTCATTTCTTTTTATGTGTGACAGATATTCCATTGTATGGATATACTACATTTTGTCTATCCATTCATCAGTTGGGGAACATTAGGTTGTATTCATTTTTTTATTATATGACTAACGCTGCTATAAACATTTATGTACAAGTTTTTGTGTGGATATATATTTTCAGTTCTCTTGAGTATGTTCTTAGGATTGGAATTGCCAGATCACATGGTCATGTTATGTTTAAGTTTTTGAGGAATTGCCAAAGTGTCTGCACCATTTTACATTCCCATCAGTAATCTGTGAGGGTTCCAACTTCTCCACATCCTCACAAATACTTGTTATTATCTATCTTTTTGATTATAACTATCCCAGTGTGTGTGAAGTAGTATCTCATTGTGGTTTTGGTTTGCATTTTCCTGATGGCTAATGATGTTGAGCGTCTTCCATGGTCATGCTTATCGACCATTTTTATATTTGCCCACTACTTTTTAAAAAATGGTTGAGTTGTAAGAGTTTATTCTGGATATGAATTTCTAATTAGATATATGGTTTGCAAATATTTTCTTCTATCTTGCGGATTGTCTTCTACTTTCTTTTTTTTTTTTTTTTTGAGATGGATTCTCAGTTTCCCAGGCTAGAGTGCAGTGGCACAATCTCAGCTCACTGCAACTTCTGCCTCCTGGGTTCAAGTGATTCTCCTGCCTCGGCCTCCCTAGTAGCTGGGATTTCAGGTGTGCACCACCATGCCCAGCTAATTTTTGTATTTTTAGTAGAAAATTTCATCATGTTGGCCAGGCTGGTCTTGAACTCCTAACCTCAGGCGATCAACCCATCTTGGCCTCCCAAAGTGCTGGGATTACAGGCATGAGCCACTGTGCCTGGCCATCTTTCGCTTTCTTGAGGGTGCCTTGGAAGCACAAAAGTTTTAAAATTTGGTAAGTTTCAATTTATCTTTGTGTGTGTGTGTGTGTGTGTTTTGAGACAGATTTTTGCTCTGTTGCCCAGGTTGGAGTGTAGTGCCATGATCTTGGCTCACTGCAACCTCCGCTTCCCGGGTTCAAGTGATTCTCCTGCCTTGGCCTCTGGAGTAGCTGGGATTACAGGCACATGCCACCATGCCTGGCTAAGTTTTGTATTTTTAGTAGATACAGGGTTTCACCATTTTCCCCAGGCTAGTCTTGAACTCCTGACCTCAGGTGATCCACCCACCTCGGCCTCCCAAAGTACTAGGATTACAGGCATGAGCCACCGTGCCCGGCCCAATTTATATTTTTCTTTTGTTGCTTGCGCTTTTGATATCATAGCTAAGACAGCATTGCTAATCCAAAGTCATGAAGATTTTCTCCTGTGTTTTTCCCTTAGAATTTTATAGTTTTAGCTTTATAGTTTAGCTCTCTAAATGTAAAATTTAGAGATCTTAAATCCATTTTGAGTTAATTTTTGCATATAGTATGAGGTGGGGATCCTACTAGATTATTTTGGGATGTCCAGTTTTCCCAGCAGCGTTTATTAAAAATATTATTCTTTTCCCATTGAATAGTCTTGGCACCCTGTTGAAAATCCAGTGACCATAAATGTAACGGTTTATTTCTGAGCTCTCAATTCTATTCCATTGATCTATGTTTATCGTTATGTCGGTACTACACTGTCTTGATTACTGTAGTTTTGTATTAAGTTTTAAAACTAGGAAGCGTGAGTCCACTGACTTCATTCTTTCTCAGAATCGTTTTGGATTTTCTAGGTCTCTTGCATTTCCACATGAATTTTAGGATCAGCTTGTCAATTTCTGAAAAAAAAAAAAGTCGGGATTTTGATCCCTATCAAAATCCATTGTGTTGAATTGTAGGTTGCTTTAGGAAATATTGCCATCTTCACAATATTGTCTCCTAATCCATGAACATGGGAGGCTTTTCCACTCATTTAGGTCTTTTAACATTTCTTTCAAAGAGGTTTTGCAATTTTTATTGTACAAATATTGCATTCCTCTAATTTCTTCGAGGGCCTATGTGGGTTCTGTTTTAGTAGGGTGTTCTGCATATAAGACCAAGCATCAGTCCGGGGTCGTGGGGGGAGGGGGTCTTCTCTGTTCTGAGGCCATCATGGCAGGTGGCGTACCTCACTCAATCTCTGTTAGCTTATTTGTAAAATTGAGCAGATTAGGCATCTAAAGGATTTCCTCTAAGGTTCCTTTCCAGGTTGGCAAATTACAACTTGCATTATTGGCTGTCTTTTAAATATGTACGTTCCACCACTCCCAGTTCCCTGGCTCAGCCTGTGGCTGCAGTGCCACAGGGATCCTAGGTGCACAGTGTTGAGGAGTTGACGACTCAACACTTGGCTGGGAAATCGAAATGTCTTTGATGTGAGTTCTGTAGGTAGTGGCAGTTTCCTCTGCTCTCAACCAAATTCGTTTACAAGCCTCCTTTACTCTTAGGTCACAGGTGGCTTTTCTGGCTTTGACCTGAGCGGTGAGTATCCAGAGAGGAGAACGATCTAATTAATTTCTGTCCTGGCGCCTGGAGGGTTCGAAGATCCCAGGCTCCCGTTCCCGCCGCCTGGGTGGGAGCCCGGGAACGCCTCTCCCATTCCCCGCCCGCGAAGTTTGCAGCGCGCCTCGCGCGGGAGAGACGCCGTCTGCTGGCGCGCGGCTGAGCGCTGTCAGTTCCTGATCCGGCTGGTGCCCGCTCCAGCCGCGGCAGGTTCCAGAGCTGAGAGGCCACCCCCACGCCGCGGGCTTCCAGCGCGTGGAGCAAGGGGAGCGGCCCCGGCGCCGCCCATATCCCCGGCTGCGCTAGTCCTGGCGCTGCAGGTCCGGGAGGCGCAGGCGGAGAGCGGCGGTGCCCCCGAGCCCCTCTGCGGACGGCTCAGGCGGGAGGACCCCGCGCGGCTGGATGGCGGCGGCCGCGCGGCCTCGGGGTCGGGCACTGGGGCCAGTACTGCCGCCGACGCCGCTGCTCCTGCTGGTACTGCGGGTGCTGCCAGCCTGCGGGGCGACCGCTCGGGATCCCGGGGCCGCGGCCGGGCTCAGCCTTCACCCGACTTACTTCAACCTGGCCGAGGCGGCGAGGATTTGGGCCACCGCCACCTGCGGGGAGAGGGGACCCGGCGAGGGGAGGCCCCAGCCCGAGCTCTACTGCAAGTTGGTCGGGGGCCCCACCGCCCCAGGCAGCGGCCACACCATCCAGGTGAGGGCCTCGGAGAGAGCCGGGGTGGGCGCGCCTTTTCCTTCCCGCGCCGGCCAGACACCCGGAGAAGGGATCGGGCCCTTTCCTCACGCGCGCTAGTGGCTCCGGGCGACTGGGAAGGGCAGCCCCCATCCCCGCGCGCGAGGGCCCACGACCCAGGAGCGATCTCGTGGAAGCACCGCACCGGCACCACCGGCCCGAGGCGAGGAGGGGGAGCACGCGAGGTGACATGAGGCTGTGGTCAGGTTCGGGCTGGTGGAGGGGAAAGTGTGAGGCTGCGCTCTAAGAGATGCAGGCGCCTCGGCCCTTCCCGCCTCCGTCACCCACGGAGCGTCCCGCCAGGCTTGAGTCCTCGAGGGTTCAGGGGCGCCTCCTGCCCCACCTCCCGGGCCTTATTCGGAGAAGTCGGTGGCAATTACCTTCTGTGGTGTATTTTAAGAGAGAATTTTTAGGTTATAACAGCGGTATCACTCTAATGTTACTGAAAAGATTCACTTCACTGCACTGCCTGAAGTGCCACCATCCAGTCATTGGGGGCGAATGAGACCTTAGGCGGACAGAGATAGAAAGGCTCTCAGAGATCCGAGCCTCACCGCGAACACCCGGGGCAAACGACATTGCGGTGCATGTTAAGCAGCATCTTGCAGTGCCTGGCCCTTACTCACAGGTCTCAGCCAGGCAAGAGTGCAGTGGTGCGATCACGGCTCACGGCAGCCTCGAACTCCTGGGCTCAAGGGATCCTCCCGCCTCAGCCTTGGGCGTAGCTGGGACTACAGGCGTGCCCCCCCGTGCCTGGCAATTTTTTTTTTTTTTTTTTGAGACAGAGTCTCGCACTGTCGCCGGGGCTGAAATGCAATGGTGCGATCTCGGCTCACTGCAACCTCAGGCCTGGCAATTATTTATTTATTTATTTATTTATTTATTTATTTATTTATTTATTTATTTTTCTGTAGAGACAGAGTCTGGCTATTTTGCCCAAGCTGGTCTCAAACTCTTAGCCTCAAGCTGTCCTTCTGTCTTGACCTCCCAAAGGGGCAGGAGAATTTGAATCCAGTCCTGACTTCAAATCCTGGACACTAAGCCCAAATTGCCTCCTTCTTCTGCAAAGTATTGTTGAGGAACAGGAAGTGGGAAGAGGGAGCGATTTTGGAGCTTGGGTTCTAAAAGAGCAAGGTTATCATTGGGTGTCTAGATTAGTGTTTTAGAAACTCTTTTGACCATGCACTTCCATAAATGACAAGTTGTTGAACATCTAGTGCCATATGTGCTTATTTACTTATAAACTACATGCATGTATTATATTGATATGTGTTGTGCATATTTTAAAACATGCAAAAACAGAAATCTAAAAGACAAAATAACAATGATGAAAATATTTTTACCATATTTATATATTATCTATATTATAAAACATGCAAGAAAAGAAACTAAAAATATAAAATAACAATGATGAAAATACTTTTAACAGTCCTCAAATAATTTTGCTTTCTCTATTTTATGATTGTGTGTTTATAAACACACAAATATGCAAATATAATTGTGTGTATAATTATTTTTGAGAAATTTAGTTTAGCTCTTATAACAATTCAGTTTTTAATTTAATTTTATTTTTGAGACAGGGTCTCACTCTATTACCCAGGCTGGAGTGCAGTGGTGCTATCTTGGCTCACTGCAACCTCCACCTCCCAGGCCCAGGTAATCCTCCCACTTCAGCCTGCCAAGTAGCTGGGACTATAGGCACATGCCACCATGCGTGGCTAATTTTTGTATCTTTTGTAGAGACAAGGTTTTGCCATGTTGGCCAGACTGGTCTTGAACCCCTGGGCTCAAGCGATCTGCCCACCTTGGCCTCCCAAAGTGCTGGGATTACAGGCATGAGCCACTGCACCCGGCCTGATTTTATGTTATACTTGATTTTAGTGGTTGTTATAGCTGAAAAGATACCTAAAAAAATATGTAGATTCAAATGGAAGAACTGCATTGACCAGTCACATAATTTACAGAGTTCAGTGCAAAGTGGAAATGTAGAACCCCTTGTTAAAAAATTATTTTAAATATCAAGATGGTGACAGCACAGCATTGAAGTAAGCGAGGGGCCCTTCGAAGTGAGAGGCCCCAAGTGACTGTACACGTCTTTTGCTGTCTAAGCTACTAAATCATGGTACTATAGCTCTAGCTCTGCCCCATCCTTCGGTTAGCCTAAAAATTTTTAGAAGTAGAAACTTGGCCGGTAATTGTTCACTTCCAAGTTGTATTCAGCATTCCTAGTAGAAAGGTATTACGTTTTAATGTTTTGTATTGTTTTGTTTTTGAGACGAAGTCTCTCTCGTCTCTCCCAGGTTGGAGTGCAGTGGCACGGTCTCAGCTCACTGCAACCTCCGCCTCCTGGGTTCAAGCTATTCTTCTGCCTCAGCCTCCCGAGTAGCTGGGATTACAGGCGCCTGCCACCACGCCCAGCTAATTTTTGTATTTTTAGTAGAGACGGGGTTTCACCATGTCGGCCAGGCTGGTCTCGAACTACTGACTTCAGATGATCCACCCACCTTGGCCTCCCAAAGTGCTAGGATTACAGGCATGAGCCACCGCAGCCGGCCCGTTTTGATGTTTTAAACAATAGATTCAAGACTCACTGCAAATCTTTTGTTGGAAAATATTAATGTTAGAAAATTTTGTTTCCATGAGAAAAGACTTATTTCTGTCATTCTGATGCTTGTTTTCTATATGCCTTATATATTTTTTGGCTACTCTCAATTCTTCTATTATTGTCTTCTGGTTTAACTGATTTTTACCATTTTGATTCTCTCCTCATTTCCTTTTCTATATATATTTAGTTTTTTTTTAGTACTTATTCTGAAGATTACGATTAGTATCCTAAATATATAACAATCCAGTTTGAATTGATACTAGCTTAACTTCAACAGCATCCCAAATTCTGCTTCTGTATAACTCTGTCCTTTACATTATTGTTGCAAATTACATCTTTATACATGATTGTTCATTATTATGAATTTATAATTATTGTTATTATATATGCATTTGTCTTCTAAATAATATACAAAAAAAGCAGTTAAAAACCAAAAATATGGAGAGGCATGGTGGCTCACGCCTGTAATCCCAGCACTTTGGGAGGCCGAGGTGGGCGGATCGCCTGAGGTTGGACGTTCAAGACCAGCTTGGCCAGCATGGTGAAACCCCGTTTCTACTAAAAATACAGAAATTAGCCGGGCGTGGTGGCAGGTGCCTGTAATCCCAGCTACTCGGGAGGCTGAGGCAGCAGAATTGCTTGAACCCAGGAGCTGAGATCGCGCCATTGCACTCCAGCCTGGGCAACAGAGGAAGACTCCATCTCAAAAACAAAACAACCCAAAAATACAATAATACTGGTTTTTATGTTTACATATGTAGTTACCTATACTGTTGTTCTTTCTTAGTATGGCTTTGAATTACTGTCTAGTGTCTTTTTATTTCATCTTGAATGACTCCTTTTAGCATTCCTTGTAGAGTAGATCTGCTAGCAGGATTCCCTCAGCTCTTGAGAGTGAGACTCTGTATCAAAAAAAAAAAAAAAAGAGAAACGTACAGTGCATTATATACTGAACACATTTGCCATGCTAAATAATCCACTGGCATACAGACTTCTATAGCCTTCTATATTATAGAAATAGTAACTTGTTTTAGTACTGTTTTAATAACTAGATATTATTTGTTTAAAGATACTTCTTATCAGCTCAAATAATATTTTGGGGGGAGATTTTAATTTTTAAGGTTAATTTAGTGGCAATAATACATTTTTCCAAATCATACATTTATTCCTGGTTGTAATTTAGGCATTTATGAAACCTTTGTTAACTCTCTGCATTCTGGAACCATTTGCCTAGTTAGGAAAAGATTTACTAAGTGGCACCTGAGTGGTCTAAGTCAATGGAGCTGCCTATGGTTGTGCTACATACATGGATTCCTGGCCAAGCGGGTGAGTAGGGTCACCTGGGCAGGGCTGCATCTGCTCAGAGGCAGGGAGTCTTTTTCTGCTTTGCAATAAAGAACTGTTTGAATGAGGTCATAGGACACTGATTAGATCCCTCATGTCAACAGGGTGGAAACTGCCCTGAGGAAAGCCAGCTCCTTGAGTCCCATGTGCCCTGCCAGTTTCTCAGTGTCAAAAACATATTGTATTCCCTCAGTGGTTTTCCCATCCTAGAAGCTCAGAAAATACATGTGGAGTTAATAAATGAATATTAACTGGAGAATAATACGGGTTTAAAGTGATTATGCACATCTTAATTGTGAGAGGTGGGAAATAGAAGTGAGTTCTCCATTACTTTCAAGTTGCACCATATACTGTGCATACTGTGTATAGGAGTGATACCAAATATAGGGGGCAGAATGGTGAGAAGGAGGAATGGCCTAGTAATGAGGGGCTTTGCTCCCCTGCTTAATGCAGGGTATTGATTTAACACACACAGACAACACTTACTGATGCTTGGCACAGGTCTAAAGCATATTACACATTGAGTTCTTGATTGTCACAACAATTTATGAATGTATGAAGGAGGTACAATTAGCATGCTTCTTTTACAAATGAGGAAACTGAAGCGCACAGAAGTTAAGTGATGTGTCCAAGATCACACACTTAGTATGTGGTAAATCCAGATTTAAACCCAGGTACTCTGGCTGCAGAATTCACGCTCTTACCCGCTATACTACTGTCACAGACATGCTAACTACTCCTTCCTCTGAGTTCCAGCTAAACTTTGCGTTGCCTTGCTAATGCCACTTATCACCTTGGAGCCATCCATTATCATGTCTGTCTCCTTATTAGGATCATGAGCTTCCTGAGGGTGGGGCCCTGTCTTCCTGTTCATGTCTGGACAGAGTATTGAGATGCCCCATAGAGTAGAATTCCTGTGCAAAGTATGCTGCACTGTTTCCTTGTGGAAGCTTGTCTTAGACACCCCATCAATGCTTTTTGAAGAAATATTCAAAAGGCAACACCACCATAGAATTTACTTATCAGAGCAACACCCTGATGGAATTGCTGTTTGATTTTAAAAGTACCTGAATTTCAACAATCTGTCTTCTGGAAGACAGGTGTGGCCCTGCTGTGTCTGATGCAGTGGCTGAACCCAATGCCCAGGACTGGACTCCCAGAAGCTGGAAGAGGCAAGGAAGGATCCTTCCTCTACATATTTCAGAGGGAGGGCAGTCTTGCTGACACCTTGATTTTGGTCTTGTAGCCTCCAGCATGGTGAGAGAGAAATTTCAGTTGTTCTAAGCCACCCATTTTGTGCTACTTTGTATGGCAGCCTTAGAAACTTAATGCAGTAACTTTAGCTTCAACTCAGTTAACCAGCAGTTGTATTGACCATTCAGTGTATGCGTGTTATCCCTGTTTGGGAGAGCAGCAGAGAGGGGACCCTGCATGAGGCTCTGTGTGTAGTTCTAGGGTCCTGGTTTGTGAGACTTTGCAACCTGATAACTCAAAATGTGGCCCCTAAAAAGAATGAGAAGAGCTCTAGGCTGAACAAATATTTAGAGATCACGCACATTATGAGTCATCCTTAAGGCCAGGAATGGTGGCTCATACTTATAATCCTAGCACTTTGGGAGGCTGAGGCGGGTGAATCACTTGAGGTCAGGAGTTTAAAACCAGCCTGGCCAAATAAAAAATAAATTAGCTGGGCATGGTGGCGTGTGCCTGTAATCCCATCTACTTGGGAGGCTGAAGCAGGAGAATTGCTTGAACCCAGAGGTGGAGGCTGCAGTGAGCCGAGATCACACCACTGCACTCCAGCCTGGGTGACACAGCAAGACTCCATCTCAAAAAAAAAAAAAAAAAAAAAAAAAAAAAAAAAAAAAAAAGAAATATGTGCACTTCTTTATGGCAGTAAGCTGTGTTGTGTGTGTCTTACCCCTGATCCTTGCTTAATGCATGTGGGGTGGCCCGAGTTTGGGGGTGGTGCATACCTGTGAGCCTTGGATCCACCTTTTGAACAGAGCCCAGTGGTTGGATAATTCCTCCACTACTAGTGAGGGCTCAGAGGGCTGCTTTAGGGGAGGGCAGGGATGGAATTGTGAAATGAAAGCTCCTATTCCCTATGTCGTGGGATTGGCTCTGCAGAGACTAAATATTGCCAAACATTTGTGTGCATGAAAGACATTGGTGGCAAAGATTCTATGCAAGATAGTTTGCACAGTAATTTGATGAGAATGCAAACATTTCAGACTTTTAAATTTTCTTACATGTTTCCAGGCTGCTTTCCTATTTTATTATGAGGACTTAGCATTTACTGTATCTTTAATGTATCATTGAATTCTAAATGTTTTTGATGAACTAGAAAAAGTAGCAGCATGTTCTGGGAGACTTCATTAGGAAAATCACTAAATAAGCTTGTTATAAACTTATTGAGTTCTCTTTCTTTTATTTTATTTCATTATCTTCTAGGTAAACTTATTAGACTTTTCTTTGAATAAAAATATAGCTGTTAAAGTAAAATTTTCTGATAGAAATGCTAAGAGCAGGTGAAATCCCCCTGTTTTTTTTGAGACGGAGTTTTGCTCTGTGGCCCAGGTTGGTGTGCAGTGGTGCGATCTCGGCTCACTGCAACCTCTGCCTCCCAAGTTCAAGCAATTCTCCTGCCTCAGCCTCTCAAGTAGCTGAGATTACAGGCATGTGTGAACACGCCCGGCTAATTTTTGTATTTTTAGTAGAGATGGGTTTCACCATGTTGCCTAGGCTGGTCTTGAACTCCTGACCTCAAGCAATCCACTTGCCTTGGCTTCCCAAAGTTCTGGGATTGCAGGCGTGAGCCACTGCACCCTGATAGATGAACTCTTTATTCTCTTTCTCTGAGCAGGTGCTGGCTTAGAAGAGATTCTTTCAACCTTTCCTATACTTGATGCTACCTGCAGCATCCTCATTTTCTTTGATCACTTGCCTTGGTTCTGGGGTGTGGTCTTTCTCTGGCTACTCCACATGTGACTGTCACTGCAGCTTAAGAAAATTGTAGCTGAAGCAAGCCACAGTAGAACTGCCTGACTAAATATGAGGAAGAGGAGGCCAAGGACCTTTAGAATCATTACAAAGATGTTTGTAAGCAGCGGTTCTCCATCTTCATGGGAGATTAAATAGGAAGGAGGGTGTAATGTTGCAGCACAAAGTACTGGGATTTGCTACAGAGAAGAACTTCCTGTGCTAAGCATGCTGCACCACTGAAATGATTTCTGAAGAGGAGGGTGAGGACTTCATCTTTAGGTCAAAATCCTCTGTGTGATCTTTTAGCCCCCAACATTTGCAATTACAAGGCTTTACTTGGGAGGCCTCATGGGGGAAAGCTGCCCTCCCCATGCCTGACTTGGTGCACAGTGAATGCATTGCAATTTTCTGGAGGGAGTTTTGGTCAACGACGCAGGCTGTACTGGCTCAGGAGCCTCTCATATACATATCTGCATTCCTGACCCAGGAGCCTCTATTCTGGGGGCTCCCTTATCAGGAGCCTTGGCTGAGGCTCTTCCCAGGTGCCTCCACTGAGACTTCCTTACTGGTACACCATACAGGTTGGGAATCCCTCATCCAAAAATCCAAAATCCCAAATGCTCCCAAATCCACAACTTTTTGAGTGCCAGCATGACGTTCAAAGAAGTGCTCATTGGAGCTTCCTGGATTTTGGATTTTTGGATTAGAAATGCTTAACTGGTAAGTATAATATAAATATTCCAATACCCGCCCCCCGCCCCAAAAAAAAATCCCGAATCTGAAACATTTTTGGCCTCAAGTATTTCGGATAAAGGATACTCAACCTGTGTCAGTTTGCTCGGACTGCCATAACAAAGTACCACAGCGAGGGTGGCTTAAATAGCACAGCTGGATTTTCTCACAGCTCTGGAGGCTTAGAAGTCTAAGGCATGGGTATGGCTGGTTTCTGCTGAGGCCTCTCTCCTTAGCTTGTAGACGGCCACCTTCTGCCTGTGTCTTCACATGGTCTCTTCTCTGTGCGTATGTGTCCCCAACTCCTCTTCTTATAGGGATTCCAGGCGTATTGGATTAGGGCCTGCCATAATGACTTCATTTTACCTTAATTATCTCTTTAAAGGCCCTATCTCAAAATACAGTCCTATTCTGAGGTCATGGGGGTTAGGACTTCAAACTATGAATTTGTGGGAGGGGGTGGGTGGGGTGGTGGGGGGAAATGGAACACTGGGGAACCAGCCTGTTTCTCTTCTTCTTCTTTTTTTTTTTTTTTTTTTTTTGAGACGGAGTCTTGCTCTGTCACCCAGGCTGGAGTGCAGTGGCGCGATCTCGGCTCACTGCGAGCTCCGCCTCCCGGGTTCACGCCATTCTCCTGCCTCAGCCTCCCGAGTAGCTGGGACTACAGGCGCCTGCCATCACGCCCAGCTAATTTTTCTATTTTTAGTAGAGACGGGGTTTCACCGTGTTAGACAGGATGGTCTCAATCTCCTGATTTTGTGATCCGCCTGCCTTGGCCTCCCAAAGTGCTGGGATTACAGGCGTGAGCCACCGCGCCCCACCTCTCTTCTTTTTTATCTCTTGCCTGCACTGTCACAGTAAGTTAATAAAGTCTGGGTTGGTGCTTCATTTGGACTCATTGTCTTAATTGACCGCTTTAACAGCTGGAAGCTCAACAGAGGCTGGAAGACTGACTTTTGAGGTGATTCTTAAAGTAGATTCCAATCAACTAATAAGAATGGTGCTGCCTGGAGACAAGCGTGCCCACGCACTTGTGGGTAATGTCCATTCACTTCTATATTTAGCAAATATTTATTGGCATCTACTATGTGCCAGGTATAGGGGATGGTGATATAAGGGGCTGGAAGTACAGTTACAAGGCAGAAAAGACCCCTGTCCTCACTGAGCTAACCTCCCATGGGGAGACTGTAGCCGTTGAGTAAATATAATAATTGTAGGTTGTTATTTTGCCTTAGAGAGAATAAACAGGATTCTGTGATAAAAATTAAAGAGGAGATGATGGCCAGGGTGCGGTGGCTCACGCCTGTAATCCTAACAGTTTGGGAGGCTGAGGCGGGCAGATAGAGAGAGAGAGAGAGAGAGAGAGAGAGAGAAAGAAAAGAAAAGAAGGAAAGGAGATGATGTTGGTGCAGAAACCTGAGTAACCTGAGGGTTGAGAGGAAGGCAGCCTCACAACGAGGTTGGGAGAGGGCGACCCTGGAGGCCTGAGGCCCCTGAGGCGGGAACATGCTTGGTGTGTTCCAGGAACTCAGAAAGCCACATGACTGTTGTTGTTACACGTTTTGAATGTTGTCCCTGAGTGAGACCTCTGTGGTCTTTCTAGAATTTATACATATTTCACTTTATTTTTGTATGTATTGATACCCTTTCTGGTCCTCAAAAATATTTAAGTGAGTGATAAAACTAAAAAGCTGAGATGAGGGAATTGGGAATGTGGGAAAAGAAAGCAGGAAAAAGTGTAATTGTTTCATAAAGGGGTTAAAATAATAACTGAAATAGAACTGAGAGGGAAAAACCTGGTTTGAGGAATGCGTCAGGTTGGGGTCAGACTATCTCCTTGAGGAAGGTGTCTGGTTCTCATAGATCAGTAGTTGATGGTTGATTGTGTAAACTACCAGGAAAGACCTCTTTCATAAATCTAGGCTAAGAGGAAGTACTTTGGGTTTGGGGTATTAATTGGGCAGGCCTAGATGTGGCCTGGCCCACATTGTAAACTTGCGTTTGCCTTGGAGCAGATGACTTACATATCATTAAAGCTGCCAAACACCCCACTGACAGTAATGTCAGAGGCGTTCGAACTAGAGAGACTCCATCTTGAGTGACAGCTAGGAAAATAAGGCTGGGACGTGCTGGGCTGCATTCCCAGAAAGCTAGGTATTCCTAGCCTGGAGATGCTTACAGTTAGGGGAATAGATTGATAATGTTTACTAAGCAGACCCAGACTTGGGAGTGTCCTAATATCCTGATATCTTGAGAACAAAGGCATTCCTAATTTTGCTTTAAAGATAATAATATTGATTCTCGCAAAATATAGTAATTACGAAAATTAATCCTTTATCACAAACCCTTGCAGCAGAGCACATCTCCCCATGATCTTTTTTTATCCTATATAAAATATTTTATTTATCCTTATCTAAAGATCCATGATCTTTTTTTGTCCTTACCTTACCTAGGTAAGACATGTTCCTCCTCTTACTTTCGGGAATGCCCTACTCTGTTTATGGAGTAGCTGTTCCTTCACCACATTACTTTCTTAATAAACTTGCTTTTGCTTCGCACTGAATTCTTTCTTGCACGAGATCCAAGAACCCTCTTGGAGCCTGGATTGGGCCCCCTTTCCTGTAACAGTAACATGCCAACACTACACATAGGGAACAGGAAAATAGCGAGAGAAGTAGAAGGAAGAGGATTGCATGGAAACCGTTGAAAAATTGGGCTTTAAGACTTCCAGAAAGAACTTCTTGAGTTCTTTCAAGAGGGAACCAGTTGGTACCAGGAGCCTAAAGTAGATGTACAGTGTCATAATTAAGAGTATGGGCTTTGGAATTAATAGAGCTGGCTTTAAATGTATTCCTTCCTAAAGACATGACCTTGAGTGAGTTATTTAACTTTTATGAGACTTGGTTTCATCATCTGTAAAATGGGGACACCATACAGTTATTATGAGGATTACATGAGGTAAATCATAATGCATCTGGAACACAGTTAGTGTTTAATAAATGGTAACTTTTTTCTTTTCTTTTCTTTTTTTTTGAGGCACAATCTCACTCTGTCGCCTGGGCTCGAGTGTGGTGGCATGATCTCAGCTCACTGCAGCCTCTACCTCCTGGGCTCAGGTGATCCTCCTACCTCAGCCTCCTGAGTAGCTGGAACTACAGGGGCGTGCCACCATGCCCAGCTAATTTTTGCAGTTTTTGTAGAGTTGGTGTTTCGCCATGTTGCCCAGGCTGGTCTCAAACTCCTGGGCTCAATCTATCCTCTCATCTCCGCCTCCAAAAGTGCTGGGATTACAGGCATGAGCCACCACGCCCTGTCATAAGTGGTAACTCTAATTAAATATTGTTGAGAAATCTATTTTGGTAAGAAAGTCAAAATAATAAGACACTGATAAAAGGGGTCAGATGTGATGAGGTGCGGAGATTAGGAGAATGAGGCATTGTTGCCTGGGAAACCTCTTTTTGAATGGAAATAAATCATAATGAAGAAATATATTGTGACCAAAAGAATAACTCTCACTTCCTTTTTCCTCTCTGATTTGGCCATGATAAGCAAGGAAGGTGAGTACCTGAGAAGTCTCTGAAACTGGTGAGACTCTGCCCAGAGATGGAAGAGCTGAGTTGGGCATGAGTGGAGCTTTCTGGCCAGAGCGGGCAAGTGGTCAGAAGTTAGGAGCTGAGAATAGGTTCTGGGGAGGCCCTGCTCATGGAACACATGGATTTCCATTAGGGTAGAAGAAGCGAGTCTAGATTTCATTAGACTGTGCTTTCTAATAGCTGAATTTAGTGACACAGGTATCAGTCTGCAATTACTGCCTTCCTTCCTGTGGTTGGTTAAAAACTTCTGAGTAACTAAATATAGTTTCTGCCATTTTAATTTATGAATCAAATCAACTAATACTGAGTGCCTACCCTGTGCCAGATACCAATCTAGGTTTATAGTAGTGAGCAAAATTGATGAAGCCCTGCCCTCAGAGCAGTTATAATCCAATAAAGAGGATAATTTAAAAAGGAAATGATTTGCAATTTCCGCTGAGGATGAAGAGAAGCGGGTAGGGGAATAGACACGGAGATAGAGGGCAGCACTGCTTTAGATGGAGTTGCTAAGGAAGACTGCCGAAAAGAGACTTCAGTCTGGGAGAAGCGTGTTCCTGGGAGAGCGAACAGCATGTGCAAAGACCCTGAGGCAGGAGCAGCCTTGGAGTGATTGAGAAACAGCCAGAGAGTCAGTGTGGGTCAAATGGAGTGAGTGGGGGAAAAGTGCGAGGTTGTTTCAAGCACATTTGTTTTAATCCTGATCGGAATGATCTAGAAGAAATGAGATGCAGTGGGGAGAGAGAGAGGAGAGAGAGAGACAGAGAGAGTGAGTGTCAGGGGACAGGAGCTTCTCCATACCAACGGTAGGCAGGTATATGGGTACAGATGTTGTGAGGTTTGTAGATTATGAAGATGAGCAAGTTAAGCAAATTCACGAGGTGAGGGGAAGGGGGTGGGAGTTTGAGGAGCAAGGAGAATGTGTGAAATAACTTCCAGGAGAGTGAAAGAGTAAATATAGTGAAATATTACATCAATATAGAAAAACACAGTTCTCAGTTGTCTATGGAGGGAGAAGACTAACGGCAAGCATCTTCCTTTCTAAAGGAAGCTTCTTTCTTCTTTTTCTAATTTTAGAGACAGCGTCTTGCTTTGTTGCCCAGGCTGGAGTGTAGTGATGTGATCATGGCTCACTGCAGCCTCAAACTCCTGGGCTCAAGGGAGCCTCAGCCTCCCAAGTAGCTGGGACTACAGGTGTGCACCACCATGCCCGGCTAATTTTTTTTGTGTGTGTGTGGAGAAGGGGGTGTCACTTTGTTGCCCAGGCCGGTCTTGAACTCTTAGGCTCAAGTAATCCTCCCACCTTGGTCTCCCAAAGTGTTGAGATTATAAGTGTGAGCCACCACGCCTAGCTTAAAAATATCCTCCTTACCTGGTTGTGTCTGACTCACAGGCTGGTGGTGCCCAGCAGGGGAGATACATGTTTTCTGGCCAAGCCCAAATCTCTGGTGCCCAAATCTCTGAGGCACCCGCAGATTCAGATGCTACACCTCATACGGCTAGACAGCTATTCCCCCTCTTCCTTGTCTCTTGTCTTCCCTTCTCCAGCATCCCCTCTTGGGCTAATTCTCAGGTTCTATCTTGGCTCTACCACTTAGACCAATTGCTCCACCTCTTTGTGTCTGTTTCCCTCTCTATAAAAGGGTCTGATGCTTGTGTCTACCTTGTAGATTTGTCATGGAAATTGAGTTAATGCATATAAAGTGCAAGGGGCCACGTCTGGCACATGGATGTTTCCTTTTGTCATTACTACCATCAATGTAGCTACTTCTATGACTGCTGCAGCACTGTCTATGGCTAGTGGTGCACCCATATGTGCCAGTCGTCACTGCCTCTGAGGTTCCCAGACTGCAGTGGGCAGAAGAATCCTTTGGAGTGCTTTTATAAAATTCTGATGCCTAGCTCCCACTAGAGATGCTGATTCTAAGTCCAGAAGCGTCTGCATTTCCAGCAAGCACTCCAGTGGTTCCAATGGTGGTATGATCACACCACCTGGTGTCTACTTCATGGATGACATCTCATTTAATCTTCAAACCACTGCGTAAGATAGGCAGTATTAACCCATTATAATAAAGAGAAAATGGAGCTCAAGGGAGTCTACATAATTCAACTAACGTTCCATAGCTGTGACTGGTAGCCATCAGGATTTGAATTTCCATCTATTCTACTCCAAAATGTAGAGTAGTTAAATGAGTTAAATGGAATGAGTTGAAATGAATTCAAAGGACTCCCCCACCTAGAATTTGGAGTTTTGCAGACAATTGCTTAACTGCTTCTTTTTAAAAAGGGGTGTGTCCAACATGGCACATGTATACATATGTAACAAACCTGCATGTTGTGCACATGTACCCTAGAACTTAAAGTATAATAATAATTAAAAAAAAAGGTGTGTGTGTGTGTGTTTAAATACCTGGAACCAACTTTGAGTCCCTTGTTTTAGCTCTCTCCCAAATCCCTATCTCTAGGAACCAGGCACATTAGAGATGTCATCTTCCACCCCCTGGTGCCATGAAACCTTGTGTGTGGGAGTCGCAGAGCTGGGTGTTCACCACTCACCCCAGTATATTTAGGATACGTTCAGGAAATTCACAGAACACTTGCCCAAATCTTCAGTAACCACACCTAAATGCCTTTGTGACTCTCAAAAGGGAGAATGCTCTGAACAAGGTCTTTGCAAAGGAGCAATTCCAAGTTAGGAAGGGAGCCCAGGATGTCCTATACATCAGGCCTCCAGCTGGCTTGGGTTTGGGCACTTGAGACACCATGGCCTCCGGAACCTTAGTGAGTGATGGCTATAGGAGCAGAGGTTCGTGGAAACATGAATGTGGTAATTTGTAGTGGGGCTGTTGATGGATGAACGTTGGTTAAATGCTTATCTTGCCGGGCTTTTTGTGCCTGCCACAAGGGCGTGCATCTGAACCTCTGCCAGACAGATTTCTCTCCCCAGCTGGGTCTCTTCCCATACATCTGATAGTGGGCAGGTGTATATAGAGTCATATAATTGTCATTCCAGGGCTGTTTCACACCGTCCAAATCTAAGACAGCACCTTTTGATGTAGCTCACAAGAGCAGCTTGGCCAGGAGGAAAGTGTTCCAGGCCATAAGTAACATTATCAGGCACACACGCAGTTCCTGGCCCCAGCACGACCTAGCTGTGTGGTTTGAGATGAAGCACTTCACCTCTCTGAGCTGTTTCTTCATCTTTAAGTTTTGAATACTTTGATATAAAGTTCACAGTGTTCTGGAGATTAAGCAAAGTAAAGCACAGTGTTCCTTTGCTGGGCTCCCACACCCCAGTGCTAGCTTGCCCCAGCATCTTTTGGTAATGTGCAGTGGTTGAGTTACTTCTCTTGTCTCCCACTAACTTTCTTTAGGGACAGATCCAGCTCTTAGTGTTTGTTTGTTTGTTTTTACCACAGTATCTAACATAGTGCTCTACCCATGGTAGGTAATTTGGATAAGTTGAATAAATGAATGAATGTTCAAACAAAAACCCCCAGAAACTACGTTAGGGAGCACTGCTATAATCATCCTCTAGCTTCTTGGAGGAATATAGTATTTACATTGTGAATTCTAAAGGCTTTTTAGTTAAGAAAGATCATAAAAAATGTTAGGAACTAGGAGAGACTACTTTTTTCCATCCTTCTGAAAAAGGGTAGGTCATTCTGTGGGCTTCTGGTTTATTCTCTGGAGACTGCCAAATTTGGAGCTCAACTCTGCTTAGTTGTTTATGGGAACAGTCCTATCTCCTTTCTTCATAGCCCCTTCCATTACATTTTCTGTTTCCCATCTGAATAGGCTAATAATATAATAGCCTTGGTGCAATTCCAAGTGTGAGTCCCTTGTTCTGTTTATCTTTCAGTGTTCTCATCTCTCTGTCTAGAATGGCATTTGGTACAGAGTAGATGATCATCATAGGTTTGTTGCATGGATGGATGAATAATTGAACATGGGAGTTCTCTGTTCCTTTTCTTCTCTGACTTCTATCAGTTTTTGCCCTGCTTTATTTATTTATGGGTGTTTTTAAAATATCGGACATCAGGCACGGAGTTAGATTATGGATTAGTCATAACACTCAGTTTATGAGATATTTATATACACAAATATATATTGCATACATCTGCCCACTACCAGATGTATGGGAAGAGACCCAGCTCGGGAATGTATTATCATGACATACACACACACACACACACACACACACACACAGACATATATGCATATATATATACACATACACACATATGCACACACACATACACATATATTTGAGACAGGGTCTCACTCCATCACCCAGGCTGTAGTGCAGTGATGCAATCATGGCTCACTGCAGCCTCGACTTCCCAGGCTCAGGTAATCCTTCCACCTCAGCTTCCCAAGTAGCTGGGATGCATGCCACCATGCCCAGCTAATTTTTGTATTTTTTGTAGAGACGGGGTTTCACCATGTTGCCCAGGCTGGTCTTGAACTCCTGAGCTCAAGCAATCCTCCCACCTTGGCCTCCCAAAGTGCTAGGATTACAGGTGTGAGCTACTGTGCCTGGCCTATATATGTATTTTAAATAGTAATAAGCATTCATGAACTTGCTACCAAAACCAAACATAGAGCTTGGATAATAATTTATGTCTAAATGTATGGTCTGCCCACCCCCATTCCCTCTGTCTCTTACATTCTGGGGAAATAATCATCCCAAATCTTTTATTAATACTTTGCTTTTTTAGTATAGTTTTTATTACATCTGTACGTATTTCGAAAAAGTAGGTGCTTTTTATTTTGCTTGCTCATAACTTTATAAAAAGTATATCATGCTTTTTTCACTTAATATTATATTGCTGAGATTCATCAATATTGTTTCATCCATATTGTTTCATTGTATATATTCATTTACTCATTATTGCTTATATAGTTATTAATTGTGTGAATATACCACTGTTAGTTCATCCACCCTCCTGTGGCTGGGCAATTAGGTTATTCCCAGGATTTTGCTCTTATGAACAGTGCTGCTGTGAATAGTGTTGAATATAATACCATCAAATTTGTGCAAGAGTTTCTTTTTGGTTTATGAGTTTGAGAGTAGAATGCCGTATCATAGGAAATGTGAATTTCAACTTTAGGTGGTAATACTAAAACAGTTTCCAAAGTTTTTGTACCAATTTATACTCCTACTATGTCTTTTCTAACTCTGGTTATCATCAAACTTTAAACTTGGGTCTACTGAATACGTATAAAATAATATTGCATTGTGGTCTGCCTTGATCACTAATGATGGTGATGGTGAACATTTCTTGAAATGCTTATTATGTTTATTGTGTTTATATGTGTTTCCTCTTCTGTGAAATGCCTACTTTTGCCCGTTTTCCCATTGAACTATTTATATTTTTCTTATTGATTTGTAGGATTGTTAGGAATTTGGTATGTATTTCTGTTGAGAGTTCTTCGTTGATTTTAAGTTCTTTGATCAGTTATTGATTCTTGTGTAATAAACTACCCCCAAAACTTAGGGGCTTAAAACAACAACAGTTTTGGCCAGGTGCGGTGGCTCACACCTGTAATCCCAGCACTTTGGGAGGCCAAGGTGGGCGGATCACCTGAGGTCAGGAGTTCGAGACCAGCCTGACCAACATGGAGAAACCCCGTCTCTACTAAAAATACAAAATTAGCTGGACGTGGTGGCACATGCCTGTAATCCCAGCTACTCAGGAGGCTGAGGCAGGAGAATCACTTAAACCCTGGAGGCAGAGGTTGCAGTGAGCCAAGATCGCACCATTGCACTCCAGCCTGGGCAACAAGAGTGAAACTCCGTCTCAAAAAAAACAAAAACAAAAACAGTTTTTTCTCTCACAATTCTGTGGGTTGACTGGGTTCAGCTGGTTGATTCTTCTGCTCCATGGGTTGTCAGTTGGGGTAACTCACTTAGTTGCATTCAGCTGGTGGCTAGGATGGACTGGATGGCCTAAGAAGGCCTCGCTAACATACAAGGTAGCTTGGTGCTCTCCCATTTGTCCTCTCCAGTTGGCTATTTTGGACTTTCTCACAGAATGGTGATTCTGGGTGGTTGGACTTCTTGCCTGCTGGCTTCCAAGAGGAAGGAAGCAGAATCTTCTAGCCCTTTTAAGGCCTAAGCTTGAATGTCCCAGAATGACACATCTGCTATAACAAAGCAAACAATCAAGTCAGTCTGGATTCAAGAGCAGAGACTAGCCTCCAGGGCAAACAGCATCCACCTTTTGATGGGTGAAATGGCAGGCACAGAGAGAGAGAGAAGGAATTGATGGCAGTCATCATTGGAGACTATTTATCACTTTTGCATTGTAAATATCTTCTAGTTTTAACTTTTCACTTTTTAAAGGTGTCTTTGATGAAGCAAACTTCTTTATACATATTTTATTTATTTATTTATTTATTTTTCGTAGAGACAAGGTTTCACTATGTTGCTCAGGCTGTCACCAACTCCCTGGGCTCAAGGAAACAAAATTCTTTTTTTTTTTTTTTGAGACAGAGTCTTGCTCTGTCGCCCAGGATGGAGCGCAGTGGTGCAATTTCAGCTCACTGCAACCTTCACCTCCCAGGCTCAAGCAATTCCCGTGTCTCAGTTACAGGCATGTGCCACCATGCCCAGCTAAAGGAAGCAAAATTCTTAATTTTAACATAGTCAGATTTATCCATCTCTTCTTTTGTAGTCAACGCTTTTTGTATCTTTGGTTAAGAAACCTTTCCTTGCTCTCAGTTCTAAAAGGTAGACACCTTTTTTTCTACTATGAGAGTTTGAAGTTTTATTTTTCACATATAAGTCCTTACTTCATCTGAAGTTGAATTGCATTTGCGACTTGAGTAGAACTCTGATTTTATTATTTCCCCCTGGATCTAGAATATTCCTTCCTTTCCCAGCGGTCTGACATACCACCTATGTTATATACTAAAGCTTCTTAAATGCATGGGCTGCCTGTTCTGTCCGATAGGTCTGTTTGTCTCATTTTGCCTTTCCTTAATTACAATAGCTTCATAATAAGCCCCGATTCCTTGAAGGGCAAGTTTCCTCCTCCCGGTCTTCTTCTTCAGCAATATCTTGGTCCTTTAAAGTTTCATATAAATTTTAGAATTATCTTACTGTACTTTAAGAAAGTCCTTATTCAGGTTTTCACTGGCATAATATTGTCTCTATAGCTTAATTTGGGGAGAATTGGTAAGTTTTTGATATTATCTTCTAGCTAACTCTCCATTTATGTAGATTTTCAAAATTCTGTTAATACTGTTTAAAATTTTTATTTGTCAAATTTCTTTTGAGATACTTGATGTTCTCTGAGACTATTATAAATGGCATTTTCTCTTTAATTAAATTTTCTAGTTGTTTGCTGCTACTCTACAGAGATGCAATGACTTTTTTATTTTAATGTCACATCCAGCTACCTTGCTAAAAATCTCCCAGTATTTCTAAAATTCTCTTTAGCAGATACATTTGGGTCTTTATTTTCTTTTTTTATTTTTTATTTTTATTTTTTTCAGAGTCAAGTTCTCACCCTGTTGCCCAGGCTGGAGTGCAATTGTGTGATCATAGCTCACTATACTACAGCCTCAAGCTCCTGGGCTCAAGCAATCCATCCCAGTCTCCCAAGTAGCTGGGACTGCAAACACATACCACCACACCTGGCTAATTAAAAAAAAAAAAAAATGTTTTTCTTGCTATGTTGCCCAGGCTGGTTTCAAACTCCTGGCCTCAAGTGATCCTCCTGCCTCAGCCTCCCAAAGTGCTGGGATTACAGGTGTAAGCCACTGTGCCTGGCTTCATTTGGAGGTTTTTTCTTTTTTCTTTTTTTTTGAGACAGGGTCTTGCTCTGTTGCCCAGACTGGAGTCCAGTGGTATGATCTTGGCTCACTGCAACCTCAGCCTCCTGGACTCAAGCGATCCTCCCAACTCAGCCTCCCAAGTAGCTGGGACTACAGGCAGGCACCACCACACCCAGCTATTATTTTTGTATTTTTAGTAGAGACGGGGTTTCTCCATGTTGCCGAGGCTGCTCTCGAACTCCTGGGCTCAAGCAATCTGCCCATCTTGGCCTCCCAAAGTGTAGGGATTACAGGCGTGAGCCACTGTGCCCAGCCTCATGTGGAGTTTTAATGTAAATAATTTTATCTTTAAATAAATAATAACAGTTTTATTTCGTTTATTCCAAATGTTATACATCTGTTTTTTTCTCCTGCCTTTAAAAAAATCCTTCTTGTTCTTGTCTCTTGCCCATTTTTTACTTTCAATTCTTGTGGAAAACACCAGGTTGAGTCAGAAATAGCAGAGACTTATAAATATATAAGACCTTTTATTTTGTGTATGACCATGAAGCAGTAAAGTTGGTATAAGCGTCTGTTGGAAGATATGGCTACAGAAAAAATAAAGTGGCCTGTCCCAGTGATACTCATGGGAAGGAAAGAGCCTCCTCAATGATCTTCCATCTGAGAAGTCCCATGGATTCTTTTCTCTTCTGCTCCACAAGTTTGATTGTCTTTTCTTTCTTTCTTTCTTTTTTTCTGGTGAATTAGCCAGCCAGACTCAGTTTAGATGATCCCAATTTTGTTGGCAACATCCAAAGCATTGTAATCAGGAGCCAGTTGAACATATGCCTTCTTCTCTCCATCAGGCCTAATCAGGGTGTTGACTTTGGCCACATCAATGTCATAGAGCTTCTTCACAGCCTGTTTGATTTGGTGTTTGTTGGCTTTAACATCCACAACGAACACAAGTGTGTTGCTGTCTTCTATCTTCTTCATGGCGGACTCAGTGGTCAGCAGAAACTTGATGATAGCATAGTGGTCAAGCTTGTTCTCCTGGGGGCGCTCTGCCGAGGATATTTGGGCTGCCTCTGGAGTCGCCGTGTCGTGGGCCGCCGGAAGGTGGGTGACGTGCAGATCTTTTTTTGTGTGGCTGTGGACACCTTTAAACACTGCCTTCTTGGCCTTCAAAACCTTCGTTTTGGCTTCAGCTTTAGGAGGGACAGGAGCTTCCTTCTTCGCCTTCGGCGCCATCTTGTGAAAAGACCGCAAGTTTGATTTTCAAAAGTATTGTCAGGTATTGCCCTTTTAAAAAGCCCCACGAGGTTATCTTCTCTCAAAACCTTGTTGCTTGGTGCCAAGGCTTTACTTGCAGGATTAGTCATAACCTTGGCCTCCCTGAGAAAGTTCTTCAACCGCAAGTCTACTTATCTAGGTAGCATGTCCACGTCGACTTAATTCTCCATGAAGAGCTCAAGAAAAATGATTAAGAAGGCTGCAAAGAGTTTTAACACTTAAGAAAGTCATTCTTCTGATTTTTTTTTTCACTTCTAGATCCACAGTCTGATTTCCTTTAGGGCACTACTAAATTCTTTTTGATTCTTCATATAGGTTGATTTGCAGTAAATATGACATTGAGATGTAAGGTAAAAATTACTGAAAGTTCAGGAGTAAAACAAATGAAAGAAAGGACAAGGAATACTTTAATAAAACGATTTGAATAAAAAATTTTCACCCTGACCGTTTAAGAGTAACTTAAAGAAGCCAAACTTTCTAATTATTAATTTTTAAATACATTATTAAATTTTTAGAATAAATTTTTCTTTCTTTTTAAAGTCAATGTTTACACTGATCTTTTTATTTTTCAAACAGAAAGTGTATGTTACACTTTTGCTTGTTAATGTTTAACTTAAGCTTGTGGACTCTTTGTTAGAAATTATTTTATATGGCAAAAAATTTATCACCTAAACTTGGCTAATACAAAGTTAATCCAGAAAAACCATCATCTAGGGCATTACTGGTTTGACAAGTTGTTTTTGTAGATTCTTTGCTGTCTGTCAAGGTTTTTTCCAATAGTCCTTAGAAATAAACAGAAAGTTTGACTCATTTTTATTACCTGGGCAAAGCTCGCTCCTTGGAATTCACCTTTAACTTATGTATCTATTATATCAGTCAGACTTCCAAATGTCAGTGTTGACACCTGTGATGCTGTCTTGCCTATACACTTATTTTTTAAATATGTGCTTTCAAATTATTTATTGCTCAGACTTGAAATATATATTTGATATATATAGTTTTTAGTGCCTACTAATTGTGAGATCAAGGGCTAACGTGAGTGCTAAAGCTCCTGAGCCTGTGTTCTTACCTAGTCTGCTGAATGACATGGACAGGAGCTGCAGAGGGACTGCTATATCAGCAGAAAGGCTAAGATGATTCTAAATGAAAGAGACCTTCAGGCTACTGTGAAGGCTACCATTTAAAACAAATTACAGGAAATAACGTATGTTAGTGATTATGCATGGATGTATAATAAACCAGAGTTGTAGCTGTTAGAGAGTTACAGGGTAGTGTTAACTTGTTATCCCTGGACTCTGGACTTAGGTCCTGATTCTACCATTGACCAGTGGTGTGGTTCTTGGGAAAATTACTTAACATTCCACTCTCTTTCCTCATCTGTAAAATAGAGGTGATAATAATAATCTTAGTATGAAAATATAAACTGGGTGGTGCCCAGTGCATAATAGGTGCTCTACAAATCTTCATCTTAATTATTATTATTACTTTGAAATTGAGAATCACTCTAACAACCTAGAAAGCACCTTCTGCATTCCTCACATCAATAATGTGGAGATGGAGATAAATGTAAATCATAAGCATTCCCATTTTGGGGAGAGATTTTGCTTCTAGCCAGATGTAAATCTTCTAAACTTTGAGGAATAATAATTAAATTCCCTCATCAAATAACTAAATGTTCTGGTAAAATGTTCTCTAGGGAGAAATAAAGATCATAGAAGGGAAAATACTGATAGTAAGTGTTTAGATGTCCTAGCTTAAAAGTTATTCATAGCTGGGTGCGGTGGCTAATGCCTGTAATCCCAGCACTTTGGGAGGCCGAGGCAGGCGGATCACCTGAGGTCAGGAGTTCAAGACCAGACTGACCAACATGGAGAAACCCCGTCTCTAATAAAAGTACAAAATTAGCCGGGCGTGGTGGTGCATGCCTGTAATCCCAGCTACTCGGGAGGCTGAGGCAGGAGAATCGCTTGAACCTGGGGGCGGAGGTTGCGGTGAGCTGAGATCATGCCATTGCACTCCAGCCTGGGCAACAAGAGTAAAACTCCGTCTCAAAAAAAAAAAAAAAAAAGTTATTCATTAAGCACCATATTATGACAATGCATTTTATAGAAAGAATCAACATTTTTGAGAAATGGCTGATGGAATTATTCCTTGGTTGAGTTTCTAGGGGGTGCAAGGCAGTGTGTTGGGTTGAAGTGATAGAGGGAAGAGCAGGAAACATATGGCCTCCGACCTCAGGAAGTGGCGGGGCCACATACACCCAAGGCACTGCTTCTGAGTTATAGAACCATTTTTGTATAATGTCGAAAGATAAAGATCTACACAGATACCTCACCATGCATGAAAGAACCATGAGTTGCATACTAGATGAAAACATGTGGTCACACCTTTGGTTACATACCAGGATCAAATTTCTCTCTGAACACTTAAGAATTAACTTCTAAGATGCTGGCTAGGGGCAGAGCTACCTCTTTGTCACAGCACATTCCTTGGGAGGCTGTGGGTATAAGTTTGCCTCTTTGTCCCCCTCCTATGTGATGGTTATACCCTAAGAGCATTTAGTTTGGGAGCAGATAGTTCAGTATGTGAAGTCCATCCCTGGGAAGCATGATCCTCTGACCCACTTAAAATACATTCGACATAGAAGAAAGGCCTATGTTCAGGTTTTAGATAGTAAATGGCTGCAAAACTATGCAAAAACCAAACCAAAACAAAAACCAGAATCAAAAGAATCTGCCTAGTAAGAAAGAGTAATTCAATAAGAAGTTAGAGATTATAATACCAAACAGATTATCACCACAGGTAAAAATGGATCCCCATTTACTTACTGAATTAATACTGACTTCTCAGTGCTGGTATTCACAGCCAGCCACATCTCTCCATGTACCTGGCAAGCCTTGTCTCTCAATGCTTGCCCTCAAAGGTGAAACAAGACCAGCCGGCCCCTGTGCCCTTGCTCGTGCTGGTTCCTCTACCTGGAATGCTTTCCCTGTTTGTGCTCACTGCCACTTACCAAAGTCCTATCCGTCCTCCCAGGCACTGGACATGCCTTCTCTTTCACCATGGAATATCTACCGCCATTGGCCACAGCCATCTACTCCATGGAGGCACTTGCTGTACACCCCTTCCCTGATGGTTGTTTGGATCCTTGATGCACCACTGGGACTGTGGGGAGGGATCTTTTTTGTACCCCAGTGCCGCACACAGAATTGCACAGAGGATGACTTAATGAGTGAAGTGGATTTGTTGAAGTGAAAACCTCTTTTCATCCCAAATACAACAGGCTCTTCTTGAAGTGTTGTATGAAACAAAAACATAGCTGTAAAGATGGAAGATAAATAGACCCCATATCCTAAAAACACCATAATCAGAGGCATAAATCGGTGATAAGGTTTAAGATAAATGAAAAAGAGAAAGCCTTACTACTGTTTCAGAATACATTCCAGTGAATTTTAACAGCTGACTTCTCTAAGCTGTATAAGATAGTCTTTGTTTGGTTCCCTGTATTTGCTATATGGATAAGAAAAAATTACTTGAAAGTAAAAAAATAAAAAACAAAAAACAAAAAAAACCCACTTTTTTTTTTTCAGGGCCAGTTCTGTGACTATTGCAATTCTGAAGACCCCAGGAAAGCACATCCTGTCACCAATGCCATCGATGGATCTGAACGTTGGTGGCAAAGCCCTCCCCTGTCCTCAGGCACACAGTACAACAGAGTCAACCTCACCTTGGATCTGGGGCAGGTGAGCTACACTTTTAACTGGAATGGGAACATGAGCTTAGATCACTGTTTCTATGGGGATTTCTGATATAATAAT
Source organism: Homo sapiens (assembly GCF_000001405.40). NCBI lineage: Eukaryota > Metazoa > Chordata > Mammalia > Primates > Hominidae > Homo > Homo sapiens. Next base: position 23,714,148 of record NC_000018.10, read on the forward strand.
TATTGTAAAAAAAAAACAAACTTCAGTTTTAATCCCCTCATCATTGTTAAACCTGTTACATTAACATTTGCTTCCCTTAAACCCAGAATAGGCCAGGCACAGTGGCTCATGCCTGTAATCCCAGCACTTTGGGACGCCGAGGTGGGTGGATCACTTGAAGTCAGGAGTTTGAGACCAGCCTGATCAACATGGTGAAACCCCATCTCTACTACAAATACAAAAATTAGCCGGGTGTGGTGGCGGATGCGTGTAATCCCAGCTACTTGGGAGGCTGAGGCAGGAGAATTGCTTGAACCTGGGAGGTGGAGGTTGCAGTGAGCCAAGATCGCGCCACTGCACTCCAGCCTGGGCAACAGAGAGAGACTCCATCTCAAAACGAAAACAAAAACAAAGCCCGGAACAGTGCCTGGCAGCATGCAGATAGATGCCCATCCCTGTCTATTAAATGAGATTAAAAAATAATTGTAAATAGTTTCATTGGCAAAGATATTTTTATTATTATTTTTAATTGTGGTAAAAGAGACACAACATAAAATTTGTCATCCTAACCATTTTTAAGTATATGGTTCAGTGGCATTATGTACATTGGCATCATTGTGCAACCATCGCCGTCATCCATCTCTAGAACCCTTTTCATCTTGCAAAACTGAAACTCTGTTCCCATTAAACAGCAACTCCCCATTCCCCTTTCTCCTGCCGCTCGCAGCCAACATTCTACTTCTCTTACTGTGAATTGACAACTCTAGGAAGCTCATATAAGTGGAATCATATAGTATTTGTCTTTTTGTGACTGGCTTCTTTAACTTGGCATGATTTTTTAAGGTCTTGAAAACATCAGGGAAAGTGAAAGAAGCTGGAAATAAAAGACTATCTTATATGATTCCATTTATATGGAATGTCCTGATAGGCAAATCTATAGAGAGAAAAGTAGCTTAGTGGTTGTCTAGGGCTAGGGGTTTTGGAGGAAATTGGGGCGTGACTAATAATAGGTATGTTTTTGGAGAGAGGGTGATGAAAATGTTCTAAAATTGATGATGATGATGGTTGGACAACTCTGTGAATATGCCGAAGACCATTGGCATGTACACTTTAGATGGGTGAACAGTATGGTATGTGAATTGTATCTCAATAAAACTGTTAAAAAAAAAAGGATTCATGGAAAGAGAGTGTTTCAAGAAAAAAAAAAAGGAGGGAGAAAATAACTGTGTCAAATGCCATTGATAAGCCAAATAGCAAAACACTGATAACTGAGCAGCAAATGACCATTGGATTTGCCAGTGTGGAGATCACTGGTGACTTTGATAAGAGAGCATTGAAAAGTTAACTGTAGGGAAATTAAGAGAGAATGTGAGAGGAATTGAAGTACCTAATACAGAAATCAATTTTAAGAGTTCTGCTCAATGGGGCAAAAAGAAATGGAGGAGAATCATTGAAAAGCCAGGTAAAGAGATTTCTTTGTTTATGATAGAGATAGCAACATGCTTGTGTGCTTGTGTGCAGATGGTAACGTAAACAGCAGGAAGAAGACTGTAGCTATTATTAGAACATTTTCATAACTGAGTTTGTTATGTTGATACTAATACTAAAACTAATGCTAATACTAATATTAATGTTTATACTATTCTTTTTGCTGGGAACAGTTAAGCATAGAGTACAGTTCATATAAAAAATACTACTTGAAAGAAAGAAAAAGGTAAATGCATCCCATAGCATAGAAATGGAATGATACTGAGATTTCTTAGAATGAATGTGTTCTTTTCATTTCGATTGGGCAGTTTTGTGACAGAAGGGCTTTCAACCTCTTTAGTCCATGTGTTGTGCTAAATTAGACCTCTCCTGAGAATATTTTCACCATTAATTTGTGTCTGCAGGAATTCACAGAGAGCCTTCATGGTTCAAAAGACTCTAATAAGCCTCCTTTCAACTATAAGTTAGTCTTATCCCTCTGATACCTAACCACTAGCATTCATTCAGTAGCTTCTGACAATACTAACCAAGAATTACCTACCATATCGATTTTTTTTTTTTTAGACAGGGTCTCACTCTATTGCTCAGGCTGAAGTGCAGTGGTGCAATCTCGGCTTACTGCAACCTCTGCCTCCCACGCTCAAGTGATTCTGGTGCGTCAGCCTCCCAAGTAGCTGGGACTACAGGCATGTGCCACCATGCCTGGCTAACTTTTTGTATTTTAAGTAGAGACAGGGTTTCACCATGTTGCCCAGGCTGGTCTTGAATTACTGAGCTCAGGCAATCCGCCCACCTAGGCCTCCCAAAGTACTAAGATTACAGGCGTAAGCCACCGTGACTGGCCTATATCGCTTATTTAACTGAGGGTTTTTATAGGTAACAGGGAATTTTAATCCTTCAAAATGACCCATACTGAACTTACCCATGTCTGCTGGCTTGTTCTTTTTTCTTTAGAACTTTTTTTTTAAACCTACTTTAAAAGCCTCCTTTTGATGTACTGAAAAATTCCCTAATTAAGACAATTAAGAAAACATCAACATAGGAACAGTTCAGTACTTTGCTGGTTGCTGACAAACGTGAGTCATGGCATGCATATGCATAAGGCCTGTGTCCACCCACCCGCTCTGCTCTGCGAGGCTGCTGAGAATGTGGGTTCTGGAGTCAGCCTGGCCAGTTTGTCCTGATTGCTCTGCTCACTTGCTGTGTGGCCTTAACAAATATATTTTTCTGCTCCCTGCCTCAGTTTCCTCATTTATAAAATGAGATAATTGTGCATCCCTCATAAGATTATTATGAGTTCTAAATGAGTTAATTGCTTCATTTAAAACTTCTTTAGAGCAGTCGTATTTTTTATTTAATAAAATAAAGTGAACTTTAATAAACTCTCATTAAAAAGAACAGACTGATCACATTTGTGCCTCTAGAAAACACTACCTATAATACTGTAGAAAATATTCTAAGAAAGTCTAGGAGCAGGAAAAGCATGATCAGTTATGTCAGACTGAAGACATTTCTTTCCTCTTCTGTGTTGGAGCATGACATGTTTTAACAAGCATGTTGTGTCTTGTAAGATTCCTATTTTTTGCCCCATTGGTAAGATCTGTGTTTTCTTCCTTTTGCTGGAATTAACCATGAGAATGTCACTGAGAGGTTAGATTTCATAATTAATAGTAACATTAAGACCTTAGAGGGAGAGAAGTGGGAATTTTGAGGCATGGTTGAGAAATAAAATGCAGATCATAAATTTGTTACTACAAAATCACTTCACCTGCTAAGAACTGAAATTTGATTTTGATGTGCTGTTGTCAATTTGACAGCTTATGCTGTTGTGAGGGTCTTGTTTTCTTTTAGACTAGTTGGTGTTTTTCATTGTTATTTTTTTGGCCAATAAGTTTGACAAATAAAAACATTACCTTCTGGACTTGATCTTTTTTTTTTTTTTTTTTTTTTTTTTTTGAGACAGAGTCTCACTCTGTCACCCAAGCTGGAGTGCAGTGGCGTGATATCAGCTCACTGCAACCTCCGTCTCCCAGGTTCAAGTGATTGCCTTACCTCAGCCTCCCAAATAGCTGGGATTACAGGTGCCCACCACCATGCCTGGCTAAATTTTTTTTTTTTTTTTTTTTTTTTTTTTTTAGTAGAGACAGGGTTTCACCATGTTGGCCAGGCTGGTCTCGAACTCCTGACCTTGTGATCCACCCATCTCGGCCTCCCAAAGTGCTGGGATTACAGGCATGAGTCACCGTGCCTGGTCCACAGACTTGATCTTAAAGGACAGTTTCCCCTTAAAACGTGGTAAATGTAGGACAGTTCTGTGATTCACTAGAGGCATCATACTTTCCGGGGTTGTTCAAGTTCATTTAATTATACATTATGCAGTAGTTTCAGGCTATAGAATGAGAACACGATGTCTTTCAGGAAGCTTTTGTATCATCTGGCCAGATATAATGAGTTCATTTTTACATTTAAAGCATGTAGATGTCCAGTTTTTAAAAGGAGAATCTTTGGAATCTAGGAAGCTTTGTTCTGCCTGGATTCCTGGTAGGGCATGGGCTTTGGAGATCTCTCCCGTGAGATCGGAAGGTGTAGTGGTGGGATCTACATATACACTCTGGACTTCCTCCAGAATCCAAACTCCAGAGTTCTATTCTATGGGCTCCCTATGTTCACCTTCCAGCTCCCTCCCCAGGGTGAGGTATAGAGAAAAACATGAGGAGGTGGGTGCGGAGGGAGTTCCTATGGTCCATGACTTCAGCCCCCGCAGAGCAAGCCTGACTCATTGTGTTCCAGGGAACAACAACAAAATTATCTGAAGAATTTTGAGGCTTGTATGCAATGTGTAATGTTTCCAAGAGTATTATTTTGTTATTTAAACCTGTTAGTAGTAAAAATAAACAAAGACAATCCCTCACCCCCAACATCAAGCCCTGAAAAGGACTGAGTGTTGGCTTCAGAGGATGGAGGTGTGAGGAGAGAAGGTGACGTTGCCCCTGCTCTGCAGGGCTGCGGGGGAGTGAGGCCTGGAGACAGCAGATGTGGCTGCAGGAGCAGAGCTGCTGAGATGGTCCTTTGGGCCTCGTAGAGGCAAAGGCTGTGATGTCCACAGCTCCCTGGTCCCCCTCTGAGTGGCAGCTGGGATGGATAGTTCCCACACCTGTTCCCTTGTCCCATCTCAAGGGCCTGCATCTGACTTTGCTTCCTGCCTGAAGGCTCTTTCTAGATTTACAGAGGCTTCTAAAAGCTGTGTCTAGAGCAGCCTGCAAGCCCAGCACTTAATGCCCCAAGGGGCAATCCTCATCCCAAGAGGGATGATAGTTGGTGGGAAAATACCGCATTTCCCTGCCTCTCAATGGGCCAGTTCTAAAGTGCCTTCTACATAATTCCTCAGAGTGTCCCTGGTAGGATGGAGCCGTGGTTGGGTTGCTCTGGTGGCAGCCTACTCATTAACACATTGATTTTTGGCTTTTCTCCCTCCCTTATGTTCCTCTCTTCCCAGTTTGTGCTTCTTGAGGTCAACTCTTAAATAAACTACCTCTACTCAAGTCTTTGCCTCAGGGCTTTAGAGAGGGCCCAAACTAAGACAGAAGAAAGAGAGTCCAGATGGACATAGTGGTTCATACCTGCAGCCCCAACCACTCAGGAGGCAGAGGCACGAGGATCACTTGAGCACAGGAGTTAAATCCAGCCTGGGCAACTCAGTGAGACCCCATCTCTAAATAAATAAATAAACAAATAAGGAAAGGAAGCCTAGATTGAGACCCTGAAACCCCCTGCAGGTGTTAACACAGGCAAATACTATGAAAATGTTATTTAAAATGCAAAAAATAGAAAATTCAGAAATTGTTTCTAAAGCTCCAAGGTTAAATGTAATAGGGGAAACTGCATTATAAATTTTAAGGAAAAATATTAATAGGTCACAGGAGAAATGCCCCATTACTCTACCTTTCTAATTTTTCATGAATTCATCACAGACAGTGAACTCCCCAGGAGCCAGATGCAAATACAGGATCCAATCATCTGAGAGTGAATTCAGTATGTAGTTGCATTCTAGAATCTTTTTTTTTTTTTTTTTCCTGATTCCCTTCAACTTTTATGAGACTTTGGTGGGTGAATCCAAAACATTCTTTGTAGCTGACTCAGATGTGGAGGGAAGCCTGGGCTAGTTTCTGATACTTTTGGGGCTTGAGGACTTTGGAGATTAACTTGGCTCTACAGATGGTTGGCTGATGAGGTCACTAAGGAGGGTGACTCAGCTGGTTCCCCGGGTGGACACAGCCCAATCCAGAAGGTGGATGGCTCTTGGTTTTGACCCAGTCTTTCTGGATTCCTGAGGAATTGTGTAGACTATAAGCTTCAGGAGGCCAGGGACTATGTCTTGTTTTGTTCACTGTGTTCTGTTCACTACATGATGTTTTGCTTCCAACATCTTGCACAGTGTTTAGCATACAATAGTTGTTTAATAAATATTTGCTGAGTTAATGTAGAATGAACCAAGGATGACTCAGCATCAGCCTGAACTTTCCCAGGGTATAGTAGTAATGGAAACATATTGCTGTGAGACCAAATCTCTGGGTGAGGGTGGAAGAGTTTTAGCTCTGTAATTAATTACGGTTCGTTCCATTTATGACACTTGAGTCTCTCTGCAACATTTTAAGAGTATTTTATAGCTATAACAAAATTAGAAAATACAGAAGATTATATTTAGAACAATTTTGCTATTAATAAATGGTGTTTTTTTGTTTTTGTTTTTGTTTTTTTTGAGATGGAGTCTCACTCTGTCACCAGGCTGGAGTGCAGTGGCGCAATCTCGGCTGACTGCAACCTCTGCCTCCCAGGTTCAAGTGATTCTCCTGCCTCAGCCTCCCGAGTAGCTGGGACTACAGGCACGGACCACCACACCCAGCTAATTTTTTTGTATTTTTAGTGTGATGGGGTTTCACCATGTTGATCAGGATGATCTTGATTTCTTGACCTCGTGATCCACCCACCTCAGCCTCCCAAAGTGCTGGGTTTACAGGCATGAGCCAATAAATGTGTTATTAATGAACATCATCATGAGGCACAGCCCTTGAAGTCAAACAATTCATTAGTGGGTAGAAAAACAGGTGCCAATAAAATCCTCTGGGCTACTAGGGATAGAATATTATCCTTTATGGTCCTTTAGTAACTTCAAAGTGTTAATTTGGGGTGCTTTGAAGTAATTTATACATTAGGAAGAATCTGGAAATCAGGTGTTTTCTTTTAATACATGAAAAACTCATTCTGGGTGCAGTGTCTCATGTCTATAATCTCAGCACTTTGGGAGGCCAAGGTGGGAGGATTGCTTGAGGCCAGGAGTTCAAGATCAGCCTGGGCAACACTGTGAAAGCCCCTCTCTATAAAAAAATAAAATAATTAGCCAGGCATGGTGGCACACACTTGTAGTCCTAGCAACTCAGGAGGCTAAGGTGGGAGGACTGCTTGAGCCCAGGAGTTGGAGGCTGTAGTGAGCTATGATAGCACCAGTGAACTCCAGCCTGGGTGACAGAGTAAGACCCTGCCTCTATTAAAAAAAAAAGTCTCTCTCTCTTTCTCTGTATATATGTATATATACACACATTCAATTGGTTCTGTTTCTCTGGAGAACGCTGATTAATACTGTGGCTAAATACAATGAAGGTATATTTCTCATCATGTCCAAACACAGCTGATCCTGGTTAAGCAGTTCCCCTCCAAACAGTGGTTCAAAGACGTAAACTCCTTCCATAATTGGGTCTGCCATTTTCAACACATGGGTTCCCAATGTTGCCCCGTGGGTCATCTTTATTCTAACCAGCCCGAATGAGGAAAGAGCATGGAAGATTCTGTGTGGGAGGTTTGTGTGGGCAAGACTAGAAGTGGCACATCAGCTCAGTAGCTTCATATTGGCCATGGTGGGAGCATTTACACTATGGAAATCAGCAAATGTTACAAATCAGGGCTGCTCCTTTCCAAGAGCCAGTTTACCCAATATCTCTCTCGGTCTCTTCCATATCCCTCCACTTCCCTCTCCCTCCCCACTTACCATTTAGTAAACTCATTATGTCTTGTGCCGTATTATCTCTGGAGTCTGGCTCCTCCTCCCCCTTGATACTGCACTATTGTAGTGGAACCCATGGCAGCTCTCCCCATGATTAGTCCACCAGTCTTCTAACTGATTTCCCAGCATCTACTCTCAGCTTACCCTGTTTTAGAATCAGCCTGAAAGGAACAGAATCCATAGTGGTGAGCTGAGAAAGATTAGAAACAATCAGGTTGGCAGTCTTCCAAGGGTCTACCTATCAATCAATCTTCTCATTACTACCAGCGCAAAACAAAGATCTCAGTGTGTTGTTCTCCCTGATTAGTATCCTTTAGTGGTTTTCTATTACTTTTGGAATAAGGTCCAAGTTTCTTAACATGTCACATACGCTCCTTCAGTCTAGCCCTTAGACTTTTTGCCAGCCTCATCTTAAAAGGCACTTTCTCCTGCAAGACCTATGCTATGTCAGTAGAGACCTAACTGTAATTCCCTGGATATTCCATGATGTTCCCTGGTTCTGGGCCTTATTTTGGTGCTATTCACAGTTCTTGGAATTCCTTCCCACCTTGCCTGGTCTGGCTATCTTCTTTCTGAGATAACTCAAATATTGCCTGCTGGAAACCCTTCCTGGCTGCCTGCTTCCCTCTGAGCTGTTTCTGTTTACTCAGAGGCACTTGCTAAGCTGTGCCGTAAAGGCTGATCCACCGTGTGCTCCTTAAGCTCAGCAGCTGTGTGAACATATTCTTTTTGTATCCATGGGGCTTAAAAGTCCCAGAATATACTGTGTCCTCCACTAAGATGGAATTAAATGGAAATGTGAATTCCAATACTGTTGTTTTCTTATTATTCCACTGAATTATATGTCTTGCTATCATCATGGACAGCTCTGCTCTATTTTAAGCTAACATTTACATTTGTTGGTTTTCATAAAACTAGCACCACAAATATAACAGACATAACAGAAAATGAATTAAATATGTTTCCTTCCAAAACACTCAGTAGGCTGTAGGCAGTCAACATAAATCCAAGAAATAGGAAGAAAGATAAAAACTGTACTAGGGAACAGCAACACTAGGAAACAAAACACTTTCTTCTGGAATGTTCTCTCAGTCTATACAGATAGAAGTTAAGATGATAAAATGATAAACGGAGGTCACTGTGACCTCCTTGGTGAGTCTTACGATGCAACTTTGGGTCAACACACAATTATGACCAGCATTTGGCCACTTCCCAGGATTAAGGCCATTGTAAAGTCGTCAGAGGGATCTTTCTCATCATGAAGGGTGAAAACCAGAGTTTGGCATCACATGGGAAAGGGCAGTCTGTGGGCTGGGGAGAGGAACCAGAGCTTTACATTTACATATCATCTATGATATGGAATTTTATTATTATTACCTAGAGAAGTTGTCATTGATCCTCTCACTCTCCCTGTTAATGAGCTTAGGCTGCCTTATGTCTTCTGGGGAGTGAAGTATCTATAAACACATTCACACGAAAGTTCTGGGAACTCAGTACTGATGTTACTTCCCAGAATATTTGCATTAAAAAAATTTCTATCTTTGACATGAAACTACTACTCTGAATTTATCCAAAGGAATTCATGAGATAAATGCTCTAATGTCTGATGCAAGATACTCACCAAAGCATTATAAAAATAGCATCCAGTGGGAAACAATCTCATGTCCAATAAAAGGGGACTGACTCAGTTAGTGGATTAATAGGCACCACATGATGCCATAGAATGGTCTTTATCGACACAACATGTGTCTGTGCTATATGGTGAAGAAACAGACCAAAACTATATGTAAACTAGCTAGACTGTATGGAATGATCACATTTAGTAGGAAAAAAAAAATGTGCCTATATAAGCAAAGAACAAAGTCTGGAAAGAGATACTTGAACATGCTAAGAGTGCTTCTCGGTGGATGGGGAGATCAGTGATTTTTACTTTCTTCTGTAAATCTCACAGTGTATGTCAGCTTGCTGGCTCTGGGTTTTTACCTAGGTAAACATCTCACTCCACAGCTTCCTGGCTGTGTGTAATTGGATGGTCTAACGAATGTCTCGGGGTCAGTATCTTCATCTGAAATCCAGGGATAAATCTAGTACCAACCTAGGAGGGTTCTTGTGAGAAATTAATCAGATAATACAGAAAAAGCTCTCAGAATAGTGCCTTACATGCTGTAAGAACTAAATCCATGTTACCTATACTATCTGTATTTTTTTTAAAATTTTTATTTCTATAGGTTTTTGGGGAACAGGTGGTGTTTGGTTACATTAGTAAGTTCTTTAGGGGTGATCTGTCAGATTTTGGTGCACCCGTCACCCAAGCAGTATACACTGCACCCAATTTGTAGACTTTTATCCTTCATCCCCCTCCCACCCTTTAACCCAAGTCCCCAAAGTCCATTGAGTAATTCTTATGCCTTTGCATCCTCATAGCTTAGCTCTCACATATGAACGAGAACATACGATATTTGGTTTTCCATTCCTAAGTTACTTCACTTAGAATAATAGTCTCCAATCCCATCCAGGTTGCTACGAATGCTATTAATTCATTCCTTTTTATGGCTGAGTAATAGTCAATGGTATGTACGTATACATCTTTATTTTCTACAATGAGCATGTATTACTTTTAGAATTAGAAAATCAATAAAGCCATTTTCTCTTTGGAGAAAATAAAAGGGTTCTATAGAAAGAGGATAAAAGGAACAATGATTTCTGGTAGAATCTGAGTTATCAATGAAAAAGCTTCCTTGGAGTTTTCCTGATGTCCTCTGTCTCCCCAGTATGAACTATTTCCTGATGCCCTCCATGCCCTATCTCACCCCCTGCCACCCCGTCCCCCTGATATGAGCTTCTGACTGTTTTGTCTCAGAATGAGGCTGGTTTGCTAGAGATCTTTCAATGCCAACAGAATCAGAAAAATACTCAGTAAATGGAAATTGATTTTTTAAAAAAGAGCATATTTCATTCCTTAGCTAATCTTGAAAACTATTTTATATGCTTCTTCCCTTGTGGAACTTTTGCAATTTCAAGCACACTTGGGCTTTAAATCATGGCCATTTTCCTATTACTATTAATGGCAAGCATATATAAGGAAAAACTGAATTTCATGAATTCTTCATGACAGTTCACGGAAGCTTGAGTTAAATGTGGCGTCTCAGGGGAGTCACTGTGCCTGGCACCTCTTCTCTGCCTGCTGTCCTCAGGGCACCTGCCCAGCCCCCACAGAGCCCTTGCTCCTTCTCATATCTGTGACCCTGCAGCCTTCCTGCACCACCAAATGGTCTTCCTTCACTCTTTCCTTCCTGATGCTTCTTTTTTCTCTATTCCTGTTTCTGTGATTCCCCTCTCTCTCTTTTTCACTTTTTACTCCCATCGCATTTCCTTACTTTAGGAAAAAACAAGAACCAAACCAAACCACCTTTTCTAAGTATAACAGTATAACTCACCATTCTTTTTTTTTTTTTGAGACAGAGTCTTGCTTTGTCACCCAGGCTAGAGTGCAGTGGCACGATCTCGGTTCACTGCAGCCTCCGCCTCCCAGGTTCCAGTGATTCTCCTGCCAAAGCCTCCTGAGTAGCTAGGATTATAGGTATGGGCCACCACGCCCAGCTAATCTTTTGTATTTTTAGTAGAGACGGGGTTCCACCGTGTTGGTCAGGCTGGTCTTGAACTCCTGACCTCAGGCAATCCACCTGCCTCGGCTTCCCAAAGTGTTGGGATTACAGGCATGAGCCACCGCGCCCGGCCTAACCCACCATTCTTTTCTGGTGGTCACTGCCAGCCTTGAGGAGGGTGCCATGCTGTGTCCTTGGCAGAGTGGTGGCCTGCTGAGTCACTGGGGGTGTGTGTGCAGAGAGGGGAGTGGAGGTGGGTGGGGAGTGAGCTAAGGAGGTCTGGGGCTCCCCATAAGGGGGGCTCCAGCAAGACCAAGCTCTTTGCCTGTCTAGTACAGTTGTACTGGGTCCCCAGGCGGCCTCAGGGCACAGACAATGTGACCATCCTGCCTCCCCAGGACTTGCGCAGCTCACTCTAGACCAGAGGGGCCAGGTTTTGTCTCCTCCACCTGGCAGCTTCTGCTGCTCTTCCTCACAAGGTTCCCTTTGGTCTTGTAGCCTCCAGATAAGGGTGCTTTATGTGCCTGTGTCTCTCTCATTTGAGAGCAAACTTCTGAGCTGTTGCACTTCTCTCTTTAATTCTTAAACCACAAATGCAAACATTCTATGGCTTAGGAATTCCAGATTCAGCGCACCATGCATGACATACTCTGTTCCATAGGTTTTAAGCACTTTGAGTGATAAAATTGTATGTTTACCTTTATCACTCCTCAGCATCACAGAGTAACCAGCATAACCAGCATGGAACATTCAGTTCTTTCCCCTCCCTTCACAGTCATCCTTGCTGGGCAGACTCTCACCATCCCTTGAGCCACCTCCTACACCAAGTATCCTGGGAGCTCCCAAAGAGATGGGGAGGGTGAGTGGGGCAAGGAAGCCCAGAGCCGGGAAATGCAGCACCCCTCCCCTCTTTGGAATCAGTTTAAATTGCCATCCAGGTGGGCCCAGGCAGCTGAAATCCAGGTGGTGTCTCCAGCACAGGGTCCCAGGTGGGCAGAGCAGCTGGCACAGCTCTCATGAGGGCAAGAGCGCCCAGCCAGAGCCTGGCCCAGGTGAGATAAAGCACATGAGAGCAGAGTCCAGCCTCCTTGCTGTGGAGTGAGGCGAGGGCAGGAAGACTGTGTGGACGGCTGTTTTGTAAATCCCTGTGTTCATGGGGAAGGCATTGCACCCGCACTGCCAGGATTGGGTGTCTTTTGGCTCAGGCGCTGGGCAGGGCTGGGCCTGAAGGTGCCTGGTATTTAGAGCAGGTGGGCCTGACACCTGGCTTGGGCTGCCCCTACTTGCTTCTGAGGGCAGGTGGCTATAGTGTTCACACAAGCCCCTGTTTATTTATTTTTATTTATTTTTTATTTTTTTGAGACAGGATTTTGCTCTGTTGCCCAGCTGGAGTGCAGTGACATGATCTCGGCTCACTACAACCTCTGCCTCTCAGGTTCAAGCGATTCCCGTGTCTCAGCCTCTCCAGTAGCGGGGATTACAGGTGTCCGCCACTGCGCCTGGCTAATTTTTGTATTTTTAGTACAGACGGGGTTTCACCATGTTGGCAAGGCTGGTCTTGAGCTCCCGGCCTCAAGTGATCTGCCTGCCTCGGCCTCTGAAAGTGCTAGGATTGTAGGAGTGAGCTACCGTGCCCGGCCCATTGCCCACTTTTTAATAAGGCTATTTATTTGTTGTTGTTGAATTTAGTTCCTTGTAGATTCTGGATATTAGTCCCGTCAGATGCAGAGTTTGCAGATATTTTCTCCCATTCTGCAGGTTATTCACTCTGTTGATTATTTATTTTGCTGTGCAGAAACTTTTTAGTTTAATTAGGTCCCATTTATATATTATTGTTTTTGTTGCTTGTGCTTATGAGGTCTTAGTCATGAATTCTTTGCCTAGGCCAAAGTCCAGAAAAGTTGGAAATAAAACCTAAAGACATACAAAATATAAGCCTCATTTAAAAATCAGATTTAACAGATATCAGCTTACTCTTTTAAATTGTTTTAAGGCTTTCTAAATGCTGACTCTCAATTTCTGTCCTTGTTTGATTGATTGATTGATTGATTGATTGATTGATTTTTGAGATGGAGTCTCACTCTGTCTCCCAGGCTGGAGGGCGGTGGCATGATCTCGGCTCACTGCAACCTCTGCTTCCTGGGTTCAAGCCATTTTCCTGCCTCAGCCTCCCCAGTAGCTGGGACTACAGGCACATGCCACCACACCTGGCTAATTTTTGTATTTTTACTACAGATGGGGTTTTGCCATGTTGGCCAGGCTGGTCTCCAACTTCTGACCTCAGGTGATCTGCCTGCCTCGGCCTCCCAAGGTGCTGGATTATGGGCATGAGCCACCTCCCCTGGCCCCTTGTTTTATTGTGAATGAGTAACAAACAGTTCCTGGACCAGCACTGGTCCATGGACCACACTTTGAGTAGTGCTGCTCTAGGCCATGTATTGTAACTTTTCTTTTCTTTCTGTTTTATTTTGAGATAGGACCTTGCTCTGTCGCCCAGGCTGGAATGTAGTGGCGTGATCATAGCTCACTGGAGCTTCGAACTCCAGAGCTCAAGTGATCCTCCTGCTTCAACCACCCCAGTAGCTAGGAGCACAGGCACGTGCCACCACACCCCACTATTGATTTTATTTTATTTTTGTAGAGATAGGGTCTCACTATGTTGTTCAGGCTGGTCTTGGACTCCTGGCTTCAAGTGATCCTCCTGCCTCGGCCTCCCAAAGTGCTGGCACTACAGCTGTGAGCCACTGGTGCCTGGCCTACTGAACCTTTTCTTCAGAGCTTCAGAGCTATTCAGATACATCCTGAAAAGGCCTCCTCTTCTCTGCTACCTCAAGTCTCTCCTCTGGCTCAGATTTGGTGATGTAGTTCAAGATACATTTGTTCATTATTTGAAACTTTAAACAGCCCAAGCCCTCTTGTGACCCAGATAGTCTCCCTCCTATCTGTCCACTTACGCCTGTTCTGTGCCCAGTGACCCAGGCTGGTGACCTTCCTGGACAGCAGCAACAGGCTGGGGGGAGGTATCCCAGGTGCTCAGGGGGTAGGAGGGCAAGGACAATGGGGCATTTGGTCCCCCAGCTGCCTCTGTTGGCCCATAGGCTGCAGTATCCCAGCTGTTTCATCCTAAGGAGGATCTTGGCTCCTGGCAGGCAACTCACTGTAAGGCTCCAGCTCTGTCTGGGATCCAGCATCTGTTCCCTCTCCTTCCCCTTCAGCCCAGGGTAGGAGAGGTCCTCAGATCTTCTTAGCTCTGAGATGCTTCCCCATTACCAGAAGGCTTCCCTCCTGCTGCCACTGCCTTTGTCAATGCTGTAGGTGCTTTATTAAGCTCTCCTCAATCACTTCCTTCTAGTAGGAAGGAAGTGTCTATCCCTGGGACTATGAGTGACACGCAGCCTTCTGACTTGCTTTTCTACTGGCTGAAATTTGCCAAAGCTCTCCAGTTGTCATCTTTTAAAGAATGAAGGGAAACGGCTGGTGCAGTGGCTCACTCCTGTAATCCCAGCACTTTGGGAGGCCGAGGCAGGCGGGTCACCTGAAGTCAGGAGTTCGAGACCAGCCTGGCCAACATGGTGAAACTCTGTCTCTACTAAAAATACAAAAATTAGCTAGGTGTGGTGGTGCGCACCTATAGTCTCAGCTACTCAGAAGGCTGAGACGGGGTAATCGCTTGAACCCGGGAGGCAGAGGTTGCAGTGAGCGGAGATCGTACCGCTGTACTCCAGCCTGGGCAACAGAGCAAGACTCCGTCTCAAAAAAAAAAAAAAAAAAAAGAATGAAGGAAAGTATTGAGGGGTGACCATACTGAAGTTTTTAAAAAGTGCATATGATGTATTGTGTGTGTATGTGTGTGTGTGTGTGTGTGTGTGTGTGTGTTTGTGTGTGTAGAGAGAGAGAGAGACAGAGAGATCTCAACTGAATTATGACTGGAGTACAGAATAATATTCTGTCCCTTTCTGTATCCCCACCACCTAGGAGAATGTCTGGTATGTAGAAATAATCCAGCAAATGTATACTTCGTGTATGAATGAATGAAGATACAGAGACTTCCTTACTTATGTCTGCCCTATTCTCATATGTCCCTCATATACATACCAAAGCCATACATATGCAACAGATAGTAAAAATATTTGTCTTTTATAACTTGGAACACACTGAAGACATAATGAAAAGGTTGGATCTTTGGTCATTTAGAGTATTAATTGTATTAATTTAAATATTTCAAAAATAGATGGTAGGGAGAAAGTATGTTGCTCTTTTGTGGTAGATAATCTTGTAAGTCTTCGAAAACTCTTCAACATCTGCTTCAAAAGGTAATCATTTAGAATTTAAAAATGATTATATATATATATGGCAGATATAACATAAATTTACTGTTAACATAATTCACATGCTAGAAATTGACCTAAGCACTTTACCATTATTAACTCATTTAATCCTCACTGCAAGCTTATGAGGTGGGTCCCCACGTTCTAGAAGGGGAAATGGGAAGCCCAGAGATGTTTCATAGCCTCACAGGGTTGTATGGGATAGACCCGGGATTTGCTCCCCCAAGTCTGGCACCAGAGCCAGCCTTAGGCGCTGTGTGATGGCAATGTACGTGACGCTCCCGTCCTGTCTGTGCTGGGCTTAGCTGGAATGCTCATGGCCCGTGTGGGTGTTTGGTCATAATTGCTGTCCCTCTCGCAGGATGCTGTCATGATGTTGTTCATCACTGCCCACTGTGTTCCCCTGCAAAGATCCATTTGGACAATCCCTTTAGTCCCGGAATAGTTGTGCTTCTTTAGGACATTAAAAAACGAAATAAAACAAAAATGTATGGACCCTGGGATTAAGTTTCCCTCTTTTTGCTGGCTACTAGAAGCATAGGGGCAAATGTATGGCTCCACCATGCAGGTGGACACAGCTTCATGGCCTGCATTATTTTGTGTGCAAACCTCATTACAGGTTCCAACATTTCATCCCTATCTGTAATTTTGCTTTTACTCCTTTTTTTTGTTTTTGATTTTTGGTGATTTCACATTGCCATTTTCTTTCCATCCTTATACACTGCCCTCAATCTCCTCCCCAGTCTTTTTTTCTTTTTCTTTCTTTTTTTTTTTTTTTTTTGAGACGGAGTCTCGCTCTGTTATCCAGGCTGGAGTGCAATGTGCAATCTTGGCTCACTGCAACCTCTGCCTCCCGGGCTCAAGCGATTCTCCTGATTCAGCCTCCTGAGTAGCCGGGATTACAGGCACCCACCATCACGCCCAGCTAATTTTTGTATTTTTGTAGAGATGGAGTTTCACCATGTTGGCCAGGCTGGTCTTGAACTCCTAACCTCAGGTGATCCGCCTGCCTCGGCCTCCCAAAGTGCTGGGATTACAGGCATGAACCACCGTGCCCAGGCTTCACTCTTTTTTTCTTAAACAAAATGGGATGTAGATGAATACAAGCAATATATTGATGAAACAGTGAAATATAATTGCTGTTTTCATTTCAGTGATACATTTTTTCTTACTTAGAATACGCTGTCCGGGCATATTTTACCTTTATGATTATTCTAAGCCTGAAAAATTTGTATATTCATACAGAAGTATTTCTTGTTTTACATTGTTAAATATTTCTGAGTCATGTTGAGAAGTATAGTGCAATTCTGCGGAAGACTCTGAAACTTTATGAGCTTACCAAGGCTTATTTCTTGGGTTTTTTCTAAGTGGATTGTTACAGAGAAGCTCAACAGCAAGCAGAATGACTGAACATCAAAGGCTGTCTGAAGACGGTGCCAGGTTATAATTTTCCTTTTACAACCCCTAATGGACAAAGAACCTGCTTTTACTCAGCTGTTGCCTTTTAAAATTGATTTGGTTGTTTTCCCCTTGAGCAAATATATCCTTTAATTATAAGACCTCATGAGCTATTGTACTACTTCATTCCCAGAGAATTTTTTCTTTTGCTCTTAAATGTTTCCAGTGACAGTGGGATAATAATATGTGTGTTGCTAGCTAAGAGTGGGATTCTAAATATACAGGGATTCATCCTAAGCATCTAGAACATGACATATAATGTCTTGAGGCATTCTTTTAAAACACCCCTCCCACCCACATTGTACTTCTTCCTAGTCATTTTTTCTCTTCTTGTTAAGATTTATTGCTTCTTTGGAGGACAGCTGGGGACTAAAGTGTGCTCTACAGTGAAATTCTTTGCTCAATGTATTATCTTGTGGCAGATAGACCTGCACAAATATACTGTACTTTGTACTATCTACCTGAAGACACTTACTTTGCCCCACAAACTGGTGTGCAGTCATGGCATGAAGAAGACATACACTTCACAGGCAGGAAAACAGGGCCAGCTTTCCAGGGAGATGGTCTGGCAGCTGTTGGCATGGTGTAATTTCAGGAGGTAAGAGTAGGTTTCCCATGAGCCTGGAATTCCTTTAGCTGAGGATAAAGCTTTTAAAAGGCTCATGTCTTTAAAGATGGCAACAACAGCCACTGGGGACTACTAGAGGAGGGAGGGAGGGGAAAGGGTTGGGAAACTACTGGGTACCATGCTCACTACCTGGATGATGGGATCTGTTGTACCCTAGACCTCAGCATCACGCAATATACCCATGTAACAAACCTACACATGCACTTCCTGGATCTAAAGTAAAAGTTGAAATTATAAAAAATAAAATAAAAGGCTAATGGCTTTAGGAGAGGTAAGACATTGACTTCAGAGTCACATGAGATCAGCTTTCCTTAGGAGAAAGGGCAGCCCTGGCAATGTGATTCTGATGGAACAAGGGTGTGTATTATGGGCTGAACCAGTGCTTCCCAAACCTTAGTGTGCATCTGGATCATTTATTAAAATGATGATTCTGATTCACAAGGTGTGGCTGTGCCGGTAGATCCTGCATTTCTAAGATGCCCCTTGATGAGGTCAAGGTTGCTGGTCTGTGGGCCACATTCTGAGCAGCCAGGGGCTAGAAGGGCTCAGAGGGAAGAGAGGAGCTGAGGCAAAGGCTGGGGCTAGTAGTAGGATGGGCAGCAGGGAAGAGGCGAGAGCTTTGGTGCAGAAAGATGAGATCCAGGAGGAGGAGGAGGCAAAGCCTCCCAAGTGACTTTGAGGGTGGGAATGAACATGGTATGTTAGGGACACACAGACTCAAAGATTGGGGTAAAACTTCTCACACCCAGCTAACTCTTTCCATTCCTTCTGTTTGATCAGTAAACAGAAATTGGCTTTCTTGGGTATGTTCACATGGGTGCTGCAAAATCAGTCTGTGCAGCAATCCCTCGCGGAACCACCCAGGGAGGAAAGGCTCCTTGAAGAAGGGACCTGCAGGGTGCGCAGGTTTTCAGCATCAAACTCCCTCGCATTGGCTCTATCTCAACCTGTAGCTGTTTGAGATACCAGGGAAGCTAATTGCTTAAGAGCACAGGCTTCGGAATCCTACAGATGTAGGTTTACATCCTTGCTTTGTTACCTACTCACTGGGTAACTGTAAACATGCCATGTGTCTTCTCCAAACTGCAGCCTCTGTATCTATAAATTAGAGATAATAATAGTACTGACATACTAGGGGTGTTGTAAAGGCCACAAAACATGTAAGCATTAGTACCTGGCACAAACTAAATCCTCAACAAGTGCTAGTTCTCCTCTTTCTTGTCCTTCTTACTATTAATTTAATAATTCTGCTTGACTAATCCTTCTGGCAGGTGCCACTGTTTTTGACTTTTACTTGCTACTGCAATCACCTGCCCACTTATCCTCTCTTGACCTGCATTTCCTCAAGCTGAAGAATCCCAGCAGATAGAGCTCCAGGTTTGGGACTAATCAGCAGCCCAGGGAGCCAAGCAGAGGAGGCCTAGGTTTCTAGTTCAGTGGGCAGCTTTGGCTTCTGGGGTTTCACATGCTTCTTGGAGAGTCAAATGCATGCACAAAGATTAGGGTATCCCTGATAAGTGTAACTACCATGGAGGGAGGCATTATCTTTGCTTGGAATATTTTAGGAAGTGTATTAGTCCGTTTTCATGCTGCTGATAAAGACATACCTGAGACCGGGTAATTTATAAAGAAAAAGAGGTTTAATGGACTCACAGTTCCACATGGCTAGGGAGACCTCACAATCATGGCAGAAGGCGAAAAGCATGTCTTACATGGCAGCAGAGAAGAGAGAATGAGAACCAAGCAAAAGGGGTTTTCCCTTATAAAACCATCAGGTCTTGTGAGACTTACTACCATGAGAACAGT
Source organism: Homo sapiens (assembly GCF_000001405.40). Taxonomy (NCBI): domain Eukaryota; kingdom Metazoa; phylum Chordata; class Mammalia; order Primates; family Hominidae; genus Homo; species Homo sapiens. The sequence goes on from NC_000018.10 coordinate 23,733,498, forward strand.
ACGGGAGAAACTCCCTCCATGATTCAATTATCTTCCACCAGGTCCCTGCCATACAAAGTGGAATTATGGGGGCTATAATTCAAGATGAGATCTGGGTGGTGACATAGCCAAACCATTTCAGGAAGGTTTCGCAAAGAAGGAGCTTTTCCATTTGTCTTTAGAAGATAAATCGGAGTTTATTGGGCCCTTTTCATAGGGTGACCAGTTATCCCAGTTTGCCTGAGATTGAGGGGTTTTGGAGATGCAGGATTTTTAGTGCTAAAACCAGGACAGTCCCAGGCAGACTGGAATGGTTGGTCATCTCTACTAGTCTGTCATGACCAGGGCTACCTGATCATGAGTCAAGGTCATGAGTACTGATCATCAGTACTTCCTGCTGATCTACCGAATTTGAGCTCTCTGAATTTCTACTGAATTAGAATTTCCAGAATTATAGCCTGGGAATCTGCATTTTAACATGCTTTCTGGTTGCTTCTAATGTACACTGAAGTTTCAGAGTGCTGCAGTGACATTTTCCCTGCATCAGGGATTCACTCTGTGTTCTCTCAGCCACGGTGATCCTCCATGGCCAGCGTGGGACACGTGAGTGGAGAAAAAGTGACGCAACATCTCTGCCGTCTCAACTTCTACCACCACTGATTTCCAACTTAGCCAGGACAGTGGGGCCAAACTGGTATGCAGTGGGGTCGCCTAAACATCATTGTCTGTACTCCTGGCTCACCAGGATTTCCAGGTCTCCTTTCAGGCTCAGGGTATTCTGAATGTCCTGTGTCTTTAACAGAAAACGGGACCATGGGGCCTGCTTTGGTTCCCCATGCACCACAGTTCCTTCCCTCTGCCTCAGGGATCTTCCGGACAATACAGCCTCCATCAGTTTGTGTCCTTGGGTGAGAAGAGCATGGAGCAGAGCCCACCTTCAGTACACATGGGGCATGGGTGAGATGCAAACATTATTTGAAGCCACTGAGGTTTTGGCATGCATGGTCACTGCAACCACAGCTAACTTACCATGATAGACACAAACTCCACTCTAACGGAGTGTGCCTCTAACTATCCTCAGTTCCTCAGTTGTAGGACAAAAGGCAGATGGACAGAACTTTCCAAATAGATTCCCTGGAATGGAGCAGAAAAAAAGCAAAGATTTCCTTTTAGAACTCCATGAACAGAAACTGAGATTCTGACCGAACTACAATAAAAAGATAGCCCCACGTGGCCATCCTTAGGCCTTTGTGCCTGTGCACCAGGAGTTTCAAGGAGCAACCAGTCCTGGGTTTGGTTTATGGAAAGGTCTTTCCAGCCTGAGTAGAATGCCAAGAAAAGAAGAAGCCAGAAATTTACAGGGTCATGGAGATACAAGGCAGAGCTGTGGGATCTGGACGGCCAGCAGGAGCAGGACCTGGCCGTCCAGATGGATATTTTAAAGCTCAGAAAGTTTTCCCAAATTTGGGATGGACTTAGTCCCTGGGCAATTGAATTGCAATTCAAGTGGAAGCTGTCTTCTTTCTTTACCAGTGAGGCGGTTAATATACCTATTTCTCTTAGCTAACAAGAGTGAGTTAAAGAATAATCTCAAGTACTGACTGCCAAAACCACAAGAAGGAAAGGGTTCCTCGTAGACTGCATGTGACTCCCCCTTGGGTACATGTGCCCACTGGCAATTGCATTTATGAGGCTCTCCCCGTTGTGCCATCTTCTCTCTACCCTGAACCAAAGGTGGCTCCTGAGGCTGGCCTGGAACCAGGACAAGGGGCTATCAACATTTCAAAAGATTCCCTGGGATTTTTGCCAAGTCATTTGACCAGAACATGCAGCAATATATATTTTGTGATTACTAGAGACTGCTGTTCCATTTAGTTTTGAGTCATTCTGTCTCCACAGGAAGAAGTTGTTAGAGAGTTGTAGAGCTATGCGTGTAGGCTTCTAGGAGTGAGCTGCTCATACGTCTTCGTTCCTAGCGTGTTGTGAGCTGTGCCTGTCTCTTGTTTTATTTCTGTTTTCCTCCTTTGTCTAAGATCCCCATTCCTGATCCCTTCTCCTTCATAAGCATCTGCTCTGACCTCTTTGCTACTTATCCTTAAACACGCTCCCTTGAGGTGCGCTCACTGCTGTGGGCTGAGCACCTACTGTGTGCTGTGCTCTGTGTCAAGAGTCCCGCAGGAATGGGCTCTTACTCCTCACGCCAACCTTGCGTGTTACATGTGCACCAATGTCTCTTTCAATGCAGAGCGTCCCCCTAGGCATGCTCCTGGCCTTTCTCTGCTTACTTTTTTCCAGATGGTGAGTGTGGAGTCTAGAGCTGGGCATGCACAGCTCTGCCTCATCCCTTGGGAGCAGCCCAGTGCTCTTCTCTGTTTCACCCTGAGCAGAGAAGAGCCACATGGGCTGCCCGGCCACAGGGTGTATCAGCAACTACAACCTGCATCCTCTAAGACCCGCTTCCCCAGAAATATGGTCTTTTGCCCTCATCTGCCCTGCTCCTCTTTCTTATTTGTTAATTGGTTCAGAACCAGATAGGAATGAGGGATGGTTTTTATTGGGCCCTTTCAAAAACTTCAACATTAAGTATTATTATTATTTCTTTATACAGACAAGTGTAGTAAGGCACAAGGAGATTGAGTGAATCTCAAAGCTTAATTTCTTAAGAGATGGCACAGTTTGGAAGCTAGCACCAGACATTCTGGCTCCAGATTCTGCACTCTAAACCATTACAATACACTGCTCATAAAATATGAAGTGCTTTTTTAATGTATGTATTTTTAGACTTTGTATAAATGTGCTATCACATCTAGTTTGACGTCTTCAATTTTCCTGTGCTTTATATTATGTGGGTTCACCCATATTGCTGGATATGCATCTATTTCTTTGCTTTTGATGACTATAGGGTGGTATTTGTATGGTCAATTAGTGAGACTATCTTTCACATTGATCATATTGTCCCATTTCAACATTAGATTATTTTATATAATATTGCCTTGGGGGAAATCATATACAGGTATAAATGAGGTGTGTACCGAAAGTTACATCAGATATTTCAAACTTAAATTGCATTTTTTCCAATAAAACTGTTACAAATTAGAATTCTCCCTTAAGCTATGCCCAAAAAACTCAACTAGTCCCATGTAGTTATAAAAGCTTTAATATTTCACATTTGCAAGATAGAGTGGTAGAAGCCAATACTGATTTTGGGGGAAAATCCTAAATCCTCTCTGTGTAGTATTTGGGTTACAGGGAGCACAGAAGGCTCCCAGGATTGGGAAAAGCTTAAGGAAGGAAGACAAAGGGATGAGAGATTAAGGGAAGGGGGTGGAGCTGGGTCCAAGGAAGGTGTGCAGGGGAAGACCTGTCATTGTGTGGACGCTGGGGATGAGGGACCTTGGGGTTTCCCTTACTCCAGCCCAGAGGCCCCTCTCCAGAATGCTCAGCCACTACCACCTACCCTCTTAAGACCCAGACTGCATTCCCCTAGAAGTAGCTGGATTGTTTTTAGTGGGATTGTCCTTGCTGGCATGGAAAATGCTTCCCCCACCCCCACCACTAGTCCCCTCCTCCAGTGGGCAGAGTAGGATATGTTGCCCCCAGGCTCGCTGGGTGTGCCCAGAGCCAAGACTGCTGGCTCCAGTTTCTCTGTTTAATCCACACCTTCTGAGGCAGATCTGTCTGGCTTACCTGTCCACCTCCCTGGCTCCTGTTGTACTCCATGTCCCTTCTGGGGTAGGCTGCCATCCCTGCCCTAGTTCCCAGCAGTGACATCCCAGAGCTGGATTTCAGGAAACTGAGGCTCAGGGACATTCCAATCAAGTCACCTGGCTCCCAGCCTATGCTGATGGGGCGGAAACCCAGTTCTGTTGTGCATCAGGCATGGAATCCACCCGCACTTCACTCCCCTTCCCAGCCACCTTCCCTCACCCCATTCCGTGGTGACCTTTCATAGCCCCCCTGCCCTGCGATGTCACTCTGACCCACACATTTGTTCTGCTATGAAAGATGCCTGCTGGGGTCCTTGGAAGAGCCAGAACATTTATGTGGGGGCATTTGGAACTCAAGGGAAGTTCTGACATCCTGATCCAAGAGTTCACCTGGGATGTGCCTTCTCATCACAGTGAAAGTGACTTTGAGCTGTCCTGTTTTACGCCAAGTAAGTGGAATCCTTAGGGTTCTGGCTGACTCTCAGCATCGCCCTCATCCAGGCAGGTTACCGGCCCTGCCCTGGCCCACAGCAGCATTGGCTCAGAGGATTCCTGCTGCAGGTGAGAAGCGAGCCAGAAGACTGAGTGCGTGTTTTGTATTCACAAGGCCACGTGCATTCTAGACTTGACTATTTAATCACTCTTGTGAGGAGTGTTTTAAAGGAGAAGTGCAGTGCTGCACAAAGCAGAGAATGCAGACAACTACCCAGAGGGACCGCTCAGCGGAGGCCTGAGCTTAAGTAGGAGTTATCAGGCTCCAGGGGGCTGGGGTCAGGCTTCAGTTTGGGTCACGCTGAGCTGGGGTGGAAGTGCCGTGCCTCCAGGAAATCCGGCTCTGAAGTCTCTGTGAGAAGTCTGGGCTGGAAATTTAAATCAATCGTCGGTGGTATAAGATGGAAGTAGAGTGTGGAGGGAGGCAAGCCTGGACTGGGACCTGAACTCTGAGAGAACTGCAAGAGCAGAGGGGAGTGAGTCCCCGCACAGCAGTTGAAGTGTGGATGTGTGGGGAGAAGAGAGGTGGGGTAGGGCTGGAAGAGGATCTGGATGGAAGGAGAGGCGTTTTCTTTGGGATGGGAGAGACACTTGCAAGCTGATGATGGGTGGGTCCAACAGAAGGCAGGGAAGTGCAATCTAGCAAGCAGAGGGAGGGATTGGCTTTTGACAGGAGGAGGTTCCTCCCTCCCTCCTTCTGGAGAGAAGAAGGAGCGGATGTGCAGATGCAAATGTATTCGTAGACTTGGGAAAGTAAAGGAAGCGGTTCCTTTTTTGTGGTTTTGATTTTGCTAGTGAAAGAAAAACAGTACTCAATGAGGGTGGAGGGAGCATAGGTGGGAAGTGGTGGGAGTTTGAGGAGCATGGAGAATCAGGCCCAGAAAATGAGCAGAAGTGAAGAAGGCTGCATAGTCAGGACCACAGCAGCAGAAGGCACAGAGCCCACCTGTGAGGACACAGCTGTGTTCGAACACTACCTGCCGTGGCTAGTCCTGACCACACGTCAGCCCTGAGCCTGGACAGGGGACTCAGGACACCCCTGCTGGGATCAGCCATTGTCCCTGGAAGTGAGATGGTGCTGCCATCACAGCCACTTCCAGAAAGAATTCTTCAGTGTCTCTGCCTTTTTGCATCACTTGCTCTAGATGCAGACTCTTGGAAGGAATCATGCAATTCACTGAGCCCAGCGGGTGCATCCCTGCTGCCTTACCTGCCAGGGGAGCTGAAAAAGCTGGTATTTTCAGCTTCTAAAGTTGGAGTTGCATTCTGTTCCCAGCAAGATTCATACGGTGGAAAGGGGATTCAGATCCTTGGAAGTCAAGGAAACAAAAGACAGATACCTGCACCATGGCTTCCTCTCTGGCCTTACTCTGGACAGCTGCCCAGTGTCCCTTGTGCTACACCCAAGCACCCAGAGAGTGGCCTCCTAATCCTGGAACTGTGACCTTCTTAGAGTGCAGGTTGGTGCCTCTGCAGATGCACAGCCTCTTACCTTATTTGGGCTTGTCATTGTGACAACCAATAAAATATCCCCTTCAATTTTCCAGACACCCCAGACCACGGTACGACAACTACCAAATTAAGGGATATAGTGTTCAGAAAGCAAAGGCAGCTTTTGGGCAAAGGGCAAGTTTTAAGAAGAATATTTAATCTGTAGCCCAGCTGATTTGAAATGACACTCCGACATAAAGCTCACTCCCAAAATAAATATTCTGACTAATAAAATTAAACATACTGAGCCAATTTAAGTGAGCTTCGTTATGCCCTTTAGAAATGTAGTCAAAAACGTTTCTGAAGTGTCCTGACATGAGTAAGGGCATTGGAAAAACAGCAAAGGATAATTTCAGCCTTAAGTAAAACTCTGAGTTAGCCAAGGATGCTGAATCTTAAGAAAGATGTAACAGAAGGAGAAGGGAATAGATATGACAATTAAAAGTTGGAAAGAACCATTATGAGTGCAGACCAGAAATGTTAACACTCTTTAGATAGAAGCATATTGGCCAAGAGGAGGAAACTGGAGTGTTATGGAGGGTATGAACTTACTTATGAAAAACAACAATAACATCATTTAGAATCTAATTTAGGACAAATTATCATCACTGAGAAATATTTTGTTGAAGCCTATTCTGGTGTAAGCCACTTATAAAAATCCATATATTTTTAGGAGTTGTTTGGTCTAAAAAATATAAATAGATTGAAGGAGGATTTAGGTAACTTGGTTGCTGGTTATTAAAGTTGAGTTAGTTAAATCTCTTTGTTTTGGAAGAACATGACTATAGAATTTTCTTTGTTCTGTAAAGTTCGTCAGACACATTCTTAGGCTACTCATCAGTTCAGCAAAAAAGTGTGAATGAGAAAAAGTGAGTTTTACAGGGAGAACCAGGTCCGAGACAAAACAAATCCATGACAGTTGAAAGTCATTACAGAGAGTAGGATAAACGACAAGACTCAGTTATGAAATTGAGCTCAGAGCTGTTGGGTTCCGGCAGACCTCAGTTTATTTATAGTCACCACCAAATCTATTTGTAAGTTGTTAGTTGTGGATAAAATGCTCTTGAGTAACAGTTTGGTCTCAAGTTCTGCAAGTCTATTTAGGGAGTAATGATTAAAGACCACTAGGACTGAAAATTATGCCATATGTCATCAATCCTTCTCTTTCCTCCCCTAGAGTTCAAAGTTTATACGTATAAAATCTATGTGTCATGCCTAACAACTTCCCCTTTGTCTTACCATTTTTTTTTTTCCTGAAATCTTTCATTAAGATTGTCATTTTCCAAGTTGTTGTGGTGACCCAAATCTTTAGACTGAGTTTTGGTGTAGGGATTTTATTTCTCAGGCTCCTGTGGTTCTTTTATATTAGAAAGTGAGACACTCTCTCTTCTCCTTTCCAGTTTCCACCCTAATCTTTGCCTCCTGCTGACTTGAATCTCGATTTTTTTAAAAGAACCTAGGGAGACAGGGTGTGGGCATTTAAATTCTGGGCAGGCTGCCATGTGGGATGGAGAGTAGACATCTGTGCTACTCCACAGGGGAAAGAGGGCTGATGAGAGAAAGTTTTTGACAAACATGGAGGAAACCTGTAATGGCCAGAACTTGTCAGCAATGCAGTGAGTTCCCCTCAGAATGAGATGCTAGTGTGGGAGGGGACTTAGGGACCTCTTGAGGCCCTTCCTCTAAGTTTCTGGAGTGATCCACCTTCCCTCCTCTGGGTGAGCAGGTACTTCTGGGAACCAGTAAGAGGAGCTGAGAGTCAGTACTCCTTAGACCTAAACCAAGCACACTTTTTTTTTTTTTTTGAGACAGAGTCTCACTCTGTCGCCCAGGCTGGAGTGCAGTGGTGCGACCTTGGTTCACTGCAAGCTCCACCTCCCAGGTTCACGCCATTCTCCTGCCTCAGCCTCCCGAGTAGCTGGGGCTACAGGTGCCTGCCACCACGCCTGGCTAATTTTTTTTTGTATTTTTTTTAGTAGAGACGGGGTTTCACTGTGTTAGCCAGGAGAGTCTCGATCTCCTGACCTTGTGATCCACCCGCCTTGGCCTCCCAGAGCCAAGCATACTCTTTCTGATAGTGCCAGGGCCTGAGTTTTTCAGCACAGGGTGATGATAAACCCAAAAGAAAGAAGTGTTCTTGCTGAACTATTGGCAGATGGACTCTTTGGGCCAGGATTAAAAGGATCCCTTTTCAGACTGGTTGGGTTGTATTTTCATCCCTGGCCTTGGTTGTTCTGTGAGGATTGTACTTCATTTTGTAAAAAAATGTCAAACCAGGTTAATAAACTGCAGTTGAATTTTAATCGCCATCGTTTCTTCTCAATTAAAAAAACTCTATAAAATTGGCTCAGTTGATCAGTTTTTCAAATGGACACCAACCACAAAGTAAATGTAATTGCTTGGTTCTATATTTAGTGACTTATTTTTCATAATTTGTATTTGTATTTTGTACCTGGGTAGTAGGGGCATTTATAATTTAGTTAATAAAAATAAATGTTTCAAAGTGTCTCCCCCAGGTTACTTATTAATTACAAATGTAAAAAAGGTAACTTACGATGGGGAAATATGATGGACATCTTTTGAAGCAAGTGATGAAACTTAGCATTATCAATAATAGGACAGCTTGGCTTCACGTGCTTCTTGGTGACATCATGAGAAGGAAGTGCCACCCACTTAGTGATCTGGCCAAGAATGCCCCACCTGACAGCACTTTGGGAGGCTGAGGCGGGCGGATCACTTGAGGTCAGGAGTTCGAGACCAGCCTGACCAACGTGGAGAAAACCCATCTCTACTAAAAATACAAAAATTAGCTGGGCATGGTGGTGCACACCTGTAATCCCAGCTACTAGGGAGGCTGAGGCACAAGGATCACTTGAAACCAGGAGGTGGAAGTTGCAGTGAGCCGAGATCGTGCCATGGCACTCCAGCCTGGGCGACAGAGTGAAACTCTGACTCAAAACAAACAAACAAGAATGCTCCATCTGAGTCAAATTATGATAAAATAAGCAGACAAATTCAGACTGTGGGACGTTCTGTGATTCTGTGACCAATTCTATGATGGAACATTAAGACTTAGAACAGACTGTGGGACATTTTGGACTGTTCAAAATGTCAGTGTCAGGAAGGACAAAACATGTTGGGGGACTGCTGTGGATTAAAGGGGACAAAAGAGACCTGACGACTCACTGCCGTATGTAATCCTTGATTAAATCCCGAGATGGGAAAATAATACAATGGGGATTATTGAGAGGATCAGGGAAATTTGAATATGGACAATGTATTAAATACAATTTTGAATATATGGTAAAATTTCTTAGACATGAAAATGTTGAATTTATATAGAAGAAATATCCATAAAATTTCTTAGACATGAAAATGTTGAATTTATATAGAAGAAATATCCATGTTCTTGGAAGATAACATGCTGAAGTATTTAGGAGGAAAGTATTATGATGTCTGTAACTTCCTTTCAAAGAATCAAAAATGTGTGTGTGTGTGTGTGTGTGTGTGTGTAGAGAACAAAAAATATGGTATATTGTTAATAGTTGGTGAATCTAGGTGAAAAGCATGTGAGTATTCATTGTATTGTTCTTTGAGCTGTCCTGTAGGTTTACAAATTATGCAAAATAAAAAGTTGGGAGAAGTAAATTATGAAATGCTACCTTGTGGAATAGTATGTTTATTAAATTATAAAGCTATTGACAGACTGATCTCACTTTTATTATAAACTTAGAGTTTTCTGGCACAGGGAGTACTATTTAGTTGAGTAGGAAGCTTATTTTGTATGTGACTTTAAGTGTACTTGCACAGTATTTTGCACTTTCACAATCCCGTCTGTTAGTTTAATTTCAATTCAACAACATGTATTAAGCCTCTTTTCTGAGGATATAGGAGTGATTAAGACCAAAGATGGTGCAGCCTAGTGGGAATGACAGATGAAAACAGGTACCGCAGTGCATGACAGGTGCTCTTTTAGAAGGAGAATATCAAATTTGTATGAAGTAGATATTATTCTTCATTTTCTTAAATATCTTTTTTGATCATTTTATGAGCAAATAAATGAAATCTCAGAGTAGGTAAGTCATGTACTTGGAGTCACATAGCCAGTGGGTGACAGGGCAGAGATATCCCCCCCAGGGGAGTTGATTCTACTACAACTTAGCTTAGACACCAGGGTAGGACCACTTCGGGGTTCAGCTCTGTCTCTGTGTTTGCCAAATGGTACCTGCCCCTTGAACTCAGTAGCAGCTACACAGCTTTACTATCCATCCATCCATCCATCCACTCATTTATTCATTCATAGCATGTATTGAACACCTATTACATGCAGTCAGTCCAGGAAGGCCCTGAAATGAATAGAGGACAGGCTGTACCAATCTATAATTTCAGAGGCTTCAGAGCATGCAGCACTGGGGTGAGAAACAAGGATCAGAGGACACCCTCTTGTCTTCCCTACTCACCCTGAAGTCTTTTGAAGTTGAAGTGCCTCACACTCCCCCTTTTATGATCATTATCTGCTTTATTAAAACATTATTTAAAAGACTACTTTGTTTCTCTACCTAAACAATCACCAACACACTTCAAGCTATCTTTAGCTTATTACAAAAGCACGTGGAGAGATTACAACTCAGTCCCTCTCCATCATTTCTCCCCTTATCTCTGACCCCCAAATACGATCTCTTTGAAAATGCACAACTTTGCCTTTCTACCTACAGTGGCTCCATAGCTTGGTGCTTTCTAGTCTCACAGAGGGTCCTCGTTTATATCAGCAAATCTCTAGCAGCACTCATGTGTGCTTTGAAGTATTTTCAGTGGCCAAAGAGTAAACATAAGTACTGAGAGTAAAAAAGGAATGTAGCAGAAGGAGTGATTCAACAAGCATATAATTTAAAATTACCAACCAAAACAGAATAAATCCCTACCTGTTGGCTTAACATGCCTGAACCTGGCTGTGAACATAATTATGAGACCACTCACTCTGCCTCACTATGACATTTTGAATCTGCAAGTGTCAGAGGAGATTTGCTGCAGAGCTGGAGACCTTGGCAAGATTCCAGGGCATGTTACACAGCAGGGGTGGTGATAAATAACACATATAGTCGCTTGGTGCAAATGGGATCCAAACCAAAGAGATACACCCTACCAATATTCAGAGCACATAAACATACATTGGGGAACCTCAGAAATAATTCCTGAGACAAAAATGGGAGGGAAACATTGAAAAGTGGCATGTTCTAGCTAATTAGTGCTGGAAGATGAGTTGGTGCCATCAGTGGACTTATTAAGTTAGGCCTGGGTGGCAGGATACTGTAACAGGCAGAGGGGCACATCAATTGCTGCTAGAGTTGGGATTTTTAAGTGTCATAATGCTTCAAAAGAATCTGGCCGGGCACGGTGGCTCATACCTGTAATCCCAGCACTTTGGGAGGCTGAGGCAAGTGGATCACGAGGTCAGGAGATCGAGACCATCCTGGCTAACACGGTGAAACCCCGTCTCTACTAAAAATACAAAAAAATTAGCCGGGCGTGGTGGCAGGTGCCTGTGGTCCCAGCTACTCAGGAGGCTGAGGCAGGAGAATGGCGTGAACCTGGGAGGCGGAGCTTGCAGTGAGCCAAGATCGCACCACTGCACTCCAGCCTGGGCGACAGAGCAAGACTCTGTCTCAAAAAAAAAAAAAAAAAAAAAAAAAATCAAACGTTACCTAGAAACAAGATGAAACTTGTGGATTAAAGGGGACAAAAGAGACCTGACGACTCACTGCCATATGTAATCCTTGATTAAATTCCGAAATGGGAAAATAATACAATGGGGATTATTGAGAGGATCAGGGAAATTTGAATATGGACAATGTATTAAATACAATTTTGAATATATGGTAAAATTTCTTACACATGAAAATGTTGAATTTATGTAGAAGAAATATCCATGTTCTTGGAAGATAACATGCTGAAGTATTTAGGAGGAAAGTATTATGATGTCTGTAACTTCCTTTCAAAGAATCAAAAATGTGTGTGTGTGTGTGTGTGTGTGTAGAGAACAAAAAAATATGGTATATTGTTAACAGTTGGTGAATCTAGGTGAAAAGCATATGAGTATTCATTGTATTGTTCTTTGAGCTGTCCTGTAGGAGAGGACAGAGAGGCTCCCTTCTGAGCCACTGAAGCTACTTCTTTCATATAGCTTTGTAGTAGCAGAAAGTACAACTTTAGAAAACCAATGCCCTGAATTAACACTTGAGATATATCATAACATAGCTCCCCACCCCTGGGCTCTCTAGAATAGAATTTTAGCATATTGGGAAATAATGTTTGGCACTTCTCTGACAACTTCTTCCCCCCAAGATGAAACACGTCAAATATTCAGTACCTATTAGGTCCTGTGACATAGCAAACACTCAGTGGGTGGAATACACTTAGGCTGAGTGTTTTTATACCTGCAAGGTGTGGGTTTGTTACTTAACCTCTCTAGGCCAAACTTTCCTCATCTTTAAAGTGGGGTTAATAAAACTCCGCTTCTTATTATGAGGTCTAAATGAGAGAATGTTTGTGAAGTGCTTAACATGGTATGTGGAAAGACAGTATTCATTATTCATTAAATCATGACCTATTAGATAAATAGTTTTTTAGAGGGTTATGTGTGCTATGATTGTGGGAGTTTGGTGGAAGGGATTAAGAATGCTTTGAATGATTACTGTATTCAAAAAAGTTTCATTTGTAGTCTATCAAACTCACATAATTAACAGTGGCCTTATTTTGATGTGGTCTGAGAGAGATGTGCAAAGAGTTTTTAGCGAAATATATTAGCTCTGATTTTCCAAACATGAATTCTTGGATTTCCTATGAATTCCTTCACTACATAATAATGGGATGTGTCTTTGGAAATTGTTACACCTACGTTTAGAGTATTGCTTTATGATTTTCAGAGTACATTATAATTCCTAATTAGTTTTTATGAGGTTGGATCACTTTTTCCACGTGTTGGTAGACAACTCGGGAGTGTTAATCTGAGCCCAAATAAGCACTTTTTTCAAGATCAAAGAGCAAGTGTTTGATAGGGACAGAACTGGCTGAGCTTAGGGTTTCCAGTAATCAGTGTGACAATTCTTCCTTCCTCAGAGATAAGCAAAGGGGCTTCTTTGAGCAAAGGGTAAATCTCTGTGCCTGAGAGGAGTGGTTCTCAAAGTATGGATGAGAACCTGTGAGGGTCCCCAAGACCTTTTGGGAGGTCTACAAGGCCAGGGGTCCTCCTTCCTCCATTACAGATCTATGTGAGGCCAGATCTTCAAATACTTCAGCCAAACAACATATCACATCAGAGTGAATGAAGAAGCAGGTGTGGGAATCCAGCTTTCTCCTATTAAGCCCCAAACTCAGCGAGCTTAACAAAAATGTAAAGCAATGCCACTGCTCTCACCAAAAATTTCATGTTTTAGAAAATATAGTAATTTTTAATAAAATATATTTATGCTAACATGTAAAATGTTTGTTATATTAAATGAATTAATAGTATATCTAAAAGTTTTTTAACTTTAATTTTTAATATGGTGCACATCAATAGATAGAACTCATACAAACAAAAGTTTTTTTAGGTCTTCAATAATTTTTAAAAATATAAAGGGGGTCCTGAGACCAAAAAGTTTGAGTCTCATTGTCCTAGATTTTTTGGCTTCTGCTTTGGGGTTTGGAATGTTTACATTAGCTGGCAGTTCTCAGACTTAAAAAAAAAAAACAACTTACCATACTACTGTTTGTGAAAAATATTAAGATGAAACTCATTTTTTTTTTCTGGGAAAGAAAAGGAACCCACAGGGTCTGAGCACTCCCTACTCCCCAACTAGAGGAGCCTGTGGTTCAAAGGGCATTCTTGGGCTAGAGGCGAGTGCTCCTCAGACAGTCACCGGGAAATCTGTTGCCTGGGGGTCAGGGAGCCTGGAAGGGGGTGGGGATAATCCTCACTCATTAACACATTAACATAGATTTGCTTAACACCGTGTTCAATGTCGTACCAGGCTCTTTGGGAAATAGGACCTCAGGGTTCAAAATTCAAGCCAGATAAGTTTTGGGGGAAGGAATGGGAATAAACTGCAAAGGCTCCTGGGATTCACACATGAGGCACCATGGAGTTGAAGAGTGGGAGGTGAAGAAAGAAGGACCGAAGCCCCACTTCATCTCTTCCATACTTTTGCATCATCCTGGCCATGGGCAAAAGAGTGATGAGGGCGAATGAGAAAGCCAATAAGAGGGAGAACAATCAGGAAAAGATGAGGCCGGAGGAGATCCACAGGGAAGGAGTGCTACCACTCCATCAAATGGCTGCTTGGGTTTCAGTTCTGGCAGCTGTGATCTCTCCAAAACCTGGAACCAGGGTTAGGACACTGCTGGGAAACACTCTGGGCTGTTCTCCTGGTTCTTGGCCCTGGGAGGGTTTAGCACGTAATGACTACTGCTTGCCATCAGACTTTTCTGAATGCATAGACTTTAAGATACACTGTAGACTGGTTGCAATGGAATGGCATATTGGTTAAGGTGTGACAAAGATGATGATCAATGTGTATATTTGGTGGAGAAAGAAAGATAATGATTTTTGTTTTGAATTTGATCAGCTTGAGAGGCTGCAGCTGGGTAGAGATGTCCAATAGACAGGAATCAGGATCGGGATCTTGAGCAAGGGATTGTGGTGGGACGTGTTGCCTTGGGAATCAGCATCACATAGAGATGGTAGAAGCTGTGAATCGATGAGATGACATTAATAACTGTATCTCTTTTGTTTTATCAGCTCTTCCATGTGGCCTATATTTTAATCAAATTTGCAAATTCTCCTCGCCCTGATCTTTGGGTCTTGGAAAGATCTGTAGACTTTGGAAGCACCTACTCACCATGGCAATATTTTGCTCGTAAGTAATCTTGCCTACCATGTTATGCATGGCTTTAATTACTTGGAACAGATAAAGACTATGGATTTAATTAGAAAATTAATCTTGGCTGGGTGTGGTGGCTCACCCCTATAATCCCAGCATTTTGGAAGGCCAAGGCGGGTGGATTACCTGAGGTCAGGAGTTTGAGACCAGCCTGGCCAACATGGTGAAACCCTGTCTCTACTAAAAATACAAAAATTAGCCAGGCACATGCCTGTTATCCCAGCTACTCGGGAGGCTGAGGTCGGATTATCACTTGAACCCAGGAAGCAGATGTTGCAGTGAGCCAAGATTGTACCACTGCACTCCAGCCTGGGCAACAGGATGAGACTCTGTCTCAAAAAAAAAAAAAAAAGAAAAGAAAATTAATCTCTCAGTATGACTAGTTAGGGACTGGTCACTTTTAACCTCTAAATTACTCTCAGAACATTGACTGGGCGCGGTGGCTTATGCCTGTAATCCCAGCACTTTGGGAAGCCAAGGCAGGCGGGTCACTTGAGGTCAGGAGTTTGAGACCAGCCTGGCTAACATGGTGAAACCCTGTCTCTACTAAAAATACAAAAATAAGCAAAGTGTGGTGGTGTGCACCTGTGGTCCCAGCTACTCGGGAGGCTGAGGTGGGAGAATCACTTGAATCCAGGAGGCGGAGGTTGCAATGAGCCAAGACTGTGCCACAGCACTCCAGCCTGGGTGACAGAGTGAGACTCCATCTTGGAAAAAAAAAAAAAAAGAATATCCCCATTTTTCAAGCATGTGTTCAATAATTTCAAGGATACTACATGCAGAAATGAAGTAGAAACTCCTTTTATGATAACAGTTCTTGGCACTATTTGGGAGTACCTGTAAGATGGTAGAAGCTGTGAATTGATGAGATGACTTTAATAACTGTCATCTCCAATCTTTTCCCCTTTATGCAGAATTAGAAACTAAGTTCCATCTTTATAGTTCCTGTGCTGTGCTTTACTTACCTCAACTCTGTTATCTTCACTAATGAAGAATGTCAGGGTTTCTGAACCCTATGATGAACAGAGGTGGACAAGAATTTTGCTTATAAAGGCATTGGGTTTTCCACTAGGTTTCCTTAGAAGATAAACTTGCCTAAGTATGAGCGTGGAGTTAGCACTGCATCTCCAAGCATTGCCACTGAAAGTCAACTGGCCTGAAATGGCTTGGTATTTTCTTTCATGAATTAAAAACTCCATTATCAGCCTTTCTCTAAAAGTTTTAAATGCCTTTCTGTTTTTTCTTTCTTTGTGTATTTTCTTAAGGAAACATAAGGCTTCTTAAGAGATTTGCAACAAAATGATAATATTTTGTTTTATAATATTAAAATATTTTCCTTCTAGATTCTAAAGTAGACTGTTTAAAAGAATTTGGGCGGGAGGCAAATATGGCTGTCACCCGGGATGATGATGTACTTTGTGTTACTGAATATTCCCGTATTGTACCTTTGGAAAATGGTGAGGTAAGTAGATTTGGAAGACTGGGAGAGATAAGACTCAGAAATGACCATGAGGATATCCAATTTTTCATAATTGCGAAACTTGCACTTTCAAGGACATCTAACATAGATCAAGATGGAAACAGGGCTTGGGACTGAACAGTAAAGGAATCACATTGAGGGCTCCCAGAATGAGCCAGGTTGGAAATTCTGTTGGGGGATTTCAGTTATCCCCAGAAAGTCAGGATTCTTGATCCAAAGCCCGCAGGTCTTGAACTGTCCTTTCTGGTGATGTATTTATAAAGTGGGTTGCTGGTAACTGAAATGATGACCCCTTACCTCTTCACCTATGATCCCATGATACCCCGTAAGAGTGAGGAGAGGAAGGACAGGTGGCAGCAGGTAGATTTTCTCTATACTGTCTCTTCCCTCATCTGATGACCAGATGTAGGGGATCCAGAGGAGGACTCTGAGGTCCTACAGAACGGCTGCACCTCTAGATAGAAAGAGCCTGCTTCCCTGAATGACTGCATGGAGCCGATCCTACGTGATCCCTGATCCCTTTTGGTAGAATGGGTGTAATCTGTTGGAGAGAAAAAATTGCTGTCCCTGTGGGGTTGCATTTGGCCCTTGTAAAGTCAGGTTGGCTATTGTTAAGGGAGATGGGCAAACAAAGGTGAAACAATCAGAGAAGATTTCCATGGAAATTGTGAGGCCATAATGAATATGAACTGAGTTTCAAATAAACTTCCTTCAAAGGTGTCAGCCTCCCTCTCTTTAAGTAGAGAGATCTTACTTGAGCATGTGTATGCGGTATCTTCTGACAGCTCATGAGTGGTTCATATTTCCAATGGTTGACACTTGGGCTTCATCACTTTGGGCTTTAAAACAAAATGGAGGGTTTACACAGTTTTTTTTTTTTTTTTTTTTTTTTTTTTTTTTTTTGCCCCATTACTGTCAAACTTTATATCTAGAGATTTCCTTTTTTCAACCTCATGTAGATTTTTGGGTTACTTTAGCTTTGTTTCTTTGATGCAGCTTAAGAAAGTTGTGTCCTTATATTTACAGGTTTTAACATTATGTTTTCAACATTTCATAGTGTTACAGTCCCACAACTACCCTGATAGAACAAAGGCTTTGAAAACGTAATGATAACATCTCCCGAGAGCCCAGATTTCAAAGACGTATTGCCAGACCTTGGAACCAGGAAGTGTGAGGGAAGATGGGACTAGCAATGATGTTTTTAGACATAAACAAGACCCAAGACCCCCTACGAATATCAAATGGCTCAAAGAAACCAAGTGCCTTGGGGCATGTGAGTTATTTTTACTTACTTGCTGCTAAATTTTGATAAAAGGAACTTTTTCCCCCTTTATGTGTGTGTGGTCATTTTAGGTTGTGGTGTCCTTGATAAACGGTCGTCCAGGTGCAAAAAATTTTACTTTCTCTCACACCCTGAGGGAGTTTACCAAGGCAACAAACATCCGCTTGCGTTTTCTTAGAACCAATACGCTTCTTGGACACCTCATCTCCAAAGCCCAGCGAGATCCAACTGTCACTCGGCGGGTGAGTAGTCAGAGCATTTGTTTTGTTACTTTATTTATTCATTTTTTTGGCTTACCAAATTAATTGCCTTGAACTCTTTTAAGTAACCTTTATAGCCTGTAATGATGTAGGTGTGGGAGTTGTTCTTATCTGAAATACTAGATATAATTAGGAGTTTATATCTAATGACTTATAAAAATGGCTGTTTGAAGAAAAATCATTATATTCAAAGAAGATGAAAGGCAAATGATTATAGTCAGCCTGGTACTAGTCTGGATGGGATAATTAATACTACAGCCAACAATTCCCAAATCTCAGTGGCTTAACAAAATAAAGCTTTGTTTCTTGCTCCTATTACAGTTTAACATGGGTCAGCAGGTAGGATCGGCTCCACACAGTAATTCAGGGAAGCAGGTTCTTTCTATCCAGAGGTGCAGCCATTTTGTAGGACCTCAGAGTCCTCCTCTGGATCCCCTACCTCTTGGTCCTCAGATGAGGGAAGAGAGAGTATAGAGAAAAATCTACCTGCTTCTCATCAGAGGTTACTTCTATGGGCAAGAACTGGTCATATCATAGCCTCACTTAGATGCAAGGAGGCTGGGTGATGTCATCTAGCTGAAATGGAGGCACATAGGTATTGGTGAGCACTAGTACCCTCTCCTGTGTTGGAGGTACACCATGAACATCTCTCACTCTCAGGTGTCAGGGCAGTACACTTGTCTCCTGGGCACAGAGGGAGCCCACAGAATAAACACATTGAGCTCACTCTTCTTCCACCCTCTGATCTACTGGTGCCTTCCATTGGCCAAAGCAAACAAGAAGCCAGAGAGAAAGACAGTCCATTGGTTGCAACCATAAAGTTCAGCTCCTGGGCACAGGACAGGGTGGAGAACGTGGAGAGCAGATCTGGAGGGTGAATGGAAGATGCCCAGTGCACCTTATAGAGTTTGGCTTTTTATATAGGTAACATCAGAGAGCTGGGAAAGGAAGGGAGGGAAAAGTATAAGTATTGCCACAGTTTTGAGCATTTTCCAGAAAGGCAGGCACCTTGGGTGTAGGTGGCCTATCTTTTGTATTTTTTTGCTCTCCTCAGCTCCCTCTGAGCTTCTGTGTAGTTGGGGACTGTGTTGAATCTGAGGATGGATATTTACAAGGGAGGGCTGGACTTTCTCATAAACTATAGCCGGGCTGTGTTTCTGTTCCTCCATGTGCCCTGGAGCACTGCCACAAATGTACCCTACCAATTTTTTTTTTCTTAAATTGTCTTTTTGGGGGTTGCAAGATTTGCAGTCATATATATCTATGTATATTACTTTTCACTTAGATGAATACAGGCCTCTCCATTAAATAATTGTTTTATGGAGTATACCACACACATAATACATAATCTTAACCCCCCAAGTTTAGGTTGCTTCTTTCATGGAGGAATATAATACCAGCTACCTTATGACACAGATCACGTGTGCTGCTGGGTGAAGGCTGACTGGGGGCTTCTCTTGCTGCTGCTGCCCTTAATACGTGTGGAGGGGAACTTTTACAGTGGCCAGCAGGAAAGCCCCTGAGTGTTAACTTGTCACAGAAAGCCCTGGTAATACTGACTTTATCTGTATTAACAAGGGGGGCTGTTAATGCCTTCAGACTAAGATGTTTCCAGGAAGCATTGATACTTTAACAGGTTTTAATTAGGGAACCAGAACAGAACCCCAACATTAAATCAATAGAGCTCTTTAAGGCAGCCACACTCAACAACAACAACAACAATAAAGGGACAAAAACCCTCTTGTCCTTGCGAATTCAAAGACTTCTTGCTGACAGATATTCTTCTCACTGGCAGCATGGCCTCAATGAGAAAGATTGTTCTACAGTCCTCACATTCCTCCCAAATCCTGGGCAGTCTCCTGCCAAGTCTGAGAAGGAAGGTTGCTGGCAGAGGGAGCTGGCAGGAGGAGCTGCCTATTGTCAGCACTGCAGAGGCCTCCAACATATTGGAGAGGGGCCTTGTCAATGAGAGGGTATACACATATTTGTGGCCTGGTTTAGGGGCCAATCCTCAGCTGGATCTGAGCTGGCTCTGTCTGGCCTTTCTGGAGCTTGAAACTTTGACTCTAGCCTTTTTGACCCTGTGCTAGGAAGTCTTCAGCAAATACTGGTGGCCCCTCCAGTCTCAGGGATGTATTGGATCCATCTCTGTAAATATTATCTCCCTTCCCAGAACCTGGGATAGTATTTTGCGCAAAGCAAGTGCAACATTTTTTGGTATAAAAATTTAGTTTTGATAAATAAATATTTTCAATGTATAAAATTCATTTGTAAAGAACATAATGTAAAAATTATTTTAATTTACATAAAAAATAAACTTGGAAGTAATTGATCCCTTTCCTATAGGCTATAAAGTATGATTCCTTTCTAAGGCAATTTCCCTTCATGAACTTCAAGCATTTGATTTTTTTAAATGCACAAATTCAGCAGTATGTTATTACATTTTATTGAGGAATGTGTTTATTTTATAAGACATGTTACATCCCAATGTAGGGCTCAAGAATACGGAATTTTAAAAGGGAAGCAGAGGCAGCAGATGTGGGTTAAAGACTAGTAAGAGAAAGTTTTTGTCACTGTTCAGTGAAACTTGCATGTTCTGTGTTCTGTTGTGCAGTATTATTACAGCATAAAGGACATCAGCATTGGTGGGCAGTGTGTTTGCAATGGCCATGCTGAAGTGTGCAATATAAACAATCCTGAAAAACTGTAAGTACACTGTACAGATTTTTTTCAGCCTTACTATGATTAAGTCTAATTATTTCAGTGGATGTTTGCATCCCGTTAAATGTTTCTAGGTTCCTGTCCTCAATAGGAATGATTCAGGATCAATGAATAGGTGGGGGGTGTGTGCCTCCTCTCCACCAACTCTCCATTTTCTTTCACATAACCCCTATAGGCCCTGGCAGACACGGCTAATCAATCACAGCACTCTGGAAAATCTGTGTCCCAGCCACCAGATCACCCCCAAGACATACCTCAGGCAGCCAATTGATTAGAGCTGGCAAGAGAAATAAAACTTGTCATTCCTGGTTTAATGGGATCAGGGTATACATTTCAAATCCTTGTTTTTTAAATTGTGGTGAAATACACATCAAATTTACTATTTTAACCATTTTAAAGTGACAGTTCAGTAGTGGTAACTATGTTCACGTTGTTGTGCAACCAATCTCCAGAACTCTTCGTTTTGCAAAATTGAAATTCTATACCCGTTAAACAACTCCTTGTTTCCTCCTACCACTGGCCCCTGGCAACCATCATGACTATCCTAGGTACCTCATATAAGTGGAATCATACAGTATTTGTCCTTTTGCAACAAATACTGGGTTATTAAATTTGTCATCACTTATTTCACTTAGCATAACGTCCTCAAGGTTCATCCATATTGAGCATGTGTCAGAATTTTCTTTTTGTTCAAAGCTGAACAGTATTTCCTTGTATATATGTATATATTACATTCTGTTTATCCATTCATTCGTGGATACACACTTGGGGTGCTTCCACCTTTTGGCTATTGTGAATAAGGCTGCTGTGAACATGAATGTACCCTTTTTGTTTTTAGTTTGAGTATATTTTGCATACAATAATATGCATGAGTCTTAAATGTTGAGGTTCAGCCATACATTTGTGTTACCACTGCAAGAGGGATACTTTAAAGGGCTGGAAATTACCGGATGCCAGATATAGTAATCATTTTATCTCAATGTTTAACTTAAAGTCTACAATATTTCATGAGCAGCATTTACCAGAGATGTATTTCACTTTTAGTCAGATTCAGGCTTGTGCTTCTTTAGGTCTAGCTTTGTGTTCAGGCAGAATTGCTAGTTCTCAAGGTCTGTGATGTGCGTTGTGGGGCCCTTCTCCTTGACCAGCCATAACCCTTAATGTTGTTGTTCCCCCTTCAAGGATTCGGCAGTGCTGTTGAGAGAGCTTACGCACAAAATGATTAAACTTTAGTGGAAAATGACTTGTTTATTAATGGTTAATCTATTTCCACCCTGTAATCTCCTATCTCCCTAAGACACTAGAAATCAGGTCACATAAGTTCTGAGTTGGAGAGAGGAGAGAAGAGGTCCAGCTAATGTCCCTGAGCCTGGAACAAAATACTGCCATGTGGGAAAGGAGTACACGCCATCACAGAGGGCATGAGCTTCCTGCTTAGAAAGGCTACTGAACCCTGGAGACCCTGGAGAACTGGAGGAGTTCTACACTGGGTGGTTAATTCTCCCAATACACATGTGTGGAGGTCTCCCCAAGCCTTGGTGAAAGGCTCAGTTTGGCAGCAATCCACTTCAACATGACTGCCTGCCTTTCCTTGTCTGCTGGTTTGCTTCTGCCCAACAGGCTGAACTTGAACAAATGCTGATGAAATCCACATCCATGATGAGGTAGAAATCTTATAACAATTTAAAGGGATTCAGAAACTTAATGGGTAGAGCCAAGCCTGGACAATCAGAAAAATTACTTGCTAATGAGGCAGAACCCAAGAAGAGGGGTTTAACCAAGCATGTGTACCATGTTGACCTTGCTGCATGGATAAGCGGAAGGACCTCAAATTTAATTCTGAGCTTCCTAGCAGCCAACTCAAAAAGGGAAATCTGCTTGGTTTCATATTTCACTATGATCATAAGCTAAAAAGTAATAAGTTACTTAGAAAAAACATGATTGTTGACACTAGTGCCAAATAACAATTTTCCCTAGGGGTGGGGCAGAGTGGTCATCACGAAGGGAATTCTCTAATCAATGACATCTTTAAATAACATATTTACAGCAGGTGTATTATTAACCATCAGTCTGGGCTGCAACAGAGGAAAAGCAGTGATTTGGCAGTGCCAATGGGACTCAGATGGGTACCCAGCTCCTTTTTTTGCTATGCTCAATTTTAATCCCCCTATGTGTGGAGTTGGACTACATATTCTTGAAGCAGTCTTCCCTAAATAATCTTGTAGTCTAGCTAATGTCAAATGTTTAATTGGCAATGAGCTGAAATTGCCTCTCCAACAAGGGCCCATTTGGATGCCACTTGTTCTGTGCTGCCAGGTAGATCTATGTCCATGTGCTTTAACAGGCAGTTGAGTGTGGAGAGGGATGACACCCTCTCTTGGGAATAAAACTGAATATATGCCACGCCACCTTCCCTTAGAGTAGAGTTGATGGAATCCCTACAGGCACAGCCAAGAGCCTTCTTAGACAAGGCATTTTGCTGTTGTTCTTTTAATAGTCTCGGGTCTTTATTTGACTCAAACCGAACACTGCACGTCTCTCATATTTAAAAAAAAAAAAAAGCTGTTTGCTCAATGCCGCACAAACGACGGCATGCGGGGACACCCCCGCCGCTTCCCCCGCCCCCACCCCCCCGCCAAAAAAAACCCAAAAAAACCCCACAACCCAAACCCAAAGCCTCTTTCATATTCACGATATTCAGGAAGCACCAGCTACGGAGTCAAGCATCTTGGTTTAGATTTAGTCTCTGCCTACAATCACGGCCTTTGTCAAGTGAGTTTATCTCTGAGCACCAGTATCGTCATCTGCAAAGTGGGGCAAGTTCCATCTACCGCAGTGAGACAGGAAAGGGGCTCCAAAACTGAGAGCTGCCATCACAGTAGATGTTGTAAGGGCCGGACGAAGAACTCCAGAATCCTGGTGCTACCAGCACACTTCACCTGAGCCACGGCATCCCAGGCTCGGGAGTGCCAAGACTCAGGGAGCCCTGGATGGGGCGCCTGCACCCAGTCCTTCCCCAACCACGTGGCAACCATGTGCTCCCAGTGGTGGTTGCCTCCTCAGTCCCCTCCAAGCCTCCCCGCTCCCCGTTCCCTGCCCCCGCCCCCCACTCCCTTCCCCCGCCCCGCCCCGCCCCGCCCCAGTAACTGGCTGAAGCACCAGGGTGAATTCTGGGTCCAGGAGCCCCAGACTCTGAGGCCTGGGGACTGGAGAACAACGCCAGGCTGGGCGTCTGTGCCCTCCTCCAACAGGGAGGCGCGTGCTTCCCCGCAAACCCAGCCTCCTGGACCAACCCAGCCCGGAATTAGAAGCCTAGGACGCCCACCTGACGCACGCTCCTAGGAAAACAACCACTACCCAGCTCCAAGCAACCCGAACTTTCGGCAGGCTGGTTCCACCTTACCTCAGGCCCTGGGCCTCGCCTGGCTCACGCTCCTGAGGCTTCAGGCCGTCTTCCCACCCCTTCATGCCCCCGGCTGCCTCGTGGCTCCCATCCTTCCAGATCCAGCAGCTCTTCCCACTTCCCTCAGGCCTCCAGCCTGCTTGGCGCTCTCCAGCAGCCCGGGATGCAGCCGGATTCCCACCTCTAACCCTTCCCCTCCCCTTCCTCCTCTCCAGCCCCTCCTCCTCCCCAGTCCCCTCCCCAGCCCCCACCCTCACTGCCACTAGACCCTTCTTGGCCTCGCTCCAGCTCCCCCCAGCAGTTGCCAAAAAGATAGTTCTGAGGCCTCAGGGGGCTCATCCATCGAATCTTCTGTGGAGTGGTGGCGCGATCTTAGGTGAGAGAGAGAAGGCAGACAAAGAGGAACGACTCCTGCTCCACAGACAGCTGCGCAAGACGGAATCACACCAGGGCTGGACAATGGTTTTGAATCCTCTTTCAAGTACGGAAGGAGGGAGCTCAAAGCTTGGAGTTCCAACCCAAAGCCAAGGCTGAAACAATTTCATTTTAACTTGGAATGTTAAGGCAGATGTACACCCTTTTGAAATGAGACTTTTAACCCTTTGCTTCTCTGAGTGGTCTCAGCTTTTGGCCCCATGATGGAGCTGGCGCAGCCTCTGGAAGCAGAGCCCTCTGGGATCTTATTAGCAGCTGGTCCTTGAATTGGGTAAAGCATGACCACAGGTTGAGAGTAAGAAACTTGAGCAGATCTTAGTCGTAGGACTCCAGATCTTTATGCAGGTGTGATACTTAACACATCTCAGTAAAGTCAGCACTTGAGTGCTCCTGTGTTCCTTTATTGTAACAATGGGGTAGAGAAGACAGAGCTGGGGCCTCAGAGCCAAGTGAGGTTGGAAGTCTGGCTCTCCATTTATCACTGCCTGACCCTTGGCAGGTATCTTAATACCTCTGATTCTCAGTCTCACCATCTGTAAAATGGAGATAATAAATAAGCAGGATATGGGAGGCTTAAATAATACTTGCGAAGTGTTGTGTTCTCCTAATTCCTCAATGAATGGTGCCGTGGATGACCGTGATGACTCGTGTGTCAGGTTCGCACTATAGGATCAACTGATCCTCATCAAAACTTTTCAATAACTGAGATGCACTTCGCCCACATGCCCAGGTTTCGGTGTGAATGCCAGCACCACACCTGTGGGGAGACGTGTGATCGCTGCTGCACAGGGTACAATCAGAGGCGCTGGCGGCCCGCCGCTTGGGAGCAGAGCCACGAGTGTGAAGGTGGGTGTGGGGATGGGGTGGGGGCCACACGTGGCCTTCTCCCCCCTCTCCCTGGGGGCTGAGGCTATTTTCCCCATGCTAGAGAAGAGGCTGTGGTCATGTCAGTGTTAGGGGCTCAAGTCTGTCTATTGTAATAAGAACCTCAGACTGCAGGGAAAAGTGCCCTCCTCTGAATTCAGATGTACATTTGAGAAGAAAAAGAACAATAATGATGATGACCATGCATGATGGGGCTCCGTGCTTTAATACGTTGACCTCTTTTTTTAGCAATCATAAATATGATGCAACCACTATAAAATTTTAACATCTTATCCATTTCATAGGACGTGATACTGGATAGGAATCAACTATTTTGAGGACCAAGGTCCAGAGAAGACGGCAAGGTTGAGTCTAAACAGGGAGCTGGGAGTACTGGAGTATGGAGTGCTGGGAAGTGTAACATGGTAGGATTGAGGAGGATGGAGAGGACCAGAGAAGGAATAAAAAAAGTTGGGAAACTGCTTTTAAGAGTGTAACATAAAGTAAGAAAAGCGTTTTTTTTTTGTTTTTGTTTTTTAGGCCTGATGTGGTGGCTCCCAGCACTTTGGGAGGCAAAGGTGGGAGGATTGCTTGAGGCCAGGAGTTGGAAACCAGCCTAGGCAACATAGTGAGACTCTGTCTACAAAAAATTGAAAAATTAGCCAGAGGTGGTGGTGCAGGCCTGTAGTCCCAGCTACTTGGGAGGTGGAGGTGGGAGAATGGCTTGAGCCCAAGAGTTGGTGCAGTGAGCTCTGATCCTGCCACTGCACTCCAGCCTGGGTGAAAGGATAAGATCCTGTCAAAAAAAAAAAAAAAAAAGAAGAAAGACAACTGCTATTTTTAACAAACAAACCCTAAGACATCCAACTATAGATTTTCTTCTAAATAAATCTCCTTGTGAAGCTACATATTTATTCCAGTTGCAGAAAACATTTCATTCACTGCAACCTCTGCCTCCCAGGTTCAAGCGGTTCTCCTGCCTCAGCCTCTCCAGTAGCTGGGATTACAGACACCTGCCACCATACCTGGCTAATTTTGCTTGTTTGTTTGTATTTTTAGTAGGGATGGGGTTTCGCCATGTTGGCCAGGCTGGTCTTGAACTCCTAGCCTCTTGGGATCCACCCACCTTGGCCTCCCAAAGAGCTGGGATTATAGGACTTTATACTTTTTGACCAAATATTTTTTGTAACTATTAGGAGATAAGACTGATGATCTCTTATGGCCAGTAAACTTATGTAAAAGGTGTTCCCAGTGGTCTTCCAAGGGAGTTTTGAGAGATGCTAAAGTTCTGGGAAGGTCTTGTGGCCATCTCAGGGAAATGCTCTGGCGCACCTCTGAGTCCCAGGTGTTGCTTGGATGGCCATCTCACTTTATAGTCACAGCTAATCGGTTCCTTCTCAATGACTTCTCCATTGCTCACCCCAGATGAGGGGACCAGAGAGAGAGAAAGGTATAATAAAAGTAACCAGGGGTTGTTTCTTTTGCTGCTTTCAAACACTGATTTAGGATATTTTTAATTGAATTAACCATTATTACATGAATTCCAGCATTTGCAACCTGATTAGTTTTCCAGACTAATGGAACCCTTTGTAAATAACATGCTTCACTCCAACACATACAAAAAAAATTTAAATCTCCTTTAATAAGTTTTTATCCTTTTAAAATGTATTAAATTGTTAAAAGTTACAAAAATAGTGCATGAAAATCAGACCTATCAGGATCCATTTATTAGGTGCTTTCTAAATTCCCTTTGAAATATACAATTCAAAATAAACAGACTTCTTAACTGATGTAGTAAATATAAATGTCTTGATTTTTTAAAATCATGGCACCACAGAGAAAATGAAGATAAGAAAGCATTGAGCCTGTTTTACAAGTTATAGGGTAATTTGTGTAATATCTAATTAAGTCTTCCTTCACATAGTCACCTGGGAAATTGATTAAAACATACAAATTACTAACAAGACTTGGAAATTTTGATGTAATTAGAATATAATGAATATATAGTCTGCCTAAGAAAGAATAAGAATTTTACTCATGTTAAATATTTTTCATTGTGGCAAAGATGAAAATCCCAAATGAGTTTTAAATTATACTTTGTAATTTTAGAAGTGTTATATACTACTTGTAGATAACTTGGAAATTAAAAAAATAAATAAAGTAAAATCACCAAGAATTTAACTACCCCAACAGTGTCTTAGTCTGTTCAGCTGCTGTAACGTCTGGGTAGCTTATAAACAATAGCCTCAAAGTTCTGGAGGCTGGTAAGTCCAAGAGTAAGGCACCAGCAGATTCGGTGTCTGGTGAGGGCCTGCTTTCTGGTTCATAGATGCCACTTTCTTGCTGTGTCCTTACGTGGTGGAACGGGCAAGGAAGCTTTCTGGGCCTCTTTTATAAGGGCACTTATCACCTCCCAGAGGGCCCATCTCCTAATAACTGGTGATTAGGTTTCACCTATGAATTTGGGGTGGGGGGGGCACAAGCGTTCGGACCATAGCAGAGAGCTACTATTAATATTTTGTTAGATACGTAGTATTTTATACATACTTTAAATACTCAAGATTATATAATCTACATAATTTTATATCCTAATTTTTTCACTTGATATTTTTAGCTATTTCCCCATGTTTTCCCAATCATTAAAAATGCTTTGACATCATTTTTGATGGTACAGAGTTTTGTTCCAAGTGTTTGTTGAGTACCCACTGTGTGCTGAGAACTATGCTCTATTGCAAACAAAACACATACAGCCCTTGGTGTCATAGAACTTAAAGTCAAACAAATATATTGTTGCTTGCTGAGCCATTCCCCTACAATTAAACATTAAGATTATTCCCATACGATTACCATATAGTGTTGAAATGAAAGGTTTAGAGTGTTGGCTAAGAGCATAGGTTCTGCAGTCAAACAAAGACAGGTTGGAATTTCGCCTCTTCTAGTTATAAGCTATGTAACGATGGGCATATTCCTCAACCTAAGCCCCAGTTTTCCAATCTGGACTATAGGGATGATGGTACCTACCTTAGAGAGTTACTGCACAGATTAAATGAGATAATTCATGTAAAGCACTTTTCACAGTGTGTTAAGAGCTCAATTGCTATTGTTAGTAGTAGTAATAGTGGTAGTAATAATATTCTCTTCGTGCATGAAGTTTAATTGGCATTTGGATGTATTTTTTTTGACAGTGAAATTTTATTTTATTGAATTTTGTATGTATAAAACATGCCAGTAAAATAAAGAAATAATGAAACAAAGATTATATACAAAAGTTTTTGAATTAATACTATTTAAATACATTAGTTGTTAAGGGAAAAATTAGAGCTACATACTGGTCTTTCACAGTAATAAATAATAATGTTAGTGTTTAATTGCAATTAAATAAAAACTCCAACTAAAATAAATATATTGCTGGGTGGGTGGCTCATGCCTGTAATCCAAGTACTTTGGGTGGCCAAGGCAGGAGGATCGCTTGAGCCCAGTAGTTGGAGATCAGCCTGGACAACACAGTGAAACCTTGTCTCTACAAATAATTAAAAATTGGCTGGTCATGATGGCACGTGTCTGTGGTCCCAGCTGCTTGGGAGGCTGAGGTGGGAGGATTACTTGAGCCCACATAGTTGAGACTGTGGTGAGCCGTGACCACACCACTACACTCCATCTGGGTGACAGTGAGATCCTGTTGCAAAAGTAAATAAATAAAATAAATATATTATTCAAGTTGTTGACCTAAAGGAAGATGCTGCGGCACAAAATACAGTTTTAAGGAGGTTACTTAATGGCTGGGCGAGGTGGCTCATGCTTGTAATCCCAGCACTTTGGGAGGCCGAGGCGGGCAGGTCACTTGAGGTCAGGAGTTCAAGACCAGCCTGGTCAACATGGTGAAACCCCATCTCTACTAAAAATACTAAGGTTAGCTGGGTGTGGTGGCTGGTGCCTGTAGTCCCAGCTACTTGGGAGGCTGAGGTGGGAGAATCGCTTGAACCCAGGAGGCAGAGGTCGCAGTGAGTCGAGATCGTGCCACTGCACTCCAGCCTGGGTGACAGAGCGAGACTGTCACCAAAAAAAAAAAAATTTACTTGAACCAAAATGAGGATAGCTGCCCCGACACACTTCCAAGTTGCCTTGGGCAGTGCTCCTGCATTTCAGTGTACCTTCCTTTGAAGATATGATTATATATCTTTCTTTGGGAGTGGGGGCGGTGGCAGGGAGAATGGAGTCTCACTCTGTCACCCAGGCTGGAGTGCAGTGGCACTATCTTGGCTCACTACAAACTCTGCCTCATGGTTCCAAGGATTCTCCTGCCTCAGCCTCCCAAGTAGTATATATATATATTTTTTTTTTTTTTGAGATGGAGTCTCGCTCTGTCACCCAGGCTGGAGTGCAGTGGCGAGATCTTGGCTCACTGCAACCTCCGCCTTCTGGGTTCAAGCGATTCTTCTGCCTCAGCCTCCCGAATAGCTGGGACTACAGGCACATGCCACCACGCCTGGCTAATTTTTGTATTTTTAGTAGAGACAGGGTTTCACCATATTGGCCAGGCTGGTCTCGAACTCCTGAACTCATTGTGATCCATCCGCCTAGGCCTCCCAAAGTGCTGGAATTACAGGTGTGAGCCACTATGCCTAGCCCCAAGTAGTATTTTTTTAAAAAAAGAGAAACTTCGCTCATGGAATATCAAATGAAAGGAGCTCTAAACTGTATCTTAGTATATCCTGGTCTTTGTGTAAAGATCCCTAAAAATTTTCCCCTAAGAGTGTCCTGGGTGTTCCAGAATATACTTTTTTATAGCTCAATTAGCAGTAATACTATTTACGCTATTTACTAAGCGTCTGATAGTAATAATGAGAATATTGACTTATTATGCTTTTTTTTCAGCATGCAACTGCCACGGCCATGCCAGCAACTGTTACTATGATCCAGATGTTGAGCGGCAGCAGGCAAGCTTGAATACCCAGGGCATCTATGCTGGTGGAGGGGTCTGCATTAACTGTCAGGTGAGGCACTATTTAAATCAAAGTGGATGTGTTGTCATGGGGAATGAGTATTCAGTAAGCTCTGCTCCTGAAGAGATGTCAAGAAAGTGGCAGGCAATCGTAAGAGTTTTCTGAGACCATTTCTCCACTGTTGCTCACACAAGGCCTTGTTAGCTGGATGTAATTTAGGGATTGTAAGGAAAATGGACTGAGGTATGTTTACCCACACCCCTTTGATCAGTTTCTCGATTTAAATTTTGCCTAAATGGAGAGGAGGATTCCAGGTTATCATCTCTGGCTGCTATCCAACTTGTGATAGAAAAACTCTAAGATAGGAGGACAAGTAGTTATTAATGTTAGTGCTGACCCTACATCCTGTTTTCAGACAGATTCTGAGTCTAGACTCAGTGAGGAAATGCATCATGATCAATTAATGATGTCTTTCATAGACATCAAATATGAAACACTAATTTTTCATTCCTTCTGTAGGACAACTGGTTTCACTGGAATTTAGTTAAGGGAGTGTATGGCGGAAGAGGGCATCTCTTCATTGAGATATTCATTAACAGTCCTGTCAAATGTTTATGAATTTGGTCTACATTGTCATTCTTTCTTGTGTTCTTTTAGGTGTTTTGTTAATGTTACCACTGAAGAGGCGTTCTTCACATGAGATGCCCATTAATATGAAACCAGGGCTACATACCCATAGAGAGAGCCACCATTCTTCATTTGTCTCCCCCCTCCATACTTTTATATTATCTGTTATTGCAGATAATTAAAATATAAGTAAAATATAAAATATAAAATAGGTTTGTTACAAATCACAAGGTTTTATGTATAAGTGAGAAATCCCAGGATAAGGCTAAGCACTATAAGACCTTCAAGTGATTTGTGTGCATATTAAGTTGCAGAAACACTGGACTAGAATGTGTAGGTAGAATCTTTTCTCTGGATGAAAGGTCAAGCCCCTTCAATGTGTCTTTAGAATACTTTGTTATTCTTCATCATTCTCTCAGTGATATTATGTTTTGTACTTTGCTGTTCCAGGAAACCATCAATGTAGTCTTTTTTTTCATAGTGGGTCTGCAAAAACATTTTTTTTTTTTTTGCTTATGAAATTACTGAACTGTTATTTGGGTGTACTGCATTTGTTTTCCAACTTAAATTTAAAATGCCTTTTACTCAGTTAGATATTTAGGTAGCGTAATTAACTTTAAAATGTTTATTGTGGTAAAATAGACATAACATAAAATTTACCATTTTAACCATTTTTAAGTGTACATTTTAGCAGCATAATTAACTTTTATATTATATTGATAATCAATGGACAAGGAAAGAGTTCTGCTTCTTTTATGGTTTAGTGGCTGCTGCAGGACTGAACCCTCCCATGGAGGATTGGTCTCAATTGATTGTCTTTTCTCTTAAGAATGGGTCATATTTTAGGTGTTCATATGATAAACTATGGGCAAAATACAAAAGACAAATAAACAAATGACAAAACCACAAAAACCATGATCTGAAAGCACTGAAGAGTAAAAATAAGCAGGAAGATACTGGAGGGGAGCTGCAACTTGGCAAAACAGATCAGCATAGGGTGAGTTACATATTTTTATGACTTTTACCCAGAGGGGAGGCCAAAGTTGGTCCCATGTGGTCTGGCTAAAATTTCTCTAGAAATATGGAACCTTTGTCTTAAAGCTGTGTTCTCTGAGGAACCAGAGAGCAGAGCTTAGGACAACTCCAACTTGTGGAAAGTTGGTGGGGAGTCCAGGAAAAGAGAAGTCAAGAGCAGGGAAATCCCTAATTCTGTATATAAATTCTTCTCAAGTTTCTGACTGACCCCTCAGTCCGTTTTCCATACAATCCAAGCACAGGATGGATTTCATCTGAGACTGAAATAACTTACTTGACATTTTAGTTACCACTTAAGAGTCAGAATGTGCAGCTTGAGTAAAGTTAATTGTCTCATAAAGAAAAAAAACCATTTTTTAGAGGAATGCTAATGGATTTGGAATCCTTACAACACAATATTCACAATGTCTAGGCTACAACCCTAGATTTTGTAACATATGAAGATTCAAAAAAAGTGACCCATTCTTAAGAGAAAAGACAATCAATAGGGACCAATTCTGACATGCCCCAGATGTTGAAATTAGCAGTTAAGGATTTTAGAGCTGCTATTATAATTATGCTCAAGAGAATAGATTAAAATATAGTCACAATGAATGAAAAGATAATAAATATCAGTAGGGAAATAAAAACTGTAAAAGGATCAAAATGAAAATTCTATAACTAAAAAATGCAATATGTTAAATAAAAAATCCATTGGAGGGGCCGAATAGCAGAAAGGAGGTAATAGAAGAAAGAGTCAGTGAATTTGAAGATAGATTAGTAGAATTTATCTAGTCTGAAGAAGAGAAAGAAAAATATATATATTTCAAATGAACAGAGATTTGGGAACTGGTGAGACAATAGCTAAAGATGTAAGGAACATGTAATTGGACTCCCAGAAGCAGAGAAGAGACAATGAATCAGAAAAAAAAGTGAAGAAATAATAGTAGGAAATACCTCAAATTTTGCAATAGGCTAAGATTCAAAAAGCTTAATGAACCCTAACCTGGAGAAATACAAAGAAAATAATTCCTAGGCCTAGTGGAGTCAAACTGCTGAAATCCAAAGACAAAGTGAAAATCTTGAAAGTAGACAGAGAAAACATTACAACATAGTATGACTGTGGACTTTTTATTAGAAACTGGAGGTCACAGAAGGAATAGTATCTTTAAAGTGCTAAAAGAAAAAAGAACCATCATCCCAGAATTCCGTATTCAGTAAAAATATCCTTCAAGAATAAAAGCAAAAAGAAAATTGTTTGGTAGATAAAATAAAACTAAGAGAATTTATTGTCTAAGAGACCTACACTACAAGATATGCTAAAGGAAGTTCTTTAGGTTAAAGAGAGGTAATACGAGATGGAAACTCAGATCTTTAGGAAGAAATGAAGAGTATGGTATGTGTCTGGGCAAATATAAAGTACTATTTAAAAACAAATTCTTGGCTGGGCGTGGTGGCTCATGCCTGTAATCCCAGAACTTTGGGAGGCCGAGGTGGGCAGATCACCTGAGGTCAGGAGTTTGAGACCAGCCTGGCCACCATGGTGAAACCCTGCTTCTATTAAAACATACAAAAATTAGCCAGGCATGGTGGTGTGCACCTGTAATCCCAGATACTCGGGAGGCTGAGGCATGAGAATCACTTGAACCCAGGAGGCAGAGGTTGCAGTGAGCCAAGATCATGCCTCTACACTCCAGCTTGGGTGACAGAAAAAGACTGTCTCAAAGAAAAAAAAAATTCTTGGAAGTCCTAGCCAGAGCAATCAGTCAAGAGAAAGATATAGAAGACATTCAAATAGCAAAAGAAAAAGTCAAACTATCTCTCTTTGTTAATGATATGATTCTATACTTAGAAAACCTAAGGACTCTTCCAGAAGGCTTCTGGAACTGATAAACAACTTCAGTAAAGTTTCAGGATACAAAGATCAGTAGCATTTCTATGCACCAATAATGTTCAAGCTGAGAGCCAAATCAAGAACACAATCCCATTTACAGTAACTGCAAAAAACAAACAATAAAAAAAGCCCAAATCTAGGAATACATCTAACCAAGGAGGTGAAAGATCTCTACAAGGACAACTACAAAATACTGACTGAAAGAAATAATAGATGACAAAAACAAATGAAAAGACATTCCATGCTCATGGATTGGAAGAATTAGTAACATTACAGTGGCCATACTGCCCAAAGCAATCTACAGATTCAACGCTATTTCTATCTATGTCATTTTTGACAAAACTATAAAAAACTATTCTAAAATTCAGAAGAAACCAAAAAAAGAGCCCAAATAGCCAAAGCAGCCCTAGGCAAAAAGAACAAAGCCAGAGGCATAACATTACCTGACTTCAAACTATACAGAATACAGAACTCAAAAATAAAGCCACACACCTACAGCCATCTGATCTTCAACAAAGTTAACAAAAATAAGCAATGAGGAAAGGACTTTTTTTCTTTTTTCTTTCTTTTCTTTTTTTTTTTTTTTTTTAGACAGAGTCTTGCTCTGTCACCCAGGCTGGAGTGCAGTGGCACGATCTGGGCTTATTGCACTGCCTCCCGGGTTCCAGTAATTCTCCTGCCTCAGCCTCCCAAGTAGCTGGGACTACAGGTGTGTGCCATCATGCCTGGCTAATTTTTCATTATTAGTAGAAACAGAGTTTCACCATGTTGGCCAGGCTGGTCTCAAACTCCTGACCTCAGGTGACCCACCCGCTTCAGCCTCCCGAAGTGCTGGGATTACAGGTGTCAGCCACCGTGCCTGGCAAGGAAAGGTCTTTCTATTCAATAAATGGTGCTAAGATAGTTGTCTCTCCATGTGCAGAAAAATGAAACTGGACCCCTACCTTTCACCATATATTATACAATAATTAACTCAAGACGGACTAAAGATTTAAATGTAAGACCTCAAACTATAAGAATCCTAGAAGAAAACCTAGGAAACACCATTCTGGACATTGGCCTTCGGAAATAATTTATGGCTAAGTTCTCAAAAGCAATTTCAACAAAACAAAAAATTGACAAATGGGACCTAATTAAACTAAAGAGCTTCTATACTACAAAAAAAAAAAAAACTATCAGCAGAGTAAACAGACAGCCTACAGAGTGGGAGAAAATATTTGCAAACTGTGCACCTAACAAAGGTCTAATATTCGGAATATATGAGGAACTTAAATAGTTCAGCAAGCAAAAAACAAATAACTCCATTAAAAAATGGGCAAAAGACATGAACAGACACTTTGCAGAAGAAGACATACAAGTGGCCAACAAACGTATGAAAAAATGCTCCATATCACTAATCATCATAGAAATGCATGTCAAAACCACAATGAGATATCATCTCACACCAGCTAGAATGGCTATTATTAAAAAGTCAAAAAACAACAAATGCTGCTCAGGTTGCAGAGAAAAGAGAACACTTACTTATACATTGCTGGTGGGGATGTAAATTATTTTAGCCACTATGGAAAGCAGTTTGGAGATTTCTCAAAGAAAACAAAACTACCATTCAACCCAGTAATCCTATTAATTGGCATATATCCAAAAGAAATAAATTATTTCATCAAAAGGTCACATGCACTCATATGTTCATTGGAGCATTATTTACAATAACAAAGACATGGAATCAACCTTGGTGCCTATCAGTGGTGGATTGGATAAAGAAAATGTGGTATATATACATGATGGAATATTACACAGACATAAAAAAGAATGAAATCATACCCTTTGCAGCAGCATGGATGCAGCTGGAGGTCATTATCCTAAGCAAATTAATGCAAAACCGGAAAACCAAACGCCACACGTTCTCACTTTCAAGTGGGAGTTAAACATTGGGTACTCATGGACATAAAGGTGGAAACAATAGACACTGGGGACTACTAGAGGGGAGAGCGAAGAAGGGCGACAAGGGTCGAAAAACTAACTATT
This sequence comes from Homo sapiens, assembly GCF_000001405.40. NCBI lineage: Eukaryota > Metazoa > Chordata > Mammalia > Primates > Hominidae > Homo > Homo sapiens. The sequence goes on from NC_000018.10 coordinate 23,769,033, forward strand.
GGGTACTATGCTCAGTACCTGGGTGGCAGGATCAATCATACACCAAAGCTGAGCGCCATGCAATATATCCAGCTAACAAATCTGTACATGTACCCCCTGAATCTAAAATTAGAGTTGAATTTTTTTTTTGGAAAAAGAATTTTAGGAAACTACCTACCTTCCCAACCCCTCTTTATTTCCAAATCTCTGCCCTTTTATGGTAATACAATGATCTGTAATTATTTTCCTTTACTCAATCCCATTTGTAAATGTTTTAGAGGAGAGAATAAATAATGGAAAAGGAAAATAAAAGAATATTTTGTAAATAATACTTCAATATAGCTGGAAAAAATTAGAGTATGTAGGGCCGCTTACAACAAAATTTATGACATTGTCTCATGGTATTTATAAAATGCATGTAAATATAATACATATGCAACAATAGCATAAAAAATAATACAATATTAACTCTAATTTGACTGTGAGACGTGAAGGATATATATTGTAGTCCCTAAAACAACTGCTGACAAAATAATGCAAAGAGGTACAGCTAAAAGGCCAATAGATACTTCTAAAGGTAATTTTAAAAACATTCAAATAATCCAAAAAATAGATAAATGAAGGAACAGGGGATGAAGTGCATGCATGTGCGCAAGCACACACACACACAAAACCACATACACACACACCAGACACAAAAGGAAGGGGCAAGCAGAAAATAGATACAAATAGTGGTAGACCCAAATCCAGCTCTATAAAAAATACTCTAAATGTTAATGGACTAAACACTCCAATTCAAAGGCAGAAGCAATAAGAATGAATAAAAAAGCAAGACTCAACTATATTGTTCACAAGTACTTACCTTTAAATATAAGGACAAGTTGAAAGTAAATGAATGGGAAAAAATATACTATGTAAACAATAAACATTAGAAGGATAGAGTAAAAATATCAGGCAAAGTAAACTTTAAGACAAAGAGCATTAACACAAATAAAGACATTTCGTAATGCTAAGAGTAAATTCATCAGGGAGACAGTAATCATAAGTGTGTTTGCATCTAACAATAGAGCTTTAAAATACATGAAGCAAAATTTGACAGAATTAGAGGGAAAAATAGACAATTCTATGATCATAGTTGGAGATTTAAATACCATCCTATTGGCAATTTATAAAACTAGACAAAAACATCAACAATAACCATGAAAAATTGACAATTTAGATTTTATCAAAATTAAAAACTTCTGCTCAAAACAAAACATGCTATTAAGAAAATGAATAGGCAAGTTACAGACAGAAAATATTCACAAAACATAAACCTGACAAATGGTTGGTATCTGGGATATACAAAGAACTTCCACAGCTCAGTTATAAAAAAAAAAACCTCAAAAAAATTCAAAAGATTTGAATAGCTACTTGACAAAAGTAGATATATAAATGGCCAATAAATGTACATCAAAGAGCTTAACAAGGCCGGGTGCTGTGGCTCACGCCTGTAATCCCAGCACTTTGGGAGGCTGAGGCGGGCGGATCACGAGGTCAGGAGATTGAGACCATCCTGGCTAATACGGTGAAACCCTGACTCTACTAAAAATACCAAAAATTAGCCGGGCATGGTGGCGGGCGCCTGTAGTCCCAGCTACTCGGGAGGCTGAGGCAGGAGAATGGCGTGAACCCGGGAGGCAGAGGTTGCAGTGAGTCGAGATCGCGCCACTGCACTCCAGCCTGGGCGACAGAGCGAGACTCTGTCTCAAAAACAAAACAAAACAAAACAAAAAAAAGAGCTTAACATTATTAGTCATCAGAGAAATGCAAATTAAGATTACAATGACATACTACTACATACTCCCCAGGATTGCTATTTTTTCCTCAGCTTTAAAGGATGACTATTATTAAAAAGGCTGACAACATCAAATTTTGGTGAGAATGTGGAATAACCACACCTATTCATCATTGTTGATAACAATGCAGAATGGTACAACTACTTTGGGAAAACGGCCATTTAAAAAAAATAAAGCTAAACATACACCTATCCCATGACTCACAATTTCCACTCATAGGCATTTATTCATAAGAAATGGAAATGTTTGTTTTCAAAAAGTTTATAGTAGCTTTATGCAAATACCCCCAACTAGAAATAGCCCAGGTGACCAACAATAGTAGAATGGATGAAGAAACTCAGGCATAACTATAGAATGGGACTCTGTGGAGCAACAGAGAGGAAGAAACTACTGATGGATGCAGCGACATGCAAGAATCTTAAAAACATTATGCTCAGTGAATGACGACTGAAAAAACACACACCCAAAAGTATCAGGGCCATTTAAATGAAATTCTGAAACAGGTAAAAGTAGTCCATAGTGGAGAAAGTCAGAAATGTGGTTGACTTTGAAGAGTTGATGATGGAGATTGACTGTGAAGGGGAAAGAGGAACTTTGGGGTAATGATATTGCTCTATATCTAGATAAGGAATTGGATTTCACAGATGTATGCATTTGTCTTGACTCAGTGGATGTACAATTAATAGTTTTGCACTTATAAGTTTTTTGCACTTGTAAATTTTATAACAGAAGAAAAAAACTGTAAACAAATACTGAATTCCAGCTAGTTAAATGCATGGTGAAGTATTTAGGGGAAAGTGACTGATAGCTGCAATTTATTTTGAAATGCGTAAGAGATAAGATGAATTAGTGGATGGATAGAGGAATGGATGGATGGATAATTATGTGATAAAGCAAATATGGTAAAATATTAATGGTAAATTGTAGGTGGGGGAGTGTAAAGGTGTTCACTGTAAAGTTGGGAATTTTTCAAGATAAAATGTTGAAAGAAAAGAGTAATGAAAGAAGAAAGCCAGGAGCACAACATTTTTGGATTGACTCCTTCTTGATTTCTTTTCCCTTAAATATTGATGCTCTTAACTAAGATTGAAGATTATCCCCATTGTTTGAGATGATGCATGAAGATACTTTATCTCCATGAACTAAAACAAAGTCTTTCACCTCTTCCACAGAGATGTGACTTCTGATCGAAGTCTTTTTTTTTTTTTTTGAGACGGAGTCTTGCTCTGTCACCCTGGCTGGAGTGCAGTGGTGTGATTTCGGCTCACTGCAACCTCTGCCTCCTGGGTTCAAGCAATTCTCCTGCCTCAGCCTGCTGAGTAGCTGGAATTACAGGTGTGTGCCACCATGCCCGGCTAATTTTTATATTTTTAGCAGAGACGGGGTTTCACCATATTGGTCAGGCTGGTCTTGAACTCCTGACCTTGTGACCCACCCACTTTGGCCTCCCAGACTGCTGGGATTACAGGCGTGAGCCACTGCACCTGGGCTGATCTAAGTCTTAAACTCACTCCCTAGTTGTGTCGTTGTTATGTTGGTTTCACTATTTCCAGTCTAGTTAACCTGATGTCCTCTGTCTATGGTAAGAAACAGTGGCAAACAACAGATTTGAGGGTTAATTGACATCGGATGGGAAGGTGGGCCACAGCTGTTTCTGATTTACCCACCATGTTTATGCATGTAAATTTCAAGTCACAGAAGTGGCCAATGTGGTTTTAGACCTCAACATTAAAGTGAATTCAGATTTTAGCCTATGGGAAAATGAGCGGTAATAAAGAAAAGTCTGTAGTTAATAAAATTATCTAAAACAGGAGAGGATACAGAATGGGTCTTTGTTCTCCCTCTGTGTTTCTGTGCAGACTTTTGTGTGGGTCAAATTGTGTTTTTGTTCTTGTTAACTTCTTATTGCCTTTCTTTTCATTAGTGAAAGAACATTGTCCTCCTAATTATTCCCAAGTTAGAGCAAAAGAGGCAGAAATGAGCTAGATCCATAGTTTTGGAAACTGATGATGCATGTTGGGTAATTTAATTATGTGGCAATTACAAGGATTAACCATGAACTGGAAAGAGCTGCCTAGTATTGTACTTTAAAATGAGCTCCGTGTATGAGACTCATGCCTCCATTTTCCATTCATGAAACAGAGGTATTCAGAAAAGGGTTTTATGACTAAAGCACAGATAAAATTAGAACGAAGAGAGACAAGGATCTGTATATGTTATTCCTTCCAAAATTGGAGAAGGTGTAAATGCACACATGACCCTTGGGTTAAACTGTGCGATTCATTATCCATTCGTCAGTTCTTCTGAATGAGGCTACGAGAACAGTCCTCTTCAGTGTTTTCTCACTCACATGTCAGGTGCTTCATTAAAGCAAATTCTTCGATCAAGGATAAAGCCTGGGCTTGTCCAGTTGATGGAATGTTTCCTTTCCTCTCCCAATAAGAAAAAAATTCCAGAGCCAAGATTAAGCCAATCCTATGGTAAATTTTGGTCAAGGTCAAGATTAATGCTTTTTTAAATTATTATTTCAGTGACTTCAAAATTACAATTGTATATGACAGAATTATTCCTCTGGGTGAGTAGCACAAAATAAGGAGAATCGTCTTCCCCAGAACCCTTCCTTTAAGTTTCTTTTGTTTCTTTCTAGCACAACACAGCTGGAGTAAACTGTGAACAGTGTGCTAAGGGCTATTACCGCCCTTATGGGGTTCCAGTGGATGCCCCTGATGGCTGCATCCGTAAGTTTCATTTCAAGTTGGTGTATCTTAGCCTGTGTGTACTGCCTCAGCGAAGTCATCAGGCTAACTTTGGATCAGTTAATAACTTCCTTCATGCCCTCTCTCTTCAGAGTATTAGTTGTGCTCGCTATGTGACCTCAGTCACTTACACAGTCTCTTTGAATTTTGGATTTATTGCATGTAAATGGAAATGATAATGTATTTCATAAGATTAAATAAAATGCAATCAAAAGCATGTAGGAAAATACTTACCATTGGGCCTGTCACATATTAGGCCTGTGATAAATGTTAGTTTCTCCATTTTCTGTTGTTTTGACATGTTTCTATGATCTCTAATAATTTCAATTTTTGGGCTGGAGGCAGTGGCTCAGGCCTGTAATCCCAGGACTTTGGGAGGCTGAGGCAGGTGGATCACTTGAGGCCAAGAGGTCAAGACAAGCCTGGTCAACATGGTGAAAAACCCTGTCTCTACTAAATAGAAAAAAATTAGCCAGGTGTGGTGGTGCTCACCCGTAATCCTAGTTACTCTGGAGGTGGAGGCATGAGAATTGCTTGAACCCAGGAGGCGGAGGTTGCAGTGAGCCAAGATCACGCCACTGCACTCCAGCCTGGATGACAGAGTGAGACTCTGTCTCAGAAGCAACAACAACAACTTGAATTAGAACAAGACAACACAGTAATGAGTTCATAAGGATTTAATAATAGTCACATTGTTTAAAATAGCTAATATTTGTTGAGTACTTGCCATATATGAGGCATTACCTAAATACTTTCACAAAGGTCTTGTTTAATTATTACAACAAATAGGACATTGTATTATTGTCCTCATTTTTAGATACGGAGAAACCAAACAGTCTGAGTAGTTATATATAATTTAGGCTAGGTGACAAAACCGCTAACTGCTAGATCCAGGATATAGTTCTTTTCTGTCTGACATGACTGTGCCATAACTCTTCTATTATACAGAAGAATGCCTCTAGTTTTTCCTTGTAGAATTATGAATCTTGGGTCAGATTTACAGACTTTTCCCTACATGTGCAACCTATACCCTATTCAATGCTTGGTTCTTTTAAGTTGTCTGGTTGTCACAGTTGGAAAGCAATTCCAGTCCTGAAGTCAATCCTGTGCCCACTCCATGATTAATCATACCATTAACATTTGTGGGTATTAAAGTCCAGGGAATATGTAGATGGATTTACTTCTCTCTAGGGCATTCTTAGTTGTTAAAAAAAATGTGTTTTCACTTTTCTTCCTTCTTCCACATCATGCTGCAAAGTATGTCTATCACCTGTCTTGTGCCTACAAAGAATAGGCATTGGGAAAGGAAAACAGGACATTGCCAATGTAATTGTACCTCATTAGGAGCCTCACTGTTTCATCACCTTTCTAGTTTTTTCATCATTGAAGTGGTCCACAGAGGTATTAGAGGCTTGGCGTAAAGGATCAGTAGGACACATGAATCCTAACTAAATTAAGCAAAGGACACCAGGATGCCAGGTCACCCAGGTCTTTACAGGAGATGTATTCAGATGAGCTGTGACAGTATTTTCCCTGTCCAGGGTGCACCTGCCAGGTCAAGGGAGGCCCCCAAGTGGGAGGTCGACAATCTTCTTATACTTGCACTATGCCTTACTCCAGTGCAAGCCTGATAATCGTGCCCGATAATCGTTTTTGGTTGCAAAAGCTGCCTTCAGTAAGCCATTTCACTCAGATTAACATTTTTTTTATGGGTCTTGGTCTGCTGTCCACAGACTCTATCTCCATGTCTAGGCACTCCACACTTGCATCTGTATCATAACTGTGTATTGATGACCACTTTGTGGGCATTCACAGTTGGTTCATAGCTAGAAAGGGCTGTGCCCAACAGAACTAAGGCAAATACCCCCACCCCCACCCCCAACCCCTCTGACTGTAGCATGCAGGCTTTGCCTCTGACTCAGTGAGCTGGGCAATGCTCAGTGGGATAAATGACATCCATGAGAACTTCTGTGTGGACGCTCATTACAGCTGATCTCTGACAGCTCACGAGCTTCGGGCAGTGAGAACCATCAATCAGGTGTGAGGTGGGAAATAGGCTGTGCCCTTTCAAGAATACCTATAGACCAAGGATCAAGTATGGAACGTTGCCTGGGAAGTGTTGGAACATATTTGCTTTGTTAAGTGCAGTGAAGGACGGATCCTTTGAAAACTGGGATTTCTCTTAGCCTGCAGCTGTGACCCTGAGCATGCGGATGGCTGTGAACAGGGTTCAGGCCGCTGTCACTGCAAGCCAAATTTCCACGGAGACAACTGTGAGAAGTGTGCAATTGGATACTACAATTTCCCATTTTGCTTGAGTAAGTACCCACTGCAGAACAAGAGGCCACCCTTTTTGGTCCATAGCTGGCTTTTGTGCACTAACCTCTGAGGCATGGTGGACAGGTAGGGAAGGAGAGACAGAAATGGGGCCAGGTGGGTTGTATTTATGTAAAAGTGTTTCTGAAAGTTTGGAATATAAATTTTATATTGGTACATTTTACAGTCTTATTTATCTCCAAAGTGTTATGTTGTGCCACAGAAATTGCCATCTCAGTAGGTCAAAAAGTCAAACATTGGCAATTTTAACTTAATAATCCATGTGTGTGATTTTTCCTCCTAAATGTAGGAGAAATATCATGGGCTTCCAGATATTTATCTGCATGCATATAGTGTGTGTTGTGTTTCAGGAGCCCAGGGAAACGTTTCCTCTCTCCTGCTGTACAAGAGGCCAAGTTATAAGCACCCAGACTCCACCCCACGGCAGTGATCTAAGTGAACATCTCAGCATCACCAAGAGAAAAAAATACATATCTGTCAGAAACACTGTAGAGCATGAAACAGGAGAATCTGTGAAACCAGCTATGCGAACTGTGATGAGTGTTGGCTCTGTTTGTTGTGCAGCAGTGAGAAAACTGCACTTTGGGGTTAGGACAAAGAAACACTGTCACAAGGAGAGCCTGTCTCTCTGTATCACTCTATCAGATGTTTCCTGGCCCCACCCTCCTGACTCCTGCAGAGCCATCATAGGAAAAGCATATTGAGTTGTGGGGACATGGGGGCAGGACTCACATGAATGGGTAACTATATGTTCTCATTCACACCTCCCACCCCAGGTAATTGCTTAAATTGCACCCACTTTCTCTGTGGAGACTGTCCTACTTTGGTTGATGAGACACCACATCAGAATTTTATATCTGTGAGTCTTGGTAGAAGGCTGAACAGAAATTGTATTTGCCTTTTTTTTTTTTTTTTGAGACAGAATTTCGCTCTTGTTGCCCAGGCTGGAGTGCAATGGTGCGATCTTGGCTCACTGCAACCTCTGCCTGCCAGGTTCAAGCGATTCTCCTGCCTCAGCCTCCTGAGTAGTTGGGATTACAGGCATGTGCCACCACGCCTGGCTAATTTTGTATTTTTAGTAGAGATGGGGTTTCTCTATGTTGGTCAGGCTGGTCTTGAGCTCCTGACCTCAGATTATCTGCCTGCCTCAGCTTCACAAAGTGCTGGGATTACAGGCATGAGCCACTGCGCTCGGCCTGCCTTTTTAGTGAAAAGAAGAGGAAGAAACCTGAAGTAGTTTTATGGCATAAACAAAATGTCAGGAGAAAAAAATGAAAGAAAATATTTCTTTAAAGCTTTGATTTTATGTTAAAAAAAAAAACAATAAAAAAGCTAAGGAAGCCAAACTCATCCCTGCTCAGGCTGAGACTTAGCTATTGTGAGCACGAAACATTCATTTCTGTTCATCGTTATACAAATGGGAATGTCTGGCCAGTCTGGTTTCAGTTACTAAACACATTTGAGATATAGCAATATCGCCTTTCTTTAAATTAGTCTCTATATGCTACTTTTCACTAAGTGACAGAGGGTGTCTTCCTAGTTAGTACAACTTAATGTTTTACTTTACTATCTCCTTAATCATCCTCTGTATTTTTTAATAAACTATTTTTACAGGAATTCCCATTTTTCCTGTTTCTACACCAAGTTCAGAAGATCCAGTAGCTGGAGATATAAAAGGCAAGTAACCTCCCTTTTGGTTTAACTCCAGTGAAAATGTTATGCCCTTATTCTTTTCCTACTTCCTGTGTGCACTGCCACATCCAAGGCCAAGTCTCCCTTCCTAGAGCATGGTAGGTGCCTTGCAGGTGTCTCCTAGTTGACCTACTCCCCACCCATCAGTCCCCACTCCAGCCTGTCTTTTACAAGGGCACTACCTGACGTAGGAAACTGTGCAGAGCTTGTATTAGATATCACCAGCTTGCTCAAAGACCTTCAATGGCAGCCAGTGGTCTGTTGTCTTTTTTGAGTTCCCCGAAAACAGACCCTGAAAAAGGAATGGAGAGCAAGTCATTTATTTGGGAGGTGATCCCAGGAAGGGAGAGAGTCAGGGAGTGAAGGGAACCATGATAAAGGTGCAATGGCAGGTAATGGCAGTTATCTGCCATTAGTGGAGGCATTAATGCTTCTGGGGCATTCACCCTCTGGCACTTACAGCTTGGCCTTCAGGAAGGCTGAGGAGCTTCTGCAGTCCCAAAACAAGCCCCTGGCAGAGAGTAGCAGTGGTGTGCAGTAAGCTGTCTCTGAGGGTGAAGGGGTGAGTACTAGAGGATGTGGGTGTTACATTTACCAAATCATTTGTTCCATAAATATTTTAAAATTCCCTGTTATGTGCAAAGTACCATTCTGGCTGCTGGGGACTTAGCAGAGAACAGAACAGAAAAAATTCCCAGCTTTCTTGGAGCTTATATTCCTGTGGAGAAACCCAGATAATAACATACATAATATAGAAACCCAAGCAAGGAAAATAGCTAATTCATTAGACTGTGAGAGGCAGAGTTGTATTCTGAACATGGGTGCCACTTTTAAGGGGGAGCCATTCACATCATAGGCATAAACTAACTCATGTGAGAAGATTCCAGGCCTCTGCGCTGGGTTCCAGAGCCATGGGGAGTTTCTTACATAAACCCATCACGGCATCCACAGGGAGGCACAGGTTCTCAGAAGGGCACGCCTGCACCAAAGGAAGGGCACAGCACACGCACACAGCCCACGACTGGGCACCATCGGACTCATGCTCACATCTCCTGAGTTTGCCTCTCCTACCCCAGGGCGCCAGCAGAGGCCTGGTGGTCACTGGGGAGGAGGTAGTGCCAGTCATGTGTGAGCACGAGTGCCCCTCCTCCTGCAGCGCCACGGTGTGGGCCAGCAGAGAAGATGGTTTCTGAAGAGCTCTCCTTGGCAGTGAAGTTCAGGCTCTACAGCAACATAGTAACTCAGGTATGGACTGGAGGCAGCCTTGGTGATAAGCGCTGCTGAAAAAACAAGACAGAGAGGAGGTTAGGGAATGTGAGGTTTACAGATTTAAATTAGAGCAGTCAGAGAAGGCCTCACTGAAGCAGGTATAGGAAAGAGCAAGTGCAAAGTCCCTGGGGCAGGGGCAGCCCTGGGCCAAGGGTGTTCAGTGAACAAAAAGAGACCAGGTGTGTGAAAGTGGAGTGAGGGAAGGTGAGACTGGTAGGAAGGGAAGGCATCAGGGGCTGGATGGAGGCCCTCGTCAGCCACTAGAGAGGCCTTCTCTTTTACTCAAAATGAGACAGGAGCCATGGAGAGTTTTGCACAGAGAAATGATGTTATATAGAAGGCTCTTTGGGTCTACTGTATTGAAAGAAAATCTCAGGAGAAGAGAAGAGAAGAGAAGAAGCAAGGGGGCCTGATGGGAAGTTTTTCCATAATCCATGAGGAAGAGATGATGGTGGTTCAGACCCAGGTGGTGTCAGCGGAGGTGACAGCAGTGGACAGACTGTGGATATCATCGGAAGGTAGAACCAACAGGATTTGCTGAGGGATTGCTAGACCGGAAGTAGAATATTAGAGAAAGAGAGGGCTCTGGGGTGACTCCAAGGCTTTTCGGCTGAGCAGTTAGAAGGAAGAAGTTGCTCTTTGTTGAGAGGGAAAGATTAAAACAAGAGAAAGCAGAATACATGGGCCAGAGGCGGGGTGGGTGGGGGCAGTGGTGGGAGCTCGTGGATGTTCTCTTCTGGCTGTTTTTGAAAGTTTTCTCTGTGGAATAACAAACAAGGTCAGAGCAAGAAGCAAGAGAGGAGGGCTCGGGGTTGAGTAGGGAGAAGGTATGAGAGTCATCCAGGAATGTGGGTGGGAGGATGGGCTTGGGAAAGTCATGGGATTGCTGGGTGGCACCAAAGGCCCCCTGGAGGTCAGTTATAACAGGACCTCAGTTACCTTCCTGACGTCATTCCCTGCTTCTGCCCTACCCACACTCCTCCTCAGTCTAACCATGGTGCTGTGCATTATTGCACTGTGTGTGGGACTGTCTCATGTCAGATACTGGGCCACTTGAGGACAGCAGCTCTACAGGATGGGGCAGTCACGTTGGCTTAGAGACCTGCCCGCTAAGACTCAGAGAGGGCCAGGCACATTCTGATAGCTCAGTTTGGAGGCTCTGCATAGATGCCAGTAACGGAGAATTTAAGGAATGGTGACTACTGAGGAGAATTGCAGTCTTGAATACTTAGCATATTCTTCATTCATTAAACTTTTATTAAGTGCCTGTGCTGTGCTAGTCACTGCCAGGCAGCTGCCTGATACATGGTTCCTCCTGCCTGGGAGCTCCCAGTCTGAGACAGAAAGGTCAACAGTTCTAATGGCAGGAGTTAAGTGCCATGAGAGCATATGGGAGGGGCAGCCTTACAGCCAGGGTGAAGGAAAGAAGGAAGGAAGAAGGAAGGGAGGGAGGGAGGGGAGAAAGGAGAGAGACAGAAGTGCTGGAAGGGCTTCCCCAGAGCAGCAGGAGGAGGTATCTGAGCTGAGTCTTGGAGTGTGAAGAGGAGTCAGCCAGGCAGAGGGGCAGGGAAGAGAAGCCGTGGGGCTAGGAGAGAGGGGATGGCAGACAGGTCATTAAGGCTGAAGCATGGGATAGAGAGAGGAAGTTCAAGGAGAGGACCTAGAGGAATAAGAAAAGACCTGAGCGGGCAGCCAGCTCAGATGTGTAGGTTTGCAAGGCACAGCTGTGCCTCATCTAAGGGGCATCACAATCATGGAAGACATTGCAGATTTGCATATTGATGATGATGATTTTATAGCAGGTGACAGGAAAGCATCTTGAGGAAGGGGCACCTTTTTCTAATTTGCACAAAGATGCCCCATGGGTTGCTGATAGCTTGGAAAATGTTGAAGGATCTATTCTGTCACATGTGAAGGACTTCGTATTCTGTCCTGCAGGCATTGGGTCACTGTCAAGGGATTTAAAACTGGGAAGTGATATGAAAAGGTTGATATTTTTGAAATATCACTCTTGACACCAGCATGGAGAATGAATTAGAAGGAGCAAGATAGGAAGCAGAGAGCCTCCTTAGGAAGTTCTCAAAATAATCCAGGTAAACAAAGATGAGGTCTGGAACTCTGGCAGTAGAGACGGACTCAAGGGATTTTCTTGAGATATAATCACTGTGACTTCGTAATGAGGTGTGGGATGTTCTTTCTTTTTCTATTTTAATCAGAATTCTTTGAGCCTCAATGCCAAGGTAAAGTCCAAGTTTTTCACTGAATCTCAATACTTCGTTTAACGCCAAGACTGTAATTCACGGTAAAAACGTTCCCTTTCCCTGTGACATTCGTTCTCAGCCTACAGGGCTGTGGCATTAGGACCTTGTATGGCAGCTGTGATGGACGGACAGGGTGGTGCTCATGCCATCCTGGGTTCCAAGGCTTCCCTTGTCATGAATGTGTCCTTGCCACTTCTGAAAAGGAGGAAAAACTTTCTTCTACCCTCTTAGGTACCATGGCTGGGCCTAGAATTAAATGAACCTAAGACAGATTAACAGTAAAAAAGCATACAAATGTATGTAATATTTTTACATGTACATGAGAGTCTCTAGAAGGAAAATCAAGACCCAAAAAAGCCATTAGGCCCCAAAGCCTATGTATTGTACATGTTTACACAAAGAACAATGAAGTATGAAGTGTGACAAGACAAAAGAGCTTGGGCTAGTGGCACTACATTGTGGGACCCTGGCTAGGAAGCACTGGGAGAAACTAAGTGTTATTTTAGTGGGTTTGTTGGTGCAGATCCAATCCAGTCGACTCCCAGTCTCCGGTGATAAGAATGCTGTCTTCCTGGTACAAGGAGGGCAGGCACCTTTCTCCTGGGAAATTTTATGACCTGCTTTTAGGTAGAAAGGGTGAGATCAGAGAACCCTTCCTACATCTGCTGCTTCTAAAGTGCCTTTGCTGGAAACAGTCAGTATGCTAAAATGGCATATTCTAAATCCCTTCACTTCCAATGCTGTTTTTGTCAAATTAGGCAACTGTTTGGTTGAAGTATGAACAAGTTAAAAATCATGTAAAGACTATAAAGTTGTTCTGATTTACTGTGATTTTTTTCTTAATTATTGTATTAGAAAAAAATAATTCCACAACTTAGTTACTAACGTTTTATTTGAAAAATTAAGGGTTTAGGGCAAAGGGATTTGGCTACTTTTCATATTAACTACTATTTTAACCCATGTAGAAAATCTTTCCAAAATGCATGAGACTTTCCTTCCTTGGTAGGTAGGGTGGACCCAGCTGAATCTTTGAGTCTTTTACGATCTTCCTTAGGGGACCTGTTGCAAATTTAGATATTAATGTAATTTATAGAATTATGGATGCTTTCAGGGCGAGGCATGGTGGCTCACGCTGTAATCCTGCACTTTGGGAGGCTGAGGCAGGCGGATCACCTGAGGTCGGGAGTTTGAGACCAGCCTGGCCAACATGGTGAAACCTTGTCTCTACTAAAAATACAAAAATTAGTCAGATGTGGCACACGCCTGTAATCCGAGCTACTCGGGAGGCTGAGGCATGATAATCGCTTGAACCCAGGAGGCAGAGGTTATGGTGAGCAGAGATTGAGCCACTGCACTCCAGCCTGGGCGATAGAATGAAACTCTGTCTAAAATAAATAAATAAATAAATAAAAAGAAAAAAGAAATAGATGCTTTAAATATGAGATTGATTTGAATATATATGCTAATCCAGGACACACTCTGAAAGTTGCTTTTAAAATCATTCTCAACTTGTATTTTTAGTATAATAGAAAGACCATGGGCTTTGAAATCTGGCAGTTCTGGGTTCAAATTCTGACTCTGCTTCCCTGGCTGTGTGAACTTGGGGAAGTTAATTAACCTTTCTGAGCATCTTTTTTTTTTTTTTTTCATCTATAAAATACTTACCTGTCTTACAGGGCTCTTGTTTGACTTCATTATTATTTTTGAGCAATATTTATTTCCCAAGGAATAATGTGTGCTGGCCCTGGGGGCCTGTGGTGAGCTCTCATGAAGTGTCCAGTCTGCTGGGTGATTTACTTATCTATTTCTGTGTCTTAAGTCACCCCAAAACTTAGTAGCTTAAAAGAACAAGGGTTATTTCTCTCAATTGTGTGGGTTGGCTGGGCGGGTCTTCTGCTGGACTTGCTGGAGGGTTTCTGGGGCTGGATTTAGTTGGGACATTTGGGAGTATCCCTCTTTGTGGCCTTTTGTCCTCAAGGAGGCCAGACTGGTCCCTCCCATGGTGGTCTCAGGATTCCTGGAGGGCAAGAATGGAAACGGCAAGGCCTGTAGTGACCTGGACTCAGAAGTTGCATGACAACAACACTTACACCTCATTCTAGTGGTCAAAGCAAGTCACAGACCAATATGTGATCCCAAAAATGAAAGTGTTGTGAAAGAAAAACACAGCTAAGATAGAGAATAAAAGGAGGAAAGTGGGGGGGCCATTTATACAGACTGGTCAGGGGGACCTTCTGAGGAGCTGATGTTTGAACTGACACCTGGTGGATGAGAAAGAGCTGGCTGTGCTGAGAGCTAAGGGAAGGGTATACCAGGCAGAGGGATTGGCCTGAGCAGAGGTCCTGAGGTGGGAAAGCCCTGGATAGAGGTACTAGAAGCAGCCTGGCTGTGGGGAAGGCCAGTGCCGGGAGGATTAAGTGAGATGATCCAAGGGAAGCCCCCAATGCCTGATATGTAGTAGGGCTGAATTGATGTTAGTTTCTTTCCTTCTAAAAACTGGAAGGAAGAAATACATTTAATTCACGATTGTCATGAGATGGGAATCTATTAAATTGAAGTTATACTTTACAAAGCTCGGCTTTAGAGGGAAAATAAAATGTTTCCACAGGAATAGATGTTAAAAGAATGGTTTGCAAATGAATGCCCATCCTTACGTGTTTTTTTTAATGATATCTCTGACCTTTTGTGAATTTTTAAAAATTTCCCTTCAACGCAGTGTAGTCTTCTGCGTTAAGAATGTTTAACAGCCATAGATAATTAATAATCTATATTCCCATGATAGAAACCTAGGGGAAGGGAGAAATTAAGAAAGTGATGGAAGATGGAGACCCCTTCTGAAAGTTTCCTGTCTTCTGCAGGGTGTGACTGTAATCTGGAAGGTGTTCTCCCTGAAATATGTGATGCCCACGGACGGTGCCTGTGCCGCCCTGGGGTTGAGGGCCCTCGATGTGATACCTGCCGCTCTGGTTTCTACTCATTCCCTATTTGCCAAGGTAAGTGGGCAGAACATAGCATATTCATAATCAATCCCTCAAGATAAATTTCCTCCTGAGGAAATGCAGATCTTTCTGGCAGAGCTGTCTGGCTTGCAGTTTAATAAATGGGCCCCTGGCTTATATATGGATGTTACATGTGATGGTCCTACCTGGACCTTGTCACTTCCCTTCTTTCCAACCTTACCCTGCCTCCTCCCTGGTAGTTAAGCACATGGACTCTGAAATAATCTGTTTGGGTTCAAATCCTGGCTCTGGAGAGGAGGTGGTATCTGAACAGCATTTAGGAACCTGCCACCACTTCTCAGATCCTGTTGGGGCGGGTCTCCAGATGCCAGTTGGGTTTGCAAATTGGAAGTGTGTGAATAAGATTAGAAAGATGGGAAGGTGGATGACAGAAGGAGGCAGGGTGTTCTAGAGAGAGGGGACAGCACATGCAAACCATAGAGACATGAGACCACAAACCCCCTCCTCCCCACTTGTTTGTATCCTAGTATCCCATCCCGGCAAGGGTCGCTGAAGGGGGGATGGAAGGTGGGAGGAGGAAGTGTCTGGTCCGGTCCCTAGAGCATGGCAGGTATGCACTCAATGCTGGGTGAGTGAACACATGAATGAATGAATTTGCCCAAATTATTCTCCCCTGCCTCCTTTCTACTGTCTGACATTATTCTTCTTTCTGCAGACAATGGTGTAGGGGAAGGGAGGAGAAAGAGGAGAAGATTATCAGTCCAGGATCAAGGCAGGAAATAAAACACCACTTCAGACACTATAAAAAGAAAGAGATTTATTATAGGTAATTAGGTGCTAGCCCAGAGGAGTTGTTAAGAGCCAGAGCAGCAGGCTCTAGGCTGGGCTTCCAAGGAGGCCTCCAATGGAATGGCTGGGTTTTAAGCCCAGACTGCTATGTCCCAGTGCAAGGATGGGAAGCCCATGGTTGGTGACTTCATCTCTTGGCATCCAGGAAGCCAGAGTCAGAGCACAGCTGCATAAATGCTCAGCCAGCTACAGGATGCAGCCTCCTCCTTATTTCCCATCGGTCTAATCTTATTCACACACTTCCAATTTGCAAACCCAATTGGCATCCAGAGCCCTGCCCCAACAGAGTCTGAGAAGTGCTGTCTTTAGCTTTCCAGCCTCTGAACACTGGAGGATATTAGAATAGGTATTAGGTCATCTCACCTGCAAGGTCAGCCACACTAAGGAACTGTAAGCATGAAAAACTCCCTCCCCTAAGCTGGAGGACAAGGTAGTGAAGAGCAGGGGTGGCACTAGCTATCAACTTGGGCAAGTTACTTAACCCCTCTGTTCCTCAGTTTCCAAAAAATAGTGCCTGTCTCATAATTCATTGTTGTGAGGGTTACATATGTACTGACAGGTAAAGCTCTTAGAACTGAGGAAGTAATTGTTCATAAGTTAGCTATTCACTTGCACCTTTCTTCTCCTGACCTATACTTCCCTCTGCATCATTTTAAGAGCTTGTAGTCCCATTTCCAGCCATCTCCCTGTTTGTTTAAATGCCTGAATCCCATACCCCAAACCTTTCCTTTACCTGCTGGCTCCTGGTGTGCAAAACATTCTTGTGGCTGAAAATATATCAAAGGGTTTCTTTTTTTCCTCCTCTCTACCAGCCACAACTTCAGATTCATTCTGGTAGAATGAATTACAAATATTCTAACTTATTCATATGGACAAAGCTTGTGTTTATGGATACAAAGATAATGAATAAATAATACAACACTTTAAGAATGCTCTTTTCCACATTTCTCCACTACTAGAGCTAATTTATTTTAAGGTAGGTAGAAAATGCATGAATGTATTCATGACAAAGCAGAGGGGAGGAAGGACTTCCATAACAACAGAGGAGGGAGGTTGGTAGATACTCTTTTCAGTAAAACAGAAATTAACCAGTGAAAATATTTTAAAAAATTGTTTGAAGTCTCTGTTAATGGTCATAAGAGCATATAGCAAATGAAGAAACAATTACTTAAGAAAATTTGAATCTAGGTAAGAAATGAGAGTCTCTGTGACATTTCAGCCATGACCCCCTTCATTATCCATCCCCAAATCTGTTTTATAGAAGATCTACCCATATGTGTTGCCAAGAAGATGGGCACTCTCTTTATCCTGTGCCCCAGTTTGGGGCTATGGTTTGTTTCATTTTGGGAGGGGAAGGCCACTGATATTTCTCAACCTTCTGCAGTCCTGTATAGCAGAAGCCCTATTCCAGGTGGGCTCAGCAAAGAGGACCAGCTCTCTCTTACCCACCACCCCTCCACTTGTAGGGTAGTAGCTCTAACTTAGGCACTTCAGGCTGAGAATTCTGGGATCCCAATCAACCCTACCCAAGCTGGCTCATAGAGTAGGGATCTATGGTGGGAGAGGAAAACTGAGAAGACCATGGCGCCACCTCCACCTGTGTCCACTTGTAGAGCATAGCAGAATTTCAAAGAAAGAGGGAAGTGTGACCCATACATAGGGGAAGAAGAAGACAATAGAAACCACTTTTGAATGAGCCAGATGGTAGTCTTAGCAGACTTTAAAGCAGCTATTATAAATCTGTATAGAAGACTAAAGGAAATCATGGTTAATGAATTAAAGGAAGGTATGATGACAACATCTAATTGAATAGAGAATATCAATAAAGAGATAGAAATTGTTTTACAAAATAACCAAATGGAACTTTTGGAGTTGAAAAGTATAATAACTGAAATGAAAAATTCACTAAAGTGGCTCAACAGTAAATTGAGCTAGCAGAAGAAAGAATCAGCAAACTTAATGACAGATTGATAGAGATTGTGCAGTCTGAAAACAGAAAGAAAAAAAGAATGAAAATAAATAAACAGGCCGGGGGCAGTGGCTCATGCCTGTTATCTCAGCACTTTGGGAGGCCAAGAGGGGTGGATCACTTGAAGTAAGGAGTTTGAGATCAGCCTGGCCAACATGGTGAAACCCCGTCTCTACTAAAAATACAAAAATTAGCCAGGCATGGTGGCAGGCGCCTGTAATCCCAGCTACTTGGGAGGCTGAGGCAAGAGAATTGCTTGAACCTGGGAGGCAGAAGTTGCAGTGAGCCAAGATCGCACCATTGCCCTCCAGCCTGGGTGACAAGAGTGAAACTCTGTCTCAAATAAATAAATAAATAAACAGAACCTGAAAGAAATATGGGATACCATTAAGCACAACATATGGGTAATGAGAGCATCAGAAAGAGAGGAGAAAAAGGAATAGAAAAAAATAGCCAAAGAAATAATGGTGGAAAACTTACTAAATTTAATGAAAAGCCATCTATACAGCTAAGAAGCTTAATGAACTCCAAATAGCATAAATACAGAGGGATCCACACAGCCAGACATATTATAGTTAAAATCATAATTAAAATTTTGAAAGACAAAGACAAAGAGAAAATCTTGAAAGCAGGAAAAAAAAGACTCATTATGAACACAGGAACACCAGTTAGAATAACAACTGACTTCTCATTAGTAACAATAGAGGCAAGAAGGCAGTGAGAGCGTATATTCTAAGTGCTGAAAGTGGAAAAACTGTCAACCAAGAATCTCCTATCCATCAAAATTACTATTCATGATCAAGGCTAAGTAAAGACTTTCTCAGATGAACAAAAACTAACAGAATTCACCCAACCTGACTTATAAGAAATAATAGACATAATAAAGGATGTTCTTAAAGCTGAAACAGGTACCATCAAATAATAATTTGAATAACATGTAAAAATTACAAAAGAGAGTATAATTGAATATTTTTATACATTCTTCTCTTGACTGA
This sequence comes from Homo sapiens, assembly GCF_000001405.40. Classification (NCBI taxonomy): domain Eukaryota; kingdom Metazoa; phylum Chordata; class Mammalia; order Primates; family Hominidae; genus Homo; species Homo sapiens. Next base: position 23,787,938 of record NC_000018.10, read on the forward strand.
TTTTAACAGAAAGTATACGAACTGTATATACAAATACATACATACATACATAAATATGGGGCCTATATCATATAAAAATGTAATATGTTTGACAGTAGCACAAAGGAGATAGGTGAGAACAAAGCTGTATTGGAGTAAGAAAATGACACCAAATCTATAGGAAGAAATAAAGAGAACTAGAAAGGATAAATAGAGTTTATAAAGACACTCTATAAATATATGCTTGATCTCCTTTCTTCTATTATCTTCCTTAGAAAACATAGATTATATAAATTAATAATTATAAAAATGTATTGCTGGATTTTAATATAGAGAGACATAATATGTATAATAACAATAGTACAAAAATGGTGGAGAGGGAATAGAACTAAATAAGAGTAAAATTTCTCTATTTTACTGGAACTAAATCAATATGATACTAATGTAGATTTCTTTTTGTAAGCCCTAGAGCAACCACTAACATAGTAACTCAAAAATGATTAAAAAGTCATGAAACAGAGTAAAAATTACACTAGAAAATATCTAATACAGAAGAAAACAATAAAGGGGGAATAGAGGAACAAAAAATACATGAGATATACAGAAAATAAAATGCAAAAGGGCCAAGGTAAATCCAACACTATCAATAATAACATTAAACATGAGTGGATTCAACCTCATACTATAAACAAAAATTAGTACAAAATGTATGAAGAAACTAAACGTAAGAGCTAAAACTATAAATCTCTTAGAATAAAATATAGGCATAAATCTTCATAACCATAAATTAGGCAACTGTTTCTTAGATATGACAACAAAAGCACAAGTAGCAAAAGAAAAAATAGATAAATTGGATTTCATCAAAGTTAAAAACTCTTGCACTCGAAAGGGCACTATCAAAAAAGTGAAAAGATAAATCATAGAATGGAAAAAGATATTGCAAATCATATATCTGATAAGGCACTAGTATCATATACACACATATATATAATATATAAAATCTGGATATATTATTATAAAATAATCCATATATATGGATATATTATTTTTACAACTCAATACTTAAAAATTAAAAATAATTAAAAAGGCAACCTGAAAATGAGTAAAGGATTTGAATAGACATTATCTTCCAAGAAGATATACAAATGGCCAACTGGTATATGAACAGATGCTCAACATTACCAGTCATTTGGTAAATGCAAATCTAAACCACAATGAAATACCATTTTATATCCACTAGAAAGGCAGGCAATAACAAGCGTTGGCAAGGATGTAGAGAAATTTGAACCCTCATACATTGATGGTGGGAATGTGAAATAGTACAGTGACTTTGGAAATAGTTTTGCTATTCCTGAAAAAGTTAAACATAAAGTTACCATGCTACCCAACAGATCTATTCTTCAGTGTATATCCAAAAGAAATGAAAACACATCCACGCAGTAACTTGTGTATGAATGTCCATAACAGCATTATTCAAAATAGCCAAAATGGGGAAACAACCCATATGCTCATCAACTGATGAATAGATAAAATGTGGGATAGCCATACAATAGAATATTATTTAGCAATAAAAAGGAACGAAGTACTTATGCATGCTACCACATGAATAAACCTTGAAAACATTACGCTAAATGAAAGAAGTCAGTCACAAAAGTCACATATTGTGTGATTCATTTATATGAAATGTCCAGGATAGGAAAATTTATAGAGATTGAAAGCAGATTTGTGGTTGGGAGTGAAGGTAGTGGACAATGTGGATTGACTTGTTAATGAATATGGGATTTCTTTTAGGGGGAACGAAAATGTTCTAAAATTAGATTGTTCCAAAAGTTGCACAACTCTGTGAATATATTAAACAACATTAAGTTGCACACTTTACACTTCAAATGAGTGAATTGTATGGTATATGAATTTTATCTCAATAAACTTGTTTGAAAAAATAAGGCAGAGGTGGGAGGTGGAATCCCAACACACTAAAGAAGGGTTATTCCTCCCCAGACACTTGTCAGCCTTATCTCTGTAAATTTGACGCTCATCTCTCTTATGTTTTTATAGTGATGATCACATAATGTGCATTTGAATTTTAGAGTTAAAAGGAATTGAAATCACAAGTACTTATTTTACAGCAACCATTCTGAGACCCAGGAGAATACGTAGGGAGTAGATAGTTGCAGGGTGGTGAGTAGCACCCACATTTCTTTACTCTCAGCCTGGTATACAGCAGGAATTCTATTGTATTCTTTAAACCCCTTCATCACCTAGTGATCTAGGACATCAAGAAGCATGAGGGCTATTCTTCTAAGGCTGAGCTTTTCATACTGCAGTTCATTGTCCATTAGTGGATAGAGAAATCAATTTAGAGGGTATGGGCCAGCATTACAATGAAATAGGATAGACTAGAAATTATTAGAATGCATCATAAGTGTAGAGAAAATAAATCTCTTGCAAAGTTCTTGTTCATAGTTATTTATGTTTTGCTAGATATCTCTATCATCTATTAGTGTGTGTGTGTTTATTGGGTTATAATGTAAAATGTATTTTTTACTGTGAACATGGCCAAAAAGTTTGGAAACTGCTGTGCTAAAAGATCCTGAAGGATTTTATCTGTGCTTCTGAGTATGGGAAGTAGTTTGCCACTTTTCTTTTCTGAGTAGTTTGTCACTTTTCTTTTATTCTGCTCTTTGCTCTTGCGGCTTCGGACTTTCAAATAGTTATAACCTGAAGTCATAGAACATTTGGGTGAATTTACTCTCATTCAGCTAGAAACTGTTGCTCAGTAAATTGCAGCAATAATCTGATGAATCCATTTTCCCCATGAAGATATTCCTGTGCCAGTATACACTGCATAATTCCTTCCCAACCCTGTTTGAAGGGCAAGAAAGCACTCTGTCTTATTTTTTACCATTATCTATAAAGAGCAAGGACCAAAGAGATAAACATGAAGAACTAGTTTGAGATGCATATCCTATTTTATCTTTTTTTTTTTTTTTAAGACAGAGTCTCGCTCTGTCACCCAGGCTGGAGTGCAGTGGCGCGATCTCGGTTCACTGCAAGCTCCGCCTCCTGGGTTCACGCCATTCTCCTGTCTCAGCCTCTCCAGTAGCTGGTACTACAGGCGCCCGCCACTGCGCCCGGCTAATTTTTTGTGTTTTTAGTAGAGACGGGGTTTCACCGTGGTCTCAATCTCCTGACCTCGTGATCCGCCCGCCTCAGCCTCCCAAAGTGCTGGCATTACAGGTGTGAACCATCGCGCCTGGCTTCCTGTTTTATCTTTAATCCATGATATTGTCTTTACTATTCTTCCTTAAACCCTGCAAAGAGAAAGGACAGTATAAATTTCAAAGTCCTATAATCTTTACATAACTCAGAGTGTGGAGACTTCAGTCTGACCTTACCAGCAAGCTACCTAGAAATGTAAGCAGCAGATACAGTTACTTTTTAAAGATGCTTGGCTTTGATTAATAGGTTGAGCTTGGGATCTTTTGTGGGGGGAAAAATGATAGATAATTGGGATTTCACAAATGTGTATGATAGGCCAGACATAGTGGCTCATGCCTGTCATCCCAGCACTTTGGGAGGCCAAGGTGGGTGGATCACTTGAGGTCAGGAGTTCAAGACAAGCCTGGCCAACATGGTGAAACCCTGTCTCTACTAAAAAAATACAAAAATTAGCCAGGCATCGTGGTGCATGCCTGTATTTCCAGCTTCTTGGGAGGCTGAGGTGGGAAAATCGCTTGAATCTGAGAGGCAGAGTTTGCAGTGAGCTGAGATCGCACCACTGGACTCCAGCCTGAACATCACAGACTGAGAATTTGTCTAAAAAAAAAAAAAAAAAAAAAACCACAAAACCCCCCAAAAAACCAAACAAATGTGTATGACAATCTGCCTTTCATTAGAGTCACACTTTCAAATGAAAATCATCTGACATTCTTCATGTGAGTGGTAAAGAAAACTTCTTGAATTTAGAAGTAAATACAAGGAAAATATTTAAAAACCACCCATATCACTCTTTTTGAAAATGTTAACATTGAAGTATTGTCCCTGAACAATGATATATACAAAATTCCAAGGCCAAGTCACCATGTGCAGATTTTCAAAATAAATGTCCAGAGGCCTATTTTATGACACTTTCGACTCTCACACTCAAAGGATTATGAAAATGTTAGGAGAGTGGAGGAGAGATAATCTGGGAGGGGGTGGATATCTATGGAGGAAACTGTTGCCGTGAACTCCTTACCCTTCTTCCTCGCCTCAAAACACATGAGGGACCTCTGATGTGTCTTAGTCCATTTGGTATTGCTATAACAGAATACCTGAGATTGGGTAGTTTATAAAGAAAAGACGTTTATTTAGTTCACAATTCTGCGGGCTGGGAACTTCAAGAGCATAGCGCCACATCTGGCTGGCTTCTGGTGAGGGCCACATACTGGGGCAAAACATGGTGAAGTGGAGCAGTAAGTGAGCATGTGCAGAGATCACACGATGAGACAGGATGCAAGAGAGAGAGTCCAGGAAGCCAGATTCACTTTTATAACAACCCACTCTCACGGTAACTAATCCGAGGGCATTAATCTACTCATGAGGAATCCACCCCCATGACCCAAACACCTCCACTAGGCCTCATCTCCCAACACTGCTGCACTGGCAATGAAACTTTAACATGAATTTTGGCAAGACAAACCACATCCAAACCATAGCATATGGGAAGCCTCGGGAGGGGCAGAGGTGCTTGTGGCCAGATTTTGGCTTGGAAACCCAAAGGCTAAGAGCTGGATGCTTTTTTGCTTGAGGCAGAGCAGGGAGAGTATTGCCGCATTGGGAATGGCCTGTACTTAGTGTACTGGGGCAAGGGATGTGTAGGTGTTTCCCACAGCCAAATATGGGGGAATCCAGGTGAGTGTCTTGGTTCCTGCCCGATAGGTCTGCTCAGAGACATCAGGAGATCCCACCCAAAGCAGCTGAAGTATTTGTCCAGATGCCTGTTTTATAATAGAGTGTATTAATAGGAAATTTGGGGTTCAGTAAGGACAGCAGACCGGGAGACAACTGCTATTGAGAAGATACAGTTCCCAGAGGAGGGGCAGGTCATGCTGTAGGGGCCACATGGAGAAGCATCAGGGTCGGTTTGGAGGCAGAGGGAAGGGAAGGAACTGTAGACAGAGCACTTCCACATTAAGGAATGGGCAGGGATAAGCAGGTTTAGGATTGGCTAGTTTGAATATTTCAGTGGGTGCTGGGACATAGGGGCTACCCCTAGTTGTCTGGTACCTGGCCCTGGGGTGATTAGGGCAGGGAATACCAGAGTGTGAGAGCTGGTAGAGGAGGTGGTGGGGCCATGCTCTGGACTGGTCGGTGTGCATTCCAAAAGCAGCTCTCTGGAGGGTTGTTTACTATCTCTGGGAATTGGCTTACCCTGGGAGGGGCAGTCCCTCCAGGGTCAGCAAGGCCCCAAGATGTCAAAGCATCAGAAACAGAAAATAAAAGAAATGGTGAATCCAAAGCCCAGGGGCTGAAGCAGTTGTGGGCTGAGGAGAGAGTCACAAGCAACAGAAATGGAGAGGCTTGCATCCCTGGGGGACAAGGGAATGGCAGGAGAGAGGTGCTCAGCAGACGACCACCAAGAGGCCCTAGACAGCATCCTTGGAAGAAGAGCCAGTTTGAGATTAGCATAGGGCTGGTCCAAGAACAATTGTGTGGGGAAAAACTCTTTCCTCTAACTGTGTTTTTCCTCTACTCTCATACCACAACAACCATCAACACAGAAGAAAACGTCTGTGACCAAATGTGTGGGGGTCTCTTCCCATCACCAAGCAGCAGCCACCAGCCAAGTGTCCTCCAATTCAATTCTGACACTGCTTACCTAAAGACAGTGCCAGATCCCACAGGTTGAGGGCTCAGTCCCCAAGACTGCTCCCTCCTTCCCTCACCATCAGTTGCAAGCCTGGGCCTCTGGAACTTCTGACGAAGCGGCTTCAGGTTGGGGTTCCCGCAAACCTCCTTTGGATTCAGTTAATTTGCTGGAGTGGCTCACAGAACTCAGGAGAACACCAAATTACATTTACTGGTTTATTATAAAAGATGTTGCAAAGATACAGATGAAGATACACATAAGACGAGATATGGGGGAAGAGACTGGGAGCTTCCATGCCCTCCCTGGGCCCCACCCTCCAGGAACCTCCCCACATGTTCAGCTATCTGGAAGCTCTCTGAACCTTGTCCTCCTGGGTTTTTAAGGAAGCTTCCTGACATCAGCATTCCTTCCTCCAGGGTATAGACTTGACCCTCTCTGGGGAGAGTCTTAAGACCCACAATCACAAAGGTGGGGGAAGATTAGAGTCCTGCCTTGGGGCAGGTTAAAAGAGGGCAGGAAAAGGTCAGAGGCCTGTCCCAAGGCCTAACACACCCAACCTTATAACAAAAGACTGTAACAAGGACTATGGGAGTTACTAGCCAGAAACTGTGGGCGAAAACCGCTATATATCATGATACCACAACAGTTCTTTCCTCTTCCCTCTTCTTCCTCCCCCACCAAGTTGAAGCCAGCTGTGGGGAAAGAATGCCCACTCCCACCCCCAGCCCACTCCTACCACTCACCTCTCCACCTTTCCTGCCTACTGTGGGATTTTGGCCTGAATCAGGTCTGAGCTGGAGGACAGGAGATTCGACTTTAAACTGGATTTCTACTTACTTTCTGTTCTCTTACCTAAGAGTGTGCTGACAAACCCTGCAACTCCTAGAGTTTTCATCTAGGTGCAGGGAGACAGTCACCCACACTACGTGAAATTGAAAAGGGCCGTGGGAGTTAGTTGACAGCAGGAGTTGTGCTTGTTGAATACACTAATTGTCTAACAGTCAGTTGCATCTCCATGTGGCTTCATTTACCATGGCTTCCTTAAAGGGACTCCATGATTTTGATTTGTTTCTAGGGAATTCTATTATTTTTAATATTCTGCTTATATAAACGTAGATTTCTTAAAAAACCACAAACTCTCGACATTATTTTCACAAAAAACCATATCTTTAAATGTATGTTATAATTCTTTGACCTTCAGCAGAGTATTATTCCATCCAGTTAGAATTTGGTTATGTGGCCATGTATCTGGAGCAAAGGTAAAAACCAAGCAGTTAGGTCCCCACCCCCACAACCTCTGTCAAGTGGAAAAGCGCAGCTCCAAAGATGCACACAGAAGGAATCCCATAGGCCCACTCTCAGCCTAGTCTCCTCCTCCCTTTTTTAAAAATAATTGTTTTAAATTTAGTTATTTGTTTTGCAAGCCAATTGCATGGCAAATTAGAAACATAAAATTAGAAGACAGGGAAAAGATTACTGAGGCGAAACATTCATAGCAAGGGAGAAAACAGACAGGCAGATATGAAACTTAAGATGTATAGCAGCCTGGGGCCACTGAATGAAGGGCAAACAAGCTAACCCAATTCTGAAGATACTGAGGGTATCACTATTAGATTAAGTAAATGGGCATTTATAGTGATAGCTGTAGATCATGAAAAAGAGTTAAATTATGTCTAATATACCTGCTTCATTGGGAAGGAAAGTATAAAATACATTTGAGTAAGAGTATGAGATTAAATAGTGAAAATGTTAATAGTTAAAATGAGTACTAGATGAAATAGTTAACTAATAGTTAATAGTTTGGTGGTTAGAGAGTCAGTTATGACTCCTTACAATTTCACGTGACAGAAAACTAGACCTAAACTGTTTAAGGCAAAAATAACTTCTTGGCAGTAATAGAAAAGTCCGGGCATATTTGGTTTCAGGAATAGCTTGATCTAGGGGCTTAAAATATATATATTTTTTTTAATCTATAAACTCTGCTATCTTGTATATTGGCTTCGTTCTTAGGCCTCAGATGATAGTAAAATGGCAGCCAGCAGCTCTTAGACACACATTATTATGGACTGAATTGTGTCCCTAAAAATTCATATGTTGAAGCCCTAACCCCCAGTGTGACTGTATTTGGAGTAAGGAAGTAATTAAGGTTTAATGAGGTCATAAGGGTGGAGCCCTGATCTGATAGGACTCATGTCTTTATAAGAAGAGACACAAGATAGCTCGTTCACTCTCTCTCTCTCCCTCTACCATGTGAGGACCCAGTGAAAAGGTGGCCATCTACAAGCCAGAAAGCAGGCCCTCAGCAGAAACTGAACCAGCCAGCACCTGGATCTTGGACTTCCCAGCCTCCAGAACTGGAGAAATAAATTTCTATTGTTTAAGCCCACCAGTCTATGGTATTTTGTTATGGCAGCTCAAGGTGACTAATACGTATCCTTCTAGGTTCAAGACTAGGAAAAGAGTATACTTTCCACCAGGACACATCTGGTTCTGATTGGACCACATGCCAGTTCTGGAATTAGTCCTGTGGCCGTGGAATTCAGTGCTCTGACTGGCCAAACCTGAGTCTTCCCCCATATCCACAGAACTAGAAGTGGGGTCAACACCATCTGAACAGCATGAATGGAGCAAGGGAAGAGAGGTACCCCCATGGTAAAATCAAGGTGCCATAGCCAAGACAGGGTGGCAAAACTATGTGTCAGTAAAATCCTCAGCTCTTTGAGAAAACATAGTTCCCCAAAGTGACCAATCCTAAGAAAGATTGGGAAACCCTGTGAGGTCTAACTGTAGCATTCTTTTCCTTAAGAAACTGACATCTGACATAAAAAGCTCTTTAATCAGCTGCAGTACATGAATATAATGTCTTATCTCTTATTTTAAATGGTTGGAGCCAGGACTCCCTTTTAAAAATAAGTGTTTATCTTCCCATTGATTTTTTTTTAATTTTTAAAATTTTTAGATGGGATCTCATTATATTGCCCAGGCTGATCTTTAACTCCTGAGCTCAAGCGATTCCCCCACCTCTGCTCCCAAAGTGCTGGGATTATAGGCATGAGCCACCATGCCTGGCCTCATTGATATTTTTGGTAGAGTTGATTTGGACCTCTGCTTCTAAAGGTCTACCAAACTCTTCTGACCTCACCGGAAGCATGAGAGGGAAAAGACTATCAAGCCTCTCAGAGAGGGACTGGAGGACACCAGCAGGCATGCTTCTGGCCCCGGTGGGTGAAGGTCTGGGGTCAGCCTCTGCTGGATTCTCTGTGGTCTAAAGTCGTGGCTCAAGTGAAGGACTAATACATACACATCCAGCCTTGGAGAAGCCTGCCCATGCTTAAGAGCTGTTTTCTGAGCTGTGCAAGAAATTCACTGCCTCGTGTGCTGTTGAGGTGTACCTTGCAGTTTGTTGTTTTGGGTTTGAACCATTCTGGTAAGAGTTTGGGAGGATGCAACATTTTGTCTGTGATGGCCTTCCTTGTCTTGTAACTACCTTTTTTTCTGATAGCTATTGTGATTTTTTTTTTTAGAGGGAATTGATTACTTGACCCACTGAAATTTACAACCAATCACCATGGCCCACAATGGTGTATCAGCTGACCCAGTATATTCTAGCCAAAAAGTGTTCTTACTGCTTTGCTCTTTCTTGCTTTAAAAACTTTCAAAATCTGGCCAGGTGTGATGGCTCATGCCTGTGATCCCAGCACTTTGGGAGGCCAAGTTTGGTGCACCACCTGAGGTCAGGAGTTCTAGACCAGCCTGGCCAATGTGGTAAAACCCCGTCTCTACTAAACAATACAAAAATTAGCTGGGCGTGGTGGCACATGCCTGTAATCCCAGCTACTCGGGAGGCTGAGGCACAAGAATTGCATGATCCCGGGAGGCAGAGGTTGCAGTGAGCCAAGATCGCACCACTGCACTTCAGCCTGGGCAACAGAGCGAGACTCCGTCTCAAAAAAAAAAAAAAATTCAAAATCTTCTTTAAAGAGAATTTTAAAACCCTTCTAAGCTGCTTTTGCCAACTGTAGTCCTGGATTTATGTTTTGCATTAAATTAATTTACTCCAGACTTTCCTAAGTACAATGCAGTATTTTTTTCATTTTGACTTTGACTCACTGAAGTGCCCTATGGTTTTCTTTCTTGGGGAATTAATCAAATTATATATATGAGATCAGATTTGAGAACTGTCTATATGTATATAAAATATATATTTATGTTTGTGGGTTTTTTGACTCTATCTTCAACCACAGAATACAACTGTTAATTTGGTTATTTAGGGGGTTTACTCTTCCCTCTTTCTCCTCCCCATCCCTCATTCCTGCCTTCGTCTCCTCCTTTTTTCCGCTATTCTTCATTTTTTTCTTCCTCTTCCTCTTCCTCTTTTCCTCCTTTCTATTCCCCTTTCCCCTCCTTTTCTGGAGCAGCTTGCTAGGCAGCAGCTAGTTAGTACTGGGAACAGAGGGTAGGAAGGCAGGAATGCGGAAACGGGTGGTCCTTTCATGACATGAACTGAAGGCACCCGGAAGTGCAGCTTCCCCCAACCCCACCGACATGACCTGACCCAGGGCCCAGAACCATCCCCATTAGAGTCTGATGTAGTCTTTGGGTTGTGGTATCCGGTCTTTCTTTAGAAAAGTCCTATAAATATGTTGTCAGTGAGAGATTAACCTCCTCCTCCCTGTTAACATACTCTCCTGAGTCAGACACCGGCCGGGGAGGAGAAGTGCCCTGCTGACGAGGAATGGTGCCAGGGAAGGTTTTGGCCGTGATGCTCCTGGGAGAAGCTCCCAGCCTTTCCAGGGCAAAACCAGAGACCACTGGGCTGGCAGTGGGAAGCAGCCTGAAGCCAAGTTTTGTGCAGTTTTGCCTTGAACTGGCCCTTCCTTGTAATTCATTTTTGTTTAAGAGAACATTGAGGTGATTGGTCAGAAAAGGCTAAGGATTTTCTGTAGATTTAATTCATCCAAAGCCCAGTGCCAGAGAAGTGATAAGTACTGTGGAACTGATGGCTGGCTTTTGGCTTTGACTGAAGATCAAGGTGCCAATCGGCCTTTCTACAAGATCATGGGCAATAAGAGCATCCCTCAAGCACTAAGGAGCTCTGTTTGGCCATCATCTACAAGAATCTATATAGTGTTGCTTCGCTCATGAGCTTATTACTGCAGGTGAAGAGGAAGGCATTATTCATGGCAATGTCTGTCTGATAGCAATGTTGCAAGATACAATGAAGTAACACGTATCAAGAATTATGCAGGGCTGGACCCGAAGAAGGATTTCAATAGTTACTCATGCTCTCATATAACAACCAGCTATTTGGCAGGTACTGTGGAACAGGACTACATTTAATCCTGGAAGGTATTCAAGAGCATGACAGACAAGCCCCTGTCCTCTAGGACCTTTGTGATCATTATTTCAAAGACTTTTTTTGGTGATCCTTATTTTGTATTCTTCTTGAGAGTAAGTTTCCTAAAGCAGAAACAATGAGGAGTAGACAAGAAATAAAATACTCCGGAAACTCCAAGGGACCTAGAGCAAAAGAAAGAGCAGAATTGAAATATTTTTAAAGCCTTATAGTATTTCCAAGAGTGAGAAAAGGGCTGCCAATGCTAGAGTTGGTGTTTGGGATTTGGCAGTTTTTACTAATAGTTGGATTGAAATGAGAAGCGTGTTGCCAGATTAATTCACAATTTTAAAACACTGCAAATGCTTTTAAGTTCAAGTCTTTGTTTTTACCTCCAAAGAGTAACTGGGTCTTCTCGCTCCCCAGACAACCCCTGTGGTCCTAAGGCCAGTGTCTGTGTCACCCACATTATGCTGTGGAGCTGCCACCACTGCGCTCCAGGCAGCTACCCTAATGCCCGCATGGATGTTTTCCTCTGCATTGACTTTCCTTTAGGGCAGAAATAGCAGAACAAGCCTGTAGTAGCCAGGGTTCTCTAGAGAAACAGAACCAATCGGAGGTGTGTGTGTACGTATGGAGAGAGAGAGAGAGAGATTTATTTTAAGGAATTGGCTCATGCGATTGCGAGGGCTGACAGGTCTGAAATCCGTAGGTTGGACTGGCAGACTGAAGGCCAAGAAAAGAGTTGATTCTGCAGCTCAAGTCCAAAGACAGTCTGGAGGCAGAATTCCTCCCTCTTCTTCAGGGGACATTAGCCTTTTTGTCTTAAGACTTTTAGCTGATTGGATGAGGCCCACCCACATGATGGAGAATAATCTGCTTTATTCAAAGTCTACTGATTTAAATGTTAATCTCATCTAAAAAACACCTTCACAGTGACATTTAGGCTGGCATTTGACCAAACATCTGGGCATCGTAGCCTAGTCAAGTTAACATGTAAAATTACCCAACACTAGTTCTTGCCTCGCCAACTTGGCACTCATATACATTTCTTGAAACAGTACTTAATCGTCAATAAAGAGTATAACAAGACACAATTCTGACTAACATGATACAACTATCCTGTATACAATCGAAAATACACTAACCCTTTCCCCAGAAGAAGAAATAAAGTCCTCGGGTGATGTTCGAGCTTCCCCTTGATATCCTGTAACTTCAATACTGTGGTATTAAGTCAATACATCTTAGGTTGAATGATAAGGAGATGAGAGAGGGAAGAAAACAAAAGATGACTTTTATTTTTAGTTGACACATAATAATTGTACATATTTATGGGGTACAGAGTGATATTGCCATACATGGATACAGTGTGTAATGATCAAGTCAGTAATTAGCTTATCTATCACCTCGAACATTCATTTCTTTGTTTTGTGAACATTCAAAATCCTCTCTTCTAGTTTTTTGAAAGTATACACTAAATTATTGTTAACCACATTCACCCTGCAGTATTAGGGAACACTAGAATGTATTCTTATTTAGCTGTAGTTTCATATCCATTAAGCAATCTCTCCCTGTCCCCGCTCCTACACTTCTGAGCCTCTGTTAAACACTGTGCTGTTCTCTACTTCTATGAACTCAAATTCTTTAAGCTTCTATATATGAGTGAGAACATGCAGAATTTATCTTTCTGTTCCTGACATATTTCATTTAACATAATGTCCTTCAGGCTCATCCGTGTTGCCATAAGTGACAGGATTTCATTCATTTTTATGGTTGAATAGTATTCCCCTGTGTATATATACCTCGTTTTCTTTATCCATTCATCTGTTGATGGGCATTTAGGTTGACTTCATATCTTGATTATTGTGAATAATGCTGCAGTGAACATGGGGGTACAGGTCTATTCACAATAACAAAGACATGGAATCAATCTAGATGCCCATCGACAGTGAACTGGATAAAGGAAATATGGTACTTATACACCATGGAATAGTATGCAGCCATAAAAAAGAATGAACTCATGTCCTTTGCAGTGACATGGATGCAGCTGAAGGCCATTATCCTAAGTAAATTAACACAGGAGTAGAAAAACCAAATACCGTATGTTCTCACTTATAAGTAGGAGCTTAACATTGAGTACACATGGACATAAAGATGAGAACAAAAGACACTGGAGGACACTGGGGACTTCTAGAGGGAGGAGGATGAGAGGTGGGTGAAGGCTGAAAAACTACCTATCAGGTACTATGCTCAGTACCTGGGCGATTTTTTGGTTTCATACACCAAACCTCAGCAACACTCAGTTTACCCATATAACTAACAAACCTACACATGTACCCTCTGAACCTAAATTAAAAGTTGAAAAAAAATGTTACCTGCATTTTAGAGCCTAAAAACCTCCATGGGGGCACAGGTGTCCCTTTCATATACAAATTCCCTTTTCTTTGGATAGATACTCAGTAGTGAGATGGCTAGATTGTATGGTAGTTCTACTTTTAGTTTTTAAAGAAACCTCCATACTGTTTTCCATAATCGCCGTACCAATTTACATTCCCACTAATAATGTATAATAGTTTCCTTTTCTTCACATCCTTTCCAGCATTTGCTATTTTTGGTCTTTTTGATGATAGCCATTCTAACGGAGATGATATCTCATTGTGGGTTTGATTTTCATTTCCCTGATGATTAGTGATGTTGAACATTTTTTCGTATACTTGTTGGCCTTTTGTATGTCTTCTTTTTAGAAATGTCTATTTATATCCTTTGCCCACTTTTAAATCACATTATTTGATTTTTTGCTGTTCAGTTGGAAAACAAAGATTTTTGTTTTACATACATATAACATACGCATATACAGAAAAAACATATTCATAACAAAATAGGAAGAAATACTCACTACAATTACAAATACTAATTTCTGTAACAGGTCACATGGTCATAGCTGGTATAAGTTGAGCATCCCAAATACAAAAATCCAAAATGCTCCCGCATCCAGAACTTTTTGAGTGCTGACACGATGCTCAAAACAAATACTCATTGGAAAATTTTGGATTTTGAATATTCAAATTTGAGATGCCCAATCAGGTATAATGCAAATATTCCAAAATCTGAAAAAATAAAAAATCTAAAACATGTTTGGTCCCAGCATTTCGGATAAGGGATACTCAAACTGTATTTGTAACTACCTTCTTCTGCCACCCATTCCATATTCCCTTTGCCCTCAGCAAGCACCTCATGGTTCTTTACCTGGTGAAGTGACACAAATCTTCATTCTTGAAGGGTCTAGGACATCAGTAGTCTTGCCTGAATTGGGTTGTAGTTTTCCATTGACTTTAATCACAAGACATGGTAATACTAAGAGACACCTTAAGTCATCTCCTGTATTCTAGACATATTCTTCCTTACCTCCATTTTTGAAGAACAGTTCATTTTCCCCTTGGTAATTAGTGGAACACAATTGCTTCTATCTTCATCTGTTGATTCAGAGGAATGAGGAAACCATGTAGCAGTCTTAACTTCCAGTTCAATAGAATGATCGTCACGTCTCCTGGTAGAAGCATTTCTTCCTCTGGAACTAAGACCTCTCGACCACCAGAGCAGAAGGCAGCTGGGATTGGAAGCTAGTTGATTACTAGGGTTTATAGTGAGTGATGCCACTCCCATTTCTACCTCTTGATTCCTGAACTCGTGAATCTTGGCTATCAGAGAAACCATATGTTGTACAATGATTCAGAGCAGATACTGCTTTCTGGAGAAACTTGCCTCAGCCCCGCAAGGTACTGCCACCTAGTAGTTTTCACCTACAGTGAAAACTCACTGTAACTGAGTTTTCAAAAGGCCATTCCACTGTTGTATTAAGCCACCTGTTCAGGATGGTGGGGAAAGTGGTGAGATTAGTGAATTCCATGACCATGGGCTCACTGCTGCATTCCATTTGTTGTGAAGCGAGTTCTTTGATCAGAAGCAATACTATGTGGATACTATGACAGTAAATAAAGCATTCTGTAAGTCTACAAATGTAGTTTTGACAGAAGCATTGCATGCAGAGAAGGAATTTCTGTATCCAAGTAAGTGTCCATTCCAATAAGAACAAAACACTTCCCCTTCCATGATAGGACAGTTCAAAGTAATTAACCTGCCACCAGGTAGCCAGCTGATTACCCTGGAGAATGGTGCCATATTGAGGACTTGGTATTGGTCTCTGCTGCTCGCAGACTGGGAACTCAGCTGTGGTGAGTGGAAGTACATTTTGCTGAGCCCAGGGATAAACTCCATCCCTGCCCCCATGGCTACTTTGTTATGAGCCCACTGGACAATGATAGAAGTGGATGGGACAGAGGCTGCCGGGTATCCACAGAACAGATCCTCCTGTCTACTTGGGAAGCATTCACCTAGGACATGTTTCTTAGCCATTTAGAGAGGGTTTTCACTCAGACCCTTCCCCAGATCTTCCTGTCACCAATTTTCCAATCATGTTCCTTCAAAGTCCCTGGCCATCCAGTCAAAGAATTGGCCACAGCCCATTAATCAATATGTAATTTCACATCTGGCCATTTCTCCTTCCAAGCAAAGTGAACAACCAGCACACTGCTCAAAGTTCTCCCTACTGGGAGGATTTCCCTTCACCACTGTCCTTCAGGATGTCCCAGAAAGGCACAAATGTGCTGCAGCTGTCCACTTTCAGGTGATGCCTCCATATCTTGCAATACCTGGTCTAAAACAGGCCTAAGTTTTCTCTTTCTTTGTTAACTGATCACAAGGAACTCACCATAATGCTGTAGATGTGGAATGTAGCAGGAGTGTGGAGTGTGGCGTTCTTTGCATAGCTTACTTGTGTAGAGGCTGCTTGGATCCAATCTTATGTATACCACTTCCATTTGATGACGGAATGCTGCTGTGCTTGCCCAACTTATGGCTTCGTGGGTCAGATAACACCCAGTTCATAATGGTCAGCTCACATCACATAGTGACTTCATGGCCCATGGTTAAGCCTTCTGTCTCTACTAAGACCCAGTAGAAAGTGAAAAGCTGTTTCTCAAAAAAAAGTTATCTGCAGAGGATGGCTTATATGTAGACGGTGGCAGGACTTTGCTCCAAAATCCTAAGGGTCTGCACTGTCGTTCACTTATGTGGGCCTGCTGAAGGCTCCAAAAAGCATCCCTATCTGCCACTGACACTTAAAAGCACCATTAGATCTGCTCAGTCATATGCTTTAAGTGGCAGAACAGCTTACACAGCAGCCTGGACCTGCTGCAGAGCCTTCCCTTGTTCTGGGACTCACACTACTGGACCCTTAGAAATTTAACTGAGGTAGAAGACTCTGGATGTTTTATTGCATTTAATTTTTACCTCCTGACACCCAAATGTCTTACCAATAAGTCTAGAGTAGTTGCTACTTCTTGTTCACTAGCTCCAATTAGCATAATGTCCTCAATGTAATAGACCGATGTGATGCCTTATGGAAGGGAAAGGTGATCAAGATCCCTGTGACCTAAATTATGACACAGGACCAGAGTTGATAGACCCCTGATGTAGGACAGTGATATAGTTTGGATGTTTGCCCCCTCCAAACCTCGTGTTGAAATCTGATCCCCAATGTTGTAGGTGGGGCCTGGTGGGAGGTGTTTGGATCATGGAGATGGATCCTTCATGAATGGCTTAGTATTGTCCTCCTGATAGTGGGTGAGATCTCTCTCTGAGTTCACTTGAGATCTGGTTGTTTAAAAGTGTGTGATACCTCCCCCTACCTTGCTTCTGTTCTTGCTATGTGATGTACTGGCTCCCCTTTACCTTCTGCCATGGGTTGTAAGTTCCCTGAGACCCTCACCAGAAGCAGATGCTGGCACCATGCTTCCTGTACAGCTTGCAAAACTATGCCAATTAAATTTCTTTTCTTCATAAATTACCTAGCCCCAGGTATTTCTTTATAGCAACATAAAAATAGCCTAATACAGACAGTGAAAGTATATTGCTGGCCTGGCCAGTTGAAAACAAACTGCTTGTTGGTTTTTACTAAAGGTGTGAAGGAAAAAAGCATTTGCCAGACTAACAGCTGCATTCCAG
Source organism: Homo sapiens (assembly GCF_000001405.40). NCBI lineage: Eukaryota > Metazoa > Chordata > Mammalia > Primates > Hominidae > Homo > Homo sapiens. The sequence continues at coordinate 23,805,166 of NC_000018.10, forward strand.
GTGTCAGGTGATATGTTAATTTGCTCAAGCAATGAAGCCACATCTAGTATAGCAGCTGCAATTGGAGTTGCTACCTGGTTAAGTTTATAATAATCTACTGTCATTATCCAGGATACATCTATGTTCTGTACAGGCCAAATAGATGAATCGAATGGGCAAGCAGTAGGAATCACCACCCCTGCATCTTTCAAGTCTTTGATGGTAGCCCTCATCTCTGCAATTCCTGCAGAAATGTTGTATTGCTTTTGGTTGTACTATTTTCCTAGGTAGAGGCAGTTCTAATGGCTTCCACTTGGCCTTTTCCATCATAATAACTTCCACTCCATAGGTCAGGGAACCAATGTGAAGATTTTGTCAGTTGCTGAGGATGTATATTCCAGTTATGAATTCCAGAACTGGGGAAATAACTACAGGCTGAGTTCAGGAACCCACTGCCCTCATTATAAGATGGACCTGAGTTAAAGCTTCATTGATCACCTGACCCCCATAAACCCATACTCTGACTAGAGGGCCACAGTGACATTTTGGGTCTTCTAGAATTGGTGTCAATTTAGAGCTGATGTCCACTAATAGAAAGAATAGAAAGATCTGATTATTTCCTTTTTGCCAGTGTGTAGTCACCTTGGTAAAAGGCCATAGGTCCCTTTGGAAAAGGCTGGGAGAAAGATTTACCTTATAAATGTTTGGCGGTGGAGTGGAGTTCTTCCACAATAGTACCTACTCTCCCCTTCATTCAAAGAGTTCTGGGTCTGTAAACCAGCTCAGGTCTGGTAATTGATTGAGGGGATATGACTCTATTTTTATGTTTCAAGTTAGACTTGTTCATTTGACCTACAACTCTTCCACTTCTACAAAGCAAGTCAGAATTTGCTAGACTTCCCAGCTGTTTCACTTCCAGGAACACCATGATCAACTAGTCAGCATAGGTCTCTGAGTCAGACTATTTTGACTGCTGTTTCAACTCCATTGTCCATTATGGTAACCACACCCGCCTTGCTTTTGGTGGTTTATTGCCACCACTTGGCTGCCACCAACCTGGGGCCCAATTACCCCCATTGCACTTAGGTTTTCCAACTTGATGGCAGCAGTTTCCACATCCTTGACATCTATTCTCACAGATATTCCTCAAATTGCTGTCTGTCTGTTTAAATTGGAAAAATCATTTAGTTCTTTTGAAGTGTAGCGCACCTTCTCATGGGTCATACTTTGTACTTCACCTTTCAGGGCTTGCTGGGATTTGAGTCCAGTTATCAGTTGATAAGGAAAGTGGGATGGGGGTGGGTCCTGAAGAGAATCAGTGGGGTCTTCCATGACAGCTGCCTCAGGGGAGGCCATTACAGTTTTCTCGGGCAAAGCAGGGTTAACCTGCTCAAACATGGGTTGGGGGGTGCAGTTGCTTCTTCTGACAAAGAAGACTCGTTGGAATTTAGGGGTTCAGTGTCCCCATCTTCGTCATGATCTTCCCATATGTCCCCAAAGCAATTTTCAAAGTCCTATTCCTTCCCAATCTATGCCCCCACTTTAACAGCAGATACTCTGCAAGGTTTGGAATTTAACTTGCATTGCAATTCAGACCTCGCAGGATGAAGATTCTTGGTTTGGTTTTCTGCAGTCTCAGCTCTGAGGCTGTAGGAGATAAGGATTTCTTTCTAGGAAGGCATAGAAACTTTCAGGTCATTTATGCTGCATCTGAGTGGGAATTCAAATCCCTCAACTCCTTTTCTTTCCCACTTTGTCCAGCCCAATTAGGAGCAACCAGCCAAGTTCATTATGCCCATTAGTTTGACGGAAATGTTCTACGTTATCAAATACGTGGTCACCCAGAACCTTGCCTATCATAATTATTTGATTAGGAGTATCTAATAGTGATATTTTTGTGTATCTCTATTACCACATCACACCGATGACTATCAGTGCTTTATTCACTATTGGAACTAGAGTCATTAGTGCTTCTAAATCTAGTCATTTAGAGAACCAATTCCAGAAACCCCCAAACCAATTCAGAGAATTTATTCTTAAAATTCTGTTCCTGGCTGGGCATTGTCTTATGCCTATAATTCCAGCACTTTGGGAGGCTAATGTGGGACAGTCACTTGAGGCCAGGAGTTTGAGACCAGCCTGGGCAACATAGTGAGACCCTACCTGTATTTATGAATTTAAAAAATTCTGGTCCTCTAAGAATACTTCTCTTGGTACCAAAATCTGTATTAGTCAGGGTTCTCTAGATAGATAGATAGGTACGTAGATAGAGCTTATCTAGTTACCTATGTACATATAATATATATTGTGTGAGTGTGTGTGTGTGTGTGTGTATGTGTGTGTGTCTGTGTGTGTATGTGTGTGTAGGGATGGGGAGAGTTTTATTTTAAGGACTTGATTCACACAGTTGTAGGGGCTGGCAAGTCCAAAATCTGCAAGGTAGGCTAACAGGTTGGAGATGCAGTCAAGAGGTGATTTTGCATCTTGAGTCCAAAGGCAATCTGTAGGCAGAATTCCTTCTTCCTTGGTGGACATCTGTCTTTTTCTCTTAAGGCCTTCACCTGATTGGATGAGGACCACTCACATGATGGAAGATAATCTGCTTTACTCAAAGTCTACTGATTTAAATGTTACTCTCATCTAAAAAATACCTTCACAGCACCATCTAGACTAGTGTTTGACCATTTGGCAACATAGTTAGCCAAGTTGACACAAAATTAACCACTGTAGAACCCAAGAACATTTCCTCAGAATTCTACCACTAGGTAGAGACTTAACCTCTGCAGACAGGCCAGCTGGGACTATGGGCCATGAGAGAAGACAGGTGGAAATGGCAGTAGGAGATCTGAGTGTTTGTCCTTCTGTCTGCCAATAGCTAGGGGAGCATTAGACACGCTTTATATGGAGTGGGTAGTGTCTTGTGGGGGTGCTTTATGCTATGTCAGTCATTCTCTAGTCTTTGTTCTGGATTTTTAGATCTTAGAGATCAGGGAATACAGTCAACACCCAACACCCAGTATCCATGGGGGATTGGTTCCAGGACCATCCATGGGCACCAAAAGGCAAGGATACTCAAGTCTCTGATATAAAATGGCACAGTATTTGCAAATAAACTACACACATCCTCCTATATAAATTAAATTTCTAGATTACTTATAATACATAATATAATGTAAATGCTACATAAATAGTTATATTACATTATTATTTTATTTGTATTATTTTTGTTATTTTTTAGTTGTGTATTTTTCTGAATATTTTTGATCTGTGTTTGAATGCATGGATCCAGAACCCACAGATATGGAAGGCTAACTATATGTGTTTTTGTATTTACCTCCACCGTAACACCTAGCAAGGGTGCTGCTGGAACACAGTAGGCCTTCAATCAATGTCTGCTGGATGGATGACTGTAAAATAGGAAAGTGAAATGATAGTAAATTCTCTGGGTCTGCAAGTACTTGTGTCTCTCTGAACAAGTCACATAGCCTGTTGAAACTCCCAGGTAATTTGTAAGTGAGTAAACTAGCCGAGTTCCCCTCCATCAGTGAGAGTTTCTTTTACGTTTCTGATGACAACACAGGTAAATTCTGTCGTTCACCATCATTTACTAAAAAGCACTTTCAGAGAAATTCACCATACATGGGCTGGGCTGTCACAGAGAATGAAAATAACATGGTCTCGTCCCTGTGGGGGCCCCATGCGCCAAGGCTTAGATTCCAAGGCTACCTGTAAATAAATTACCAGAACTGGGGCTTTACCTTATGAATCTTTTCTTTCCTAAGGCTCCAACTAGCATGGAATTTTTGAAACCTTGCAAACAAGGTTGTATCTTTTACTGTGTACACTACACTGGATAAAAATTTGGAAGTCAGATATACTAATTCATTGATTTTCATTAATTCAGTGTGGGAAAGTGTAAAGAGCACCTCCCCAAGCACTGGGGGACTTGGGTAATTAGAATAATAATGTTAATAAGTGTGAACACTTCCTGAGCATTTCGGCTGTGCGAAGCATCGTGCTCAATGCCTTATTGCTGATGATTCTCTGATAACTTCATAAAGTAGGTGCTATTATCAGCTCCAGTTTACAGAAGAGGAAACTGAGGCTTAAAGAAGCTAAGCAACTAGCCGTGATTGCAGGGCTGTTAAGTGGCACAGCTGGTACTGGAATCCAGATGTGTCTGACTCCAAAGACTGAAGCCCTTTATTAGAGACTAATCCATTGACTTTAAAAATGCCATTTAACTTCTGAACTTCACCATGTAATAATGGGATTCAATGAGATGCTCTCTCTAGTTTCTTTCAGTTCTTAAGATGTAGAACTCTTCAGCCGGAGAAGTCAGTCAGGTCAATTCCACTGCTCATCCCTCTCCAGAAGAAGGGTTTTTGCAATGCAAATGGGGACGACCTTGTGCAACTCCAGCCCATAGAAGTCTAGTCTCATAGAGACTAGTAGGGACCTGATCCAGTGGGAAGGGGGCCAAGAGGAGAATGAATGGCCAGCATCTGTTCTCTCCATCCACACGTGTTTATTCATCACTTAGCCAAAGATCATGGTAACAGCTTGGGGGAGGGAGGAAACTAGGATGCCTTTCCCATCCTTTTCAATGTTGCCTGCACCATTTTTTCCATGACTACTTAACTACACTAGACATTGAGAAAAGAGGTATAAAGAGAGGAGGAAAGAGAAGATCAGGGACAGTTGTAGGCTGATCTGGCCTGGAATGGCTTGCACTTGATATGGAATATCAAGTGGGATATGGAATTAAAGTGGCCCTCCAGTGAGTCACATCCCCCATCAGTTGTTCCCTGCATCCTCCTCCTACAAATACTGGTTTCTGTAGGTGAGCAGAATCCCCAAAACCATCACCCAGCACCTGCAAATCTTGCTGAATATGAAATTCATGACAGCAATAAAAACTAGCAGTTATTGAGTGCTCGCTATGATAGGCATTGTCCCAAGCTCTTTTAAGTATTATCTTATGCAATCCTCACAACAAGTTATCAAATAAAAATTAGTGTCACTCCCACTTAAGGAAGGAGAAACTGAGGCTTAGAGCAGTTGAGTGGCTTGTTTCAGGTTCCCGATCTCATAAGAAGTGGAGCTGGAATTTGTGTTTGGGTCTTTCTGGCTCCACCCTCATGCTCTGCTCCGGGACGTGGTTCTTCCCCCTCCCATACCTGCAACCCCCGCCTAAGTCTGATTGAATTCTTTCATCCAGCCTGCTGGTGTTCAGCCCTTGGATCCTACCAGATGCCCTGCAGCTCAGTGACTGGACAGTGTGAATGTCGGCCAGGAGTTACAGGACAGCGGTGTGACAGGTGTCTCTCAGGAGCTTATGATTTCCCCCACTGCCAAGGTAGGAAAGTCAGCAGATTGCTAGAGGGCTGGTTCCTCTCTGAAGTGTGTGCAGCCAGCCTCCCAGAGAAGCCTGCAAATCCCCCACAGACTCACCACTGGCCACCCCCACATCCTGCTTTCACAGATCTAGTCTGCTTGGTTCCTCACCTGTTCAAGTCTGGTTTGAAAACACGTATATCATATATGTACCCTCAAAGGAATCCAGAAATGATTTTTTTAACTAAAAATAATGTAAATTTCCATGTGCTATACATGTGGGTTTCTTGGTTCACATGTCAGTTTTCTGTGGATAGCATTGTGGCATAGGTGACTCCTTTGAGTTAAAGGGGCCATTTGTTGTCTTCTGTCCCGAGGCATCATGCCTTCTTTCGCTCCCAGCTTGTGGTGCTAATGCTGGCAGCACTGTAATGTTTCTAACAGATCCACTTGCCAGCAGGCTTAGCAGGACCTTTGCTGTGTTTCGGGCCTCTCTCCCTGCCCTCCTCTGGCCTTCTGGGGGACCGTGTCATCGTACTTCAGCCCAAGTGTTGGGGAAGGCGGGTGGGATGCACTGGAGTCTATGCAGTTTGGAGAGAGTGCACTGAGGGGGAGATGAAAACCAAGCCTGCAGCTGTGGGACGTGGTTGGTATTCATCCCTCTGTTGATATGAGAGATTAAGGCTTGCCCATGTACCATGGCAGAGGGGACAGAAATGAGATGTCCACAAATTTCCCTGGGCTCCCTGGTGTGTGCAGCCAGAGAGCAGACCAGTAGCTCTTGTCAATTTCGGAGAACTCTTGCTACTGTGAAGAGGTGTTTGTGGAAGGCTGACCCAGACTATCCATCAGGAGAATGTGGTTTCTCAGACCCCTTCCTGCGCTTTGAAGACAGGACTGACTTCATTTCCCAGAATCTTCCTAACCAGAATCCTCTGGAGACCAGGTTTCCTTGAGGGTGGAAGTTGCAGCAGGCAGTCAGAGGTGGGTGCTTGCCTTTCAAAAGGCCTGAAGGTCCCTAGGATGCGAGGGCATCCTGCATGGGTCTGCTCACCTCCATGGGCCTCAGGAGCAGAAGGAAGTGCTGTGGCTGCCTGGCAGAGAAGCTGAGCAGCCACAGTCATCCCAGGGCTAGATGGCAATGTTTGTGTCCTGGAGAGGAACCCGAGGTTGGGCATGGAAAACAAACAGCTGGAAATTTGTGTTGGGTATTACGGAAAAATGCAGGGAACAGGAGAACATCAGAAAAGAAAGAGAGGGCAGGGTGGCTCATGCTTGTAATCCCAGCACTTTGGGAGGCTGAGGCGGGAGGATTGCTTGAGGCCAGGAGTTGGAGACCAGCCTGGGCAACATAATGAGATCCTGTCTCTAGAATTTTTATTTATTTTTGATTTTATTTTATTTTTTTTTGAGACAGAGTCTCGCTCTGTCCCCCAGGCTGGAGTGCAGCGGCATGATCTCAGCTCACTGCGAGCTCTGCCTCACGGGTTCAAGCGATTCTCCTGCCTCAGCCTCTCGAGTAGCTGGGATTACAGGCATGTGCCACCATGCCTAGCTAATTTTTTGTATTTTTAGTAGAGATGGGGTTTCACCATGTCAGCCAGGATGATCTTGATCTCCTGACCTCGTGATTTGCCCGCCTTGGCCTCCCAAAGTGCTGGGATTACAGGCGTGAGCCACCACTCCCAGCCTCTAGAAAATATTTTTTAAAATAACCGGGCATGGTGGTGCATGCCTGTCATTCCAGCTCCTCAGAAGGATGAGGTGAGAGGATCACTTGAGCCCAGGCATTGGAGGTTGCAGTGAGCTATGATCGTGCCACTGCACTCCAACCTGGAAGACAGAGCAAGACCCTGTCTCAAAAAAGAGAGTGAGAGAGAGAATGAAAATCATCAAGGGGAAGCTGAGGCAGACAGAAGCAAACAAAGCCAATAGGGTTAAGGAACAATTTATAAGCAAACAAGATCCTATTATGGATTTATTTAAATGATTTGAAAAACCAGACTCAGAACAGACTTACCCAGTTCAAACACTGTGTAATTGTAATACTGAAACATTGCAAGATCCCAATTTATTGAAGAGAGATTATATTTGGTTTGTAGTGTTATACTAAGTCAGGAAAACAAACCAATTGATTTTATAAATAACTTTAGTACGGGTGGGAACAAGGAGGTGTGATAATTAAAGATGTACTTAGAAATTCTAGAACGTCTTTTAAATGGGCAATTAAAAGTCTCTTGGTACAATATTGCCCTCTTCTGGACAATACTAATGATGCTCAAAATTTTAGAATCTTTCCCTAATCTCCTCCTTCATCATCAATTAGAAGTGAACTGTCATGAGTAGACAGGATAGGGATTTGTTCAGTGGCAAAAGAGGTAATTTGGGGATTAAGGACCATAAATGTCATTCAAGATGCCTGACTATGAATTGCATGCAGACTTTGCCACACATCTATCGAAAATATAAATGTAGATACACTATTTTTGAAAACAAAACGTTTAAAACTTGAAACATCAAAACAAAGAGAAAAACAAACTACCAGATAATTTAAAAATTTCTGAATCATATTCAGGTTCCAGCAGTGCTTGTGACCCAGCTGGTACCATCAACTCCAATTTGGTAAGTAGACTATAAAAGGGTTGCAATTCTAACTATCTCTATTATTCTCATGCATATTAAGGACTAACAGTGTGGGCACTTCCAGAAATTAAAATAAGACCCAAGGCTAAATTGCTTAAAGAGGTCATTGTTGTTTTTCAAAGAGCATATGTGATTTTGTGATTTTTTTTTTCAAAAACAAAAGAATAAGATTTAGTTAAACTTGTTACTCTGGAGTCCTAGAGTTTAACTCTTACTGCAGGTTTGTAGGTTACTCAGAGGGTGTTGCCTCTGTGGAGCCCTGCATGTAAGTCTGACAAACATAATTAATAACATTGAGAAAATCAATGGCCAAGGACACATTAAATAAAGTTGGCTGTGTACAAAATAATTACAATTTATTTTATATTATTCCAAGCACAATACCATGGTATTCTGAACATTTTTTTTCTTTTTCTTTTCTTTTCTTTCTTTTTTTTTTTTTTTTTTTTGCTCTTGTCGCCCAGGCCGGAGTGCAGTGCCGCGATCTCAGCTCACTGCAACCTCCGCCTCCTGGGTCAAGCGATTCTTGTGCCTCAGCCTCCGAGTAACTGGGATTACAGGCACGCCCCACCACACCTGGCTAATTTTTGTATTTTTAGTAGAGATGGGGTTTCACCATGTTGGCTAGGCTGGTCTCGAACTCCTGACCTCAGGTGATCCACCTGCCTCAGCCTCCCAAAGTGCTGGGGTTACAGGCGTGAGCTACCACACCCGGCCTATTCTGAACAATTTTCTGAGATAATTTAGAAATTGTCTGTCTTCTTGGCCTCAGAGCCTAGAGATGCCGACTTCCAGGCACAGAATGGATGGAGTGAAAGAGGTTCTGCCATCCTTCCCATAAGCCTTGATGACATTGATGCAAGGCTGTGAATCTTGCATATTACAAAAGCACTCTCAGATAAACAATTCTTTACTGATTTTCAACATGTTAAATATTCAGACATTTTTTCTATTTAAATTGGTAGTCTATGCTGTAACAGTATCAACAGACACTGACAATGTTATAAATAAGAGTGATTTTTAAATTTTCTTTCTCCTTATTTTCCAGTTTCTTTTTAACCACAAATGCGGATTACATGCATAACAAATAAATGAATAAAAATAAACAAAAGCAATTAGCAGACTGTTGAAATCAACCCAGTATTTTTTCCCCCTGGATACACTTAATTACTTTTCATGACCAAAATATGTTTCTGTGACAAGTCTTTGCTCACGCACAGGTTTGAAAACATGTCTTAATTCCAAGATGTCAAATGTTTGTTTGATTTTCATTCAAAGGGGTATTGCCAATGCAAGCTTCATGTTGAAGGTCCTACTTGTAGCCGCTGCAAACTGTTATATTGGAATCTGGACAAAGAAAACCCCAGTGGATGTTCAGGTAGGTTTCTTATATGTCATAATTTACTATATTATAATGTTCTCTTAATTTTCTCTGCCTCAGTGACTAAATCCACAAAAGAGCTATTTGTTGAATCACTTCAATTTGACAAGATTCTATGTAATGTTCTGATGTTTTCCCCCCACTTTTGACAGAATTTCTGTCACTTTCAAAATCTTAGCAAGGGATTTCTATCCTGTTTCTGTATGTATTTTGTTGTTTGAGAAGGCAGCTACTTGATAAATGGTTTTTATGTCCTTGTTTTTATAATTTACTTTTTCTGGTTTAATTTTAATTTTATGCTTATATCAGAGCCAGTATAAGGACTTAAAAACACCGAGTTAAGGATACTGAATAACCTTGAATAGAGTGTATTTTCATGCATGCATATCAGTAATGACCTCGGCATTGGAATCATTCAAAAATCCCATGATGTTGCAGCTTTTGTCATGAAGTAGCCATGAACTAGCTGTTACTTTTTGTAAATGGATAGTGTGGATTGGTCTGTTCTGCCAACTTCAGAAAGCAGTCTAATTTTAGGCCTCAGCGATGCAAACTCTCATTCTGTTGAACTGCGCTGGCAAGGCCAACTGCACACGTTGTGTTGCAGCTGTGTAATGTTCCCAGAGCCAGGAACTGTCTTTTGTGTCTCCCTTAGTTCAAGGATGCTCTCTTATCTCCACAGAATGCAAGTGCCATAAGGCGGGAACAGTGAGTGGAACTGGAGAGTGTAGGCAGGTAAAGTGGGCTGAGTTTTCATGTGACAACAGCAGAATGCTACAGCAACTGCTTGTGGGGTTTCTGGGGGCGTGTGTTAGTACTTCTGTCATTCTACAGTGCATGGTAATCCTTTCCAGATCCTGGCTACACTGCTTCCTATTATACAGTGAGGCAGTTTTCAATCTTGAAGATTAGTGAATTCTGTAATTATATCAAATGTTGTCATCTGGCTCACTGTTCTGCAGGGAGATGGTGACTGTCACTGCAAGTCCCATGTGGGTGGCGATTCCTGCGACACCTGTGAAGATGGATATTTTGCTTTGGAAAAGAGCAATTACTTTGGGTGTCAAGGTAAATAAGTCCATTGGGCCCTGAGCAAAGCACAGTGTTGATGGACAAAGATGGTCTAAATAACATTTCTTCTGAGTTTGTCATCTTCACGCAGACTTTCTGATGGAATGGCCCTGAAACATTCTGTCCAGGGAATTTGGCCAAACATTGATTACATTGAAACTAGTAAATTGCAAGTGGGGCTGTTTCTACTTCTCTTCTACCAGCACACTGTGGGTTTAATGATAAGAAACATAACTGGGATGGGAGGGCATCTGTTAGTTTTATAAATAACATCAATATTTAGTAATTTTAAAGATATATTTTATATTATCAAAAATGCTAGCATCAGATTTTTAGAGACAGTGTTGTGTTAAATAATGAAATTGCAGGACAGGTGCCCCGCAAGGCTACTCTTGAATCTCTCGCTCGGCCCCTGGTTATCACATGTTCTTTAGAACAGCACTGTTTCTGAAGCGCGTTTACTCCTGGGCTGCTGTTGTCTTTGCATTGGACAACAGCATTTGAGCTGGCTTATAGTAGCCGCCTCCAACTTAGAAGCAGACCTTTGGAAAGACACCATTTTAATTTTGTTTTTGTTTTTGTTTTGGTTTTGGTTTTGGTTTTTGTGGTTGAATCTGATTTCCAAGCGCGGACACACCATTTTGGTTTGGGAGTTTCCAAGATTTCAAACACTTGCCAGACAGATGTGGCAGAGGAAAGAAGGCAGGCACTGTGTCACTGGGATGGTCAGTTTTCCTTTCTTGTACAGCAGGGGAGGCGCTCAGTGTGGAGATGGTTTAAGGTATAACTGCTGCTGTTTCCTGGCTTTCAGGGTGTCAGTGTGACATTGGTGGGGCATTGTCCTCCATGTGCAGTGGGCCCTCGGGAGTGTGCCAGTGCCGAGAGCATGTCGTGGGAAAGGTGTGCCAGCGGTGAGTCTTCGGGAGGCTTCTTCCCATGTTCAGGGTGTGAAAGATGGTCTTAGACATTCCTGCCTGTGCTACAGCTCTGGAGAAGAGAGAAGCAGCCCTAAAGATCGAGGTCAGGGGAAGCTGTCCTATGTCAATTGAAATCTGGACATTTGTGTGTGAGTTGTTTAAAACAGGAGATTACTTTGCCCATAAAGCCTGTTCTACTGTGTAGACCATGAAGTACTTTCGCTTGAAAATTCCCACAGGTACAAAAACCAGGTGGGCAAGACGAGAGCTGGAAGCATGAAGTGGGTTCTCAGGGCTCAACTTCCATGTGCAAGTTGGAGCAGGAGGAGCCCACAGATAGGCCCGCTCCAGGGAGAGAGGGAATAAGAGGGGGTGGTGCCACACACCCAGTTGCCTGGGCCAATAAGAAAGGGAATAAGAGGGGGCAGTGCGACATACCCAGGTGCTTGGGTCAATAAGAGAAGGCATAAGAGGGAGTGCCACCACACACCCAGGTGCCTGGGCTAATAAGGTTCAGTTCCTGTTTCCCTCTTGGGACCCAGGAGTGAGGAAGTAGAGAGGCCAAAGTTGTTCCCCAGGGTTGCGGTGGGGGTAGAGGGTAAGAAAACTTTGGAAGTGGGGAAGAAGTACTTTGTCTCATGCAGAAGCAGGTGACAATGAACTATAGGAGCGAGGGAATGAGGTGGAGATTGAGACTGGGGAACTATAGGAACTATGGTATTGTTCCATCTCTTAAGCCATTATATTTTACCATTTATAAACGTTTTGAAACCTTGATGTTTCATCCATGATTTTTCCTCTGTGAAGGGAAAAAAAGTAACTTCTGAATCTCAGGTCCCTTCACTACTTGCATTAGTAACAGATTTATAAAGAAATTTTTTATGTCGTGGAGGTAAATTGTATTTAGCAAGGTGATTCTCTCCTTTCCCTCAATGTTTCCAACATTTGAATTCTAAAAGTCAGAGCAGGCTGGGAGTGATGTCCCAGTTGGGACAATTGCTTGAGGCCAGGAGTTTAAGACCAGCCTGAGCAACATAGTGAGACCCGATCCCTATAAAAAAAAATACAACAATTAGGCAGGCACTGTGGCACATGCCTGTAGTCCTAGCTGCTCAGGAGGCTGAGGCAGGAGGATAGCTTGAGCCCAGGAGTTTGAGGTTGCGGTGAGCTATGATTGCATCACTGCACTACAGCCTGAGTGACAGAGCAAGACCTTGTCTTTAATAAAAACAAAAAAAGTCAGAGTAACCCAGCCGCACTTTCCCTCAGTTGGGGGCTTGGAGTAAAAGATCTGTGAAGAGGGCATGTCTGTAGGTTTGTTTTCCTGAAGACCATTGAGCCTCCCCATGGGCCAGGGGAGCTTTGTAAATGCCTGCATAAAACGTTTTCCTGGCTCGCGCCTGTAATCCCAGTACTTTGGGGGGCCGAGGTGGGCGGATCACCTGAGGTCAGGAGTTCAAGACCAGCCTGGCCAACATGGTGATACACTGTCTCTACTAAAAATACAAAAAATTAGCCAGGCATGGTGGCGCACACCTGTAATCCCAGCTACTCTGGAGGCTGAGGCAGGAGAATTGCTTGAACCTGGGAGGCAGAGGTTGCAGTGAGCCAAGATAGTGCCCCTGCACTCCAGCCTGGGTGACAGAGTGAGACTCCGTCTTAAAAAAATAAAAAAATGTTTTCCACCTGTGTTTCATCTTGCTCCACCCTGGTGTTGATAAAATGAGCTTCTCCGCTACTTAACCAGCAAACATTTTTTCTTCTTCCAACTATGTAGGTGATTGACTGATTTTCAGCATAAAATAATGCAATCAAATAGGAATTAAGTTACCCAGCCTGAGGCAAGAATATTAACTTTTTACATGATACATGCACACATACATATATCTTCAAGTTTAGAGCGTGTCCTTGGATTTAGTGGTAAATTATAACTGAAATAAAGGCTAGCAAACCAACAGTGTGGATGCCGGAGCACCTTGTCTCCAACATGACAATCTTGCATCCTTTTGTACTAAATTCCCCCACATGTTTGCTCTGGTTTTATCAGAGAATTTTTAGGTTTTCTGACAAGTGTAGAAAGAATTCACGTTTGCTTTATTTTCTGAATAATTCTTGTGGTGATAAATGTAATATATGTCCAGTGAACAAATTTTAATAAATTCATCAAAGTAAAAAGGCAAAGAAAAATCTTCATTTCTCTACCCAGAGATAACCCCTTTTTAATATTTTTGGTGTATTTTTTCTAGACCTTGTCTATGAATTAAAAATTAGCATTCTATTTTTTCATATAATTCACATTCATTACTTCACATCATATTGTAAATATTTCCTATTATCATTAGCCTTCACATTTTAAATGGTTATGTATTTTTTTTTATAATTTATCTCATAATTGTACACTTATGTTGTTTCCAGGTCTTCACTGTTTTAAACATTCTTTTATGTTAATTCTTTGACTATCTACAAAATCTTTCTTTAGAACAGATTCCTGGAAGTAGAATTACTGGGTCAATATGTGTGAACATTTTTAAGGATCTTTGTAAATTGCTTCCAGAAAAGTTGTAAGCATTCCTAATTCTATTTGCAGTATAGGAGCATGGCCTTTTATTTCCTTAAACAAATTCATCTTTATGGCATTAATCCCACTAACTGCTATTAGCTTGTGACTGGATTGGCGAAGTGTCTTTTTTTTTTTTTGAGAACTTTAAGTAGATTGTTAAATGCCACACAATGTTGGAATATTTTGGATACTTCTCTGTGCCTACCACAGCTGAGCTCTTGAAAAGAATTCATTAATAGGCATATAGTTTAAGAGAAAACAAGGCATAGAAGAGTCATTCTAATGATTAAAAAATAACATATCAAGAAAATATATCTAACTTGTAAATTTAGCATATGAAATATTTTATGTCATGTTCATCATTATACCTATGGTCCTTAGCAAGAGTGCCTGGCACATAGACATTAATATTTATGTAATGAGTGAATGAATATATAAATGAATGAGTGATTAAATAAATAAACAGTAAATAACCTAATCTGACTTTGCTAAATTGTTGGCAACTATTTAGAACATACTAAAGGATGCTACCACTATGGCTTGTGCTAAACGATTTTCTCATCTTAATGCTTGGAATTAGTAGGCGTTGAGTGTGTTTTATGTGAATGTTTATGTGAATTAAAGCAATAATTTGGAGAAAGAGCAGAAGATCTTTCTCATTTGTCCTTTATTTAATGTACTCTGTCAATGTGGTGGAGTTCTTTCATAGTAACTATTGTGATTAAAAGATGTTCAGATGATCTATGGACCTAACCTCCTGTATGTGTTTACTTTTTAATTATGAAAGGCCTGAAAACAACTACTATTTCCCAGATTTGCATCATATGAAGTATGAGATTGAAGACGGCAGCACACCTAATGGGAGAGACCTTCGATTTGGATTTGATCCGCTGGCATTTCCTGAGTTTAGCTGGAGAGGATATGCCCAAATGACCTCAGTACAGGTACGCAACCCGAAGAGAGCAGCTTCATGGCTGAGTAGCTCAGATACTTCCCCACACCAGTCTCAGGGAGCCCCCTGAAAGGTGACCTGTCCCCAGAACTGATTCCACGATTCTTTTTCTCTATATTATGGGTTGGCATTGGAGTTTAGGTTAAACCTGGGGTTTGGGGTAGGGCTGTATATTAACTGATAAGCATATGTGTGGATTTCATAGTTCATTGTTACTTTAATTTGATTACCAAATCAGAAAATTAAGAGATTAAAGAAAAATAGTGTTTATCTCTGGAGACTTTTTATAGAAGGGGGAAGTTTCCTAAATGACGTTAGGCTGTACTAGAATGTGAGGGACAGTTTTCTTTAAAGCCATTTGTGGAAAACAAAAATGAGTTGGCTTAAGTAATTCCAGTAAAGCTAGTGTTCCTAATTTTTGGCTGATGCTTTTTTTAAACTTTGAATTGCTATGTACGTGGAAACTAAGATAAATAATGAATGTTTGTTAGTTAAGTGCTATTTCATTTTTCTTTTCCATATTTCTCTTTCCTTCATTCTTCTCTACTGCATCCATCTATCTTGGCTTTGTATTAGAATGAGTAGGGGAATTTATACATTCTTTGTTTACCTTTAGAACTTATACGTCTTGCTACTTATAACTAAAAAATTCTGTATAGCCATTGAGTAGCTTTGTCCTCAGAATTTGTCTTTGAGTTGGTTTCTTCAAGCTGTTTCTCAGTGGAGAAATTCAGAATATGAGAGGTAAATTAACGATCATGGTAACACAGTCTTTTTCATTAGCGCATCCAAGACTGCTGCTTGCTGTTGCTACCCCAGTCAGCCTGTAGAGAAGCTGGAACAGGGCCACAGTACTCTCAGACCCCTTCCCCTCATTGATTCTAATGCTGTTTTTTACCTGGCCAAAGTCCCCCATCCAAGCGGCCTTTCTGAAATGGTACCTAGGATCTTAAGACACTTCACTCTTTGCCCCCACTCCCCAAATACAGCTATTTAATTTCTTTAGTTCCCTGACATTACTTCACTATTCAGAAAACAAGCAGTAAATTCCATTGTGTCATAATAAGATGTGAATGACTGACAACCCAATCAAAGGGTATACCTTCTCACAGGTGCTTACAGTTTCACACAATAGCTGGTGGACACAAAGGAATTCATCTCTAATGACGCATTTTCTGATAAAGTTATTTTGGTCAGAGGACCTTGATGGTGTCCCCAGCATCACCACTTACTTTACTCTGCTCCTAATAGATTTTTGCATATTTGTTTTCCATCTGAAACTAACACTTAAAGATGAATTCAGACGAATTGTGAGGATCAGCAGGAGTTCCTCAGTGTGGGTCACCTGTAGCTCCTGCTTTCAGAGCAAGTGATTCTGCACAAAGTCAGTCTTTATTGTCACCAATATCTCGCTTAAAAAAATATCCCCTTCCTTTTAAACAAAGAAGTTGGGGGAAATGCTAAAAGAACCACTGATTTGGGAATTTCCAAGTTTCATGAAGTTTCCTTGGGCCACAGCCCAATCTGGACATGCAGTCAGTGGTTCAGAATTAAAATAGTCTACTCTTTCCTTCAAGGGTCCAGGCTCCACAATGTTTACAGAATATTGTGTGAGCCCAGGCCCTGGGGACCAACAGAACCCCTCCTCTAGGTTGAAAAGCCATCATTTCTTTGCATAAGGAATTGAGATAAAACATCATACAACTTAATAGGCATATTTTAGTTACACCCAGATGTTACCACTATTGTATTTGGAGTCTTTAACCTTTCCTTGGCCACCGTTGGTTTCTGTGACCATTTAGACTTTATGTATGTGAAGCGGACTCTGAAGCAGTCTCTCTTTGGTGGTGTGAAATAATACCCTCTCCTTTCCTTCTCTTCTGCCTTTTTATTTTTCCTAGCCAGTGGTGGTTGCTCCGTCACTGTGGCTTTCTTAAACTAGCCCATCTAATACTCCACTCTGTCTGCCTGATTACAAAAAGGTCAAAAGAGGATCTCAGTTGCTGAGGGAGTGCGTTTTCACTGTAATTTTGATTGTAAGTGATTTTAATTCATTGTTAGGTTTGCCTATTTCCATCTTTCACAAGTTACTCGGTGCTCGTTGACTGAGTGTGAGTGTGTATGTGTGTGTATGTGTGTACATTACAAGTCCAGTAGTGACACTTGAATAGAATAAAGTCACTGTTTGGCTAGCATGTCTTTTAACCATTTTTTTCTATGCTTTATGGCGTTTCGGTATTTTTCAGAATGATGTAAGAATAACATTGAATGTAGGGAAGTCAAGTGGCTCCTTGTTTCGTGTTATTCTGAGATACGTTAACCCTGGAACTGAAGCAGTATCTGGCCATATAACTATTTATCCATCCTGGGGTAAGGCACGTAGGTAAAATGTCAAGCCTCTTTTCAATTAAGAAATAAATAGTGAAACACTTTCTCTGATTTTCACAAAGTTGATCACCCTTAGAAAATGTCAAGCCTGGCTCATGGTCTGGTTAGACGGTTCTCTAGGAGCCCTGTCGTTTGTTACCTTGCATTCTCTAAACAATCACTTAAGTTTTGCTACTGAATTTGTCCTTAACTGTCATTTTAAAAATCGATATAACAACCTATGTACCTTGGCTGAACCCCATGGGTTATGATGTCTTCACTGAGCAGAGCTCATTTATAACTCATTCACAGTGACGAGGGTGTCACTTTTTTGGTGTTATTTGAGAGATTTTGGCCCGCTGCCCTAAATTCTTCCATTGTTTCAAACCAACCAAATAGTCAGAGGAGAAATGGGTGAGGATGGGAATTTTTCCTATGAATGCTGTAAAGCATGAAGCCCAAATGAGTTCCAGGAGGGAGCTGCAAACCTGACTCAGGGATGAGGAATTCCTGAGGGCAGAGGGACAAGAGAAGAGAGCACAGCCTCGCCACAGGCAGAGAGAAGGCCCGCAGGTCTGTTCTTCAAGGTATTAGGGCTTCTACCTGTCCTGGAAACAGATTCCAAGAAGCATTTGGAATTTTACAAGGACACAAAATGGCACCAATGGAAATCTAATTTAGGATCAAAATGTACGCCATCTTTGTTAAGCATCCACGGTTCATTCAGAATGGGGGAAGAAATGATGTCATTTCCGAGTTGTGTCAACCCAACTTGCGTGGCTGGAGGTTGATTAACCCATTGAATGAACTAGCAGGCTTACTTCATCATTCACAGAGTAATTTAGCACCCATTGCCTCACATCATAAGAACTTGGCAAACTGAGGAGAGTTGAAGAGAAAACAGAGCTGAGAGGTTTAGTAAATTGCCAGCCACAGCTGGATGTTTGTAGACAAAGTCTTCAGATTCCAAACTCTTAACAGGCCCCTCTGCCTCCTGCGTGACAATAACAGCAGCAGTTTGTTCTCTGTTAACTCAAATAGTTGGAATACATTTTGCTTCGTTTCCTTGTCCTCCGGGACACCTTTCCCCTAAGTCTGAGTTGGGAGCCCTAGTTATGTTATGTCCCATGGTAACTGGTGCCTCCTCCCAAATACCACTGTCCAAACTGTACCACATTTTCCTGTCTTCTAGTCCTTATTCCTCTCTGGTCCTCACCAGCAGGGAGCAAAGGCCATGCTTACTGTGTTTACTGCCTTGTCACCAGAACTTAGTTCCAAGCCTGGCACATAGTAGGCCCCCATCAATGTATGTAGAACAAGAGTGAACCCAAAGATTTGGAGAAGATAATTCTTTGAAAGAAAAAGTCTCAATTGAACTTAGATGCAATAGTTTATTTCTTTCTGAACCTCTTGTAGAAGGTCCTCTCTTTGTTTAATGCAGAAGAAAACATATTTTTTCCTGAAAACAAACAAACGGAAGTGTAAAACTTTTTCTTATGCATGTTCATTAATAAAAATTAAAACTTAAAAATCACATATGCTGTAGTCCCAGCTACTTGGGAGGCTGAAGTGGGAGGATTGCTGGAGCTCAGGAGTTTGAGGCTGTCATGAGCTATGATGGCATCTGTGAATAACCACTGCACTCCAGCCTGGGCAACATAGTGGGACCCTGGCTTTAAAAAAAACTCACATATAAACAAGAAAGGAAAAAATAATTTAGTAGCTAATGTAATATATTGAATACTTACTATATGCAAGGCACTTTCCTAAACTGTTTACAAGTATTAATATACTTATTTAATAAGTTAAACAATTATTCATAATCCCAGTGTAGATAGCCATTGCTGATGTCTTATCAGTATCTTTCTAGCCTATTTTATACATATGTATTTGCATAGTACAATTTTTAAAGATAAGATCAGTAAATCTGATCAGTACATATCATCTTAAACTTTTTGAGATGTAAACTGAATGTTCAAAACTGAATATCTAAAATCATAACACTGACTGATAGAAAAATGCCTTAAGCAGTTCTTTGTATTTCTGATAGGTGCTGCTCAAAGCAAAGAGATCATCTTCCTGCCGAGTAAGGAGCCAGCCTTTGTCACTGTCCCTGGAAATGGTTTTGCAGACCCATTTTCAATCACACCAGGAATATGGGTTGCTTGTATTAAGGCAGAAGGAGTCCTTCTGGTAAGACTTAGTTCTGAATGGAGAGCTCCTGCGGGATTCTTCCTACCTCAGAAGTGGTTCCATCCAAGACTACAATCCACAGCGACCATAAAATATCACAATCATTGGTGGTTTTAGACACAGGAACAATTCAGCCCCAACCTAAGGAAACTGTGGTGACATTCACCCTCAAATGACATAGGAATCAACTTGAAGTATCTTTTGTATCCTTTCAGCTAGCTTCTCTTGGACAAAAAAAATAAAAGATAAAAAAGGTCTCCTAAAGACTCTTAATTATCAGAACAAATGCGAAGCCTTCATGAGTATGTGGCTTCACCCTTCCAAAGCTTGTATGGGATTTTCCAGCATGAGTCAGAAGTATAGACTTTAGCACTCATTGCCTCACATCATAAGAACTAGCAACTTCACCTGGTTATTGTCTACACTGTCTGGAGATTGTGTAGAACCAAGGAAGAATAACCTAGAAGACAAGCAGATATGGATTTCAGTAAAGTTCTTGGGGGTGGAAAGAGAAGCAAGAGGCTACAGGAGCCACTGCTTCTCCATGACACTCTTTCTGCTTTCTTCTGTGTTAAACCTAAAGCAGGTTTATTCCCACCAAACAGATTGCCTACAACAGAGAACTCTTTGTTCAGGAAAGGCTTTGTCTGCAAACACCTAATAGAATAGCCAGAGAAGCCATGGGGAGTTGGAAGGATGAAACCTGTTCTCTGAGACAGCCCTCTTTGCTATGTGCTTTAAGGCCTGCTTTGCTTCATGGCAAGGTCTTTTCAAAATAGAGTCCTTGGGAAAAGCTTGATTTCATGCTCTCAAGTGGAAAACATAAAGCTTTTCCTTCAGGCACAACCCTGTTTATTGGCCATGTTAGCAAATCTTAGGAAAGTCGCTTAATTCCAATCCTGTCTCTTCCAGTCCTGCCAGTTGCTTCTTCCATACAACAGGGACAATACTTATCTTAATAGGTCCTTCCAAATTGGGATCTTACAAGGATAACATGAGGGATTGTTCTTTCCATTCAAGACAACAAAGGAACATCAGAAGGTCTCTGCTCTTCTTGCATCTTCTTAGTAGGAAGCTTTATTGCTTAAAAAAAAAAAAGTTCAAGAATGTTTCACAGATGGTAGAAATGAGGCAGAGGAAAATTCCATTGATACTAGTAACGGGTACAAAGTTGGACTCACGGAAAGTAGAAGTTCATTATAAAAGTTACTGTTTAGGCATGGAAGATGCCTAATGACATTATCATTAGGCATCATAAGGGTGCCTATGATCAACCTTTACTATTCTATTATCTGTGAGACTATAAAGTCATGAGGAGAGAGGAGACATGGTCCCAAACTCAGCAAACTTACTAGTAGAACAGTAACCCTTTTAAAATTTAAACCTACTGAGTCCCCTCAGCCACAATCTCTTACTTTTCCCCTCCTATACATTTCTGTCTGAGGAGAGAAAAAGCTTTGTGGTCTGTGTATGAGCTCTTTGCCCTCCCCTCTTCCCTCTGCAGATATGTGCTGCTGTCAGGACGGCTAGGGGCTGTCAATCATTCACCTCCCAGAAGCCTGCAGCTCTGCTCTTTCCTGAAGAGCTGCTTAGCTGAATTTACGTTGTGGGCTTTGTTTGGCACACTCAGTGGAACATGTTCTTCCTCTCGTTTCTTGGGACAGGCAGTAGGCCAGTTCCATTCTGTGAATCACCAAGATCACAAGGCATTGCTTTTTATACCGTGCCAGTTGAGCGTTACTCGGGTGTGGGAGTAGAAAGTGATCCACATTCAGTGTTCTGTACTGCTGAAGGCAACCAGCATTTCCACAGAACATTTCATCAGTTGACAATTTATTATCTTTGTTAATTTGTGAATTTATAAACAACCAAGGAGAGACAGTAAAATCTCTCTTGAAACTTGAAGAATAAAACTGTTCACACTGACAAGTTTCTCTCTGATACATAAAGAATCTTTGATGAGTGGTTCTTTGTGTTTCGGTGAGTCGGGATGAAGAACAAAGCAGTTGATATGGAGAGTTTAACTAGCGACTTCACCTGGTTATTATTGATTTAACTAGTATGTTTGATTATTTTCTATCCAAAGTAGGGCTACCATCAAAATGAATGATTCTCCTTTTGGTCTTTATTTTCTAGGATTACCTGGTGCTGCTCCCCAGGGACTACTATGAAGCCTCTGTACTGCAGCTGCCAGTCACAGAACCATGTGCCTACGCAGGACCTCCCCAAGAAAAGTCAGTGTGGGGCAGAAGGTGCAGCCGCATCATTGGGGTCCTCTAAATTAGGAGCCTTTAATGCAAGCTTTCATGAGGTGTCTCAGGATCACAACGACAGCATGATGCTCTGGATAATTAGTTGTTATCTTCCTCTATGTCTTACTTGTGTTCTTCAAGTAAGATTCACAAAGCACTTTGCACACCATAGCTGGCTTAGGAGTGGCTACCACCCTCCAGCATGTGGGAATGTTGATGCATGCCCAAGTCAATGCCCTCAAGGTCAGTCATACATCTGGTGGGAGGAAGAGCTTAAAATAGAAGCCAGGTTTGTGGACCTTTGTTTCTTCTCTTCCCCATGCAGATGAAAATTTATTGCTTAATTCTTGTAGCAGACACTTAATAAGAGTTTATTGAAGGATGATGAATGAATGAGTGAACTGAATGACTGAGAGTCTTTGGGGATGTACTTTGATATTCCGTTTGATGTTCTCAGTTGTAACTATTGATTCCATTGTTGTTGCTGTTGTTGAAGTTGCTTACTCTACCAGCATTTGCCAGTGACCAGATTCCCCTGTACCCTGGCTTGTGAGGCCAGACACTTCCTGCTTGATGGGGAGCCAAGACCCGTGGCAGTGAGGCAGCCCACACCTGCACACCCTGTCATGGTGGACCTCAGCGGGAGAGAGGTGGGCCAGCCTTTTATTTATTATCAAAGTTATTACTACCTCCCCATCTGTATCTGCTAAAAATACTTGGCCACAGTTGCTTCTCAAATTCAGGGGAACCTGGAAGAATTTCTCAGAGGTGTTTATCAACATTTGCTGAACTATCTGATTTAGGGTGGGGCTGGATGGTACGCTACATGGAGCCATGTTCAGGTTGTTCTTTGAGCACTTTCTAGACATGGCAGGGGATGTGGGCATCTATAGAATCCTTTCTTTTTGGTTATCTGGACTTAGAAGGGGGCATCCTGTTCTACATGATTCAGGGCAAGATTTCTCTTAAAAGACAGATGAGACTCAATCTAGTAAGCGTCCAGAAATGACACAGCTTACCCTAAAAGGATACCACACTCACTGACTGTTCAACCCCTTAGGCTAAGCAATTTGTAGCAGCTGAATTCCTTGAGCTCAGAATCCGGAACTTCTACATCCCCTGGCACCTACCTCATGGCTTGGAGGACAGGTTACTACAGGTCTTGGTATTACTTTTCTTCCAGGAGTTCTTCGAACTTCAGAACCAAATTTAAGATCATACTGATTTCAGATTCGAGTTAGAGCTATAGGATATCAACCATAACAATAAGAATACACAACACTTCAAAATGAAGACACTGAAAGACTTCCTCCACTATATTTTTATTCTTTGCTCTCTGTAACATTCTCTGTTTTGTCCTTTTGAGGAAAATATTCATTTGGGGGATTAAATTTGTGGGATGAAAATATATGTGGAGTTAATTGTAACTGAACTTTTAGATGTGTACATTTTTGTAAACTACATTTCTAACATTTTGAAGGTAGCAGTTAAAGGTTTTTAAGTATATTTCTTAAGTAAAGTCTTCATTTTATTTGAATTTTCATGCTACGAAATAATATTTACTTGTAACAAGTAAAACAATATAGATATGCATAAAAAACCTAAATGATCTTCCCTCTACTTCATTCTAATACTAAGTTTGCTGTATCCCTCCCTACACATGCTATGTGTGTATACACACATACACACATACATGTATATAGGTGTACATACATACATATATACATAAAATGCACATACACGTACATATACAGGTATATGTATGTGTGTGTGTATTTGTGTGTGTGTGTTCCCTAGACAACAAGAGGTACCGTTGAGAAGGGGCAACCACCAGGAAGTGATGCTGATGACTCATCTAGGAGGTTCTAACCTCTGATTTAACCCAGAGCTATAGCACAGAGCTAGTCAGCAGGACCTCAAGGCTCTTTTACAATACGGAAATATTTTATTTCACTATCTCTGGTCTAGAAATTATCCAGCTTATTGATTCAGTTTAATTTATACTTTTAAAACTTTTCAATTGGCTCTTTATCATATTTATTTTTTCTTGTCTTTTCTGCCAGTTTTTGTTTCAAAACTTCATGTACTTTTAAGTGGAAGTTACTTCTTCATTTAGCTTTTTTAGTATCCTAAAGGCCTTGGAGCCAGGTGTATTTCAGAATTCAAAATTTTTAAGATTTGAAAAAAGATAACATCTCCAGTGAGGTCTGGGATAATACCCTATAATCAAACAGGTTAATATTTCTCCAGTGAAAAGCATGAATAGGCACACCTAGGGAGACACTAACTGACTATATACATAGACTTATATCAGTTTAGTTCAGACTTTGCCAGCAAATGATTATTGGTTAGGTTAGGTTTGCCACCAAAACAGTTACAAAACCTATTTCCTTTTCAGAGTTTGGGGATTTCAGATCATGGGCCAGTATATTTAAAGTCTTTCTCAGACTATTCCATAAAATTCACCTCATCTGAAGTGAACTCATCTCTGATTATTTTGTTACCTGTCTTTCTTAATATTCAATTTATGTGTTTTGAATTTTGTTTACAGGCATATTGGCTTATTTTGAATGAGAGGTTTTTATCCTCTCCTTCTTTCGCATCTGTTTCAGCCTGCTAATTTTGCATTGTCTTAGCTGTCCACTGGATCCTTAGCCCAGGAGCAGGCATTACAGTGTGCCTTCTCTATTGTTATGACACTGAAGATAGGAGATTCAGACATTGACCCCATGAATGGCATAGCTCAGTTCTTGGTCATGAGGCCACATATTTGATTTTTGGTTCCCAAATTCCATAGCTTCTTTTAAAAATTTATTTAGTTTTATATATTTAGGGGTACAAGTACAAGTTTCTTATATGCATATATAACATAGTGGTGAAGTCTGGGCTTCTAGTGTACCCATCACCCAAATAGTGAACATTGTACCTAATAGGTACTTTTTCAACACCCCCTCCCATCCCTCCACTTTTCATAGTCTCCAGTGTCTGTTATTACACTCTGTATGTCCATATGTACCCATTGCTTAGCTACCATTTATAAGTGAGAACATGCAGTATTTGACCTTCACACAGCTTCTTATAAATCCATAACCCAGGAGGCAGATTGGAAGCAATTTTTAGCTTCTTTTTAAATTTGAACATCCTTGTCTTCAAAAAATGTGCCTCGATCTGGCCGCTGTCTCCTATGGCACATGTTTTATTCTCTTAACTCTGCATGAGCTAAACTGCTGACCAAAATAATCTGCTTCCAGACCTAGAGGACAACAGGCTTGTGACTTCAGTCCTGGTGCCATTTTGGGTTTTTCTTTAACTTATGTTTTATCACCTATTACTTTTGATTCTAAATATATCTTTTTGTTGTTCTTTTAAAACGTTTTATCCAGAGTTGGTCTCTCTTGGAGCAGGAGTATAGTGAATGTGAATTCTCTGTGCCATCTGAACCAGAAGTCACCCATCTTTAAAAAATGCTAACCTGTTTTTATTAAAATCCTCCTCTCTCTCCCTCAGCTCAGCCACTACACCATACTCCTCCCCTTCACAACAAAACTCCTCCAAAATATTGTCTACACTCTGTGTTTCTAATTCTTTATGCCCTACTCACACCTCAACCCACTTCAGTCTGGCTTTCACCTCCCACTCCATTAAATTTATTTTGCCAGGTTTCCGATGAGATCTTTGTCACTAAATCCAGTGGATATGTTTCAGTCCTCATCGGTTTAACTTCTCGGCAGCTTTCGATGCCTGATGGACACTCCCTGAATTCTCAAACTCTCTCTTGTTTTTCATAATTTAAGAGCTGTCTTAATAATTTAAAAATTAACGACAACCTGATTCTCTTTCTGCCTCTCTCACCGCTTCCTCAAAATATCATTTGCAGGCTCATCCTCCTCTGTCTAGCCATTAAGTGTTAGAATTTGTCAATGCTCAGTCCTAGGCCTTATTACTCTATGTTCTGTCTCGAGGAGTCTGATCCATGGCAATTGTATCAGACCCACCTCCACACAGATACCTCCCATATTGTTATGCCCAGTCATACCTCTGCTTTTATATGCAGACCAGCAAGTCTACCTTCCTTCCTGACATTACCTCTTTGATGTTTCAAAGCAACCTCAAACTCCATTTCGGTATTCCCTACCTAAATTAATGCTGCTACCATCCATCTAATTGCATAAGCCAAAATTCTTAGGGTCATCCATGACTTCTCCAATTCTTTCCCGCACCCAAACTAATCTATCTGTGAGTGTACATCCCGAACTTTTCTTGGCATTCTCCTTCCATCTCCCTTGTCCAAAATACAATCATTTTTGTGAGAATCTCTGTAGAAGCCTCCTAACTAGCTGACCCACGTCTGCTCTGCCCATTGCACCTCTTGATCTTTTCTCCAGACTATAGCCAGCACTCACATTCTGATGGGAATATTTGATCAACACTTACTGCTCTTAGGATAGAGACAAAGATTTTAACATGGCTTATAAAACTGCCCTTTCTACTTCCCAATTTTATTATACTCCCTCTTGCTCTCTGTTTCTCTGCTCCTCTGACCTACCTTCAGTCTCTTGGGCTTGCATTTTATGGGACCCTACAGCATTCTATGTTGTATGTAGCCTCCTACTGCAAGCCGTTCCCTCTACCCAAACACTCTTCTCTCCCCTATGGCCTGGTTGTCTTCTCCTTGTCCTCCACACTCAACTAAGTTGCTGTTCTTCAAGGAAGCCTTCCGCTCTCCCTCATCTCCTCGACTAGCTCAGGCCCCTGTCTTACACCTCTGCAGAACATTATTCACATGTAGTTTTATGCTGTGTTTGTCTAGTTATCTAATTACTTGATTCAAGTCTGTCTGAGGGTATGTCTGTCTTGCTTCCCATTGTATACCTATCACCTCGCTGGTGGACTGGCATAGCATAGGTATTCAGTAATATTTGCTGACCAAATCATTTGAATCCTCATTTTGACATCAGACATATTAGTTATCCCTTTTAGTTTGTATAGGCAACAGATTTGATAAACCCACTTTCCATGTATTTATCCTAAAACACTAATAACTAGTGGAGGTCAGTTCTGTGCCATAGAACCAGAAATATTCCTCCAGTTTGACACTGATTCCATTAAAGTTCACCTTTTTAAAGATAAATAACACACATAAATAATCATAACAGCAAGCAGTAAAGTTTCTGTGTGCCATCTTTTATGTCTTTTATCTGAGTTTCTCAAACCTGACTTTGCCCATCAAATGTACCTTAAACTCTTCAAACAAGTCTTCCAACAGGTAATCCATATAATTTAGAGTGGAAAGAGTAGTAGAAATTTATAATAGAGTGCTAGATAGAACTTGCTGCCAGTAATAACTTCTGGGCGAAAACCTGGTACATCACTGACCTGTGAGTGTTTTGTGGTGGGGTAATGACAGTCAGGCCCTTGTTTGGAGATGCCCAGGGGAGAAATGCTGGCAGTAACCTCGCCACACGGAGCAGTGGCAGAGCCATATTTCCCTCTAGAACATGGAGTCAACATTGGTATGGCTGATCCACATTCTTTCCCAGAGGGAAATCTTTCTGTCATTTAAGTGACAGAAAAAAAAATCACTGTGGAAAATAGCAGTTACGTGGTTCAGAGCCTTTCAGAAGGAATACCAAATGTGAATTTCCTAAGGCAGGGAGAGGGAGGACCATTTTAATTAAGTGTGGTAAATCTTGCCTGGGCCTGAGCTTGCAGGCGGAGGTGGGTTACACTGCTGAGGAATAAAGTTCTAATATTGGCCCAGGCATTAAGTATGTGTACACACTTTGACCCAGCAATTCCACTTCTAGGAATCTTACAGAAATACTAGCATTAGGATATATGCATGATGATTGTATACCATTATAGGTTGTAGGGAAAATTAAAGACAACCTGTGTCCCTCAATAACGGATTTGTTAAATAGTTTTATATTCATACCACACAATGGTAGGCAGCTGTTCAAAAAATGAAGTATATTTGCATGTAAGTGTATTTGCATGTATATATTTTTGCAATAAAGACATGTAAAATACCATTGAGTAAAAAAAGCAAGTCATAGTAAAAAGCAATAATCAAATTATAATAATTAATATTTACATAGTGTTTTTTATATGTCAGATATACTTCTGAGAGCTCTGTATGTATTCACTTAATCCTCAGAACAATCTTAAGAGGGGGGTACTATTGTTATCTGTATTTTACTAAGGAGGACACCGAGGCATACAGATGTTAAGTAACTTGTGCAAGATCACACAGCTGGAGGCTGTCTGATTCCAGACCCCAAGCTCCTAACCAGTAGGTGATATCAGGGGAGGACACACTTTTTCTGTAAAGGGACAGATAGTAAATATTTTTGGTTTTGCAGGCCCTGTGGTCTCTGTCATCATAGCACAAAGACATCCCGAATTGTCTACTATGATCACAGTTTTTCTTAATGAAACAAAACGTGTGTGCATATTTGGGCATAGAAAATGGTTTGGTATGAAAATCATTAACAGTCCTTATTAACACTCCTTATCCCAGGAGCGAGATGTGTGTGTGTTTTACATTATTTCCCTTGATACAATTTAAAACTTATTAAAAAAAAAACAATTAAAGAGCCCAAAGGCACATTTCCATTCCCCTTATTCCTCATCAGTACTTAATTTTTACTTCAAGTTTTAGAATGTCTTTTACCTTGAGAAACAAGCAGCAAAAACACTCCTGGGTAGAAATAGTAGAAGTTTCTCTAAGTAGGGCTGCCAGATTTAGAAAACGAAAATACGGGATGCCCCATTAAATTGTCCAAATAAACAATAAATAATTGTTTGTTATTTATTTCCATTTAAAATTTAACAGGGCACCATGTGTTTTATCTGGCATCTCAACCTGTAGGACCATATTCCTTACTGGGATGACATATAAAAATACTTCCAGGGTGTCTTCTGGGCTCTATTTTCACCATTGCTGATGCAAGTGTGGCCTGTACATGTCACAGCTGGATCACAGTCTGTCTGCTTGGCCTCTGTGACAGGTGGAATTGCATCTGCGGCTGCGCATCCCACAGGTTGGCCACTACGTGGTTGTGGTCGAGTATTCCACGGAGGCAGCTCAGCTGTTTGTGGTTGATGTGAATGTGAAGAGCTCCGGGTCTGTTCTGGCAGGCCAGGTGAACATTTACAGCTGCAACTACAGGTACTCAGCCCCACCAAGGGAATTCCTCTGTAAAGGAACAATTAGGAAATCTGCCTTAGGAACTTTGGCTGTTACTTGCATTGGGAGGTTATTTTCTTTTTGAGGCAGCTCTTGAAAACAAGCAGGTGACTAGTTGTGTGGCCCAACGTCATCACCAGTGTGGGTATTGGGAGTCCTCTCTATGGGCAGTGTAAAAATGTGGCATTTTCTTAAAAAGCTGTATGCTGTACTTAGCAATTTGGTTCAGATTCACATGGCACAGCACAACCTTTTTATTTGATTCTCTATCACTCAGGTGCGATGCAATGAACTCACTGCTCTCACCTCAAAGGCTGTGTCAAGTACCTGGGTGCATAGCACAAGGAAAAAGACTCATTCTCAGTAATGTTAGGGGGTGCACACCTACCTTTGCAACACACCTTCAGAACTGGGGATAATTAATGTTTGATGATTGTCAAGTGGAAAAAAAAATTAACAAAGGACTTCAAAATTTGCCCTGATGAAGTTCTTCTCTTCCAAGAGCACTAACTGACAAGGGCTTATTAAAAATGGTTTTGTTTGCATAATATTTCAAGATGTGTGCAAATGTTCAGAGCATGCTGTAATTAAAGAATCAGCACAAGGGGTGTTTCCACATGAAATTAATTGTATACTAAATGGGACTGGAAGTCAGAGTTCCTTGAAACAGCAGATGGAGCACTGCAGTAAACCCATCCAGTTCTTGGCCATGGCCTTGAACATTGTATTACTACTACTTTCATGTTGCTTTTTGTCAAACCCAAGATGACCTGAAGCAATGGACATCTTCCCTGTTGTGAAAATGAAAACAAATAAACAAATAAACAAAAACTTATCCAAAGAGTTACTTTTAGTAGCTTAGAATGGAAACTTTTATGAGAATCGATGAAATGGCTATTGAATCAACATCATGCCCTCAGTAACGCTAAACAAGCAGCTGCGAAGTCTTTGTCTTTGAATGATGATAGAACCAAAGAAGGTAATTGTATTTGGAGTTTTAACAGAAGCACAAAATGAGCCTAAAAGAGTTCTCCAGGGATGTTCTGTCATTATCTGAAGATATGAGCGGTATCTGTCTATAGATGAAATCAGCAACCACTGGAATGTCCACTCCCAGATGGGTGGGTTGCCACCTCACCTGAGGCCTGGAGACTGTTAGCCGCAGGGCCTGGACCAGGGCTTCTCCATACCCATTTGTCCACGCCCACCCACCAGTTCGGCTCTCCAGCTCCTTCCACCTCCAGATCCCATGGCTTGACTACTGTTGCTCAGGATACAAAGTGGAGATGGCTAAGGGGGCAGGAGGAACTATTCATAACAACCCTGGTGACTCTGAATCATCTCAGAAGAGCTCTGAGAATATCTATGCCAAGGAGAGGAGTGGTTTCAAAACCAAAGAAAGAAAGGACACCCTTTCTGGGCACCATGGGTGTTGTTTCATGACCTAAGTCTGAATGGAGTTATTGAGAGTGAACTGCATGTCAGTCTGCAGATCATTTTGGCTCTGAACATGACAACACCAAAGTCCTGCTTTAGGAGTTTCTATCCTTAGAAACACAGGACAGCATGGTTTCAGTCTAGGAAACACTTTCATTGTGTTTAATCCCTCCAAGGAGTGTCCCGTTCTATTTTTTCACGTGGCTAAAATACTTCCTCTTTCTCTTCCTTGCCTGTCATGTGGATGAGTGAAAATCAACAGGCTACAAGTATGGGAGTCCAAAAAATATGGCGCAACTGGAAAATATTTGACCCATGAAAACCTATGTTAAATGACAGGCCCTTTCAGTGTTGCAGCATCTTCTGCTGAGGTTTCAACTTTTCCCAGCATTTCTCAAGTGAGTTCTAACGATGTTAAAAAAAAAATCCCAGCAGAATAGCAGTGGTGCTAATAGAAAACCACTTTTCAAAGTAGTGCTGTGATAAATCTAATCTGCTCTCCATAAGAGAGATGATCATTAGTGATTAGATCAATCTGGTTATTACTGTTAGGCTATTTCTTAGGAGGAATTTAATATAGGATAAGGATAAAACTAAGTAAATTACTTAGTATATTTAACCCTAGGATTATGCCTAAATCCAAAAGAATGTGTTTTAATGGATACACACACACACACACACACACACACACACACACACTCACATAGGGGAGTGAGAAAGAAAACAACAGTTTATTAAGTTTCTAATATACAATACACACTGGGCTTGGCTTTTTATATAACTTATCTCATTTTAATCCTCACCAAAAAGTCATTGCCTAAATTATTTCAAATATTTCTCAGAAATAGTCCTTTTGTTTTAATATAACAGTAGTTTCAAATTATATTTACAGACAGAAAATTTGCAACAGAGTATGAAGTCAGAAACATTACTCAAAAAGTACCTCCTCTAAGGGTTTTAACGTTAGAGTTATTTGGTTCAAAACTGTGAGCTTTTAAATGCCCCTGAACTCTGTATCTCACTTGATGTGATGGAGGGAAGAGATACCACAGGTAGAAATGAAGAAGGAAGAAGGAGGAGAACCAGACTGAGTTTCAGAGGCAAACTCAGGGTCTTTCCATGCTGGAGGAAGGCCAGCATGCTCACTGTCTTGGCGTGGGATGGTGGCTGTGAGGCTAGCGGGTGACTTTAATTGTGAATAGCCCCGAGAATGTTGGCTGTGTCTTAGAGATCTGCAGTTACTGACCCTGGGGCCCTTTCTCTCGAGGACTAAACCTAGTACTTCATCAAGCCAGGCAGAAAAACTGAATGGGGCCTTTAGCCCTGAGAGGTACAACACTGGCCACGGCAGGAAGGTTATTTTCCCCATAGAGACTGCGAGCTGCATCCTTCTTCAACTCATCATGCAGGAAAATTCACTATAATTCATTCAGTTATAAACAGGTGAAACCAAAGAGCCATCAGCCAACCCAGAAGGATGTGCAGAATGAGGGAGATGCCGGGAGTCAGGCTAAGAAAACTCTGTTTTCTCTTGCAGTGTTCTCTGCCGGAGTGCTGTGATTGATCACATGAGCCGCATCGCCATGTATGAGCTATTGGCAGATGCAGACATTCAGCTCAAGGGACACATGGCCCGATTCCTTCTGGTATGCTTCTGTTTTGCCCATTGAATTTTAGAAGCATTTTGCTGATATCTATATTTTTTGAAGCTTATTAAAATTTTGGCTGGGGTTGTATTACTCCTATAATCTGTGAAGAATTGCCAGTTTAATGTTTATTCTTCCCATCTAGAACCTGACTTGCCTCTTCATTTGTTTGAGCATTTTTTGATATGGCCTAATAAAATTTAGTCATATTTAAGCACCTCTCACAAAATCCCGTTTCATTAGTTTTTATTCATTTCTACTATTATAAAGAAAATGTCTTCTGTTATTATATTTCCTAGTTTACCATTATTGCCAGAGTTTAGAAATCCCATTGCTTATTGTTTATTTTCTTTTCCATCTTACTATTTTATTATCTCTATTAGCTTCTTGGTAAATTTTATCAAAATTTTAAAGCTTATAATTACCTAGTTTAAAAAAAACTAAAAAACTATTTCAAAAAGAATATCATTCAGTTAATCAGATATATATATATATATATATATATGTTATTAAGAGTTAAAATATCAAGTGTGGCAGACTAAATAATCTTCATGCCCACCCTTGTAATGTCATGACTTGAACATTGAGTATTCTGATAAACAGAGCCAGTGGGATCTCACTAGAAAGGAGGTGGCCAGATTTACAATGAATATCACAGGGAATTTAAGATTCTCTAAGTGTGAAGCAACTTCCTGTTACTGCTGATACTACGCATGCATCACACCCTGGGAAATGCCAGGCCAGCCTGTACTAATGTGTTTTAAATATTTGTGCCTGATAGTATTAAAAACTTGGAGCCTGCTCTTAAGAAGTAGCTGGAATTCAGTTTTTAAAAAATTATAATTATAAAATTATGACTCCTTCTTAAAACATAACAATCTGAGGGAATCTAACCTCTTCATCTTTAGAAATTATAATGGAGCTGAATCTTCATCATTTAAGGGTAAGTTTTCCCTTTTTGAAGTAGTCAAATGCCATTCAGAGTCAAGGCTGGCTAGAACATAAGCTCTATGAAGGCAGGGGTGTTGTCCATCTTGGACTTGTAAGACCCCCTAGTCTCAGTGGTATTCACCAAAAATGTTTGTTGTTGTTACTGAATAGCTTTGCAATCAAGCTGGTAATACAGTTTTGATTTAAAATGAAGTATATTGATAAATTAATGACTAAGTTTTTTTGTGTGACTCAAAAACTAGCTCTGGAGACAGTTCCTTCAACAAAGGCCAAATTAGCCTGAGATGGGAGTCATTCTTTATTAAGAAGGGTTATTTCTAGCAGTGGCAGCCCTCACTTTGAAAAGCAGGCTCTCTGGCCCACACCACATCCCCTATCTTCCTCCCAACGGGCCTGAAAAGCCAGGATTGGCGCAAGACAAGACAGAAAAAAACAGGCACTGGAAGTCACTGAAAAGAGTAGTTTCTGAGCTTCCTTATGGCTTTGTTCTCAGTTCTATTTATGTGAGTATTTCAGCAGTAATTCAGTCAGTAATTCTATAAAACAATAAAAAGGATTTGTTGCACATAATGATGCCTGAGGACATGCCATCCTGCAATATTTACTACTTTAAAATAACGATTAGAATTATTATGGATAAATCCTTTACTTAATAGCTTTTTTAAAAGGGTGTTTTTGGCCATACCGTTTGTTTTGCTGGTAACTGCAATGTGCCTTTGTGCATTGTATTTGCTCACTAGCATCAAGTTTGTATCATACCTATTGAAGAATTCTCAGCTGAGTATGTGAGACCACAAGTCCACTGCATTGCCAGTTATGGGCGATTTGTCAATCAAAGGTAATGTGTTTCCTTCCTGTCTCCCCGTTCATGTTCTGAGTGATACTGGGATGAGTGTAAGGCTGAAACTTTATACTCAACGTCAGAAATGATCATAAGCCAAGGTGCTAAAGTCTGGTGGTGGATTTAAAACAGAAAGAAAAACCAGCTAAATAATTTACCCCAGCAGTTTTTCCAGAATTCCGTAATATCAGGAAGCTGACCCAGGAACAACCAGGGAAATGGTTAAGCCTACCCCTGGAGGGCAGGAACGCTGAGTTCTATTCTGAGCCCTCGAAAAGACTCGTTTTGTTCCAATCTTTTAATCTTTCTGTCTGAGACTCTTCATTTAGAAAACCATGAAAATAATGACCTATCTCATAACTATGTGATGAGAATCAGCTAACTAATGCTTATTGGGGTTTTGGTAGGGTTGTTTTGCTGTAGATTCAAAAACAGCTTATGGGCATGGTCATGAAATCTGGTGTGCATAGTTAGGACTGTAGGAACTACCAACACAATGTGATTCTGGTTGTGCGTAAAAGAGACGATGTATATTTTTTCTTTCTTATATAGTGTTCTGTCAATATTTATGTTTAGAGGTGAATAATGTTTTATTGTATTGATCTCATTTTAACAATTAATTTTAGTTTTGGAAAGGGAAGTTTCCATAAGTTTCTATCTAACTTACTTTACTTCAAAATTAAGATTCTCTCTGTTTCAACTAGTTCAATGGAACAGGTGGCTGGAATACACTTGGCATGAGTATCATTATATAAAGATCCCTAGAGTTCTGTGCTTCCCCCAGCACTGGATCCTTTTGATGCCCATGCAGTCCTATGCTCCAAGTCTGTCTCTTCACTGATGGTCAGTTCTGTAGCTTTGGGTTCTTTTAAAAATCAGATTTTTAAATATTCTATTTTTCAGTGCCACCTGTGTCTCCTTGGCCCATGAAACTCCTCCAACAGCATTAATTTTGGATGTTCTAAGTGGCAGGCCTTTCCCTCACCTGCCCCAGCAGTCGTCACCTTCTGTTGATGTTCTTCCTGGGGTCACCTTGAAGGCACCGCAGGTAGTGTGCTGTTTCTAAACCAGTGGTTCTCAAAGTATGACCTCTGAAGCAGCAGCATCCACATCACTTGGAAACTTGTCAGCAATGCAGATTCACAGACCCACTACAGACCTACTGAGTTGGAAGCTCTGGGGGTGGGCCCAGGAATCTGTGTTTTAACAAACCCTCCAGGTGATTCTGATGCCCCTGAAGTTTGAGAACCTCTACTGTCTTCTGTGAAGAGTCCCAGAAATGCAGGCATCTGGTTAATCCTGCCTAGGACCACCCCTGCCTGATGCCCTTTCCCTCCTGGGCTTTGTCCACTAGATATTTGGCAATTATTCATGGCCCATATTGTGATAGCTTATATTTTTGTGGACTGCTGCTGTTTAATATAGTTGTTTATTAGTTTTCTTCCCAAGTTGGATCATAAGACTTTTAGAATAGTTATTGTAGCCAAGAACCTTTCTTTCTTTTTTTTTTTTTTTTTTTGAGACAGATTCTTGCTCTATCACTCAAACTTGAGTGCAGTGGCATGATCATGGCTTACTGCAGCCTCCAACTCCTGGGCTCAGGCAATTCTCCCATCTCGGCCTCCCAAGTAGCTGGGACTAGAGGTGAGCACCACCTTGCCCAGCTAATTTTTTTTTTAAATTTCTGTAGAGGTGGGATCTTGCTATGTTGCCCAGGTTGGTCTCGAACCAGTAAACTTTTTTGTATCCCCCACTGCACCTTGCAGGTAGGAAATTATCCATAAACATTTATTAATCAATCATCTAGAGCACAAAGGTGAAATATAATAAAGTAATGCATTCCGTAAGCTAAAAAATCACAGGACTTTTAAAGTTCTGCATTATAAAAATATAATTTACATTATGATATTACAAGGTTTAGTATCCCTTATCCAAAATGCTTGTGATCAGAAATGTTTTGAATTTCAGATTTTGGAATATTTACATTATATTTATGGGTTGAGCATCCCTAATCTGAAAATCTGAAATCCAAAATGTTCCAGTGAGAATTTCCTTTGAACGTTATATCAGTGCTCAAAAAGTTTCAGATTTTGGAGCATTTTGGATTTTCAGTTTAGGGATGTCCAACCTGTATTATGTCCTTATAATCTCAAAGATGGTTTGCATGTGTTCACAGTGCATTGGATTTGGGAATCTACAGGATCTGAGCGACAGAATCAAATAAAATCCCATATGGGAAAGGCAGTCCAGAATAATAGGGGGAAATGAGTTGAAATCAAGATGACAAGAGTTCTAGTCCTGCTTTTGTCATGAAATTAGTGTGTCATTTTCCATGAACTATTTACCCCCCCGAGTCATGGGTCTCATCTGAAAAATGAGGATGAGCTTTAGTTGTTATTGTGTTGTTGCTGTTGAAGATTTTTGTGAGTTAAAAGATTCATTACTCAAAAAGTGAGGCTTTCTGGGGAGAGAGGGCTTGTACTCGAGCTTGAGCCAAAGGAGGGTGGGCTCCAGCTTTTAGCCCTCAAAAACACTCGTTTTCATGGTGGGAGTGGAGGGAGGGCCAGCCAGGGCCATCCAGGAGGACTCCCTCTCCCAGGGGCTGGAATTTATGTGATGAGAACTCCCCACTCATGACAAAGGAGGGAGCTGGGAGCCCCTGAGATGTCTTATCAGCTTGTTTGGGTGTGGGACAAAAGGGACAAGGGTATAATAGGGCTTGAAAGCTGTCAGTGGGCAAACATCAAAAATGGAGTCAGAGCTGGGCACAGTGGTTCACACTTGTGATCCCAGCACTTTGGGAGGCCAAGGCGGCAGTATTGCTTGAGACCGTGAGCTTAAGACCTGCCTGGAGAACATAGGAAGACCCTATCTCTACAAAAATTTAATAATTACCCAGGCATGATGGCACGTACTTGTAGTCGTAGCTACTTGGGAGGCTGAAGTGGGAGGATCGTTTAAGCCCAGGAGTTTGAGGCTGTAGTGAGCTATGGTTGCCCCACTGCCCTCCAGCCTGGGTGACAGAGTGAGACCTCGTCCCTTAAAAAAAAAATGGAGTCAGACTCTTTATTGCATGGTTATTATGCATAGCACAGTTATGAACATATAAGTATGGCCTTCTTGCAAACATTACACATTTCTTCTGGATATGTACCCAGAAGGCCAATTCTGGGTTATGTGTTCAACTTTGGTAAATATTGCCAAACAGGTTTCCAACCTGACTTACCAAATTATACCCCCTCCAACATGTATGATTGTACCACAGTTTGTTTATCCAATCTGCAACCAAGAGACATTTGGTTTGTTTTCAGTTTTTGTGATAACAACAACAACAAAAAAGCTACTGTAAATGTATGTGTGAAGGCTTCTGGGTGAAGATGGGTTGTCATTTCACTTTGGTAAATACTTAGGTTGTTTTGTTTTTTAACCTTTGAATACTCTATGATTCCAGTTATTCATAGCTCTTCAGCTTGAGGGTTTTTAATTTTTTTTCCTCCTCTTTTTTCCTCTTAGAATCAAGTGACCCTGAGAGGACGTGTACCACACCTGGGCCGATACGTCTTTGTCATCCATTTTTACCAAGCAGCGCACCCGACGTTTCCCGCGCAGGTGTCGGTGGATGGCGGGTGGCCACGGGCAGGTGAGCTGCAGTGAGCAGGCCCTGCTGCCTGCCTCAGGCTGAATCTACAGTCCGGTGCATGACAGAAAGTCTCTCTCTCTCTCTGCCAGGCTCCTTCCATGCCTCTTTTTGCCCCCATGTGCTTGGCTGCCGGGATCAAGTGATTGCCGAAGGCCAGATTGAGTTTGACATCTCAGAGCCTGAAGTGGCCGCAACTGTGAAGGTTCCAGAAGGAAAGTCCTTGGTTTTGGTGCGTTCCACTCGTTCCTCAACTTGCTCCTCACATGCCTGCCTGGCTGGCCATTCTGGGTGTCTGTTTAGCTCATGGAAATAATTCTTCCAAGGAATTGAAGTCATATTTGTAGAAAAATGTTTAAATTTTACAGCTGTCTTTTACCCCCCAATAAATAAATAAATAAAGCATGTGACAATTAAAGTCAAGGGAACTAGGACAGAAGAGAGTAGGCGTCGCCCCTCTCCACCAGCCCCTGCTTCCTCATCTGACCAGTCTCTGGAGCATTTTTCGCTCCTTTCTTCTTTTGGCCCCTGCAGCTGCTTTCTCTCTGTTTTCCCTGCTTTCTCTAGCGCTCCTTGGGTGATTTCTCTTTTCCACTTGTCACTGTGTGTTGGCGTTCCTTCCGATTTGACACCGAGCCCCTCATTGTGTCATTTCTCCTTGGATACATCTTCCGTGCCCATCGATTCTATTCTCTCCACTGTGGGAAGGACACCCACATCTGTGAGGTCATCTCTGATCTTTCCTGAACTCCAGTATGTGACCACCATCTCCTGCGTATCTGCCTGGCCAGAGATCTTGAAAGTCCCTTGCTTAGTCTGCACCCTGCATAGCCCCGATGTGCCTACCCTTTTCATCACCTTGAGTGATGACAACCAGTGCCTGGAGTCATGCTGACCCCCCTTCTCTAGCAGCTCTGCTCCCACATCTGTTACCACACCCCAGAGTCTTTCTCTGCCGTGCCTCCTGGAGGCAACCATTCTCTTCTAGCCCCGTTGTCCTCACTGACCATCCTTCCTCTCACTTGGGCAGGGCCAGCCTCCTGGCAGCACTCCCTTCCTGTTCCACCTCCTTCCAGTGCCTCCTCCGCACTCCTGGCCATTACCTACCTGGCTGGAGGGATTAGAGCATGCCCTGTGACCCAGCCACTTCTCTGGGCTTCCAACAACTGATGGGATACACTCCATGTATTTCCCTAGGATCCACGTGCCTCACTCAGGCCCTCACGACCCCCTAATTCATCTTTTATCTTTCTCTCTGCCATTGCCCTACTCCACGCCTCCCACACCTCACGCTCTGGCCATACAAATCCGTTCTCAAACCCCCAGATATGCCATGTCCTCTCATGCCACCAGGCTTTCTCACACTGTCCCTTTTTCTGACATTTTCTGTCTGTTTCTCTACCTGGATAAGTCCAGCCTACCCACTCACCCAGCTCAGAGTTAATTTGTCTTTCTGCAAAGCCCTCCAGGAAGCATTGCCCAGACTCTCTGTGTGGCCCTCCAGGTCTCTGAGTGAGCCTCCTCCTCTCTGAGGAAGTCGTCTTCCCAGGAGACAAGGGCTGCATCTGTTCATTTTGCATCCCTTGTGCCTGGAATACCACCTGGTGTGTGGTGCTCAGCAAACGTTTATTGAATTGAATATCATGAGAGTAATAAGCTCCCTGTAAGCTGTGAGCTGGTGAGCAGTTGACAAAGATGTTTGAAAATTTCTACAGTGTTTGCTATAGGCATATTCTGATTTATACTGGCACAGAGAACCAAACTACCATTATTCATAATAGGGTACCAAGTATGATGAAAGCTCTAAGGACAAGCTAACACCTTCTTTCTGCATTGTTCTTGCCACTTTTGTTTGTTTCCCTTTAAAAATACAAAACAGCCATCCCTGGAGATCCAGGGAGACATCAGGCATGGGTCACATGGAGCCCTGGCCATCCAGCAGGCCCCTGCTTACCCTTAAGGTCCCGTGACCCAGCCAGCATGCAAGGCTTTTGCTTCTCTGAGTAGAAGTTCCAAGGGCTCTGCCTGGGAACTCATCATTCCCTGCACAGTAATGTGGACTGAGCCTTTACTCCTGGCTTTGGCCTGTTCCTGTGATTGTTTTTCATAAATCCTGATTCATTTGGTCTTGGTCTTAACAATAAGGGTGTTGATCTCAGTGAAGAGAAAGTACAGGTTGAAAATCTCTTATCTGAAATGATTGGGACCAGCAGTGTTTTGGATTTCAGATTTTTTTCAGATTTTGGAATATTTGCATAATACTTACAGATTGAGCATCCCTAATTCAAAAATCCCAAATCCAAAATGCTCCAGTGAGCATTTCTTTTGAGCATGATCTTTGAGCATCATGTCAGTGCTCAAAAAGTTTCAGATTTTGAAGCATTTCAGATTTTGGATTTTTCGAGTAGGGGTGCTCAACCTGTATAATAAGTAGCCTTAGGTCTGTGTCATCATTGGAAATTCTAAGACATGCTGGTGGATTTCTTTCAGGTCCGTGTTCTAGTGGTGCCTGCAGAAAACTATGACTACCAAATACTTCACAAAAAATCCATGGACAAGTCACTCGAGTTTATCACCAATTGTGGAAAAAACAGCTTTTACCTTGAGTGAGTATCACTTTGTGGGAAGGCTCTGGAATGCAGAGGCACTCCCACATTCCTGACCAGCTCGAGGCCCAGGGAGGGGCTGGCCCATGGATCCGTCCTCTTCCCCGCACTGCCCAAGAGAGTGTCAGTGAGTCCCAGGGGAAGATGCTCTTTCTCCACACCAACCCTCGCATGACAGACTTTGCCATGTGCTGCCTGGGAAAGATGACTGTCCTCAGCTATGAACTCAACGGGGGTCCGTACCCCAAGCTGAGATTCAGGGGCTGATTAGGAGTTTCCTTCCCTCTCCACTGTTTCCTGTGTGCCAGCACAGATTCCTAAGACATACCACACAGGGTACCCTCCACTGGGAAGGACATCAGCCCTGAGTCCCACTCTCCTCCGCCATCTAACCAAGCAGGGAGTGTCCAGAGACATGGCTTCCCTGCCCTCTCTCCTTGTGTCCTTGAATGCTAAGAGCTAGGATGGCCCTGAGTATCAGCTCCTGCCATTCTCTTCTGTGGACCCACCCTTTCCCTGTCATAGATTCCTGAAGAGCCCAGGTACTCCAGAAGCTCTGGGAGGCAGACACCTCCTGTACAGTGAATATTAAGAGCAAAGGCTCTTAAGCAGCTGTGGAGGTGAATGCTGCTCAGCCACTCCATAACCTTGCAGCCTTGGGAATGTCACCTAACTTCTAGGAGCCTCAGTTGCCTTATCTGTGAATTAGGGCTTAGGCCTAATTGGTTGGGAGGTTGGAAGGTCATGTGGGATATTACTAAGGTTTCCAGCACACAACATTCAATGAATGATAGCGATTCTCCTCCTCATTATCATTTTATTAGTTGTATTATTATACACATAGGTCGACTTTTTTGGTAACCACTTTATTGAGCTATAATTCACATAACATATAGTTCATCTTTTAGGTCTATTTCTACTCTTTTATCCCAGCTGTGCAAGGTTCCCGCTGACCTGTTCTGTGATGTCTCCTCCTGTGGCAGGTGGTAGGGGGAGGGTGTGGCTGTCACCGGCTGAGTCTGAGGTGGGGTATTTCCCACTCTTCCCTGACTCCAGAACCATGAGCCCGTCCCACAGATGCTGCTGGGTGGAGCAGGTGGTAAAGGCAAGGTTGAGGCCACTCCCATACACACCTCCCCAGGCATCACCATGAGTTGTTTCTGTCTCCACAGCCCCCAGACAGCCTCCAGATTCTGTAAGAATTCCGCCAGGTCCCTGGTGGCCTTTTACCACAAGGGCGCCCTGCCTTGTGAGTGCCACCCCACTGGGGCCACCGGCCCTCACTGCAGCCCTGAGGGTGGGCAGTGCCCATGCCAGCCCAACGTCATCGGGCGGCAGTGCACCCGCTGTGCAACAGGCCACTACGGATTCCCACGCTGCAAGCGTAAGTGCACGTTTCCCATCACCCAAGTTCTGCTCTGGTCCCGTGTGGATGATGCTTACCAGGAGCAGGCTTCTTCAGTGGCACTGTGCTAGAGACTCACCTGGAGATCTGGAGAAATGCAGATTCTGATTCAGGAGACTGGGCTGGAGCCTGAGTCTCTACATTTCCAATAAGCACCCAGGTGATGCCCATGCTGCTGGTCCATGGACCGCACTCTAAGTAGCAATGTTCTAGAAGATAAGTATTTGTGACTCCCCTGCTGTGTGGCCTATGCACTTGGCAAAGCAGGTGAGTGTGACAAGTCTTAAACCTCAGAATCTTGGAGAGCTTGATCCCCTTCGTCACAGAAGCCCCTTCCATTTTTTTGGCCCAACCCAAACTCAGTTGAGATAGGACAGCCAGGGTCATGTGGCAGTGCTACTCACTGAATGAGAACCCATGGGACCTTTATCTCAGAACCATCTTGTGGTCCGAGGGGTAGGGTAAGCTCACTTCACGTGACTGCAGTGAGAAATGCAGTGTGCAGAGTCCCCATGCAGAGGCCAAGGAACAAGAACCCTGCTGCCAGGTTGTGCCCTGACCCTGGGCTCTGGACGCACAGGGTACTGGGGTGATGTGGATGTGGAGCCACTTCAGGGAGCCTGAGAGCAGCCTCCTACCAATTTCCAGAATCCTTCAATGGTCCAGAGGCCCCATATGAGTGGCACACAGTGGCAGCGAGGTGGGCTCCTTGGAGGGTCTTTCTTGGATCTGGCTGGCTCCTCAATCCCCATCCACACTGTCTGCCATGAGCATTTGGTGTGGTTGGTCTTGACTCCAAGAAATGGGCCTTTCAGATCCAAATATTTCTCTCTGACCCTTTGGAGGCTTCTGGAAAGCCTGGCAGTTGGTGGAGTGCTGCTGGAGCCCAGGCGGCCTTTGACCCTCACATGGTATTTCTTTATCCCCTGGCCAGCGTGCAGCTGTGGTCGGCGCCTTTGTGAAGAGATGACGGGGCAGTGCCGCTGCCCTCCCCGCACGGTCAGGCCCCAGTGTGAGGTGTGTGAGACACACTCATTCAGCTTCCACCCCATGGCCGGCTGCGAAGGCTGCAACTGTTCCAGGAGGGGCACCATCGAGGCTGCCATGCCGGAGTGTGACCGGGACAGCGGGCAGTGCAGGTGAGCTGGGGGAGTAGCCTGTCTGCTTCTGTCACAGGGAGGTCGCGTGCCATCTGCCCACACACTGGTCATCGTCACTTTCCACTTCCCACCTGTCCAGGGGTGCCCTGTGTTGACCTCGGCATGAGCTTCCCAGACAGGATGGGTTGCAGTGGGTGGAGTGATTGGTCCCTTAGGCTCAGAACTGGGCAGAGCCTGTGTGGACAGATTACCAGTCATCTTGGGCCGGCAGCAGCCTTGCCCATTGACTCCAGCATGCTGTCACTATGGGACTGTGTTCTGTGTGTGCCATGAGGCAGAAGTGGGAGAAGAATGATACATGCATAATGAAGGTATCTGTGTGCTTTGCTGGGATGCCTTGTGGTGAGCACCTGTCCATTTGTATTTAGGTATGAGCTTCATACCCTCCTTCTAGGGTTCGCTGGCAGTGTGGTTAAGGTCAATGTGTGACAGAGTCTGAAATCCCACCTAGCTGATTTGGGCTGGAAGGGGAGCTGAGGCCTCCACAGCAGGGCTTGGTGGGAGTGAGGAGGGAGTCAGGGTGAACAGGAGACAGGCTGGAGAGCCTGGCCTGAGAGTGGGGCTGCCCTCAGAGGATCGCTGAGCAGTCCAGTACTTAATTGCTAAGGGACAGGTGGAGACCTCGGCTCATGCAGATGCTGCATTGCTGAGAGGTTTGATTCAGAGGCTGCATTGGAATGTGGAGGCCGGTGTCACATGGTTCCAGGTGACAAGCCTGATCTCAGCAGGACTGGGTGGGGGCTGCAGGGGCCAGAGAAAGCGTATGGCTCCTAGAAGGAGAGACTGGTAAGAATTAGATCAGTGGTGATATGCTGGGGAAACTGAGTCAGAGGCCAGGCCAGGATGGCAGCGTGCAGGGGAAAGCAGAAGTTTCACCATGCACCCCACTCCCTTCAGCACGCACCCCAGGCACATGGATATTATGGAGTCCGTAATTTGGGTGTGAGAGCCAAGAGGGCCTATGGCTGCTGGGGACAGGCCTCAGTGACTCCCACTTGAGGGTGGCTGTGGTAGTCTCCCATGACTGCCATTAACGAATGCCACAAACAACGCTAAAATAACAGAAATTTATTCTTACACATTTCTGGAGCCTGGAAATTAAAAATCAAGATGTCGGCAGGGTTGGTTTCTTCCGGAGGGTCTGCAAGAGAACCTGTTCCATGCCTTTCTCTTCGCTTCTGGTGTGCAGGTATTCCTGGGGGAGTCCCTGGGCTGTTGGCTGCATCACTGCAACCTCTGCCTCCGCCATTACATGCTGTTCTCCCTGTGTGTCTCTGTCTTCCTGTGGCGTTTCCCTCTCTGTACGTGTCTCTGTCTCTTCTCATTTTCTTATAAGGACACCAGTCATACTGGCTTAAGGCCCACCGTACTCTGGTATAACCTCATCTTAACTTAATTACATCTCTAAAGACCCTGTTTCCAAATAAGGTCACATTCTCAGGTAGTGGGGGGTAGAACTTGGACAGATCTTTTGTGGGGATACAATTCAACTCTCTATAGCAGCAATGTTTGCTTTTCTAAGAAAGGCCCCTTAACCACACCTTTAATTGTTATCTGGTGCCTCCCAACTCCTTGATAATACTGGAACCTTGTAAGGAAGCTGGGAGAAAAACTCAAATCATGAAATATTCCAAGTCTTTAAAACCACAGGTGTGAGTCCTGCCTGAGTCAGCTCAGTCACTCAAGAACCAGAGGGGATACCTGTGTTTAATCACAGGAAGCAAAGGAACCAAGGGGGAGATGGAGAATCAGTTTTCAGGCAGGAAGAGAAGCAGTAGAGTTTTCAAAGGGAGTGGTTTGTCAACAATAAATCGCTGCAAATGGAACTTCACACACAATTTCTCAATGCTGCTGTCACAGAAAAAGAAAACCAAGAGTGCTTTTAAAAATGTTTTAATCTTGTTAAGGCACCAGAAGGTGATGGATGGATTTACTGCAGTATTTTATGTAAAAATCCCTAAGAATTTTATTTTTAACAAACTGTCACTGCCAATGATAATTTAATAGACTGGAATA
The DNA here is from genome assembly GCF_000001405.40 of Homo sapiens. Lineage (NCBI taxonomy): Eukaryota > Metazoa > Chordata > Mammalia > Primates > Hominidae > Homo > Homo sapiens. The sequence goes on from NC_000018.10 coordinate 23,849,706, forward strand.
TTCCTAACTCAGGATGGAGGCATGTCTATAGTAAGTTTTGCCCAAACCTGACAGCATCAACAGAAATGGAATCTTGCTGACTTGTATTACACTTAAACCAAGATGTAAAACTGTTTACTTTGACCTTAGGAAAGGGACTATAATAATCTAATGGGATAACGCATCTTCCCATGATCAAAGTAGATTTGTCATAAAAGGGCCTTGTCAGAAAATGTAAGAAAATTTACATTACTGTAAATTGCACAAATTGCCCATGATAATTTCAGTGTAAATGCTGAAAAAGCTTTTGATTGCCTGAAGGGATTACTTCTTTATAAATATTAGAGGAAAAACTATTTTTTTCCTCCTTAGAAAATTTCCTTTATGAAGAATATGTTTAGAGGAGTCTAAAGCTCATGTAAAAGAAATAATCAGAGATACCTAGAGTTTATGAGAAAAAGGAAAACACATTCTTTCACAGTCTTGTCCTGCAGTTGTACAAATCATCACAAACTGCAAAGCTGAAAAATTGCAATTCTCAAATTGTATTTAACTACTTATAAGCATTCAACTTTATCATACTATAAGAAAATCAAACTGTTACAAATATTCATCTACTTTAAAATGAATTACAAAAATAATTTTAGCAATCTACAATACTCACTCTTTACTTAGTCAACCTGGTGTTGTAGTTTTAGAGGCAATAAGTTGGAACCATAAAACTGAGCCTTCGACTCACCTTTGGCAAGTCCTAGCTATGAGACTGGGCAAGTCATTTTGTCTGCCTGGCTTTCAGCTTCTTACTCTGTAAAATGAAGTTTAGTAAAATCATCTCTAACTTCCTATCTAAATTTAAAATTCTGATTCCATTTCTTTTTCAATCTCTGATTGTATCACGGACTATATTGTGTAATTATCGAAAGGTCTATTATTCTGGCCAATTCTATCAAGATCAAAAAGATGCTTATATTGATCAAAACTTCATTTTTTTTAGCACAACAAGACAGCACATATATCTATTTATAGCGATGAAAAAGTAAATTTGCATCTGCTCCTAGTAATGGAAGATATGTGCCATCAGATTCTCTGAACATACAAAAGGGCTAGAATATTTTTGGAAGACTTTATCCATCTGTGTCAGACGTGAGGAAGCTGGAGATCCCTGGTAGTAAAAGCTGCAGTACTGTTGACCGCGTCCAAGCTATTTTCAGATTGATCAAAGGAGATGGCAGTCCACCTGGACATCCAGTGAAGCCACGTGTACCTCATGCCTTTTCAGAAGGGTAGTAGCCACAGGAAAGATTTGGGGATTCCCTCTATCTCCACTCAGATTTACTAAGCCTTTGTGTTAAATGGAGAAATTAAAAACCAGAAAAGGTCATCGACTTGGTGTTCTCAGAACAGAAGGGCTTCCAGCTAGGCATCAATTCCTGAGCCCTAACAACTTGGAGAGGCAATTTCTTTGATGCACTTCATCAAATAATCTGTGAGGCTGGCCAGGCAGTGTGCAGGCGCTGGGATGTGCTGTTGACACAGTGGTGACGGCTGTAACAGCCACACAGAAGGAGCTCAGGGTTCTCACCTGCACGACCTCTGTCGTCCTTCGTCTCCTGTAATACTGGCATCTTCTTCTAACCTCTCTGATGATGCTTCTCTGGCCATTTCACTGGCTTCATTTTTCTCCTTCTGCCTCCAGACCAAGAAGATGTGTGGTGTGAGTTGCGTCCTGTCTCTGCCGCTCACTCTCTGGGTGACCTCAGGTATATTACTTCTGTCCTCTGGGCCTTAGGTCTTCATCTGTAAAATAAGGATCCTGGAGGCACCTTTAGAGGGTTAAATATCCTCTGTGAACACACTGAAAGCAGCGCCTGATACACTCTGAGCACCCAGTAAGTATTAGCTGTTGTGGTTATTTGCCAAGGTCATGGCTGTCTGCCTTCCTCCCTCTATGGTTTGTCCCTGAGACTCCACCCATTCTCCTGGCTTCAGCCACCCTCACTCCTGGATGATTCCCAGATCCACAGCTCCAGTCCTGATCCTTGAGGGCTATCCTATTCCACCTTTATTGCAAATCGACTCAACCTGGGTTCTCTTATTGACTTTACACAGGTAGCCTTGGACAAGTTCCCTAAGCTCTTTGAGCTCCTGTCTCCTCACATGTATTATGAAAAGTTAGATTGGATAATCGTTAACTCCTGAATTCTACAATACTGATCCTATCTCTGAAACCCATGTCACTGTCTTCCCTTTCAAGCCATTTCTCCCTTTGGGTTAAAAAAAAAAAATTCTACTTAATGATAACAGCCTCTTTCCAGTCCTTTAAGCCTGAAATCTGAGTATCATCTTAGAATCAACCCATTTTCCCTACAGCCAGTCAGGTGTCAACTTCTGGCAAGGGACATATTATCCCCCTTCCTTTCCATGGCTGTCTACAGCCTGGTTAAGTCCTTTTACCACTTCATGTTCAGATGATATTGATGCTTTCCTAGTTGGCCTTCCTTTTCCTGGTTTACTCATTCATTCTTTCTTTTTTGGCTCTTTAAGAAGAATATACTAAATTGACAATTATACTGGGATTCAAATATCTGTCTTTCCCTTAACTTTATTCACAAATACATGGTACTATTAGTCTGTGAACTTGAGACAATGTTGATAAATGCATACATGTTTATGATTTTATCTTCTTTTTGTTTTATGGCAGCCTGCCCTTAAATGTGATTTTATCTTCTTGGCATGTATTTCTGTTTGTTTTTGTTATTTTAATGAGGATGAAACATCTCAGTTCCTTGTGAGGTTTTTTAGCTTTCCCTTAAGTGTTATTTTGTATGTGTTTTGTTGCTCAAAGTGCATCTAATACCTACTCCAGTTTGGGTGCTGTGCTTCCTGTGGAAGGCACACATGTTTGTGATCTGGTGGGGGCACCTGTTCTAACCAAGAGTGACAGTGCAGCATGGTGAGCGCCATATTGTGTGTGGGCTGTTATGGGAACACCATTTCCATGACATCACATTCTTTGCTCAAGAACTTTCCTTAATTCCCCATTGTCTAATAGGATAAAGACCAACTTTCCGTGATTTGACTTCTATCTACCCTAACTTTTAGTACCTTTTTGTTTTTTCTGCTTTCTTCTCTGGCTTGGTTTTCTCACTTCCTCTAAACACTTTTTGTCTGTGTTCTGTTCTCCAGTTGTGAAAGGGCTCCCTCCTCCTCTCCTACTACCCCCAAATTATGCCTGTCCTTCAAGGATTTTTGTGTTAAAAGTACAGACTCAAAGAATGCAAGGAGCCTTCTACGAGTCCACAGAGATCGCCTCATCATCTCATTGGCCAAAGCAAGTTGACTGCTTAGCCAGCTTCTCCCTTAATTTCCACATTCTAGGTCCTGTGTCCGCAGTGAAACATGTCCACATCAAGACTGACTTATTCTACTTTGTCCCCTCCCTCCCATGTCCCCTAACAAAGGAATGTGTATGTAGAAGGCACTCAATAATTCTTGAGTGAAAAAATAAATAAATAAATAAGGTAGATTTTGGGCTCTAGGTTAAAACTGGACTTTGATATGAGCATAATATGAAGGGCCCTACAGTGTTTATTAATTTATTCATTTGAGATGGAGTTTCACTCTTGTTGCCCAGGCTGGAGTGCAGTGGCGTGATCTCGGCTCACCGCAACCTCTGCCTCCAGGGTTCAAGCGACTCTCCTGCCTCAGCCTGCCGAGTAGCTGGGATTACAGGCATGCACCACCACACCCGGCTAATTTTGTATTTTTAGTAGAGATGGGGTTTCTCCATGTTGGTCAGGCTGTTCTCGAACTCCCGACCTCAGGTGATCCACTGCCTCAGCCTCCCAAAGTGCTGGAATTACAGGCATGAGCCACTGCACCCGGCCCCTTAATGACCAAAGGATGCAGCTCACCCCAACACATCTGGGCCTGATTCTCTGAGACATGGCAAGCACCCACCCATGCCCAGATGTTGTTACAAAACGTTTGGCCAGGAGCCCCATTGCCATGGAGATAAATTCTCTTGACCTGCCTCCCCAGAATTGCCATTCTGCAGCTACTCCTTGGGTACCAGAAATTCTGGTAGGGCTGTTCCTTGGGTACCATAAATTCGCTGTAGAGAAACATACCAAGTCAGGCCGACATGAGGTCATTTTAAAGGATGTTCAGCCAGACTTTGAAGAGGAAATGTCCTCTTCCTTCCCTATTGTCATGGCACCACCAAAAACTTCCCTATTGTCCTGGCAACACCAAAAACTGTCTTTGCACAGGATGCATAACTCAATTATCTAAACATTGCAGTACTCAAGAATATAGATATTGTTTTGGTTCACCCTGGCCTAGCAGGCCCAGCGGGGCCACTCAGGGTCCCATTTGCAGGCCGCTGCTCTCCTCCCTCTGCTCTGTTGGCTTTTTTCCCATCTGCTTTAGTGCTCTCAGCTGCTACCCATGTGCTGTGTGAGGCTCAGAGCTTGGTCCTATATTACTGACTGGCCACATCTTCTCAGTCACTCTCTTTCCACTGGATCATCTCGCATACATTCTAAAATAAACACACAGGCCAGTCATGATTTTGCTTCCCTTCCTCCTTGTCTGGACAAGCAGCTTCCACAGCTGCCCTTGCTGCAGGTACTCTTGTTCCTTTCCTTTCCAGTGAAGTGAAAATACAAAACGTGGCCAGGTGCGGTGGCTCACGCCTGTAATCCCAGCACTTTGGGAGGCCAAGTTGGGTGGATAACGAGGTCAGGAGATCGAGACCATCCTGGCTAACATGGTGAAACCCCATCTGTACTAAAAATACAAAAAATTAGCTGGGCATGGTGGCGGGCACCTGTAGTCCCAGCTACTTGGGAGGCTGAGGCAGGAGAATGGCGTGAACCCGGGAGGCGGAGCTTGCAGTGAGCCGAGATTGCGCCACTGCACTCCAGCCTGGGTGACAGAGCGAGACTCTGTCTCAAAAAAATAAATAAATAAAAATAAATAAAAAAAGAAAAGAAAACATAAAATGCAGGCTCCAGGGCCGGATGTGGTGGCTTACGCCTGTAATCCCTGCACTTTGGGAGGCCAAGGAGGCGGATCACGAGGTCTGGAGATCGAGACCATCCTGGCTAACACGATGAAACCTCGACTCTCCTAAAAAAATACAAAAAATTAGCTGGGCATGGTGGTAGGCGCCTGTAGTCCCAGCTACTCGGGAGGCTGAGGCAGGAGAATGGCATGAACCCAGGAGGCAGAGCTTGCAGTGAGCCGAGATCGCGCCACTGCACTCCAGCCTGGTGACAGAGCGAGACTCCGTCTCAAAAATAAATAAATAAAAAATAAAAAAATTTAAAAAAATAAACCACACACACAAAAAAACCACAGGCTCCTGTCTGCGTGACCTCACTTTCCAGGTCCCTGCCCAGATCACTTGCTCAGGGGACACTCTGAGTTGTGCCCACCAATGGCGTTCAGTGTGTGAGTTGCTCACCTACCACCAGCATCTTATTAATTCACCCTTGGCCAGAAGCCCCGCATGTTTGCTAAAAGAAACGTTCAGACCTTGGGATGCCAGTCTGCCAGGTTGGCACTTCATGGCAACACTGTCCCTCTGTGCGTGGTGTTCTTTCCTTCACTGCCAGGAAAAGAGAAGCAAGGTTCACCCAGCCTACGTCGGGCCATCTCCAATGGCCCTCTTCTGTTCTGAGGCTTCTCTCTCTGATGGCTTTTATTTTGGGAGGGGTCATCTGCTCTCTCTTCTTTCCGGTCTCTAGACCACCAGAGTCCTTGTGCTCCACACTCGCTGTCTCTCCAGAAATAAGGAATCAGCTGAGAACAGGCTTTACATTTTTGCCAGACTGCCTGATTACATTTAGTCCGAGGGTCACAAGAAGAGAGCAGTTGTTATTAACCTGGGGCCAGGAGCCCTCTGATAAGAGAATGCAAAATTGTGTGTATATGAGAATGAGTCTTTCTGTGAGTTTAGTGGACACTTTTCTGAGAATATGGCCCATAGTTTACCCAGCTTTCCAAAAGCGTCTCCGATCCTCTCCCAGAGTTTACAATCCACTGCACTAGAGCCATCCACTTCAAGCAGAACATTTACACTCTATACCTACATTACTCTAAGTGTGGTTTTGAGGCTACTTCCTTATGGAATCATTTCTGCAGGTATCGAGTAGGGAGAGGTGAGAGGGATGGGGCTGAAAGATGCAACTTGCCAGGAGGTCTTGCAAGTAATGCTGAGTTGGTCCTTTTAGTTGTGCCGAGTGGACAGAAAGGCACCGTCTCCTCCCCTTAGCCCATGTCACAGCTAGAATAGTAATAGCAAATACTTACGTGTGTGCAAGCAACTCCTGTAAGGTTTTTACATGTAATATTTAATCCTCACGACAATCCTGTGAAGTAGATATTGTTACCTCCATTTTTACAGATGAAGAAACTTGGTTGTAAAGTGACCAATTTGCCCAAGGTCCAGTAAGTGGTAGAGTTGGGATTCAAAGCAGGTTACCTGGTTCCAAGTTTATGTTCTTAATCACATACAAAATCCTTTATAAGCAGATATTTGCCAAAGGGAAATAAGCAGATATTTGCCAAAGAGAAACTTAATGGGATATGAAGAGTCGTATTTAACTTTTTTAGGATGGTCACTGGGGTAAGATATTTTCACAGGTATTAGGAGATAGGTGATGGCCTACATTTGGTAGTAATTGAACAATAAAGTGTTATTGCCTATATGCCAATAAAAATGTATTTCTAATACTTCCCTTAGTCCCACAGAAGAGAATCAGTGTGTAGGTAGATCCCAGCTCTGAATGCAGTGCTTGGCTCCCCAGGGCTCGCGGCACTTTCTCTTCCCCTCTCCAACCTCGAGTTCTGGGTTCTCCAGGCACAGCCATAGCCCACTGCTTTTCTGCCTCTGCTCAGCTGTTTGTGTTTTCTTGTCTGCCCGGATCTTCAGTTAAAAGGACCTGCAGATGGTTGAGGGTGGATGACTCAGAGTGACCCTCCCACCCCCCACTGTGCTTTCCTCTGAGCTCTGGCCCTTGCAGGTAACAAGGGACATTAAGATCCACTCTGTCACCCAAGCAGGGAAATTGGGAGTCTTCCTTGTCTTCTCTTCTTTCCTCTACTCCTCATCCAGAATCTTACAGTTCCCAGAAACCTCACCCCAAAATAGTTTGGGAGCCCATCCCTCCTCCCCATCTGGATACCTTTGCCCTAGGTTAGCCCCCAGTCTCTCTCCTGACTTGACATCCTGCTGCTGCTGCTGCTGGAATTCACCCTCTGGGCTCCATCCTTCACACAAGTCCAACCACACCCTCTCCTCCTTAACAGCTGTTCATGTTGCCTTGTTTGTAACTTGCCAAGTGCCAGGCACTGGGATGAAATTTTGCATGCACTGCCTCATGGGTTCCCAGCAATCCCAGGAGGCAGCAGCTACCGTGTTCTGTCCCTCATAGGTATGAAAAGCAGGCTTTGGGAAGTTAAAGAACTTGCTAAGATGGTGTGTCTCATATGGTCAGAGCTGGATTAGAACTGCAGCCTTGCATGCACAGGTCTCAGCTACTGCGCTGTGCTGCCGTGTCCAGCCCCTCTGTCCTGATGATCTGACACCACCTACCTCCTCAGGCCATGGGGCAGCATTCCCTGCCTGGACATCTGCCCCAGCAGCACCATGCTTGTGTTGTTCCCTGTACACACTGAGTGATCTCCCGCTCTGTTCCTTCTGTCTGGAATGCGCATCCCAACTTCTACCCTATGACTCTGCCCTTTAAAGCTCAGGTCAGGAGTCATTTCCCCCAGGGAAACTTGTCACCTGCTACTCCTCTGAACCTCAGTTAGATTCTGTGTAGGTTGTCATCATTTCCACTTATGGGCCATCTGCGGGAGCCCTCCAGGCTCGGGGGCCATGTCCCTTCTTGCGCCCTCAACACCTAGTGCTAAGCCTGACCCATCTACGACGGTCATCCATGACCATCCACAATGGCCATTGGTCAATGACCTACATTCTGTAAGTGCCTTTTATCTGCCTCTCTCCATTCTGCCTTGGACTATAAGCAGGCATTGTATCTATTTAACTGGCTTTGCACACCAATTAGTCCACTATAGTGTAAGTGAGCACTTTAAAATTGTGTGTACAAAGATGATGATTTTTGCTTCCTTTACTTTGTGTACAGATGCAAGCCCAGAATCACAGGGCGGCAGTGTGACCGATGTGCTTCCGGGTTTTACCGCTTTCCTGAGTGTGTTCCCTGCAATTGCAACAGAGATGGGACTGAGCCAGGAGTGTGTGACCCAGGGACCGGGGCTTGCCTCTGCAAGGTAAGAGAGATCGTGCAATGCCAGACAACAGCTGCCGGTCAGCAGGAAAGTGCTTCATGTTGAGTCAACATAGAAAAGTATGTGGGAAATGGGACTGACCCGTAAGAGATGTTGATAGTGTATGTAGCATTTTATAGTCACGATCTCATTTTACAGAAATAGTTAGGAGGTGAGACCCCTTTTATCTTTTGGAGAGGTCTCAGACCGCCTTAGAATCTGATGACGGATATAGACCCTTTCCAGAAAAATCAGCACAAACTTTTATCTACAGTTTCATGAGGTTCATAGGTTCACCTAAAACCCATTCCTGGACCATGGACTCCAGGTGATCATCTCTGCTCCAAGGGGTTCCGCCAGGTTGTAGGAGACCTTCCAATTCCCAGGAGATGTTTTAAGGTGGTGGTGAGTGAGATGAATTGGTCTCCCCATCCTGTGAACCGTATGGTGCTATTTCTCTACTTGCAAGATGCCCCAGGGGCATCTTATGAAATTTAGAGAATTCTCTCCTCCATTTGTGTGTGGTATAAAAGTTTAAACAATTAACATGGGATGAAAGCTTAATAATTAACATCTCTTTTAATGTTTTGCTCACATCCTCATCCTAACATCTTGTGTTGGTATTTAATTTGTGCAAGTAGCTAATTGCAACTAGGGAAATTTTGGAACACGTGATCTCTTATTTCATGTTTTGCTTCAATAGGAAAATGTAGAAGGCACAGAGTGTAATGTGTGTCGAGAAGGCTCATTCCATTTGGACCCAGCCAATCTCAAGGGTTGTACCAGCTGTTTCTGTTTTGGAGTAAATAATCAATGTCACAGCTCACATAAGCGAAGGACTAAGGTATGCATTGACAGAAAGTGCTGGGGAACATTTTGTACATGGATTTGTTAAATGATAAGCATATCCCTCGCTGCTCCTTGGCCTGCAGTGTTTTAAAATTCTTGTTTCCTGAATTCGTCAGTTGTTTGCTCGAATGCCATGTGTTCAGAGGGGCTTTCCTTCACCACTTCCTATAAAATAGCACACCTTGGACACTCTTGCTGACCTTACCCTTGTCTTCCCCATAGGAGTCATCACTCCCTATTTAACATTTTGTTTTAAAATTTGTTTATTGCCCTTCTTCTTCCATCCCTAGAATGGTGAGTTCGCTGATACACCCCTAGTGCCTAGAACAGGATCTGGGACATAATAGATGCCCAATAAATCTCATTAAATAAATCGAGTTTGTCATTTTCCCCTTTAAAAGAAAACCTTGTTTCTATACTCACAACACTCTAACACCAAATGTGTGGGGTTTTTTCTATACTAAAAATTCTCTGATTCTCCCAGACACTCCGGGGTGTCCTGCAATTCAATTCACTTCTGACACTCTCTACCTGGAGGTGGCATCAGACTGCACAGGCTAAGGGCTCAGTTCTTCCAGACTGCTCCCACTTCAGATGCCAGTTGCAAGTCCCAGGCCTCCAGTACTTCTCCAGTGCTTTGCTACAAGTTGGGGGTTCCCACAGCCCACTCCTCATGTTTATAATCTGCTATAATGGCTCCCAGAATTCAGGACACACTTTCCTTCCTATTGCTGTTTATTATAAAGAATATGATAAAGGATACAGAGCAACAGCCAGGTGAATAGGTGCATAGGGTAAAGTCCAGAGGGTTCCAGGCATGGGAGTTAGGGCGCACCATCCTCCTGGCATGCAGACGTGTTTACCCACCCAGGAGCTCTCCCAAACTACCATTTAGGGTTTTTTGTTTGTTTGTTTGTTTTTTGGTGGCTCTTTCATGTAGGCATGATTGATTAAATCATTAGCTATTGATAATTAACTCAATCTCTAGTCCCTCTCCCTTCCTCAGAGGTTGGGGGTAGGGCTGAAAGTCCCAACCCTCTCATCCTACCTTGGTCTTCCTGGCTACAAGCCCCCATCCTGAAGCTACCCAGAGGACTCAGCCACCACTTATCTCATTAGCACACAAAGAGACACTATTACCACATCAGAGTCCAAGGGTCTTAGAAGCTCTGGCCTCAGGAACTGTGGACTAAGACCAATTACTATGGCAAAAGATGCTCCTATCACCCCTATCATTCAGGAAATTACAAGGGTTTTAGGAGCTCTGTGCCAGAAACTGGTAGTAATAGCCAAATCCGCATCTCTCATGATGTCTTGTTATGTCACAATATCACACCCCTCACTTCTCATTTTTACTTCTCTTCTTTCTGTTTTGCTTTCCTTCTCACCTATTTTATCATATCTTTTCTTTGGTCACTTTTCTTTTCTTTTTTTTTTTTTTTTTTTGAGACAGGGTCTCTGTTGCCTAGGCTGGAGTGTAGTGGTGTGATCACAGCTCATTGCAACCTTCGCTTCCAGGGCTCAAGCAATCTTCCTGCCTCAGCCTCCTGAGTAGCTGGGACTACAGGCATGCACCACCACACCTGGTTAATTTTTGTATTTTTTGTAGAGTCAGGGTTTTGCCATGCTGCCCAGGCTGGTCTCAAACTCCTGGGCTCAAGCAGTCCTCCCACCTTGGCCTCCCACAGTGCTGGGATTACAGGTGTGAGCCACCACACCCGGCCTTCTTTGGGCATTTTTAAAATTAACTTCATAAAACTAAAACTTTTCTTGTTTTCATTATTCCATGAACCAGTAACCTCATGCTTGCCTTCTTTGTGTGAGTCATGTCTTATATCCAACAAGTACTCAAAAAAAGATTTTTTTTTTTTTTTTTTAAGATGGAGTGTCGCTCTGTCACCCAGGCTGGAGTGCAGTGGCATGATCTTGGCTCACTGCAACCTCTGCCTCCCGGGTTCAAGCGATTCTTCTGCCTCAGGCTCCTGAGTAGCTGGAATTACAGGCATGCCCCACCACACCCGGCTAATTTTTATATGTAATAGAAACAAGGTTTCACCATGTTGGCCAGACAGGTCTTGAACTCCTGACCTCAGGTGATCCACCCACCTCGGCCTCCCAAAGTGCTGTGATTACAGATGTGACCCACCGCACCTGGCCCCAAAAATACTATTTTATATATTTTACTGCCTGCCTATTTCATATCTTTTACTGCCTGTCTCCTAAAAGGAGTGTAGCTAGTAATTGGAAAAAAAAAATACTTTGTAAATCTGCTCTGAAGTCTCTTATCCCCTGGGAACCAGAAAGCATTAATCCAATCCTATGCTTGCTCAGTTCTTTCTTTTTTTTTTACCTCAAAATTAACTGGCTTCCTTTGTGACCAGGAAAAGATTTAATTTTGATGCTCCATTTAGAGAAAAATAATAATAGCAGGCCACTGAATTCCACATCACATTTTTCTTTATAAGGAGCTTGCCATTAAATGCGCCATGGTCCTAGTTTTTATTCATACACTTATTTCTTTATTATTCAAACACTCATTGATCACCTACTAAATGTCAAGAACAATGATGTGTGCTGGGTTACAAAGATAAATCCCACACATGTAAGGCCACTGCCTTCCCAGAACTCCCAGTGGCAATGGGTCAGACGGGGCTCTGGCTCGGGAGGGCAGGTGCAGGAGTAGACGCATAAAGGAGGCCTCTGAGGCAAGGAGGCTGCCCGTGGAGCTTTCTGTAGTACATCATGCACCCATCACCCCAGGGATGCCACGACCAAGACGTTTCCATCCCTTGCTTCTCTCCCTCTTTCCAGTTTGTGGATATGCTGGGCTGGCACCTGGAGACAGCAGACAGAGTGGACATCCCTGTCTCTTTCAACCCAGGCAGCAACAGTATGGTGGCGGATCTCCAGGAGCTGCCCGCAACCATCCACAGCGCGTCCTGGGTCGCACCCACCTCCTACCTGGGGGACAAGGTAATGATGTCCTGCTGTTCTTCTGGGCCCTCAGTGGGCCTCTGCTATTGCTGCATGAGCATCATTTCCTGGAAATCTGGAAGGAAGCATCCAGCAGTTCAGGTTACTAACGTTCCAGAAATGAGCTGAACTAAAAGTGAGGAAGAGACCCTGCCTCCTGCTGTGAGGGGCTGAGCAGGCACACACTGCGCCCCACCATTGCCATGCATGAGCTACCAGCAAAGGAAATCACCCACAATGTTTTTCTCAGTTTTTACCTAATGTCAAAGAATTTTCCTCCAGGGAAATAACCATTTAAATACTATCTATTGCAAATGGGACATGCGTGCTTTTAAATGCCAATGCTGAGAATTCTTTATTTTAAGGCAGAAGAAAGCCTCTTTGTTAGGAAAACGAAAGCTAACAAGTGACTCACAAGCTTATTAAAAGAAACACAGGATCTGGTGGCAGTTCGACTTTCCTAAGTAGAATCACATAGTTACACACTCCTCAGGAACTTACAAACCACTTGCTCTTCCTTTGCTGCAAGAGTTATTATGCCAGAGGCTGGCCACCTCCATCCATTTTATGAGGACAGAAATGCAGGCCTCATGTGGAAACATGAGGTGACATATGTTTCTTAGCAAGGGTGGAACTTGCTAACGGGTGGATTTCACAGGGCCTGGCTCAGGGGATGCCAAATTCTCACATTAGGAAGACTAAAATAATAGGGCCTTGTTGGCCTGAGGTCTCTAACTTTGTCTTCTGGGTGAAGGACTGTGGGTTTTGACATCTGAGTGTGGGAAATGTTGCCTCTCTTCTATGATCCCACTTCTCTTTCACTTAATACTCCTCTTTACCGCTATATGACGGGCCCATGTGTTGATTATCTATTGCTATGTAACAAATTACTCCAACACTTCGCAGCTTAAAGCAGTAATGATTATCTTGGATGAGGAATTCAGGAGGGGATGGCCCAGAGTCTTCCTAGGTTACTGTCAAGATGTCAACCAGGGCTGTAGTCCCCTGGGACTGCAGCATCTGCTTCCAAGCTCACCCACATGGCTGTTAGCAGGCCTCTGCTTCTGGCTAGCTGTGGGCTGGAAGCCTCCATTTCTCATCACGTGAGACCCTCCATAGGCTACCTGAGGGTCCTCATGACATGACAGCTGGCTTCCCCCAAAGCAACTTATGGGGGGTGGGTAACAGGGTGGGGGAGAGAGAGAGAGAGAGAAAGAGAGAGAGAGAGAGAGAGCTAGCTCAAGACAGAAGCTGCAGTGTTTTTGTAACCTAATTTCAGAACTGCCATGCCCTCACTTCTCCTTTATTCTATTCATTAGCAGCAAGTCACTAAGCCCAGCCCACACTCAAAGGGAGGGGAATTTGGTGGCTCACGCCTGTAATCCCAGCACTTTGGGAGGCCGAGACAAGCGGATCATCTGAGGTCAGGAGTTTGAGACCAGTCTGGCTAACATGATGAAACACCTGTTTTTACTAAAAATACAAAAATTAGCTGGGCATGGCGGCAGGCGCCTGTAGTCCCAGCTACTCAGGAGGCTGAGCCAGGAGAATCATTTGAACCTGGGAGGCGGAGGTTGCAATGAACTGAGCTCGAGCCATTGGACTCCAGCCTGGGCGACAGAGCGAGACTCCATCTCAACAAAACAAAACAAAAAGGAGGAGGGGGAATTAAGCCCCACCTCTTGAAGGCAGGAGTGCAAAGAATTTGTGGCCATGTTTTTAAAACCACTTTAAGCCCATCAAAAAAGCAATACTTAAATCACAATAATAATTCAAGACATTGCCTTGGAATACTTCCAGGCTTGAAGATCAAAGCTCTGTAAGGCTTTGTCAGGTTACAGACTCTAGGGAAAAGCTTCTGTTGAATGGGATCCTAGAAGAGCGTGGCTTCTTTCCCCTGCCTGCTCTAAGTTGTTGGCATTTTCCTATAGGTTATTTTGTTCTGTCTAATCAGAGGTGACCTTGCCTGTGATTTTCATCCTTCTGTCACTTCTTCCTTCTTGATTGTGTTTTACTTAAAGGATGGGAGGTGTCAGGACCCAAGGTGTGAAGTAGCTGTCAGAAAACTGACCATTCACTCCATGTCCTCACCACCATCATGCTGCTTGTGGGACATTGAGAGGTCTGTGCACCTGCTGGAGTTGTCAGCCATGGCTACTGTACACAGCAGAACTCACAATAATTTGGGAAATGTTCACCATCTGCTTTCAGGAGAATTGTTTTTGGAGAAAATTTATTTTTAGAGGTTATTTTGTGACTGATAGATATTATCCAGTTCTCTCAGTTAAAAAAGAAACCAATGGCCTAGATTTCCTAGAATAGTTGTGGATTAAATAAACATTTTGGTTTAGTAATCATCTAGAAAAAAAAAGGAACACGACTATTATTTTTCTTACTTTCTTTCTTTTCTTTCTTTCATTTTTTTTTTTTTTTAAAAGAGACAGGGTCTTGCCCTGTTGCCCAAGCTGCACTGCAGTGGTACAATAATAGCTCACTGCAGCCTCAAACTCCTGGGCTCAAGCGATCTTTCCACCTCAGCTTCCTGAGTAACTGGGACTACAGGTGTGCACCACCACACCTGACTAATTTTTAAATATTTTTGTAGAGACAGGGTCTCGCTGTATTGCCCTGGCTGGTCCCTAATTCCTGACCTCAAGTGATCCTTCTGCCTCGGCTTCCCAAAGTGTGGGATTATAGGCATGAGCTACTACACCCAGCCATATTTTTCCTTTTAATAAAGGTATCTTCTTGCTTGTAAAACTCAATCATGTTCATGCTAAACATTTCAAATGACATTAAAAATAGCATAAAGTAGAAAAAATACCATCCTCAACCCCACCTCCTAGATACAACCCTTGTTACCAGGTCGAGTGTGTTTCTTTCCACACCTTGTGTGCCTAAGTGCTTTTCATGCGGGTTGATGTTGACATCATCTCTTTTAATGCTTGTGCTATTGATGCTATTAATTCCATTTTAGGTTTCTTCATATGGTGGTTACCTCACTTACCAAGCCAAGTCCTTTGGCTTGCCTGGCGACATGGTTCTTCTGGAAAAGAAGCCGGATGTACAGCTCACTGTAGGTATCAGAGCATGACCTAAGTGGCAGGAAGTGGCAGTTGCAGTTGGTGCTGATCTAAATTTAGGACATCTTGATATGTGGCCTACAAAAAGTTTAGATTAAATCATTTCCAATATTTTGCAGAAACTAAATGAAAGTTGAAAGCATGTAACATCTTTTCAGGATCCTGCCTCCTCTGACCAAATGTTGTCTGTCTTCTCTGCCTCCAAAGTACTTAACCGTATTTTGCTTTTGCCTCTCACAAGTTACTGCCTCATGTTAAACTTTTTTTGAACTTTTTTTATCTTTGTAGAGACAGGGTCTCACTGTGTTGCCCAGGTTGGAGTTGAACTCCTGGCCTCAAGCAATCCTCCTGCCTTGGCCTCCCCAAGCACTGGAGTTATAGGCACACACCACCATGGCCAGCTGAGGAGTTTTTAATTTTAATTTTTGTAGAGATAGGATCTCACTATGTTGCCCAGGCTGGCCTCAAACTCCTAGGCTCAAGCAATTCTCCCTGCTCAGCCTCCCAAAGCTCTGGGATTACAGGCGTGAGCCACATGTCCAGCCACATATTAAGCATTTTTTATGTTTCTATCTTTCAATTTTGTTTCATAAATGTCTTTGAATCCTTACCACGGGGCAAGATCATATTGTTGGACTCTGTAAAGGACAGGTGACCCCTTTTCTCAAAAGGAGGGGAGATTAGAGAAATATGCCAGGAACTCCAACCCACTGAATGGTAACTATTGGAGGAGAGCCAAACAGGGCCCTCTCAGTGCTGGGGTCTGGGTAGGGGGAATGGGAGTCATGTGGTCTGAGAGGCCCTTAGAAGACTTTGTGGTTCATTTTGAGCTAAGTCTTTAAGAATGGGCATAAGAAGAGAAGTGCCCTTCCAGGGGCAGGGACAAAGGCTAACAGGACTCGGGGGTGGTACAGGGCAGGAGGCTGTGCTCATGGATGACCAGTCCAATGGGGCTGTATCATCAGTGTGTGCAGAGTCATTGAAAACAAGTCTGGAAGGGTTTGATGCTATAACAGGATTTTTAGTCTGCCTCCCTGGTTCAAGCAATTCTCTTGCCTCAGCCTCCTGAGTAGCTGGGATAATAGGCATGGGCCACCATGCCCGGCTAATTTTTGTATTTTCTTTAGAGATGGGGTTTCACCATGTTGGCCAGGGTGGTCTCAAACTCCTGACCTCAAGTAGTCCACCCACCACTGAGGGGACGTTTGTTTTTTGAGAAAGGAAGTAACAACATCCACACACTATGTGCCTGGCACACAATCCAGTGCGGCAGTCTAGAAAATTCCTTGAGGGCAAGGGTAGTATCACATCCTACTTTGAATTCCCCACGACACAGGGCATAATACCCTAAACATAGGGTAGGGTGCCACTGCCTGAAGTCGGCTCTATTTCTGGTTTATTGGGTGTGATTAATGCGATGTAATGATAGCTTTGGGAAAGGTTTTCTCATGTCATGTACTGTATACAGGGACCAGCAAGTCACACACACCTCATCACAGCATATTCTTGGTAGATATTTGTGTTCAGGCACTGCTGTGTTGCTTTGTTTTTACTGGTATGCAAATCTACTAAACTGTTTTAAAAACTCCAAGGAACCTTTGCAGAATATCTTGAAGATAAAGCAGCAAAGATTTTAGAGTTATAGTCTAAGGAAAAATAGCTACACAGTAAAAACACAGTCACAGCAGTGCTGTATTTCAGTTTCATGTTTTTGCAGAGCATCTTGTAGTTCAGGCCAGGCGTATTTTTTTACTGCCAAAGAGTTTATTGTGCAAACCATTAGAATTCACTGAGAGGTAATGACCAAATTTTCTGTTTAATTTTACCTTCAAACATGGAAAATAATTTAGGCTCACAAAACATTTTCCCTGCTGCTTTGTTCTAATCCACTGTAATTAAGAGCCTCTAGGGCATGTTTCTTAGATTAAGGTTTTAAATGATATGTGATCCTAGGTAATGGCCTTCTTTCTGAAATACCAGCCCTAATGAAATACCAAACACCTTTAGGGTTTTGTGCTACAGCAGAAAAGCTGGGACATGTGTGTGTTTTTGCAGCAGGGTTGCTGATGGTAGGGTGCTGATGCAGTAGTGCTGGCCACCCCACCTTGCCCTGTTAAGATGCACATGTGAGCCACCATAATGGGGTGGGCTGGAGGCTGAGAGCGAGTGAGGCTGGGTCCCACAGGGGGAGGCAGCAGGGGAATTTTTCGCTCCACATGCCAGCTGCAGCTCCCTGCATGTGCCAACCCTCTGCCCTCCCCACCCTCCTCAGTAACCCACCCACCAAAGCACTTTCTTCCCACCGCAGGCTGGTTCGGTGGCCAGTAATGAAAACAGCACTTCCTGCATTGACTGCAAGGCATAGTTTAAAAAATTTTTTTTTCTGCCAGGTGCAGTGGCCCACACCTGTAATCCCAGCACTGCGGGAGGCCAAGACAGGTGGATCACTTGAGGTCAGGAGTTTGATACCAGCCTGGCCAACATGGTGAAACTACTAAAAATACAAAAATAAGAAGGGTGTGGTGGTGAGCACCTGTAATCCTAGCTACTAGGGAGGCTAAGGCAGGAGAATCGCTTGAACCCGGATGCCAGAGGTTGCAGTGAGCCAAGGTTGTGCCATTTCACTCCAGCCTGGGCAAGAGAGTGAGATTCCATCCCTGCCAAAAAAAAAAAAAAAAGAAAAAAAAAAGAAATTCCATCTTTTTAAGCTATTTTTGTCCAAGGCAATTTTCCTGATTTCCTATTTGTGAAAAGACACTGTGTTACTTATAATTATTCTGTTTCCATGTCACTAATATTTTTACCAGTCAGTTAATTCTGAACTATTTTTTTAAGTCAGGTATGTCATATGATGTAGACCATAGAAATGTTTTCTTAGATCAGTTATAAATCTTGAAAGATCCCAGTGAAGGTACTAACACATTCATGGTTTTCTTTAAACAGGGTCAGCACATGTCCATCATCTATGAGGAGACAAACACCCCACGGCCAGACCGGCTGCATCATGGACGAGTGCACGTGGTCGAGGTAAAGGAAGAGCAACCATAGGATGGTCCTTTCTGTTTTGTGACTTAATTATTTCAGACAATCATGATTTTTACTCATTTTAAGAATTGTAAAATATGGATTCTATTTATATAAATATGTTTATATATACAGGTTGAGCATCCTTAATCTGAAAATCCAAAATCCAAAATGCCCCAAAACGCAAACTATTTTGAGCACCAACATGACACTCAAAGGAAATGCTCACTGGAGCATTTCAGCTTTCAGATTTTCAGATTAGAAATTCTCAGTGGGTAAATACAATGCAAATGTTCCAAAATAGAAAAAAAAT
Source organism: Homo sapiens (assembly GCF_000001405.40). Lineage (NCBI taxonomy): Eukaryota > Metazoa > Chordata > Mammalia > Primates > Hominidae > Homo > Homo sapiens. The sequence continues at coordinate 23,868,228 of NC_000018.10, forward strand.
TCTGAAACTTGGATCACTTCTGGTCACAAACATTTCAGAGATACCCAACTTGTATAGATTCAAAACATGAATTATATAAAATGTGGAGTGTTTGATGCCCATGTGGCTTTCTTGGTACCATCTGTCCAGCCTTTTTACACTTTCTCTCCCATTTCACAATTAATTATCCATATCTTAAAAACCCCATGAGTCAGCCTGGGCAAGATGGCAAAACTCTGTCTGCACAAAAGCAAAATTCAATAGGCATGGTGGGGTGTGCCTGTAATCCCAGCTACTTGGGAAGCTGAGATGGGAGGATCGTTTGAGCCCAGGAGGTCGAAGCTGCAGTGAGCCATGGTCACGCTACTGCACTCCAGCCTGGGCAACAGAGTGAGACCCTGTCTCAAACAAACAAACAAACAAAAAACCTGTGAGCTTATAAATGCTATGACATAGCTCTCTGTCATCCTCAGGTCTCCCTCAGTGCCTGAGACCTGGTTAATGTTCAACATATGCTTAGGATGAATGAATAGAAAAGCTATGAAAATGTTTTACATCCAAAGAAATAAGAGTAATACTAGCAAAATAAAGGAAAGCTCATCAGATCATAAAACTTTTGTTATACTTATTTGGTTACAACTATTCCTTAAAAATAGTGTTCCATTTATATTATTAAATATGACCAGTACCTCTAGGTGAAACTTTTTGAGTACTTTGAACTTGCAGACATATTTTAATGTTTCTGAAAAGGTACATCTATACAATGGAATACTATCTGGCAATAAAAGAAACAAAATATTGATACTTGCTATAAGACACAAAAAAAGTATCATATTGTATGATTCTATTTATGTGAGACAGGTGATATCAGTAAAATGATAGAGAATCTCTAAAAATTCTGTCCTTCATAAAAGCAATGAGAGAACTGGCAAACAGGGAAAAAAAGTTCAGAATCAACGTTTTCAGAACTCTGGAAATTACTCAAAGCCTTGCAGCCATCTGGAAATGGCACACAATGTATAAAGATGCAATTTATATGATAGTAACATACCAGAGAAGAGGAGGGAATGATACTAATAGAAACAAAGTTTTTGTATACTGTTGAAATTAAGCTGGCATTTATATAAATCGTCCAGCATGGACACATGCATAGAGACAGAATGTAGATTAGTGGTTGCCTGGGTTTGAGGGTGGTAATGGGTAGTGACTACAAATTGACACAAGGGTTCTTCTTAAGGTAATAGAAATGTTCTAAAATTACATTATGATGATGTTTGCATGCTTCCGTAAATTTATTACAAATTGTATGCTTAAAATGAGGGAATATTATTGTATGTAAATTATTCCTTAAGCTGCTAAAATATAAATTAAAATTATATAAGCATCATATTTGTATGTTAGTAATAGCTACCATTTGTTAAGAATGGTGCTGAACACTTTATATATATTGTATCATTTAATTTACCTTAATTATAATGATAGCACAAGACATTAGGTATTACTGTGCCTATTTAAGAGATGTAAAAACTGAGTTCAACAAGGGCAACAAAATATAAAGGTTAAAAAGGCAGGCTTTTGGAGGCCAGGCGCAATGGCTCACGCCTGTAATTCCAGCACTTTGGGAGGCTGAGGTGGGTGGATCACGAGGTCAGGAGATTGAGACCATCCTGGCTAACACCATGAAACCCTGTCTCTACTAAAAATACAAAAAATTAGCCAGGCGTGGTGGCACACACCTGCAGTCAGGAGTTTGAGACCAGCCTGGCTAACATGGCAAAACCTCGTCTCTACCAAAAATACATTAAAAAAAAAATTAGGTCAGGTGCAGTGGCTCACACCTGTAATTGCAGCACTCTGGGAGGCTGAGGTGGGCAGATCATGAGGTCAGGAGTTCGAGACCAGCCTGGCCAACATGGCGAAACCCTGTCTCTACTAAAAATACAAAAATTAGCCAGGTGTAGTGGCACGTGCCTATAATCCCAGTTACTTGGGAGGCTGAGGCAGGAGAATCACTTGAACCCGGGAGGCAGAGGTTGTAGTGAGCTGAGATCACACCACTGCACTCCAGCCTGGGTGACAGAGCAAGACTTTGTCTCAAAAAAAAAACAAAAATTACCAAACAGAACATAGCAAGTGTTGACAAGAGTGTGGTGAAATTGGGACCCTTCAGCCCTCTTGGTGGGAATGTGAAATGGTGCATCCACTGTGGAAACACTGTGGAAATATCTCAGAAAATTAAAAGTAGGATTACCATATGCTCCAGCAGTCCCACTTCTGGATATCTATCTAAAATAACTGAAAACAGAATCTTCACAAGATATTTGCACATTCATGTTCATTGCAGCATTATTCACAATAGCCAAGAAGCAACCAAATGTCCATCAACAGATGAATAGACAAAGAAAATGTGGTATATATAGATATATGCAATGGAATATTATTCCCCCTTAAAAATGAAGGAAATTCTGTCATAGGCTATAATATAGATGAACCTTGAGAACCTTATGCTAAGTGAAACAAGCCAGTCACAAAAGGACGAATACTTCATGATTCCACTTATATGAATTATCTGAAATAGTCAATTCTTAGCAACAGAAATTAGAATAGTGGTGCCAGGGGCTGGGGAGGGAAAAAGGGAATTGTTCAATGGGTATGGAGTTTCCCTTTTGCAAGCTGGTAAGTTCTAGAGATCTGTTGTGCAATGTTGTGCTTATAGTTAACAAGACTGTACAGTTAAAAATGGTTAAGATGGTAAATTTCATGTTGTGTGTTTTTTACCACAATAACAATTAAAATAAAATAATATAAACGTTTGTGCAAGAAAAGATTGTATTTTCTGTCACCGATGTGTACGTTTAATGAATGACCTGAGCTGCATGACTCAGTCAGTTTCCATATGCCTTCCTTCCCTCTTTCTCACTCACCTTATGTTTGCACAAACAAAAGCACATTTAAAAGATAAGTTGGACACTGGGAATTTTATTTCATTTTATTGCCCCTTATTCCCTGCCTTCATTTTTTTTCCTTCCTTCATGGGAATAACCCAGGACACCTGACTTCTAAATGTAAATACTCCAGGAGGCAGGTATTTCCCCGTCTTATTTCATTTCTCCCTATGCATTTTAAGTGTCTTGTTTTTGATTCATTCGGGGTGTCTGCCTCTAAGGAACCCCTGGAAGTGAGCCTGCCTAAGGAAGACCCTGACTTTCTGTTTCCATGTGTAGGGAAACTTCAGACATGCCAGCAGCCGTGCCCCAGTGTCTAGGGAGGAGCTGATGACAGTGCTGTCTAGACTGGCAGATGTGCGCATCCAAGGCCTCTACTTCACAGAGACTCAAAGGCTCACCCTGAGCGAGGTGGGGCTAGAGGAAGCCTCTGACACAGGAAGTGGGCGCATAGCACTTGCTGTGGAAATCTGTGCCTGCCCCCCTGCCTACGCTGGTGACTCTTGTCAGGTAGGAAGTTTTCCCATCCGCAACATTTCCCTAGGGAGCTCCTGTGGCCGTTTTTGGCTGCTGTCCAGCACTGTGGGATGGTTTGGGGCCCTCTGTCTATTGTTTCTCTGTTCAAGTTTCTGCAGGGCTTATCTTATATCTTACTTAGACTCCCTTCAGGAATTAAGTGTGAAAAAGACATCATCAGTGTCTCAGAATTCATAGGAAAGCCACAGAGATTCAATAGATGCTGAGGGTTAGAGAAATCCAGGGTAGGAAAATAATGTACTATAGTTTCAAATAGCTAGAAGGAGGATATTGACTATTCCCAACACAAAGAAATGATCAATGTTTGAGATGATGGATATGTTATTACCTTATCTGATCACTAAACGTTGTATGTGTCACAACATCACTATGGACTCCATAAGTATTTATCATTATTATTTATCAGTTTTTAAAATAACATATTTTTTAAATGAAGGAGCTCACCAGCCAGCATCTTAGTATTTGAGCCCCTGCTTTCCCAATAACTGACCTTATACCTTTCTCTAATCCGGAGCCTCCCTCTACCCACTCTCAACTCCCCAGTAGAGTTGAATTCCAGAGAATATCCTGGATTTCTTAGAGGACATTATGTTCTAGCTTGCAGCAGGACTCTCGTTGTTTGAGGTCCAGTCAACCAGAGCTGTCTTCAGATGATTAAAATGTGCCATAAAATGAAACTGTTTAATTTCTCTGGCTATAAGTATGTCTTTTCTTAAAGATCAGGGCAAAAGCACAACGTTAGCATGATTAATAAAAGTAGCAAACACTCATTCTGTGTATTCCATACATCCATAAGTACGTAGGCTTAGCAAAACCTTTCACTTTCTTTCCTGGCCCCCTGGTAGCCGAAAACCCCAAGGTGATCTGCGCATACGAGTTCCCACTTTTTAAACCTGCAAAAACAAATCTGACCTGCTGTGGTCTTCTGGGGACTCCAAAGTTGTAATATTTAGCCCACAGGTTGCCTACATTCTTCCCCTTCCTCCATCTCTTTTCTAGCCTGATTAAAATTGATAGCCCGAGGGAAAGAGAGGGACTCTGGATTTCCACCCTCCTACCCAGGGCGTGTTCCCTGCCCGTGACTCAGCCTGTGATTTAGGGCGTCTGCAGGGTGAGGTGGGTGGAAGGTGATGCCCGCCCCACCTCACAGGAATTACAGAGCGGTGCGCTTACCTGCGGGACTGTTATGTGCGCTCTGGCACAGGCTGACTCATGTGTGAAGTTTAAAGGTGGGGCCCCTGCCGCAGACAGCCTTCCTCACCTGAGTCAGGCAGGCCCGGGCACTGAGCAGGAAGGGCAGGTATAAGAGGAAGAGGCAGAGGTTCCTGCGCAGCCAGCGGACGTCCAGGAACCGGGATGCCTCCAGCAGTGAGGCGGTCAGCCTGCAGCATGGGATGGCTGTGGATCTTTGGGGCAGCCCTGGGGCAGTGTCTGGGCTACAGTTCACAGCAGCAAAGGGTGCCATTTCTTCAGCCTCCCGGTCAAAGTCAACTGCAAGCGAGTTATGTGGAGTTTAGACCCAGCCAGGTAACGTCCTTTTAAGTTTTGGTTTGTGATAGGGAAGAGTTTCCAGCTTTGTGACATTTTAAGTTACAGTTACGGTGATTAATGAGTAAATGGGTGGACTGAGGAGGGGCTGATGGCCTCCCAGTCACCTTGACTGGCAGTGTTTATTACAGTGCCTGACAGATTGCTCTCCCGAGCTATTAACCGCAAACCCCATTAACATCAGCCCACCTGGAAATGCCGAGACAGTTAAGAGCTTGAATGCTTGCGGGATGTTAATATACGATGAAACTTTATGCCCTTTAGAGACCATCCCAAGCCTCAGAACAAAAGAGTCCAATGCCTATAGCTTTCCAAATGCTACTTGGAAGAAAATTTACCCACGGGGGGGAGAAAATGGGAAAGAGTGAAATCCAATGCTTGAGAAAAGTGATCAAAGTTTGCATAATACCTAAAAGACATGCTTCCATTTGCCAGGCATGAAACATTAAGAAATTCTGCTCTCTTTAAACTTCCTGGATGCTGCATGTATTCTTACAGAGAAATAGATCCTATGGCTACAGATACAGCCCTGGAAACTGGATTAGGGACATAATATTATCATTTGTATATAATATGTATTACAAAAGTTTACTGGAAAACTTAACATAAAACATCATCATGTTAACTAGTTATAAAACCCCTGTATTGAAATAGTGCATTAGAACACATTCGTTTTCATTTAAAAGTGAGTGTTCAATATAATCTGAGTACTTGAACTGATTTTTTTGTAGAATGTGGTTTTGCTTGCTTTATAAGAGGTGAAAAAATGATTCTATTTTAGTAACTGACAAATCCTCAGAGTCACATGATATGTAACTCTTGCAGAGTATATTTTCTGCTTGTAATCAAAAGCAAATTAAGATGGGTGATTTAGTTTTAATCAGGACAGACTATACTCCCCCAAAGCATGTTTAATTAAGGCTTTTTTCTCAGGCATGTTGTCATAAACTAACCAGATCTATCTGCTTATTTGAATAACTTGCTCTTTACCAAATGTGATTATTTTGTAAGCAGGTAATGTGATATACACTGATAATTATAAGTTACTTGCCACTTATTAGGACAGATTGTATAATAGATAGAATGACACCATCATTGGCTGCATTTCGTTCACATGTAAATCTCAATTGTGCTTTCAGCAAAATAACATTCCTTTCATACTTTGATTCTCCTTTAGGCAAGCCTGTTCATATAACAACATAATCTATTTATTTGCAATATACTCTTTGCCCTAAACATGGTTCCTAATAGCTTAAAGGAACATTATATTGGAAACTGTGGTCTTATTGTGCATGATCTATATTCATTGGTAATTTTGGAAGGGGTTCTAGCAACACCTGGGAGATTCCACTCCCGGAGCACATGAGGCTTCTGCCTCTCTCTCCTGTCAGGTGGCTTCTTTCTCACTTCCACTGGACCAGGTAGAGACCTTTATGGCCATGAGTGAATAAGAATGGACTGTCTACTTCAAGATTTCCTTTGAGTATAGTTTCCAAGTTTTACAGACATATGTGCTATTTAAAGAAGATTTGATAAAAGACTATCCTTTATCTTGAAATAGTTTTCCTGATGCTTTCAAGATAGGGTATATAGGAGATCAGAGAAATAAATTAGGGACAATATCTGATTTTGTTTATTTATTATTAGACAGGGTTTCACTCTTGTTGTCCAGGCTGGAGTGTGGTGGCGCAGTCGTGGCTCACTGCAACCTCCACCTCCCAGGTTCAAGCGATCCTCCCACCTCAACCTCCCGAGTAGCTGGGACTATAGGCATGTGCCACCATGCCCGGCTAATTGTTGTATTTTTTGGTAGAGATGAGGTTTCACCATGTTGCCCAGGCTGATCTCGAACTCCTGGGCTCAAGTGATCCACCCGCCTCGGCCTCCCAAAGTGCTGGAATTATAGGCTTGAGCCACCACAACCAGCCAATATGTGATTTGAATCTGTGCACTGATTTGCTCTGCCAAAATAAAGGACATGTCTATAATTTCCTTTAAAGACAGAAATCTAAATAATTTTAATGGCTGGTATAAGAAGAATTGTTTTTTTTCTGTTGGAGGGATTCTTAACTAGAATCCTTTTAAAAAGATATTAGTTCATGAAAAGAAAATTATAATTCTTTTCATCCAGATGAAAATGCATAACTTGTATTATACTGGAGAGAGATAATATACAGGAGATAGAAATAATCAAATCAAGATTGAACAAGGAAACAAGACCAACCCAAGGAGAGTCCCTCAGGCTGAGCCTCTGTGTGTTCGGGTGGACCAGATGTTCGTGAACAGTCCTGTATGGGAACCTCATGCACGCTCCCCTCCCCTGGCTTCTCTGTTGCCCATGGCCTAGTGAGTGGCAATAAAGTGACTCCACTGATTGTGGCATGATTGTCTAAATCTCAGTTAAGACTCCTATTCCCCACAACCCACTACTCCTACTATACTGCCCCCTCACCAGCCCAAACCCACACTTGGAGAGAAAACGGCTAGCCAAAGATAATTTGGACTTGAAGTGATTTGCTTAGATGTCCTCCCCTCTAAGGACGAGTCTCTTTATTTGTCCATTTCCACCTTCTCCACCTGCCCTCAAAACAGTTGTGAGAAGAGAGGAGCCCCTTCTCATCCCCCATCTCCACACGTGCCCTGTCTCTGATTTCCCCACCATGCATCTCACACTCCCACCAGGGCATGAAAACCAAACAGCTTGAGAGAAAAACAAGTGGACATGACAGGTGGTTGAAATTAAAAATATTCACACTCACTGAAGGAAAGAAGGTTTGAAAAATGTATGCCTCAGCCGGGCTCAGTGGTGCACATGCCTGTGGTTCCAGCTACGTTGGAGGCTGAGGCAGGAGGATTGCTTGAGCCTAGGAGCCCAAGACTCTAGTGGACTATAAGCACACCTGTGAATAGTCACTACACTCCAGCCTGGGCAGCAGAGTGAGACCCTGTCTAAAAAATAAAAATGATGTGAATGCTTCACAGTGAGAGGTGTCACATGCTTTGGATAGTAATTGTTTTCTTTCTTTGTATTGATTAAACACTTTGTTTGAAAAATAGGGTTGTAGCCCTGGATACTATCGGGATCATAAAGGCTTGTATACCGGACGGTGTGTTCCCTGCAATTGCAACGGACATTCAAATCAATGCCAGGATGGCTCAGGCATATGTGTTGTGAGTAAATTGACACTTTAATGCTATCAGCAGACAATCTGTTTCTCCTCCATTCCCCTGTACTATGCCCAAAGACATCAACATTACATCTCCCGCCAAACCCTAAATAGAGGTCGCTGTGTAAATATATGAGGCTCCATTATCAGGCTGAATTATTTTACATTTCATTTTCTCCTCCATTTTAACATGCACCATTAAAAGAGCGCTGCTGTCTGAGCAATTAAGTTACACTTTAGCTTCTAAATCTCTCCTTCGTGAAATGATAGTAATGGGTGGACCTTGGAAGTTAACTCTTGCCAGGACAAAACTAATCCAAGCCACTACTTTGGGTCCCAATTTTGTTGGGGCGGCAGGAAGTTACAGGAGTGGGGCTTGTTGCTGTCAGATGTCCAGTAACTCAAGAAAGCAGCCAGGGAGAAGGGGATTTGAGGAGGGCTCAAGGCTCATAAGAAATCAGTCCAACATTAGCTGGGCATGGTGGCAGGTGCCTGTAATCCCAGCTACTCAGGAGACTGAGGCAGGAGAATTGCTTGAACCCTGGAGGCAGAGGTTGCACTGAGCCGAGATCGTGCCACTGCACTGCAGCCTGGGCAACAAGAACAAAACTCGGTCTGCATTCCATCCACCCCCACACCATAAACAACAACAACAACAACAAACAGAAATCAGTCCAACACAAGCTTCACTACTGCCAAGACAGAGCGGGGCTTGGAGAAGACAGATGAGGGAGGTCGTGGGGAAGGGAAAGTGCTGCTCACCCCTCCCGTCCTCACAACATCCACCGCCTGCCTGTTCCCTATATTGACTATATTTTCTCATGGCCTCAAGGCTGTCTTGGATGACTACAGCATATCCACTGGAACATGATCTTATTTTGGAATATTTTATAAAATTCTTCTACCTAAAATTAGTTTCTTAGGAAATTTTTCTTATGCATCCTGAAGCAGAACCTTTTTTATTCTGCTTTTTTCTTTTGTTTCATTAGAGTTCTTCTTGGTAACCAGGGCCTCCCCAGTGAGGAAAATGGACAGTGAAAAAGAGGGAGCATACTCCAGGAATACAGGGCTTCAGTTGTGTTGTGCCCTTTTGGAAATGCACTCCTCTGGCACAAATTTTCTTTGTATTGTGTAATGCAACTAGAGTGTGTTTCAAGTATGAGTTCCTAGACCGTATTAAGCTCGTTCACCGTGGCCCAGGGAACTGCTTCCTCTGCAAGATGGGACAGGCTAGAAGAGGAAATTGTTGTGAAGAGCCAACTGATAGAATATTTTGTTGGATTGTAATCTTATAAATTCAAAAAGAGTAAAGGGTATTGGGAAATACTGTTTTCCAGCTCGTTAGTATTCCTATAGAATAGTTCATGTTTGATATTGTATGTTTTGTGTAACACGAGTAGATGCTTTAATTAAGAATAAATACGTTGGCCGGGCACGGTGGCTCATGCCTGTAATCCCAGCACTTTGGGAGGCTGAGGCAGGTGAATCACGAGGTCAGGAGTTCGAGACCATTCTGGCTAACACAGTGAAACCCTGTCTCTACTAAAAAAATACAAAAAATTATCTGGGCGTGGTGGTGGGCGCCTGCAATCCCAGCTACTTGGGAGGCTGAGGCAGGAGAATGGCGTGAACCCAGGAGGCGGAGCTTGCAATGATGGCGCCACTGCACTCCAGCCTGGGTGACAGAGCAAGACTCTGTCTAAAAAACAAAACAAAACAAAAACAAAAAAGAATAAATATGTTATCAGTGAACCATTGCCAGATGTCAAGCCCATCTTATGAAAGCTGCCAAAGAACAAAGGGAGGGTTTTTTTCTGTAGTCACCCACTGAAAGGAAAACTTGTGAGAGTCATAATTCATATTTTAATCAAACAAGATTTTCTTTCCCATTTTATTTTTTTTGTAGTTCTGTCTTCACTTGTCCCTAATGGCCATGTGGCCGCCAGAGACTCTTCATTCAGGAAATCCTCACTGAGCATTTGCTAGTGTGGCAGGTACTGAGCTAAGTGCTGGAGTTAAAAATCATCAGACCTAATCCCTACACTCACGAGGCTTGCTGTCTAGTAGGCAATGTGTATGTGTGTACACACACTCACACACACACGCACACACACACGGAGCCCATGTCTGCACTCAGCTAACGGCTCCGTGGCAAGTCCTGAGTGCTGATGCTGCCCTGAATTGTGTCCACTGCATGGAAGCTGAGAATGCATTCCTCGTTCTCAAAGAACAGTAAAGAGGAAATCCAGTATATTTGAATATCAAACGGGCCTTCTGGCTGATTTCACTGCAAATTGACCTCCACCTCTCAAGGTCCAAAGTAAATGTTTAACATCAGGACCTTCACCCAGGTGCAAATCTTCAAGATATTTCAAGAATAGACTCTGAAGTTTGAAAAGATAAGTAGCCCAACTTTTTGCCAGTACAGCAGTAGGTGTCCAGTGTCAAGGGCAGGAGTAGCGGGTAATGTGGGTGCCACCGTCCAGAGGGACCTGCGATGATGGCCTCCTCCTATGTGCTGAGACCCCCATCTCTCCCTCTTCTCATTGCCCCAATTTCTCCCCATATTTTCTCCTCTCCCCCCAATTCCCCTTCCTCTCTACTATCCCCGTCACCCCTTATTTTCCTCTCCGTTCCTATTTCCCTCCCCTTTTCTTTTTCTGTCTTCTTTCTTCATCTTCCTTCTTTTATTTTCTGCTACTTGAGCCCATCTTCCCCTCTGCAGTTGCAATGGAATTTCCAAATGATTTATCTGAAATTCACAGCTGACATGGTGCTCCTCTGAGGCTCACAGACGGAAGGAAGCCCACGACCCTTAGCACAGTACTGGGGGCTCTTTCTAGCTGCATCCCGCCCCCTTGCACTTCTGCCTTGGGCACGCCCTTTGCTTTTCATTCCCTCCACACACTGCCATGCTATTGTGAGACTGAGGTTCTGCACGCTGTGTCCCCTGTGCCTGGAATGCCCTTCCCTCACTTCTGCGCTCAGTGAATCCCTGTCCTTCTGCGGCCCTCGCAGGCAGCCCCTCCTCCTGCTCTCGTGGGATGCTGGCACACTTGTGTCCTATTTTCCACGTGATATTGAATACGTCTATTCACAGGACTACATGTACCCCGAGTCGAGGGACCAACCCTTCTTTACATCGCTAGAGCCTAGCATAGTTGGGCATATAGTAAATGCCTAATAGATATTTGGTGACAAATGGAGCTAGGAGAGCACGTGCCATGGGAGTGGACGTGGGCTTCTGCAGCATTCGTTCATTTATTTATTCACAGTAAAACACAAGGAACCTGAAGGGAGGTGCTCCAAGTTTGCAGGACTGAGGACAGTTTCCAGGGTGGCCACTCTCAACTGACAGTGAAGGGTTTCTCACATATTTTTACGGGACTTTGTCAAGCAACACGGGTTTTGACACTCTTCCTTGATCCTCTCCTCTCACCCCTGTGAAGGACCAGTACTCAGAGTGATTTTAGTAGGATACGGATGTCCTCACCTCAATTCTTGCATCTGTACATTCTTGCTTCTCCAATGTGTTCAGTCTCAGAGCTAAGTAGACACAGGACTGAAATATATCTATACAGTCATGTTCTACTTTTAAATTGTCATTTGGATTAAAAGAGAAAGAGAACTAAAATGGAAAAGTATTAGTTCCAAAGGACTGATGTCTTCTGAGAGAGTCAGGGCAGCTGAAGACTGGGTGAGGGTGAGGGAAGCCGCTGGTGTCCTCCTCAGTCACCCGTGAGAGGACTCCTCTGTGGAGCTAATCAACTGCAAGGAAGATTGTTCCCAGTGTCCAGACCTGAAGGAGTCTGGACCCATAGTGCAGTGAGATTTGGGGAAGGAAGGATTCCGGATAGGGGTGAGCTTTCTGATGATAAGCAAATGTGAACACGTGAGCAGCATCCTACTTTAAAGCCCCTCCACATGCTCTGAAATACTAATATCTTATGTTTATAGCACAATTTTATAGCTGGGAAAAAAAGAAAGGATATTTTAACATCTTAGTGTTTTGTGTAATTTTCAGTTACTCAAAGGTTAGTGAAGGATGGATTTGCTCAATCTGGACAAACTGACGGCATTTATGATGGAAGGGCAACCTTTTTCATTATGAACAAGCCATGTCTTCTTGGGATATAAACGTATATTGCTTTTCCCAATCTACCTTCAGATATTATTTAAAAACTCACACTCATGGCTGGGCGCGATGGCTCATGCCTATAATCCCAGCACTTTGGGAGGCCGAGGCGGGCGAATCATGAAGTCAGGAATTTGAGACCATCCTGACCAACATGGTGAAACCCTGTCTTTACTAAAAGTACAAAAATTAGCTGAGCATGGTGGTGGGTGCCTGTAATCCCAGCTACTCGGGAGGCTGAGGCAGGAGAATCACTTGAACCCAGGAGGCAGAGGTTGCAGTGAGCTGAGACTAGGCCATTGCACTCCAGCCCGGGCGACAGCACAAGAATCTGTCTGAAAACAAAACAAAACAAAAAGCAAAACACAAAACCCCTGACACTCATTAAAGTTTCCTACTCAAGCAACACCTCTGCATACAGAAGTAAAATACATAGGCAAATGTTTAAAATTATACTTATTCCAGCCCATAAAATTAACACAAAGTGTCTCCATATTAGCAAATGCCCACAGCAAGGGGAGTTTTCCTGGATGTTTCTGTGCATTTAGATCTTTTTTGCTAGGGTAACACCAAGAAAATAAACAAATTTGACCCAATCCACTAGGTTTTGTCTCAATAGACCACTTGGTTGCAAAATTATTTCATCTCAACACTTTACTGAAGAACAAATTTCATTAGACAGCAACTTTGATGTGAAAATAATTGGATTTACATAAATAAAAAGCTTAGATAACATTAATTTCTTGCTTCTTTGGGACACTGGAATTCAGTTGAGTATTTTCTTCAGATACTGTGCAATTTTTTATTGTTTTAACAAATTCTGTGTTAAGAACTCATTTCAATAATATCACTCTTCAGTATATCATTGTTAGGTGAACCGTGAAGTAAAATGAGGGTAATTTTCATCAAAGCAGTGCTAAGGGGAAGAAAGAAAAGAATTTACGTTTCCCAAGAGCTTAGTACACTTGCTTTTTTAAATCCTCCCAACAGGCTTAGAAAGTGGGCATTATCCTAACTACATTTTGAGAAAATTATAATTGTATGTAAATCATACACTAGTAAAATTGATATAAGTAAAATTGATACAATTGAAAGGATCTTGCCCCAGGGCTCCGTGGCCTTGAGATGCTGGAGTGGGATGGGGACTCAGCTGGCTTGTCCCCACTATGTCACGCTGCCAATGTTAAGCACCGCGTCACTGAGGGAAGGACACTTACCCCTCTTTTCTAACACCAGCAATGATTAGAGGGATAGGGAAAATACATGGTTAGAGGAGCTGATATCACTGCAAAGTCAGAGGACTTGAGTTGTAGTCATGTGACTAAGTAAGATTACAATAATCTCAGAAGTAGGGACTGTACTGGCTGCTGTGAATTGTGCTGTTCACCTGTCCCCAGAACTGTCAGCACAACACCGCGGGAGAGCACTGTGAACGCTGCCAGGAGGGCTACTATGGCAACGCCGTCCACGGATCCTGCAGGGCCTGCCCATGTCCTCACACTAACAGGTACCGTAGCAGCTTGACATAACCTACAGGGACCCAAAGTCGTTTGGTGGCTGCCTAGGACTAGGGGTGGGAGAGCAGGTGGGGAGAATGGGAAGTGATTACCAAAGGGTCTGGGATTTCTTTTTGAAGGGATGAAAACATTTTCAAATTGATTGTGGTGGTGTTTGTACAATTCTGTGAATATACTATAAGCCACTGAATTGTACAGTTTACATGATGAATTGCATGATATGTAAATTATATCTCAATAAAGCTGTGATATTAAAATGAACAAACACGACATACAAGAAAACAAATGAATAGGCCGGGTGTGGTGGCTCATGCCTGTAATCCTAGCACTTTAGAGGGCCGAGGAGGGCGGATCACTTGAGGTCAGGAGTTCGAGACCAGCCTGGCCAACATGGTGAAACCCCGTCTCTACTGAAAATGCAAAAATTACCTTGTAATCCAGCTATTCGGGAGGCTGAGGCAGGAGAATCGCTTGAACCCAGGAGGCAGAGGCTGTAGTGAGCCGAGATTGTACCACTGCACTCCAGCCTGGGCGAGAGAGCGAGACTCCATCTTAAAAAAAAAAAAAAAAGAAAACAAACAGAAACCGTCTTTCCAAGTTGTATACTTCCAGGCTTTTCCTTTCCCTCTTTTCTTTTACTGTTCATTCAGTGGCTAAGCAGCTACTTTTCGAGCACCCATGACAGGGCCAGGCCTCAGCCCTATCTATGTGATGAGGAAGCTGAAGGAAGAAGACAGAGGCAGTCCCTGTTCTCCTGGGGCTTGACCTAGAGTGTGGCAGGGAGGGAGAGAAAGGGTGGGAGTCATCACACTCAATAAATACACACACTAATCAGTAAGAGGTATAACTGGAGATAGAGATGACATTTTCTGCAATAGGCTGTGTCACTGACAGTGAGGGGGTGGCTGCTTTAGAGGGGTGGCCAAGGAGGCCTGAAGTTAGAGGAAGCCATGGCAGTATTTTGGCCACGAGGCTCCTAGACAAGGATGAAACAGAAGGAAAAGGCCTGTGACAATGTGTTCAAGGGCAGTGAGAAGGCAGGAGTGGCAGAAGTGCAGTGTGAAGAGGGCCAGAGGTGAGGTTGGTGGAGCAACCAGGACCCAGATCCTGCAGAACCCTGCAGGCTGTGGTCAAGCATCTGGATCTTATCCTCAGTGCGATGGAAATTTTGGGGCAGTTCTGAGCCACTGAGTGATCTGAGCTCTCATTCAGCCTCCAGAGTGACCAATAGACTACATAGGTAGGAATCCACCACTGTGTTTTCAAGGTAACCCCCTCTCTCCTTAAGTGTGGCACTTTGTCATATCCTTACTCATCACAAAGGGTTCACTGTGGGCCCAAGCAAAGAATGATGTAACAAACTAAGTGAAGCAAGAGTTGTTCTGAAAATCAAGAAGATACTGAGAACATCTCACTAGTACATAGACTCAGAAACAAGTGTGGATCACAAAGGCAGGCCTATATCAGCCCTTAACAGACACATGGGCCAAGTCCTAACATCACCAGAAGTCATGTGCCAAGTGTGGCTTCTCTGGAGAGACCTATTTGGAATGCTCACCCTGCTTTGCTGTCTATGTCTTTGATGCTCGTGAAGCCCGCCCCATCCTGCAGCTTTATTTGTCAAGGGATCAATCACATGAGCTTGCCCAGACTTGTTTGAAGAGAAGCTGGCAAAAGTAGAAAGCAGCGAGATTTCCACTGGGGTGCTTGGAAAAAGTTTTTCATTTTCATTTGCAAAGCGTAGTAGCATCAAGGTCAGCTTCCAGCTTCCATAAGTTGAAGTAACACGTAGGTCTTTGAATTTATCAGTAAAACTCTATTTGTATCTATTTCTCCTTCCTGCAATATTAATAGTGCTGACCAATGTCTAACTGTCTTTTGAGAGGCTTCCTAAACAGGCATTCTCTTACCAGCAAATGGAGTGATATTCCCTCAGATGTCATCAGTGTCATGTCCAGTGGCAGACAACAGGGCTTTTTCATGGTCTCTTTGGTGTGTGTGTGTGTGTGTGTGTGTGTGTGTGTGTGTGTGTGTGTGTGTGTGTTTAAAGCTGCTTCTAAAATATCATCACTTATTGCTTCTCAGCCTTTTGGCTAAAATCAAGTGTAAAATATCACCACTTTAGAGCTAAAAGAAAAGGGATCAAAATTCCACAACTTGGTTTGAAAAAAAAGTGAGAATCAGCAATGATTGTGCCCACAGAAATGCCGAGGCAGGCGAGTGGTCTCTGTGCATCTTTAGGGGGCTCCAGGGCCTGGCCTCCCCACCAACTTTTCTTCCCAGAAGGCAATGTGCCTGATAGAAAAGAACTAGAATCAACAAGGAGAACGTTTTTTTTTAAAGAATCAGAACTCTCTGTTCTTTTTTCTGCCTAGACTTGTTTTACTCCTTCCTTGTTATTCCTGGAAAAATGCTGTTGTAATCATCTCTTCCAAAGTGAGTTACTCTGCTCTGTCTTAAGGGGAAAAAATGCTCTTCCCCAAGGAACAAATAAAATAAATGCCTTCAGTCCTTGTTCACCAAAATTGCCCTGTGTCGGCTGAGATCATTCATCATTATCTCTCCAAGTCTTGATGGGCAAAATTTTCTTCACACAAAGTAACCAGACCCTGGGTTTCAGTGCTCACTTAATACAAGCCAGTCCTTTGTGGTAAAAAATAAGCATAAATCCTATCGATCTGTGTTTTTGATGGGGCCTTTTTCTGTCTTCTTTCAAGCTTTGCCACTGGCTGTGTGGTGAATGGGGGAGACGTGCGGTGCTCCTGCAAAGCTGGGTACACAGGAACACAGTGTGAAAGGTAAGGTGGGCGCCCCTCCCGCCTCAGCCTGCAGAGGGGGCGGGGAGGGCTGTGGGTGGGGCTGCCAGGTGCTGGCACAGAGCTAGGGGTGGGGCTGGGAGTTTGACTGAGGCCTGGAAAAAGGTCTCTTGGGAAAAATACAAGACTGCTCACCTAATAAATCATTAATATCATTCTCTTTCCTGCTTTGTACGTTTCAGAAAACTGAGAATGAGGCACAACGCATACACTCACCCACAAGTAGCTCTACCTACATCCCCCCAACACGCACCCCTGTGTACCTCAACCCCCGACACCTCCCTACCTACCCCTCCTCCACAATGATCTCTGCATACCCCCTATTTCGACATGTCCCTTCCACATATCTCCACATACACCTGCCCTCAACGTATCCCTACTTACCTGTACACATGTACAACTGTCTACACTCTTCCGTACACACACATATCCACAGCCCTAGCCTAGATAGCCCCCCCACCCCCCCACCCCCACCCCCACCCCACACACACCCCTCTATCCCCACACTATATTTTGAACACTTTCAGGACAATCTATGTCTTGTTTATTTCGGAATCCCTGGTTCCAAGAATGGTACTGTTCACATAATAGGTGTTCGGTAATGTTTGTGAAACAAAATAATAAATGTTGTGGAATGGAAACTGTAAAATTAATGACAAAGGGCTGCAGAACCAAGCTTTAGTTATTCATGGACAATTTTCATGATTAGCCACTATGCATAGGACACTGCCAAGTACTGAGAAAGATATAAAAGATACTTATAACCTAGCTGAGAAGAAAGCACACACATATTTGGGAAAGTAACAGTATGAAAAATGAATCATATGGTTTACATATTTTAAAATTTAAAATAACTTTCTCATAAAATCAATACATATTTATTATAAAATGATGAAAAACAAACGAGCAGAGAACCAGTGAGGGCCCCCCTACAACCTAGCCCTGTGCACTCAAACGCTTTCACATACAATCCTATTCATAATCATTTTGTCTACAGAAAGCCACTGTTAAAAAGCTGGCTGTTTGTTCCTACAAATCATTTCTAAATGTGTGAACCCTTAAAAAAAAAAGTAGATTCCTGTTTTACTTTCTGTTTTGACTTGTTTTCTTATCTAATACTATGTTAGTAATATCTCTCCATATCAGTAAGTATTCACTGATAACATCACATCAATGACCAAAAATTTCCACTGGGTTTCCATTATCTCCTACTCTTGGTCTTGGAGATCCTTTTACTGTTCTGCATTTAAAGCAACACTAAAATTAAATCCTTGCAGCTTAATATTTGTGTATGCATATCCTCAAGGTATAATTGTAAAAGTGGATTCTTTGGGTCAGAGGATAGGTTTTCCAGGCTTTTAATACTTTTTGCAAAATTGCCCTCCAGAAAAGTTTATATTCTTACAGCAGCAAAAGAGAATGAGTGACTACCTACCACAATGGATATTGGAAAGGATCAATATTTTAAATATTTGCTAATTAGGGCCAAGCATGGTGGCTCAAACTTGTAATCCCAGCACTTTGGGAGGCCAAGTTGGGAGGATTATTTCATGTGATCCAGAGGTTAGAGACCAACCTGGGCAGCATAGAGAGACCTCATCTCCATAATTTTTTTTTTTAATTAGCCAAGTGTGGTGGTGTGTGCCTGTGGTCCCAGCTACTTGGGATGCTGAGGTAGGAGAACCATATGAACCCAGGAGTTCGAGGCTGCAGTGAGCTATGATCGCACTACTGCATTCCAGCCTGGGCAACAGAAAAAAAAAAGCCAATTTGATAGAGAAAAATTGTGTATCATTTTAATTTACATTGTTTTGTTTAAACTTTAAAAGAGTTTGACTAATTTTTGTTTAACCGGAAAATGAATTCAACCAGATTTCAAGTAAGGCATAACCACCCTAGACTGGGGTTATCTGAAATGTTTATGGATAAGGTGGGACTTTGGTAGGTCCAAGGGGTTACTAGAACCCAGTGGAGCCAGAAGATGGAAGTGGGAGGCAGGTTAGGTTGGGGAAGCAAGGCAGAAAAGCCCAAGGGGCTGGAAGACACTTGCCATGTGTAGGAGGTGGGGACTGCCTTAGACTGGGGACACTGAGCAGCAGCTAAGGAGCCCAATTCTATGGCAAAAGATGGTAATGGAAGGTTCTTCTGTTTTCCATTTTCCATTTCAGCAAAAGGAGCATTTCTCACACTTGCCTTACACTTATTCAGTTATTCTTTCAATGAAAAATGTATGGAGGTCCTAGTATATATATGTCTGGCACAGTGCTAAGTACTGGAGGCACATTAACAAACAGCACAGACAGTGTCCTCAAGGGCTTTCCAGTCCAGTGGTGGACAGACATCAAAACATGCCATTAAAATAGCGAGAGATGGGAGAACTGGGCTAAGTTGAGCTGCAATTAGGAGGTATATCCAACCAGCGAGAAGGGAAGGATGTGGGGAGTGGGAAAGGATTCTAGGCTCTGAGGTTTAAAAGCCACAGGGGACCAACACCTGGGAGAGGCGTCCTAATTTCATCCTCTTTATGGCTCTTCACAAACAATGAAGCATTAAACAGCAACAGGCTCGGTGAGACATCCATTTGGCAGGCAAAATTTTTAATTAACAGTACTTCTCTCAGCTGATGTTTGTTATATCTGATGTCTCAAGAAAACAAGCTATTATTTCTTTAAAAAATTTTTTGAAGCTTTTTCATGGATAAATGCCATTTTATGTCAACATTTTTCATTTGTTAGACACAGCACCCAGACATCATTCCTGGCACTAGTGATTAACTACACAATGATAAACACAAGGACAGTCAAGGGTGAAAAGCAGGAATATAGATTATGCAGGAGACTAGCTGGATAGAAGCCAGAGTGGCCAGCTGTGGGGAGGGTTTCGCAAAGGCTTTCCAGCCCATGCATGCTCTTACCCCTCTTCTCCCTCAGACACACAGGGCCACACAAGACAAGCCTATTTTCTGCTCTTTATTTGTTGTACCAATGTCATTCGTGAAATCAGGAGGTTTTACTTCAGTCCTTTGGGTTTAGCCACTGCCATAAATTGAGAATAAGAGAACCAGTTATTTCTTATAACCAGTAAGTAATGCTTTGCAAGAGTAAGGAAGAAGTAGAATCGAACTTCCTGAATATTTCTGTGATTTAAATATAAGGTACTTTGTAATTATGCATCTATTACATGGGAAGTTTAGATGTAGGTAAGAAAGACATCAAAAATAAAGTATTCTAGAACACAGAGCTTCTGCATAACATGATCTGTTAGGTAGAATACCAAGCCAGTCACAAAGTAAAGCCCTATTATTAGTATATGACCACCCTGCTTAGTAGACTTAAATAGGCCACCTCAGCCTAGTTACCTTCTGGATTATTAGGGGATACATGGGCCTTCTGCTTTCTTGTAATAATTTCAAATGATGCCAATTAGAAGATGAATATTTTGTCATGTCTTATTACGATAGCTACCCTTCATTGTCTGTTATGTGCAGATATTACGCTAGATTCTTTATTACATTATCTCATATTCACTGAGCAAAATAGGTATTATTAGTCCACTCACTTATTCATTCAACAAATGAATGAATATGTGCCAGGTGACCGTAGGGATATATCAGTGAGCAAAACAGCCCAAAACTCCACATCTTCATGGAGCTTATATTTTCATGGGGGCTGTGGGGGGGACCGGTAAAGAAACTGAAGCACAGAGGGTTACAGCAACAGCCCAAGATCACACTAGTAAGTAGTAGAGATAGGAGTCCAGCCAGATCTTACTGATCCTTTACATTATATCAACAGTGTATCCATGGTAATACATTGGTGAAGTATATTGGAAGTACATGGTAACGTGTATTGGAATTGCCTAATTTTTTTTGATGCAGTGCTTAAATTTGGGGAAATGAGGTAAATACCATATTCCCTTGAGTCTATCAAGTCAATTGATGATAAGACACCACACATCAGTTTAATGACAATTTGGGGGTGACTGGATGGGGAGTGGAACTTTATTAATGGAAATATTGTAATTGACATCCCAACTCCAGGAGCATGAATATGTGCTTATTTGACTTTAAAAAAAAAAAAAAATCAAAGAATCAAGGAAATGTGATCTTTAAACTTGTAAACCAGTAATGAGTTCTCATTACTATACTATCTAGAATAAAAAAGGCTCAGGGCCAAAGGTAGCAGCTGTAACTGCTCTCAGTTGTTTAAGAGTCATTATATACAGCACGGCAGCAATTAGTGCAAATATGAATTATGCAGACTTGACATAGTGCAGGCCAGGTGCAGTGGTTCATGCCTGTAATCCCAGCACTTTAGATACTGAGGCAGGAGGATCACTTGAGCCCAGGAGTTCAAGACCAGCCTGGGCAACATAGCAAGACCTTATCTCTGCTAAATATTAAAAAATTAACCAGGCCTGGTGGCATGCACCTGTAGTTCCAGTTTTTTGGGAGGCTGAGGCAGAAGGATTGCTTGAGCCCAGAAGTTCAAGACCAGTCTGGGCAATATAGCAAGACCTCATCTCTACTAAAAATTAAAAAATTAGCCAGAAATGGTGGCATGCACCTGTGGTCTGAGTTTCTTGGGAGGCTGAGACAGAAGGATTGCTTGAGTGCAGAAGTTCGAGGTTGCAGTGAGCTGTGATTGTGCCATTGTACTCCAGCCTGGAGAACAGAGTAAGACTGTCAAGAAAGAAAAGAAAGAAAGAAAGAAAAGAGAGAAATAAAGAAAGAAAGAAAAAGGAAAGGAAAGGAAAAAAGAAAAGAAGAGAAGAGGAAGGGAAGGGAGGAGGGAGGGGGGAGGGAGGAAGGAAGGAAGGAAGGAAGGGAGGGAGGAAGGGAGGAAGGAAGGAAGAAAGGAAGGAAAGGAAGGAAGAAATAATGCAATAGGAAATATTAAGAAACTCCTCCCTCATTCAAAAAATTGGAAATTACATGGATCTTACTTCAGATTTATTTCTGTGAGACAATTCAAGGGGTAAATACCTCTGTATTGAGAAATATTCATTCTTGCAGATCTATGTCGGTCTTCCACCCATTGGGTTACAATATCCCAAACAGAGAGCTAGAGATTGAGAAAATTGGTTGAGATAAACGATGAGTTATTTGGGTGTTTCTCCTCCTCTCTATATTTTGTGTAGGTGTGCACCGGGATATTTCGGGAATCCCCAGAAATTCGGAGGTAGCTGCCAACCATGCAGTTGTAACAGCAATGGCCAGCTGGGCAGCTGTCATCCCCTGACTGGAGGTAAGGCCGACCCACACCCCTGCTAACTTGCATTTATAAAGCTGGTATAACTTAACAGCCTAAGAACCCAAGCACACATCTTCAGGATGCATAATACACAATTCCAGCCAGCAAGCTGTCCCCAGGATGCATAATACACAATTCCAGCCAGCAAGCTGTCCCCTTGTTTTGACAAACCTGGGAATGCTTAGATAGTATTTTCAGCTTTGGTGAATAACCTGTTTCAATGCACTTTTTTTTTTTAAAAAGTGAATTGTTTTTGAAACTTACCTAATTATAACCAAAATAACTTCAGATCCTACTTTGGTGATTTTGCTGAGATCTCCCTTTGATATTGTAGGGTTATTGTCTCATCAGCTTTCCCGTGTGTGTCTGAAGAAATTGAAATACTCTTTATCTTACAGCAGTACATGTTCTGGGATGTGGGTGGGTAATTGGGGTGGATTTTATACACCAAGAAAAAGATAATTAGCAGAAGTTAGTATGGTTTATTAGGAGCAACTTGGAACAAAAAGGAAGACTATCCTCTTCCTTCTTTGACAGAATATTAATAGGATTAATCAGGAAAATGCTATTGATGTAGTGTGACACCAAACACTTAGATAAAATCTTTCATCTTATATTTATGGACAAGTTGAAGAACTAAACCCTGGATATGTGGATTCCAGCTGGTCAAGTGACTATCCCCAAAGGAATGCAGAGTAAATGGATTAATGCCAGTCTAGAATGGGGTATTTATTGTCATGCCTCAGGACTTCATCCTTGGCTCCACATTTTTTATTTGGATGGAAATATAGAAAGCATGCCTACCCATTTATCAGATGACACAAAGTTGGGAAGAACAGTAAAGGGACCAAGGGAAAACTTCCCCTTCACCTACAGAAGGTTTACAGAAAATCAGTGGACAAAAGGCAGATTAATAGGAGAAAAGGCGTACACAATTTTATTTTAATGTGTGTAACACAGGAGAATCACAGGACAATGATTACCCAATAACCCAGTGGGGCACAGATGCTTATGTACCCTTCTTCTTAGGGGAAAGAGAGATGCGGAAATGTGGATGATTTTAAGGGGAATGGTAAATGATTTTTAGGCTGACTCAGTGGACTCAGAGAACATATAGTGAGGCCTGGGACAAAATCTTTTGGGCCCACAGAACAGACAATGGTTTGTGACAAGAGTCTGTCCAGGTGTGTTGACAGACTTCAGTCTTTCTCCCTGAAATATGAGTTAAATTAATGAAAACTCATGGAGGAAACCAGAAGTAGTTTGTTTTCATTTTTGGCAAGTCTGAATGTTGGGAAGATAAGTGGGTATCAGAGTAAAGTTTTTTCCGGCATCTGCTGGTCTCCAAGGGCCTTCAATTTAAAATAATCAGCCCACCAGGGTGCCATATTTTGGGGTGAAATTCCCTGGTCTTCTCCAATAGTAAGTGCCTCCCATGACATTAAGAATTCAGAAGGGCCTCAACAGTCTAGAATGATGGGCCAATTCAACCAGACAAAATGATGTTAAGGATAAGGGTGTGGTCCTGTAGTTGAGTGGAAAAAATAAATAAACCTTTAGCTATGTGATAAGTGGTAACTGGCTTAGTAGCAGGAGGTGTAAAAAAGCTTAAGGTTGTCATCAGCAGTCAGTGCAGGGTAGGTTAGAGTGTGGTGTGGCCCCTAAGATAGCTCGTACTGTCTTCACTGAGTTCCATTGTCTAAAGCCGGGGTCCATGGCACACTGCTCATGTAAGTCCTCACGTGAGAGTTAGTTACATCTTTAGAAGACAATAGAAGAGCTATAGTTGTTCAGAAAGAGAGTAAGACTCTGAAGGGATGTGGAACTGTGTCACACGAGGAAGGATTGACCAGGGCAGTGAAAGGAAGAGCTGGAAAGGACATGTTTGTTAGGCTGGCGTGTGGGAAAGGGTTGGTATTGTTCTCTGAGACATAAGGGACAGAACTTAGAGCAAAGAGTAGAAGCAAGAGGAAGCTCTATTTTAAATGATTCTAAGGAAGAAGTGTCTAATGCTTAAAGATGAAACAGATTGCTTTAAAAGGAGGCAATTTCTCCTGTCACTGGAGGTATTCAAGAAGCTTCAACATCACGCACAGCTTACTCGCCAGACTAATGCCTCTGCAACCCTCATTTCCCCCACGCCAGTAACAAAAATCAGCAACATGAAATGAGGATAGTAACTATTTGTTCCCAAAATGGAAGAAAATGCTTATGTATGAGACTTGCTTATTCCTGTTAGAGTTTTGTTGTTGTTGTTTTTTATTCTTTTTTTTTTTCTTCAACTAATAAGGGACACATTCCTTGGTGGTCAAAATGCAAGCTTGTTAGGAAAATTCCACTAATAAATCAATCATCCAGAGAAGCCTAGTCCCCCATAAACTATTCAGGCTGCTGTTGAAAATTGTCAAGGAAACAAGACCATGCTTGCTGGCCAGAAGCCATTTACAGGCTAACTGAGGAAATAGAAGTATCACAATATATACATATAAGAGCAAATGGCCGGGCATGGTGGCTCATGCCTGTAATCCCAGCACTTTGGGAGGCTGAGGTGGGTGGATCACCTGAGGTCAGGAGTTTGAGACCAGCCTGGCCAACATGGGGAAACCCTGTCTCTACTAAAAATACAAAAATTAGCTGGGTGTGGTGGCAGATGCCTGTAATCTCAGCTACTTGGGAGGCTGAGGCAGGAGAATCGCTTGAACCCAGGAGGCAGAGGTTGCAGTGAGCTGAGATAGCACCACTGCACTCCAGCTTGGGTGACAAGAGCGAAACTCTGTCTCAAAAAAAAAAAAAAAAAAAGCAAGTAAGGCTTTTTTTAAAAAGGAACCCATGATTATATATAATAAATTAAAATGTATATAAATATTTATAAAGGGAACATTGTCTTTGAGTGGCAGGATCAAGGATGATGCTTTTATTTCATTTTTCTGACTTCCCCATATTTTCCATAATTAATTTATATTATTTTTTACAATTAAAAGTAAATGTGGTTTAAAATGTCTGTATATACACACAAAGTGTGGAATATTATTGGCTGGTGAGAATAACAGATGTGAAAGCCTCTTGTAGCTTGTCCAGGAAAATGTTAAGCATAGAGTTTTGCTGTTGTGAAGGTAGATAGTTTGTTCAGGGGGAAGTGAGAGGACATGTCAATGTCAGAATGCATGGCATGGGGAAAACAGTACATGTGGAAGGGGTCAAGAATGCCCAGGGTTGACCAGCAGGCTTTACTGTAGCTGAGAACCTCAAAACTCAGCTTATCCAGCCCGGCCAATATGGTGAAACCCCGTCTCTACTAAAAATACAAAAATTAGCCAGGCATGGTGGTGCGCGCCTGTAGTCCCAGCTACTTGGGAGGCTGAGGCAGGAGAATCGGTTGAATCTGGGAGGCAGAGATTGCAGTGAGCTGACATCGCACCACTGCAGTCCAACCTGGGTGAGAGAGTGAGACTCCCCCCTCCCCACCGGCCAAAAAAAACAAAAACAAAAACTCAGCTTATATGTGCTGTAGTTGGTGGTGTGGGCCCACTGACATTGTATGCCCATCACTATCACCACATCTGTCACACTGTTTTGTAACTTGTCTGCCCCCCGTGTTTCATGGGACTGTTAAGTCACAGAGCAGCAGGGATTTTGTCTTGATATCTTTGTATTTCCAGCAGCTAGCATGGGGCTCTGTTACACTGTAAATGCTCAAAGGTGCTCAGTGAATGTTTGCACAATGTTCTTGAATGATGCCAGAAGCAGCATGAACATACAAGAGGCTCTTCAATGAAGAAAGCCCTAATGCGAATGATCGAGACGTTTGATTTGATAAGAAAACATGGCCCTTTATAGAGTTGACCTTTGTAGTGAAGGAATTGAATATATAACAGGGAGGCCACAAAAGCAGTTCCTGCAGCGAGCCTGCTGGGAGATGAGAAGGCTTCCTGGGCACTGGCATGGGTGAGGGAGGGAAAAGGAAGAGCTAGCGATGCTGGGTAGTTGGGTGTCTATTAGGTTGGTGCAAAAGTAATTGTGGGTTTTGCCATTACTTAAAATGGTGAAAACCACAATTACTTTTGCACCAAACTAATAAAACTTTGCAAAACTAGCTTTTCTGAAAACCAAGTTAAAGAGCAGATGAAAAGTAAGTTTAATAACTATGTCTTCTTTGGTTATTTTCTGATTTTAGACTGCATAAACCAAGAACCCAAAGATAGCAGCCCTGCAGAAGAATGTGATGGTGAGAAAAGAAAGCCCCTCCTCCTCCTTTCCAAGTTGTGGGGTTTGGTTTAAGATATGTGAGCACCATGCTGGGTCATGCAGTTTCCAGTCTGGGAAAGTAAGGGTGGGAGGAGGTGGAAGGACTACTTAGGGTCAAATCAGCTTCTCTCTGTATGACCTTCAGCAGGGGACCCTGCTTCTCCAAGCCTCAGTTTCATCATTTGCTAAGTTAACATGATAACTAGACCTACCTTATAGGGATATTAGGGAAGTGCTTGTAAATGTCTTATCACAATGCCTGGTAAATTGCAAGCATCCCATAGATGAAGGCTATTATTATTTTCCTTATGTGTAAAGTAAGCAACCAGTTGCATGGAATCTCCATTTCTAAAATGCTCCCTGTGCACAGGGCTCTCCTTTTTTCAGAATCCACATCCATCCCTGAGAAGGCCAGGGCTGTGGTTGTCACCCGTGACGATCTGCGTGCATGCCAACTGGGCTGCATAGCACTTGTGGTCTTTTCGCAGTCCCACGGCTCCCCCCACAGCACATTTGCCTTTGATTGTGGCCCCTACAGATTGCGACAGCTGTGTGATGACCCTCCTGAACGACCTGGCCACCATGGGCGAGCAGCTCCGCCTGGTCAAGTCTCAGCTGCAGGGCCTGAGTGCCAGCGCAGGGCTTCTGGAGCAGATGAGGCACATGGAGACCCAGGCCAAGGACCTGAGGGTAAATCCCCTGCGGCCGAGAGTAGACACGTGGGGAGGAGATGCTGCGGGAGTGGATTCTCCATAAGCAGGAAGGGAAAGGTTGACTCCTGGAAAGGCTCAGGGGTTGTCCTCCTTCCTCTGATCCAAATGAAGATAAGACTTTTCCTGGTGGAAAATCATTTTTGTGAACACACAAAACTAGCACATCTGGGTGAACAATACTTACTGAACATTTCCAGGTGAGTTTTTCTCATCGAGCCTTTATTTCAGTATCTTGCATTCAGAAGACTCAAACACAGGTTTGTGTTAAGTTGGTATTAACTCTTCTTTAAATGTTGGATAGAATTTTTCCAGTGAAGCCATGTGAGCCTGGAATTTTCTTTGTTGGAAGTTGTGGTTTTTGAAAATAAGCCATGAATTTAATTTTCAAAGAATAGGTATGAGACTACAGTATTTGGGCTATGTGTTTCTTCTTGAGTGATACTTGGTCATTTGCACCTTTCAAATAATATGTCAATTTCATCTAAATTACCAAATATATTGACATAAAATTGTTCATAATGTTCCCTTATTATCCTTTGTACATCTGCAAAGTCTATAAAGATGCCTTCTTATTCATTTTCTGATAATGATAATTTATGACTTATCTCTTTCTCTTATTTTGGCTAGAGTATTACCAATGTTGTTGATCCTTTTATTTCATTGATTTTATCCATTGTTTATCTATTTTCAATTTCATTGATTTCTGTTCTTATCCTTTTTTTTTCCTTCCTTGTGCTTGCTTTGGGTGAAACTTGCTATTCATTTTCTGGTTTCCTAAGCTTATTTTACTGATTCAAAATCTTTCTTGATTCTAACGTAGGCATATAATCCTATCAGTTTTATCACTAAGCACTGCTTTAGCTGTATCCCACACACCTTGCAATGTTATGTTTTCATTCTCATTCAGTTCAATGGATTTTCTGATTTTCCTTGTGACGTATCTGTAACCCATGTGTTATTTAGAAATGTGTTGACCAGGCATGGTGGCTCATGCCTGTAATCCCAGCGCTTTGGGAGGCCGAGGCGGGTAGATCACTTGAGCCCAGGACTTGGAGACCAGCCTGGCCAACATGGTGAAACTCCAACTCTACTAAAAATACAAAAATTAGCCAGGCATGATGGCACATGCCTGTAGTCCCAGCTACTTGGGAGGCTGAGGCAGGAGAATCACTTGAACCCCAGAGGCAGAGGTTGCAGTGAGCTGAGATGGTGCCACTGCACTCCAGCCTGGGTGACACAGCGAGACTCCATCTCAAAAAACAAAAGCAAAAACAAAAAACAAAAACAAAAAAGAAATGTGTTGTTTAATATCCAAATTGGGGGATTTTCCAGATAACTTTGTGTTACTGGTTTCTAATTTAACTCTTTCATGGTCAGAGAACACGCTTTCCATGATTTCAGTCCTTTTAAATGTGTTGAGGTTTGTTTCATTGCTCAGAATGTGGTCCATTTGGGTGAATGCTGTATGTATACTTAGATGGAATATGGCTGAGAGGGTATCCTAAGAAGTAATAGAACCTATTTCCCTGAGGGGAAATAGGGGATGCTGTGCCCATGAATGGGGGCTAAAAAGCAGCCTGGAAGCTGCCCAATGCTCATCGTTGGGTGATGGCCACATGAGAGCCTAGCAAAGCTTACAGGGGCAGGACAAATCTACAGACCTGGATCTATGCTGGAATGTTACATACTCTCAACGCCACTATGGTATATAAATCCTAAACTGCCAAAGTAAGACCTGGTCCTAGACCGTGGGTTGGAGGTTCGAGTAGGGGTGGTGATAAGCATAAGAGCACTAGACAGGGCCCAGAGAGCACAAAGAAAGGGGAACTCCCACCCAGAAAGAGCCTGCAAACATTGTTAGCAGAGAAGTAATAAGAAAGACACCCAACAGAAGCAACAGTCAAGAGATGAGTTCACTTCGGATAAAATGAAAACAACAGGACAATCTGAAAATGACTTTGCAGAATGACACCCAATAGAAGGAACAAGAAATTAGGAAATTTGAGGGGGAAACCTCCAGAAATCAAACAAGAAGAGGTAGATAGGAAAAGACCCAATTGAAAATCATGGAAATGAAAAAATACACTCATTGAAGTAAAAGAATTCAGTAGATGAGATCAGCTCTAGTCTAGACACAGTGAACAAGGCTTTGGGGAAAGTTTAATAAGTACTTTTGGGTTGAGGGCTGATTCTAGTGACTATAGCTGAGTATATATAGCAAAAGATTATTCTAGAAAAATGACTCTTTCCTATCCTTTTGCATAACTTTAGTCCAAGGTTTATAGGCTTAATATGGAGAAGAGGAGGGAAAAGCATTTATGTCTTGAGGGGAAAAAAAAGGAAGCCACTGGCTTGCTTGGATTTCATCAACATGGCCCTGCAGCCTTCACCATTCTGCACACACGCTGTTTGCCACACCCTGTGCTAAGGGCTTTACTCAAGTCTCACAACCTCCTCATGAGGAACCTAGTGTTGTTCTCATTAAACAGGCATGGAGAAGCTGAGAAACTTGCCTAGAATCATGGTGGTTCTGGAAGAATTCAAATCAAGATCAAATTCTAAAGACCATGCTTTACCCACTCCACTTCTTATCCAGGTGTTCTGCTGACAATCTATATAATGACTTGCCTCCCTTTCCCCAAAGTAAAGTTAAAATAGAACTATCTTCTTGCTGTATCACACAAACATGCGAAAATTAAGAAAGATTACGTATAAGAAGGGAAGTAACATTTTTGAATGCTCATATGTACATGACATTTTACAATACATTAGCTCGCTTATCACCAAAACCAACCCTGCAGCTAAATACGATAATCCCCAATTTACTAATGGAAGAGCAAGGCTTAGTGAGGCTCATCTATCATGTGGCAGACTAAGGGTTTGGACCTAGGCTTTATTTAAAGCCTGTATTCTTTTACCCAACACTGGTTCTGACATACATATTGAGGTAATAATATCATTTTTTCCTATAAACTTTTTCAATATATTAATACTTTTTCCAAAAAATGGAAAATAATCACCATTCTAGATATTACGTGCAGTAGTGTCTAAGGGTCTAAGAGTAATGAGGCAATTTAGCCTAAAAAAAGGGCAAGGGACCCGGATTATGGTCCTGAAGCAATCACCGATGAGCTATACAACCGTGGACAAGTCACCCGACTTCTTTGGGCTTCCATTTTCTCAGTTGCAATATGAGGCTGTTCAGCTACAAGAGCTCTGAGTTCCCTGTGGTTCTGTTGGACGAGATTCTTTGAATAGATTCTTAATGATTCCTTCATTCAAGTAGCCATATGCACTGCTTTTAGTGTTGTCAGGTTAACTGCAGGTTTTTAAAAAACTGTATTTATTATAGAATCTGGAAATTAATCAGGTAAGTAGTATCACCCTCATTTCTATAAGGTTAGGTCATTAATTCAAGTGAAGTAGCTCTTATCTCTTCACATTTGTCACATTTGCTACTTTATTTTAGAGCCATATCACAATGTACATCAGAAAATAGATTCCTTATGTAACCTATTTCCAAGAACCACATTTGTGTGTGTGTGGAACTGAAAATGGTCTTGCCAAATGATTCTTCATTTATAACCCTGTTGACCAGGTTGATAGGACTTAGTCTTTATACTGTAAAGTGACATTCATTTGTGTTTTGTTTCCAGAATCAGTTGCTCAACTACCGTTCTGCCATTTCAAATCATGGATCAAAAATAGAAGGCCTGGAAAGAGAACTGACTGATTTGAATCAAGAATTTGAGACTTTGCAAGAAAAGGTAATGTGTTAGGTCCATTTAACTTTGGGGTTTTTTTGCTTTCAAAGTATTTTTATTTTTCCTTATTGACTTAATTTGCTGCTAATCAATTTATTTTTCATATAGGCTCAAGTAAATTCCAGAAAAGCACAAACATTAAACAACAATGTTAATCGGGCAACACAAAGCGCAAAAGAACTGGATGTGAAGATTAAAAATGTCATCCGGAATGTGCACAGTAAGAAGAGTTATTAAGCCCAATTACATTTTTTTTGGTTACATAACCTTCATTGTACACTAAAAGAATTCCCTTTAAGATTTCAACATTATGAAAAGAATCCCATAGTGATACTAAAAAACTAATATAAAATCTCCATAGAAGTTTCTACCTTTTTTTTTTTTTAAGTAGCCTACTGGAGCCCAGAATTCCCAGTCTAATAGACCACTTGATGTTTCCTAGTTCTTTTAAAGCAGATCTCTGGGACAGATGGAGAGGGAAACAACGTGCCTTCAGGTGACTTTTCCAGAGAGTGGGCTGAAGCCCAGCGCATGATGAGGGAACTGCGGAACAGGAACTTTGGAAAGCACCTCAGAGAAGCAGAAGCTGATAAAAGGGAGTCGCAGCTCTGTAAGAATGCTCCCAAATTCTTGCATCCAGTCCATTCTAATTGATTTGAAACACAACGTGCAGAGTGCAATGTAGAGTTCCCCGTTATAGGTGGAAGGCCTCATGGTTTCAGCGAATATTACTGTTAGAGCATCACGTGGTGAAAATTGGTAGCCCCCAGGAGTCCCAGGTTACCAACGGGCTGTAGAATATAACAGCTTACCATCATGCAAAGAAAAAAAAAAAGTTCTTCTAAAAGTTAGATATGGTTGCCTCTTTTTCCTTCTTAACTGCATTTTTCTGATGCTTATTCACCTCTTTCCAGTTTTCTCATTACATCATTATTAATGGTCACCTCACCACTACTGAATTTTTGAATCACAAATTGATATTAGCACTACTACAGATTGAGTTTCCCTTTCCAAAATGCTTGGGACCAGACGTGTTTCAGATTTTTGATTTTTTTGGATTTTGGAATATTTGCATAGACTTAATGAGACCTCTTGGAGATGGGACCCCAGTCTAAACATAAAATTTATTTACGTTTCATTTACATCTTATACACATATATCGAAGGTAATTTTATACAATATTTTTAATAATTCTGTGCATGAAATGAACTTTGTGTGTGTGTGCGTGTGTGTGTGTGTGTATGTGACAGAGTCTCACTCCATTACTCAGGCTGGAGTGCAGTAGTGTGATCTCAACTCACTGCAACCTTCACCTCCTGAGTTCAAGCGGTTCTCATGCCTCAGACTGAGCAATAGCTGGGATTACAGGTGCCTGCCACCATGCCTGGCTAATTTTTATATTTTTAGTAGAGACAGGGTTTTACCATTTTGGCCAGGCTGGTCTCAAACTCCTGACATCAAGCAATACGCCTGCCTTGGTCTCCCAGTGTGCTGAGATTACAGGCGTGAGCCACCGCACCCAGCCTCTGAAATGAACTTTTGACTGCATTTTGACTGCAACCTGTCACATGAGGTCAGATGTGGAATTTTCTATTTGTGGCATCATGTCATTGCTCAAAAATGTCAGATTTTGAAGCATTTCAGATTTTGGCTTTTTAGATTAGGGATGTTCAAATTTGTATTACAAAAACAAAAAAAGGATATACTAGAAATTAACAGAATACATCAAAAGGTTTTGACTAGAGAAAATGCCTCGTTAGTTCAAAACTGAGAAATATTAGTTTAGTGCATACTTTTTACAGATACTGGTATTTATTCTTTAATAAAATGATGTATCAGTGGTTAATATACAGATACTAGCAGTTTTCTTGCTTAAATTTTTATTGTTCAAATTTAATATGAGTCTTGGCTTTTAATTGTAAGTAGGCAGTATTCACAGTGGAAGGAGCATGCACTTTACCCCCTGCAGCCAGCTCAAGTTCAAGTCCTAAGCCCGACTGGCCATGTAACCTTGGGTCAGTCCTCTCATTTCTCAAGGCTTCCATCTCTTTATCTAAAACATGAGAATGATAATTTATTGTTTTCCTGTGGAAGTTAAATGAGGCAACATGTACAGTGCACATAGCAGGTCTGTGTCAATGTGAGTTTCCTTTCCCATCCCCTCCAAAGTTCAAGGAAAACCATGAAATGAGTAGAAACTCGATTCTCCCTTTGTAGTTTTTATAACCCAGCTTCAGTATGCTCATCTGTCAAATAGAAAACATGAGGTGATGTATTACAGTGCTGAACCGGATAAGGACCTGGCAGAAAACCCACCAGGGGGAGAACAATGGGCTTGCTAACAGTATCCGGGATTCTTTAAATGAATACGAAGCCAAACTCAGTGACCTTCGTGCTCGGCTGCAGGAGGCAGCTGCCCAAGCCAAGCAGGCAAATGGCTTGAACCAAGAAAACGAGAGAGCTTTGGGAGCCATTCAGGTGAGTTCACAGTTTGAAGTTGCACACTTTCGTTAATAAGGATGAGAGAAGCAGGGATCTTTATTATTAATAAAGTGGCATAGCCAGGCACCTGTCTGTACATCTCATTATACCACCTCAGACCCAGATCAGACAGGAACAAAGCGTTAAGTGCAAAACCATAGTTGTTTCTAGTCTTCAGCTACCAGAAAAGATTCTGAACTTAAACCACAGACAAAGCAGTGCAAACTGCTTCACCTGCATCCCCAGCTGAAAGAGTGTTGGAGGAATAATGTTGCCAAATAGATGAGAAATTAATATTGCTATAATTAATTCAAAGTATATATTATGTTTTTGGTAATTTACTTTTTGTGTCAAATATGTATACTTTTTAATGAACATAATTATCATAATCACCAGCAAAGGCATTTTAAGCCATAATCTGCTTTATAGGAAATAAAAGTACAGGCCACCTACAGAAGCTGCAATGACAGAATTTAGAGCTCTGGATTTTGCAGTTCATATATACATATATTTGGCGCCACCACGCCTGGCTAATTTTTGTATTTTTAGTAGAGACGGGGTTTCACCATGTTGGCTAGGCTGGTCTCGAACTCCTGACCTCAGGTGATCCACTCGCCTCAGCCTCCCAAAGTGATGGGATTACAGGCGTGAGCCACCATGCCCGGCCTTATAGTTCATATTTTAAATAGTGAACATTGTATGCTAAAACAATGAGGCCAGGTGCAATGGCTTATGCCTGTAATCCTAACACTTTGAGAGGCCAAGGCAAGAGGATTGCTTGGGCCCAGGAGTTTGAGACCAGCCTCGGCAATGTAGTGAGACCCTGTCTCTACAAAAATTTTTTTAAAAATTAGCTGGTCATAGTGGCATGAGCCTGTAGTCT
The DNA here is from genome assembly GCF_000001405.40 of Homo sapiens. Classification (NCBI taxonomy): domain Eukaryota; kingdom Metazoa; phylum Chordata; class Mammalia; order Primates; family Hominidae; genus Homo; species Homo sapiens. The sequence goes on from NC_000018.10 coordinate 23,902,210, forward strand.
CAGCTACTCGGGAGGCTGAGGTGGAAGGATCGCTTGAACACACTGGTGGGTTGGGAGCAAGGCTGCAGTGAGCCATTATCGAGCCACTGCACTTCAGCCTAGGCAACAGAATGAGACCTGTCTCAAAAAAAAAATTAAAAACAACAAAAATATGAGCGGTTTTATAGGGTTACAAAACAACAGTAAAATCAAAATTGAATAACACAGGGCAGACCCCAACACAGGAGGAAGTTGGCAAATGAAAATAAATGATGTCTTAGTGGATGACTCCATGCTTAGCTCCCAAAGCCTCTTTGGATAGTACCATGTCTGTGTGAAGTTGCTGATTATGCCAAGGTAAGGGAGCAGACCCAACTTTATAGGCCTCTGAACTCTGGCAGCCTTCCAGCCTGGCATTCTCAGGTTCCGTGTGACCTCTCGGTCAAGTGCCTGCTGTGTTCTCATTGGTACTGGCTGATGGTTAGTGATGGTTTATTTACATAAAATCTTTTGGTCTGTTTCACAAACCAGATTTTGATAATATACCCATCTCATTGGGCAAGTTGACCCCTACTGTAGAAACCTTCTTCAGCAGTGATAGCAATTGTTTCATTGGCATATCATTTAAGGAAACTATGGTGACGTACCTCCACTACAAAAAGAACTGATTTCCTATCACTTTGTAATTGCCTAGACAATGTTCAGGTTCAAGAAAGCATTCTGACTTTGAAATTACGTATATGCTATTGTCCCATAAATTTGTCTATGCCTTCTGATAATATATCATAGAGCTCAAGCAATTTTTTTTTATTTTCTCCAGAGACAAGTGAAAGAAATAAATTCCCTGCAGAGTGATTTCACCAAGTATCTAACCACTGCAGACTCATCTTTGTTGCAAACCAACATTGCGCTGCAGCTGATGGAGAAAAGCCAGAAGGTAGAGGAAATAGTTGTTCTCTAGAAAAATCTAAAAACATTTTAATTATATTGTGAGAAAACAATGAAATGGGCTGACCTACTTTTTTGTTTATTCAAAGTATAGTCTCTTAGATGGAAGAGAATATAATGAAATGTTAACAATAGTTCTCTCTTGCAAAAGAAGTATGAATGACATGTCTTCTTATGTTCATATGTATTACCTAATTTGTCCGCAATGAGCAAATCACTTTTGTGATAGCAACAAAAAAATTATAATGCTATTTTTAAAATATCAAGCATACAAGCATTTATTAACAGAAGATATTTAAGACTTGATCAAAACTGACACAATTTTTTAGCAGTTCAATGGGGATTTTAAAGTGTCTTTTATAATAACTATTTCTTTTTTTTATTATACTTTAAGTTTTAGGGTACATGTGCATAACGTGCAGGTTAGTTACATATGTATACATGTGCCATGTTGGTGTGCTGCACCCAGTAACTCTTTAATAACTATTTCTAAATCATAAAAAAGTTCTTTGGTTTACTACAACTTTATATTGATGATAACATTGTGCTTTTGTAAAGGTTACTAAAGGGTTTCTCACCATAATGAGAATGTTCAAGATAGTGGTAAACCTTGGGGAAATATTACCAGTGCTACTGTCTGAAGTGACCAAGGATTAACTGGTATGGTAAATAGGCTTAGAAAATATAACATCTCATTGTTGCCCCAGAAACACATCAGTTATGATAGAGTTTGAGAAATCAGCACCTACATTCTTTCCTTGAATTTATACTGTCTTTGTTTATTTGGAAAAAATAGGAATATGAAAAATTAGCTGCCAGTTTAAATGAAGCAAGACAAGAACTAAGTGACAAAGTAAGAGAACTTTCCAGATCTGCTGGCAAAACATCCCTTGTGGAGGAGGCAGAAAAGCACGCGCGGTCCTTACAAGAGCTGGCAAAGCAGCTGGAAGAGTGAGTGCATGGCCCAGGAGACCAGAAGGGCACGTGGGCTGAGCTCAGCAGCTTGTCCTGAGACAAGCAAGGCCCTCCCCTGGGTTGGCTGGGTCTCCAGAACTGGGTGGAGGGCGGAGGGTGGGGTCAAGGCCAATGCCCCAGGCCCAAGTCAGAAGCAGAGCAGCAATAAGGGCACTAATTCCTGGCCACGTCCTTTGGGCACAGCTACAGAGGCCATCACCTCAGGTATCCACTTACCAAATGAAATGCGAAGAGGCTGGGCTCAAGTTGATGGCACCACTGCAGTCAAACCTGGCAGACAGAGAGAGACTCTGCCATCTCTTTATTTTATTTTGTTTTTTTCCATTTCTTAAAAAAAAAAAAGAAAGAAAAAATAAAAAGAAGAAATGGAAAGGTTTGGGGGGATGTCAGCTGCTGGCAGAGGAAGGCTGTGGGGAGTGGCTAACCTGCCCTGTCTTCCAGGATCAAGAGAAACGCCAGCGGGGATGAGCTGGTGCGCTGTGCTGTGGATGCCGCCACCGCCTACGAGAACATCCTCAATGCCATCAAAGCGGCCGAGGACGCAGCCAACAGGGCTGCCAGTGCATCTGAATCTGCCCTCCAGGTGGGCACCTGTACCAGCAGCTTCTCCACATTCGCTGTGGAGATGGCTGATTTTTATATTTTCTTTCCGTGGGCTCCAAGGAATAGAAACAAAGCATTATTTTAAATCAGAACTTGTTGTATAGAATAGAACTTGCCCTAGATATGGGTAATTTCTGTATTTGACTATTTCATGTCTGTAGCACAGTTTTAAAACTATGTGTAAAACCAGATAGAAATTACACTGATTGTCAATTTTCAACCTGAACAAATATTATATCCTATATCTTACCAGGTATGCTTCTATGCTGTGATCATTAGCCAAAAAGAGATATTTTTGCAAACAACTTGATCAGCATTTTCATCAGGTCATTTGGTCTTACATCTCGGTGTGTCTGTGGAGTCCTGTGGGATCTTATATGCACCATATGATAATTCCTATATCTGAAAATAAAGAACAAAATATTAAATATCAGAGTTCAGGGGGACAGGCCTTCTTGAATGAGTGAAGACTTTTCTGTCCCAAAGCTTGAAAGCCTGAAAACAACTAAGTTCTCTCCTCTGTTATTGTAGAGGTTTTTGTACGAATGACAGTGAGCAGCTAAAACAAGTGTCACATAATTTGTCAGTATGCCACCAGAGATAGGCCCACCTCCCCAAGCCACATAATTCACATAGGTGTTAGGGCTACCTGGAGCCCTAACTCTTTTAGGGAACAATCTAGTTATAACTCCTTCCCCCTTTGAACTTCATCCTTAAAATTAAGGGCTTCAGACTAGGATAGAAATCTTATTCCATATTTCGTAACATATAGCATTTGTTTAAGGCTGTTAAATGCTTTGCTTTCAGACAGTGATAAAGGAAGATCTGCCAAGAAAAGCTAAAACCCTGAGTTCCAACAGTGATAAACTGTTAAATGAAGCCAAGATGACACAAAAGAAGCTAAAGCAAGGTATTAGGGGGAGTGGGCAATGGCAGGGATAGTCAGGAGCTTTAAATGACCTCTGGGACCAGGTGGGGCAGCCCTAGAAGCAAATGTTGTTTTTGAATCTCAGTGTCAATGCAGATGATACCCTTTATTTATTTTATTTTATTACTATTATTATTTTTAATAGAGATGGGGTCTCCGTTGCCCAGGCTGGAGTGCAGTGGCACAATCATAGCTCACTGTAGCTTTGAACTCCTGGGCTTAAGCTATCCTCCCACTTCAGCCTCCCAAGTAGCTGAGATTACAGGCGTGCACCACCATGCCCAGCTAATTTTTGTATTTTTTTTAGAGGCAAGGTCTTGCTATGTTTCCCAGGCTGGGCTCAAATTCCTGTCCTTACGGGATCCTCCTGTCTCAGCTTCCCAAAATGGTGGGATTACAAGCATGAGCCACCATGCCGGGCCCAGATAATACTTTTTAAATTCATGATTTATTTATCAATTTCATGTATCCACCCAATATTCTAAATATTCCCCACCTATCATGTACAAAATTAACTAGAGCCTTATAAATATAAATAAATCTTGAGAGTGATAGGCCTATTTGGGCCTGGCCTTGGTGGGGAGGCTATTTTAATTTAACCCACCTGTGATCATGGCATTGGCAACCCCACATGTCAAGATCATTGGTTTGGGATCATTAGAATAACTGCTTTAAAATTTCTTAAGTCCTAAAATCTTTGCAACTAAAAGTCCCCAAAATCACTGCTACTGTGAAGCATGAGAATTTTTTAAGCATAAATTTTATCTCTGGAAAATTTTCATGTATTTTACTTACTTATTTTTTTAAATAATTAAACTCTCTCAATCTCACCAAATTTCTGTGTTTGAAAAATGCTGTTTCTTGTGTTTCTCCAGGCTCTTGTTGTCATCCATGAGTCCAAGGCCCTCATTCAGCCTCTTAGTCCTTTCAGAGGGATTAAATGATGCCTCTGTAAATTAAATAATTTCTCTCCTTTCTGCTTCCTTCTTTTCCTTCCTTCTTTCTTTCTCTCTTTCCTTCACATGTTAAAAAATTAAAGACATGAAAAATAAAATACCAAAAAAGTACTAACATACAATCATTTGCCTTGCAAATTTCAATAATTTGGATTTCCTGGTATGACATCTATTTCTCTCTACAAAATTTGAGCTTCGAGGTAGGCTCAGTGTGCTAAACAGGGTTAGGATGCTAACTATGTTGCTATGTAAACCAGTCCTGGAATCGTAATTGAAGCCATGAATCATCAAGATGGTCTTAAAGCATTTGCTGGTCATTTTTGATGACCCAAGGATGGCAATATTATCAGCTAGGAATGTCTGCTAGCTCCCTTTCTTTCACAGAATTTTTAAAATGTGTCATTTTGGAAATTAACAGAAACAAACAGTGCCTACTTTGTGTCTGTATTTGCCTGGATGAGGCTCTTTCAACAACACTCTTTTCTTGTCCTCTGATGGAAGAGGATCCTTTCTACATTATTAATTCATTCATTCACTCATGTATTCATTTACTCAACAAACATATACTAATATTACGCCTCAACTAGTGCCAGACACTACATTATGTGGTAGGACATGGTAGTGGATAAGACAGATGCATCTTTTACTAAACAGAGTCTCTTACTCTGAGCAGTTAAGAAGTTTAGCCTTCCCCAAGTTATTCAGCCTCTTTCTTTCTTCCTGTGTATTTCCAAGGCATTACCACAAGGCTCTGATTTGCTGCTGACCTCTGTAACTGGAGGATCCCAGAGCTGTGGGTCTGGGCACATGCAGTGGGCATCTCTGAGGTGACCCCTAAGAAGCAAGTCTACTCAATGCTGTGCAGACACTGGCTACTTCAGGGGCCACAAATACCAATGGAGGATCAAAATGCACAAAGTAATTGCCTCCTGATGCTTTATTTTATTTTAGAAGTCAGTCCAGCTCTCAACAACCTACAGCAAACCCTGAATATTGTGACAGTTCAGAAAGAAGTGATAGACACCAATCTCACAACTCTCCGAGATGGTCTTCATGGGATACAGAGAGGTCAGCATCTTCCTAATCCATTGTACTCGGTTGGCTTCTTTTGTTGAACGTTTTAGATACTTATACCTCCCTATCTGTGTGTGCATTAGGTGATATTGATGCTATGATCAGTAGTGCAAAGAGCATGGTCAGAAAGGCCAACGACATCACAGATGAGGTTCTGGATGGGCTCAACCCCATCCAGACAGATGTGGAAAGAATTAAGGACACCTATGGGAGGACACAGAACGAAGACTTCAAAAAGGCTCTGACTGATGCAGATAACTCGGGTATCAGGCGATCTCTGGCCAGGACATCTTAGCCATTCTCTCCATTGTTATGTGTTTTGGTCCATTTCCATTCTTCCCTGGTAAAGTCTGATCTCAGAAACTAAAACATTAGAAAACAGCTCCACCTGATACAGGATATATTCAAAGCGTATAGATATCCTGCTAGTTGGAAGGACCAGACAGGATTTTTAATTTTTAGAAAATACATTGAAAATGCTATTGGTTTGCTTTTTTACAAAGTGGAGATATATGTTTCTAAATCATGAGGCATTGAATTATGATTGATATTAAGAATCAGAAAACAGGCTGTGTTTTCTGTGCGCTGTGGCTCATGCCTGTAATCCCAGCACTTTGGGAGGCCGAGGTGGGTGGATCACGAGGTCAGGAGATCGAGACCATCCTGGCTAACATGGTGAAATCCTGTCTCTACTAAAAATACAAAAAATTAGCCAGGCGTGGTGATGGGCGCCTGTAGTCCCAGCTACTCGGGAGGCTGAGGCAGGAGAATGGCGTGATCCTGGGAGGTGGAGGTTGCAGTGAGCTGAAATTGCACCACTGCACTCCAGCCTGGACGACAGAGCGAGACTCCATCTCAAACAAAAAAAAAAAAAAAAAAAGGAAAGAAAGAAAGAAAAAGAATCAGAAAACAAAGGTTTTTTTTTTTCTTTCTGTAGTGGTCAAAGTAAAGGATTTGGTACCTAGATTGCAGAATACAATTCACCATGTACAGTAGTTCCTCCTTATCCTCAGGGGATATGTTCCAAGACCCCTACTGGGTGTGTGAACCCACAGATAGTACCAAACCCTATATATACTATGTTTTTTCGATCTGATAACCCAGACAGCTACTAAGTGACTAATGGGTGGGTAGGGTAGACAGCAAGGATATGCTGGAAAAAAGGAAGATTCACATGGGTGGGACCATATGAGATTTCGTCATGCTATTCCAAACAGCACCCAATTCAAAACTTATGAATTGCTTATTTCTGGAATTTTTCTTTTTTAATATTTTTGGACCATGGTTGATAGCAAGTACTTGAAACCTTGGGAAGTGAAACCATGGGTAAGGGGGGAACTACCGTAACTAATTATGACCCATCCTGTTCAACATCTGGGGACCAAACATGCCACTTGACAAATACTGTCAGTAAGAACATTTGTAGTTAGCCTTTTCTTAATGCACAATCTTACATTTCTATTTTTTTTCTCACCAACAGTGAATAAGTTAACCAACAAACTACCTGATCTTTGGCGCAAGATTGAAAGTATCAACCAACAGCTGTTGCCCTTGGGAAACATCTCTGACAACATGGACAGAATACGAGAACTAATTCAGCAGGCCAGAGATGCTGCCAGTAAGGTGAGTGTGTCCCCACGTGGTCAGTGGCCAAGGCTAGTTCTTTAATGAGTTATCACATTTATCAAGAAAGAAAAAAACACTTATTTACTCAAGAATTGGTTGTCTTTCTTTCCCCAATTCTTGTGTTGCTTGAATATAAAGATTGATTTTCTCCTGTCATCCTTTACAAGTGTACATGACCTTCATCCTTACATTATCTGGTATATCAGGATCCTGAAGCAATTTGCCCCCATTGAGTTTATTCAGGCAGAAAGAAGGATTTTCTTCCAGGCCCCAGTTTGTAAACTGTAATTGCACATTCAAGGGAGGGTTCTGTGGTCAGAATGTGCCAGTGTGATACTGCACAGGACCTACCCTCCTATTGTAACTTGAAAGTTGTAGAATCCATCTTTGCTGAGGATGGAGGATTTAAGATGACAGCAGTTTTCCATCATTGGAGTACTGATTCACCAGCCTTTCTTGTTTTAACCTGACATTATTTGCTTGAATTACTGACACTTGTCTCTTGAGATTTGTTTTGTCCTAAAATGGCATAAATACAATTTCTTATATTTTCCAATAACTCCTAGACAGCCCTACAGGAGAGTTTTGGAGGGAGAGGGTTGGAGAGCCTAGTCAGAATATCATTGCCCTGGAGGCATCGTGCCCAATAACCAGGCTCACTGTTACTTCTTTTGAGCCTCAGAATCTGCCCTTTCTTCTAAGAAAGCAAAGTATTCCCAACATAAAAACTTGAACAGGAAAACAAAGAGCATAAGGCAAAGTTTGGAAGAACGCACCCTCTTCACACTCATACATGCTTTATAAAAACCAAATGAATAAGAATGTATGCTAGCTTTTACCCTTCTGTGTTCATTCACTAATTTATCCAACAAAAATTTGAAGTGTATTATAGCACAGTGGTTAACAGCTGTTTAACCAAGCCAGACTGTCTTGGTTTCAATTCTTGCTCTGCCTTTGGTGAGCTGTGAGACCTGAGCCCTGTCTCTTTACCTCTCTGTGCCTCAGTTTCTTGGTCTATAGAGCATAGAAAGTACCAACCTCATGAGATTGTTAGGGTTAAATGAGCTAATGTGGAACAGTGCCTGGCAAATAGTAGGTACCGTGTTAGTGGAAAAACATAAAATAAAAAGCAGTAAGTAAGTGCTTTTGAATGCCTGGTTGGCATTGGCACTTCTTTGGGTGCTGAGGACACAGAAATTATTAAGTCATAGTTCTGAACTCAGGCTGCTCTCCAGCCACTGCAGGTTGTTTCTTAGACTGTGGTAACAAGCTGGATAGAGGTGTGTTATGTGTATCTTCAAAACCCCCAGTTCTACCTGGAGAGGGTCAGAATAGCACTAATAAGTAGCATTAACAGACATGGATAAGAATGTTCATTGCAACATAGTTTATAATCACACACAAAGATTTTTTTTAAAAAAAGCCACATTTACAATAGCAAACCTGAATGAGCTGGAGCTGTGTGTATCAACATGAATAAATCCAAACACGTAGTGCCCAGAAAAGAAAGCAAGTTGTAGATAAATGTGTACAGGTGGACACCATTTATATAAAAATATTTAAAACATGAAAAATAGGACTAATTACAGTTTACAGATAAATGCATATTTAGTTTTGAAAGATTATGAAAAAATGCATGGGAATTTGCATGGGAATCCAGATCCAGAGTAGTGGTGACCTCTGAGAAGGGAGAGGGGAACGGGTGCCAGTTCTGTCAGTCATGTTCCATTTCATGGTGATGCACATACAGGCATATTCTTCTCCCTCCCTTTCCTTAAATACAAGAAATATCTTAATTTAAAAAATTTAAAGGAAGAGTAGGAATTTGCCAGGTGACAAAAAGCAGGAGAGAATGCCAGGCAGAGACTCAGAGAAGGTTCTGAAGGGCAGGGGGTGAGTAGGAGAGAGAGGCGTGAAATGAGCCTGCAAATGTGGGACCCCATCGCTAAGTCCCCTGATTTAATGCCTTGCATATACAAGATCCTTGATAAATATTTAAATATTGATAGAGAAAATGCAGACTTGAGTTAAATCTCATTCTTTTGTATTCGATCGTTAGGAAATATTTATCTTCTTGGTCCACACACCAGGCCTAGTCAGAGAACTTTTGTCAGTGGTCTATTATATATAGTTATAAAGTTTAGAGTAAATGTTTGGAAGCTTTGAACAATTTGAATTGCCTCAACATGCAAGCATGTGATCGGTGGGCTTGTATTTTGTCTACTTTGTTTTTTTTATTTTTGTAGTGATTTAAATTTGAATATGTTTTACAAAAGTATTTGTCCCTGGCATATTAGAAGGAAAAAATGGTCCTTCACCACAGAGAGCTCAAGAAGCGCTATTTTAGAGAGCCTTGATGTACTCACTTATTTTTCAGGACTGAACACCTATAATAAATAAAACTGTAACATGTAATATATCCAACAGAAGCAGTTCCTTTAAAAGTGCATTTAAAATATTTTAATATATAAGTATAAATTTAATATATGCATATATATTTAATTATATATTATAATCATATATTTTATGCATATATAGTGTTATATAATTATATCTGCTTTTATATATTAAATAAAATTATATATTACATACAATGTACATATAATTATATATGCATTTTAATATAATATATAAAATTATATATTATATAACATATAATTTATGCATTTATTATATATTTAATATATTAAAATGTATATTTATATATAAATATATATAATACATAATTATATATAAATTGTATATTAATATATACTTATAAAAATATATTTTATATATTTAATATATAAATGCATATATTTAAAAATATATATCTATATAAAAACATATAGATATATATAGTTTTTTTTTTTTGAGACAAAGTCTCACTTTGCTCCCTAGGCTGGAGTCCAGTGGCATGATCATGGCATGCTGCAGCCTGGAACTCCTGAGCTCAAGTGATCCTCCCACCTCAGCCTCCCAAAGTGCTGAGATTACAGGTGTGAGCTACTGCACCTGGCTTAAAATATAGTTTTAATGTATTACATGTCTGATTGTATGCCAGGCACCATGCCAAGTGCCTCCATAGATGTTAGTTCATCTGCACAAAAACCTTCTAGGGTTGTAATTCATATTATTGTCATTATCATTATTATTATTGCTAGCACAGAGGACTAAATGCACTGCTCAAATATCCCTGACTAATAAGAAACACAAATGCCTTATGACACAGCTCCGGAAACAGCTTCATGAGTTTATAATCTGGGTCTTGGAGATTATGATCCAGGGCTTAGAGACATTCACATTCCCTTGCTCCTTATCATAACAACTCAGGAAAGGCTGATACATGGCTACGAGTCACAAACTAGCTCTCTGAGCACACCTACTTTCTTCACAGGACAGTGTTTGACACCATGTAACTTACTCCTCACAGGTTGCTGTCCCCATGAGGTTCAATGGTAAATCTGGAGTCGAAGTCCGACTGCCAAATGACCTGGAAGATTTGAAAGGATATACATCTCTGTCCTTGTTTCTCCAAAGGCCCAACTCAAGAGAAAATGGGGGTACTGAGAATATGTTTGTGATGTACCTTGGAAATAAAGATGTAAGTATTGCTTGGACATCTCTCTTGTTTTTGAAACAATGTTTTTCGAGAGGTGTGCTTTTGAGATGTGTGGCACGGCTGCATCACTGCCATTAGCACAGCAGGCAGAAATCCTACTGAGACATCGACAAATCCCTCCAGCTTCCTCCCTGCCCACCTCCCCACTGTGGCAGTGCCCTCGAGGGGCCTCCCATGCATTGTTGGTTGCTAGAGGATCAAGAGGCTTTACCCAATGGGCCCAGCACGTGGGCATGTGTGTGTACATGTAAAAAACATATGCACTTGGGGAGGATGATTGGCACCCCTCCATACTACCAAGTTGTATGATTGACACCACACCACCAGGGATCAATACCAAGGAGGAGTAGCTCCTCCTCACAGAATTGTGACCTTGTCCTCTTCCTCAGACTGCCCAGCCTCAGATCCTTCCTCAAGCCTGTGGGATGGAGAGATTATGGGTGAGGACTGGAGTGGAATGAATCCTCCCTCTCCTGCCTAAATGATAAGAAAAGCAGTTGCCCTGTCTCTTTATCAGTGTAAATTCATCACTACTACTACTATCAGTGTAAATTCACTACCCATACAGGCATTTTGAATGGCTGGCTTTAGCTTTTAATCCCTCCTTTTAAAATACATTTCTTTGACATAAGTGTCAGAGGAAAAGCTAATCACTCACTGGGTTAGGATTCAGTTGTTGGAAGAAAAATGCTTGAAATATGGTTCTCAAAAATTCTGCCCAATTAGGAAATTGTTAGTTGTCACTAGTGGATCTTGTATTTAAAGATTCTTAAAATCAACACTATTGCTAATTACTCTTCCATGCTTCAAGAGGTTGGCATTTTATTTGTAGCTTGTTATGTCATGATTTTTTGCTTTGTTTTGTGGTAAAATGCACATTACTTTATTCCTTCAGCAAATTTATACCATATACCTACTATGTGTCACATTCTGGCTTTGTGATAAACAAAAATTTATTCTCGAATGTACTTAATGCCAATGCACACTTAAAATGGTTAAAATGGTAAGTTTTATGGATATTATGCCGTGATTTTAAAACATTTTGTTTCTACCTTAAGGCGCTCACATTCTAGCAGGGAAGAAAGATGCATATATAACTAACCATGATAACATAGAGGTGTGACAACAGAGGCATGCACAAAGTGTTAAGAGGATGTTGTGTGGTACTGGGAGAAGCAAAATGGCTTATCTCCCTTACCAGACTAAAATCTGTTGGACGGCTGAGTCTATACCTGGGCCCTCTGTATGGTAGGTGCTTGGCACATATTTGTAGATTGAGTGAATGGAGGAATGAATAAATGAGTGCCCTATAACATGAGCAGAGACAGCTCTCACATTATTAATTCTGCATTCTATATTATTCTATAAAATATTGCACCTTGTTTATTCTGTCTCTCCAAGGCTTATTGCCTAAAACCCATTAGTTATTTGAAATGCATCCTCATCCTCTTGGGATGGGAATTTGAGAAACCACAATGTGAAGTGTTCTGAGGTGGCCCTTTGTCTCCAGGCCTCCCGGGACTACATCGGCATGGCAGTTGTGGATGGCCAGCTCACCTGTGTCTACAACCTGGGGGACCGTGAGGCTGAACTCCAAGTGGACCAGATCTTGACCAAGAGTGAGACTAAGGAGGCAGTTATGGATCGGGTGAAATTTCAGAGGTACAAGTCTGATTGACTGTACCTGTGCTCACCAAACTTCCATGTATACATGTTGCTGAACCCCATTTTTAGTGGCTTGGCTTTGAATTCTTCAAATTTTTTGTTTAACTTTATTATCTAAATTCATTTTAAACAGAATTTATCAGTTTGCAAGGCTTAATTACACCAAAGGAGCCACATCCAGTAAACCAGAAACACCCGGAGTCTATGACATGGATGGTAGAAATAGCAATACACTCCTTAATTTGGATCCTGAAAATGTTGTATTTTATGTTGGAGGTTACCCACCTGATTTTAAAGTAAGTGTAAATGTTATTTCACTGAATTAAATATTAAAATTTTAATTTGGTATGGTGATGACCTCATGTCTCTAATTGTTAATTACATATAAAATGGATTTAACCGCACATTCTTACAGCACATTCTAGAGATACTAGCTAACACTTATTGAGTGCTTCCTCTGTGCACTGTTCTAAGCTTTAGTATGTTAATTTAAATAAGCATCATGATCATTCCCATTTTACAGATGAGGAAACAGAGACAGCGAGGTGTAATAACTTGCCCACAGTCATACAGCTAGTAAATAGCAAAGCCAGGGCATCTTGTTCCAGGGTTCACATTCTTAATTAACCCTTATGCCATAGTGACTGTTAAAAGTGATTAATTGATACTATTTTGATTATTGTCCTTTGTTCAATTGGTGGAAGATGTTTTATTTCATTTTCAGCTTCCCAGTCGACTAAGTTTCCCTCCATACAAAGGTTGTATTGAATTAGATGACCTCAATGAAAATGTTCTGAGCTTGTACAACTTCAAAAAAACATTCAATCTCAACACAACTGAAGTGGAGCCTTGTAGAAGGTAAATAAAATGTAGAAACCAGAAACTCTGTAACTGGAGTTTTGGTAACTTGCAGTACTTTTACATATGATAAAGGATGGGCCAGTGAGATGCTATTGATGTTGCTAGTTGCTTTGGGCCAGTAGTTCTTCAAGTATGTGTGCATGCAACACTGGCAGTCCTGCCCTAAAATCTAATTATGGTAGTCTCTTCTTAATTTGTATGAAATGCTAGATAGTTTTCTCACTTGAAAAAAGTCTTTATGAAAATTTTTGTGCCTCCTACCACAAAATATTTAATATTAGATGGTACCTGATCTAGAGGCCTGATTTAGTGGCTCATGCCTGTAATCCCAGCACTTTGGGAGGTTGAGGTGGGCAGATCACCTGGGGCCAGGAGTTTGAGACCAGCCTGGCCAACATGGCGAAACCCCATCTCTATTAAAAATACAAAAATCAGCCGAGTGTGATGGTGTGTGCCTGTAGTCCCAGCCTCTTGGAAGGCTGAGGCACAGGAATCGCTTGAACTCGGGAGGTCAAGGTTGCAATGAGCCAAGATCATGCCACTGCACTCCAGCCTGGGCGACAGAGTGAGACTCCATCTCCAAAAAAAAAAAAAAAAAAAAAAAAAGAAAAGAAAAGAAAAAGAAAAAGAAAAGAAAAGAAAAGAAAAAGTGGTTCATAAAATGTGCCATGACTTTTTTGGTACTCTTCCACCTCAATCTTTTTGAAAATTGCTGCCTTGAACTCCTAACCTTCCCTACAATTACAAGGACATGGTATATTCTAATATGAGGTGGACCAAATATTTATTATTCAGAATAAAATTACATTGCAAGTTAATAATCTCTTACATTTCAAAATCTTCAGCTGGCAGACCACATCTTCCTAAGCAGACATTTCCAAAAGGGTATCTTACTCATCTTTGTCGAGCTAGGGTTTGATTGTCAGAGTATGAGAGCACATCCAGGAGAAAGAGCTGGCTGCCTTAACATTTTAAAGATGTCTCCTCTGCTTTAACAAAATTATGACAACTAGATTGCATTTTCTTGGCTCCATTTTTCAGATAGCAACATCTTGTATTAATAAGCACACTGGCATGGTGATCATTTGCTGCTGTGTTCTAATTTATGATGATTAATGTTGACAGGAGGAAGGAAGAGTCAGACAAAAATTATTTTGAAGGTACGGGCTATGCTCGAGTTCCAACTCAACCACATGCTCCCATCCCAACCTTTGGACAGACAATTCAGACCACCGTGGATAGAGGCTTGCTGTTCTTTGCAGAAAACGGGGTAATCTATAACAAGCATCCAGATACAACCAAATATATTCATTCTGTTTAGCAATTTGGAGATAACTGGGTTGTTATAAATGACCCACTAGATCTGGAAAACAATGTGTAAATGTTACCTGCATCCTTTTCCTCCACCCAGTTGTACTTTCTGTTGGCTGGGAAATGTACTTTTTTTTTTTTTTTAACATTTTTAGTTTCAGGGGTGCAGGTGCAGGTTTGTTATATAGGTAAATCGCATGTCACAGGGGTTTGGTGCACAGATTATTTTATCACCCAGGTAATAAATGTAGTACTCAATAGGTAATTTTTTCTGTCCTTAAAAATACTTCCACCCTCAAGTAGGCCCCAGGGTCTGTTGTTCCCTTCTTTGCGTCCATGTGTACTCAATGTTTAACTCTCACTTATAAGTGAGAACGTGTGGTATTTGGTTTTCTGTTCCTACGTTCGTTTGTTTAGGATTATGGCCTCCAGCTTCATCCATGTTGCTGCAAAGGACATGATCTCGTTCTTTTTTATGGCTGTGTAGTATTCCATGGTGTATATGTACCTCATTTTCTTTATCCAGTTTACCATTTATGGGCATTTAGGTTGACTCCATGTCTTTGCCGTTGTGAATAGTGATGCAAGGAACATTGGCGTGCATTTGTCTTTATGGTAGAACGATTTATATTCCTTTGGGTGTATACCCAATAATGGGATTGCTGGATCAAATGGTAGTTTTAAGTTATTTGAGAAATAGACAAACTGCTTTCCACAGTGATTGAACTAATTTACATTCCCGCCAGCAGTGTACAATCATTCCCTTTTTTCCACTTTCAACCTCACCAGCATCTATTATTTTTTGACTTTTTCATAATTCCCTTTTTGACCAGTATGAGATGGTATCTCATTGTTTTGATTTGCATTTCTCTAATCATTAGTGATATTGAGCATTTTTTCATATGCTTGCTGGCAGCATATATGTCTTCTGAAAAGTCTGTGTCCTTTGTCCATTTTTAATGGGGTTGTTTGGTTTTTGCTTGTTAATTATTTAAGTTCTGATAGATTCTGGATATTAGACCTTTTTCACATGCATAGTTTGTAAATATTTTCTTCCATTCTGTGGGTTGTCTGTTTACTCTGTTGATAGTTTACTCTGTTGATAGTTTCTTTCATTGTGCAGAAGCTCTTTAATTAGGTTCTATTTGTCAATTTTTGTTTTTGTTGCAATTGCTTTTGGGGTCTTTATCATGAAATCTTTGCAAAGGCCTATTTCTATAATGGTATTTCTAGGCATTTCTATGTCTAGAATAGGTTTTCTTCAAGGGTTTTTTTTTATAGTTTTAGGTTTTACATTTAAGTTTTTAATTAGTCTTGAGTTGATTTTTGCATATGGTGAAAGGAAGGGGTCCAGTTTCAGTCTTGTGCATATGACTAGCCAGTTATCCCAGCATCACTTATTGAATAGGGAGTCCTTTCCCCATTGCTTGTTTTTGTTGACTTTGTCGAAGATCAGATGGTTGTAGGCGTGTGGCTTTATCTCTGGGCTCTCTATTCTGTTCCATTGATGTCTATTTTAATGAGGGCAAATAATCAGGAATTTGAGAACATGCCCCCCAAAATGTGGGAGAAATCTCCCCTTTTCCTGTTCTATTCTCATTATCAGTTTTGTTATTTGAGAACCACTGCTTGCCTAAGAATCTACTTATTCTGACCCAAAACATGTGAAAACTTCCTGGGATCTCTAAGATCTAGACTGACTTCCTGCTGTTTCTGTCTTGATCTGATTCTTACCAGGCTGTGTGGGATTGTGTCTTTATCAGCATGTTTGCCTTCTCAAGACACTGAAGCTTCTCTGTTTTCAAGTAGCTGAGATTCCTAGGGACCCTCTAAAATCTATTAGGTTAGAAAAGTCCAAAGTGACACTCTACAAGTGATCGTCAGCGCCATCTGCTGGTTGATGGAGAGTTGGCGTGATGTTTGCTGCTTTATACCTATAGCCGGCCTGGAGTTGAACCCTCCGGTGAATAGGAGCTTCTGTAGTTGCTCTCACGGAGTATTTCTGAAGAAATGTGGATGAGCCCAAAGGCTTTCTGGTGGTCCGAGAACATGGGATTGATAAGGAGCTTGGGATTTTACCAGAGTCTTCTACCGCAGGGTGGTGACACTGACCCGGTCCAACTCTCCTCTCTGGGGTTGGTCTGGACCCTTCAGGAGATTCCAAGGCTGGACCAGTTCTGATGGTTTGGGAAGGTCCCAGCCAGCCTGAAGGATACATAGAGCAGAGAAGTCATCCAGCATCTTCAGGACACGGCAGTTGTTTTACAAAACAAGGTCTTCTTTGTATATAATTTGAAGTTCTTGGAGACTAAGAACCAGAAATACTACTCATATAATAAGAAAACTTAACATAATACCATTACATAAGAAATGACCTAGAGATCTGCTTTAAGTAGGATGGCTCATGACTCTCAGTAAATTGGTGTAACTCTGTTGTTTATGGTTTGATCAACCTAAGCTGACTCCCAAAGGCAAGGTTTAGGATCCAGATAAGGACTGATTTTCCTCTTAGAAAAGAACTCGGTCCCTGGACCTCAAAGAGAGGCATTCTTATCATTAAGGAACTGTGTAAAAGCAAAGCCTTCAAGCCCTAAGTCAGAAATTGCTCAGCTTATCTTAGGGAAGTAGCTGATTCAAGTATATGTTTCACACCGTAATGGAGATGCAATAATGACAAAGACAGATATGGCTCCCGCCCTCCGGGATTTTATAATCTAGAGGGGAAGAATATGCAAAGGAATGCTGTTAATAGGTTGTTTATTTCATCACAACTGTGAAGAGCTGTATCAAGGAAAAGTTTGGGGGTGAAATGAGGATGTACAACATAAAAGACACTTGAGCAAAGGAAATGCTTCCTCTGAGATCAGGAGGACAGCATTTGAACAGGACATGGGGACAGGCAAGACGGGGGATCCAGGCAGAGGGAGAGGCATGAAGAAGGCCTGGAGGTGGGAAGGGCAGGGAGCACTCAGTGGAACAGTGGCTGCGGGGCTGGAGAGCCAGAGGCAGTGCTGAGAGAGAGGCAGATGCCACGCAGCATCTGGTAGGGGTCAGGGCTTCATCCTGACAGCCGAGGAGAGTCACAGGCTCCCACTGGCATTTTCAAAGACTGCTCTGGCTGTAGGGGGGAATGGACTTTCGGGGGTACATGGGGAGACCGGCGGGTTGTTGCTGCAGGGACTGGCTAAAAATGTTGTGGCTGAGACTAGGTGGGATGACATAAAGAGAGAGCTAAGAATGGCAGAATTTACAAGATTATGTTGGATGGGAGAGAAGGAAGGATCAAGAATGATTCCTAGGTTATGATAAAGGGATGAGAAAGAAAAAAAATGACTCCTAGGTTTGTGGCTTGCTCAGCAATAAGGGAAAGGTAAGCATGGTGATGTATGTGTGTGCCCTGCACACGTGCATGCAGGGGGCAGGCTGGGAGTCAGGGAGCGCATGCACCTGGTATAATGGAAGAAGAGGCAGGCTTGGCAGCCTGTAGGAGGCATGTAGGTCATACGTTCTGTGTGAGATATTCTGAATTTGAGGTCTCTGTGAGTCATGCAAGCAAAGCAATAACAACAAGGGAATCACGTGTGCAGACTTGGCCCTGAAGACAGGTCTAGGCTGGGGAGAACAATTTGGGGCCCATCAGTACACCTGGATTGGAGCTACAGGAGAGCCTGTGATTGTCAAGGCAAAGGGAGTGGTGTGGGGAGGAAGGAGTCCTGTGTAGGATCCCCGAGGAACCCCCAACACTGACATGGAAGGTAGAAGGGGATAAACCAACAAATGAGACAGAGACATAAGAATCAGTCAGAAAACAGATGGTGGAAGGTATCTGAGGTCTGCATAAGACCTCGCCTCTCTCTAAAAGGCACTCATATTTTCAAATAATATTAATGATCTGTATCTTTTCGGTCTCCATCTTTATACACCAGTTATGGATCGCATGAAACAAAATCATGATCATAGCTAGCATTTATTGTGTCTGTCCTGTGGGCCAACCACTGTGCGTGACATTTAACGTGACTTACAGTATTGAACCATCATCCCATCCCGTGAGGTTGCTGTTGCAGCACCATTATCCCTTTTCACTGAGGCAGCAGCTGAAGCTGAGAGCAGGGGGGTCTGTGAGAGTAACGGGAGTTCCAGTGCTCTGCCTCTTCTTCAGCCAAGCCTTCTGGTCATCTGCATTGTTCCTCTGTCCTAGGATCGCTTCATATCTCTAAATATAGAAGATGGCAAGCTCATGGTGAGATACAAACTGAATTCAGAGCTACCAAAAGAGAGAGGAGTTGGAGACGCCATAAACAACGGCAGAGACCATTCGGTACACCTTTTGAGTCTGTTTACTTGAATCGTTAAATGTCCTTAGTCCTTTAAAATTAAGTCAGTGCCCCCAAATAAATAAATAAAACTTCCTATTACCAGATAAACTTATGGATGTTAACTGAGGGATATATCCTTTTAAAATTTGCACATTTCGGCATGAAATGTATAACATATACATGATATCTATAAAACACGGTTAACTTCAAATACAAACATTTCTATCAAAATGTTTTAGTATCATATTTTTATCCAAAAATGCTACTGCTCAGAGCCTTCCTACTATGTATATAAATGAATCTGGGGGAAGATAAATAAAAACATGATAGTTCTGAACCCCTGTGAATAGGATTCTCTTATTTTCGCTGGCTTGCTGATTCATCTCTCATTTATTTCAGATTCAGATCAAAATTGGAAAACTCCAAAAGCGTATGTGGATAAATGTGGACGTTCAAAACACTATAATTGATGGTGAAGTATTTGATTTCAGCACATATTATCTGGGAGGAATTCCAATTGCAATCAGGGAAAGGTAAGATGATTTTTTTAAAACGAGATTTAAAGCCTTTGTTAGTGGTTATGATTGTGACCAAAAAAAATCTGGTCTGCCATTTTTAATTCCACCAACAAACAAACACAAAAAGTTAACTTTTCCATATTAACAGTATAGTCAACAGAATAAAACAGATTTAAATCCCGAATAATGAGACTGGGCAGTGGAAAGAAGGAGGGTGGGGGAATGTGTGTCACCGCCATTGTCATTCTCGGGAGGGGAGGGACCACGAAGGGTATAGTTGGGTTAACAATGCTGGCAGCAAGTAGAACAGAGGCTGTGGCCCTGGGCCCTTGAAGGCTGCATAGGAGAGCGTGGGCCTCCCAAGGCCTGACAGACATCCCTGGGGAACTGAAAGCTGAGGTTGCCACCTTCAGGGAGCCTCTGGAAGAATGTGAAACAGTATGTCTCCTTCACTTCGGCATCAGCTGCTCCTTACATGCTATCGAGCGTGGAATTGTTACGTAACTGTTTCTTGGATGAGTGAACACATGAATTAATTAATGTGAAAGGCAGTAAAGCTTTATCTGAATGGGAAAAATCCCACCATTTTGGAATGCACGTAAAAATAACTTTTACATTTTGATCATTTGTATCCTCCCGGAAGGCTTTTAGATAGCTGACGATAGTGTGTGGACAGAACATATCCTGGAAGGATTAGTGCAGCCTCATGACTAAGTAAGAGTGCTCCCAGAAGGTTAGGTTATGATGACTTTTATATGAGATCTGAAGCTAGTTAACTCTTTTGCTAACTTATACATCAGTTGGAAGGAACTAGAATATGATTTATAAGGTGTCATGCCAAGGTATTCTTTCTTCTAGAGTCCTTATACATGTGGGCGTCTGTCCATTCTACGTAGTCAGGTACTAATCTTTGTTTTAAAGTTGTCAGGGTTGCCTCCAAAGGCAAAAATGCAAATGGGAAAGCTGGGCACTTCAACAGAACCTGGGGGTGACATCTTTACTCCCTGGGCTCTGGAAGGAGCCTTGCAGATCATGGTATGTAGCCCCTGAGTTTTACAAATGAAGAAATTCAGAGCCAGTGAGATTATATTAATATTTAATATTATCAATATCAAATAGCAATTCAGCCATGAATAGCCAGTTATGAATTGTCAGTAAGATTGATTTTATTTCCATGAAATGGAATAAAATAAAATCGTTTAAGGTAGTTTTTTCGAGTACTTTTGAGTATGTTTGAGAGTTGCCACTTATTCATTCATTACACAGGATTTATTGAGTGCCTAATGGGCATCAGGCAGAGTGACAGGTGCCAAGAAGGCAACAATGAGCAGGGTGGAGCCTGGAGAAGAACAGAAGAGAGACAGTCACTACAGGAGAACATGACGTGTGCCATAGGAGGAAGCTCAGGGTGCTGACAGAGCCCAGGAGGGAACCTAATCCAACTGGGGCCATCAGGAAAGTGACCTCCAGCTGGGACCTGAGAGATGCTAGCAGTCAGTGTATGTGAAGCACCAAAGCTGGATAGAGAAAGCATGAACTTGCAAAGAGCTAGAGTACAGCAGGAAGTGGGATAGGGATGCCCCATGGGGCTGATGTGGGCAGCAGGGGCCTGACCACAGAGTACCTTGAAAGTCACAGTAAGGAGCCATTGGAGGGACTTCAGCAGAGAAAGGCCATGACCAAATTTGGGTTTTCAGTAGCTCACTCTAGTGCAGGGCAGAGACTGGATTAGAGAAGAAAAGGGCAGAGGCAGGTAGAGTGGCTGGAGGCCGAGTATATTAACAGAGGTGAGTGATGAGGGTGACCTGGCCCAAGGAGTGGTTATGCAGGTGAGCAACAGGGATCAGATTCCAAATATATTTAGGATGGTGAATGGGCAGCACTGCACAATGGCTTGGGTTGGGGAATAAAGGGGAAAAGCAGTCAAGAATGATGCCTGGTTTTTGGCTAAGCCCTTGGCAGATGGAACACACCAACGGAGGAGTGGGGTGAGAAGTTAAGTCTGAGACAGGCTTAGTCCAGGAGCCTGAGACACAGCCAGGTGGAGAGGCCCACAAGCAGGCGCACAAAATGGCCTGGGCCTCCAGAAAGGAGGCCAGTCTGGAGAAGGGTAAATGAAGCTCAGGGCCAGGTAGTCATTGAGGTGGTAGAGGCCAGTGGGCTTACCCAGAGCCAGGAGGAATTCTCAAGTTGAGGCAATAAGGAACCCATTGGTGGTGGTTTGTGTTTGCATGATATTAACACAAGGCCCCTAGACAGTGATGTGGATGCCAGTCAGTCCAGGTTTTCTAGAAAAGAGCAGTAGGTAGAACCACAAAAGAGGTGGCTTTAGTTTTGGCTCAGCAAAACTTTAGGTTAATTCAGCACTCAACCTTTATTTGCCTTTTCATCTCCATCCATTAAAGAAATATATAGATATAGAGATGCATATACATAGAGAATTTGCTTTTTTAAAACAATTTTTTGTAGAGATGGGGTCTTGCTGTGTTGCCCAGGCTGGTCTCGAACTTCTAGCCTCAAGTGATCCTCCCACCCCCAGAATTCTGGGGTTACAGGCGTGAGCCACTGTGCCCAGTCCAGAATTTTCTTTCTTTTTTTGAGACAAGAGTCTTGCTCTGTCACCCAGGCTGGAGTTCAGTGGCGCCATCTTGGCTCATTGCAACCTCTGCCTCCTGGGCTCAAGTGATTCTCCTACCTTGGCCTCCTGAGTAGCTGGGATTACAGGCATGTGTCACCATGCCTGGCTAATTTTTTGTATTTTTAGCAGAGACGGGGTTCCCCATGTTGTCCAGGCTGGTCTTGAACTCCTGAGCTCAGGTAGTCCACCCACCTTGGCCTCCCAAAATGCTGTGATTACAGGCATGAGCCACCATGCCTGGCCTAGAATTTTCTTAGTAACTTATTTTGGGATCCTCCAAACAAGGGACTGCTTCCTTTTTCTGGGCAAGTTTTATACTTTGACCTTTTTTTTTCTTTTTTTTTTTTTTTTTTGAGACGAGGTGTTGCTCTTGTTGCCCAGGCTGGAATGCAATGGCATAATCTCGGCTTACTGCAACCTCCACCTCCCGGGTTCAAGCAATTCTCCTGCCTCAGCCTCCCGAGTAGCTGGGATTACAGTGCCTGCCACCATGCCCGGCTAATTTTGTGTTTTTAGTAGAGACGGGGTTTTGCCATGTTGGTCTGGCTGGTCTCGAACTCCTGACCTCAGGTGATCCACCTGCCTCTGCCTCCCAAAGTGTTAGGATTACAGGCATAAGCCACCATGCACAGCCTATATTTTGACTTTTTATTAAAATCACTGGAACATGGAAAATGCAGGAGATAGAGGCCAGTCAAAAGATTTCACTGGCCCTTCACTCCCTCTAAAGCAAAATTCTAAGGAATAGTCAGCTGTTCTGGGTGTTGCCTCATCCCTGTGGTGAAGTCTTTGGTGGCCCAGAGATTCCTGAAACTGCCATTGGGCATGAGTCACTGGGAGGTGGGGTGGGCACAGAGGAGTTCCATGGATAATCCACAGCCAAGCTCTGTAGGGGCAACCAGCCAACGCTTCCAGAGCAGGGAGGTGTTCTGGTCCCTGGCATAAATGGAGGGACCTTTTAGACAAAGTTCTCAAACCTAACCTGGAGCAAGGCAAGCAAGTGTAATCACTAAATCAGCTTTGCTCAAGGGATTTTGTGCACGTTTTGTTTCTTCCCCCTCTCACTGTAGTGTTTCTTCTGGGAATGGGGACCCAGATCTTGGAATGGCTTGTTTCCGATTATAATCAGAAATCATTCTGTTAATCCCATCTCCTACCCAGGAGAAGAGCAAATCATCCCTGGTAATGCCAGAGGGTGTGACACCAACAAGGGCATTTTTCTTGAGGACCTACACCATTGTTTACAGAGTGTGATTATACACACTAAAATGAAAATGATCCAAAAAGTAGATCTATTGAACATCGACTAAGTACCCAACACCAAGATTAGGGCTGCCTTTTGTTCTTTTTGCTCTCTGAAGTCGGCCTGCAACAGCCATGGAGCTGGCTAAGCTTTTGTGGACAGATTGGCCCAAAGTATACATAAATACCCCAACGCAGGAACCCACCAACACAACAACTCATGCCCCAGTGCAATCACATTCCTCTAGCAAGTATGTTCAGACCCTGTATCCTGGAGTAAATGTAGAACTGTAGGTCCTCAGGTAAGCCAAGGTAACAAGAATCCCCCCAGGAATAGTGGAAGTAAATCTCTTCCATTTTAACACTTCTGCTGTAGGTAACTCTTCTAGAAAAAGGCATGATCACTTCCAAGTGCTGCAGGAATACCAACTGTAAGTGTAAAAAGCAAGGGCTTCAAGCCTCACTAACCTGTGTGACACACTGACAGTACAGACCCCAGCTCTACCACTTACCAGCTGTGTGACCTTAGGCAAGGCCTTAACCTCTTAATGCCTCATTGCTACATCTATAGTATGGGCATAGTAGCTGCCTATCTCTTAGGGTGGTTGGAAGATTCAGAGTGTGTAAAGGAATTAGCAGAGGTCAGCACATGGTCAGTGCTCAATAAATGTTAGATAAGAAAACCTGCCCTTCCTGCACATGTATCCTAGAACTTAAAATAAAATAAAATAATATAAAAGAGAAAATACCTCCCTCAAAAGCTTATTGTAAGTTGGATTCATAGAGCTTCGTGCAAAATAGGTGGTCTGTATCTGTTAACTGCCTTTCTCTCCTACTATTTTCCTTTTCTGCAACCTTCTTTCTTTGACCAATAATCTATGGAGAGAGGGACATCTGGAATGTCGTTGTCCAAGAGATATGTTGAAACCCAAAGAAGAATTGACCTAAAACCATGTATAAATAGGCAAGCTCCAGGAATGGAAATGAACCCTCCTCCTCTTCTGAGGCAAAAGGCCATCTTTATAAAATAATTAGGCTTATACTGTAATGCCAGTGAGGATTTGTTTCTTTCTTTTCCTTTTAATGAAATTTAATTTTAGGTCTATTACAGGTAGCTCAACTGTTTCTAATGAATTGGATTAAAATGAATGCAGACACCTTTCCATTTAGAAAAGTAAGCTGCATTAGGGATTTAGAATGAAATCAGCTTTGGGTTTTCTTAGTACATCATTTGTTTAAGAAACACAAATATTTGCCTGGACTTCAGTTAGTTCATGTGTGTGAATGCTTTATGTGCATTCAGCTCCAGACAGATCCAGAAGTCAAATCGAAGGGGAAATGCCCTGGGGCCATGTAGAAAGAGCTGCTTTAGAAATTGCTCTCATTATATAAGAGCAGTAATATGGGAGTAGTTACTAACTTGACGATCTCACATTGAGTCCTTACTCTGTACAAAACACTGTTTGAGTGTGTTACACATATTAACTTTCTTAGACTATGACAGCCCTATGAAACAGATTCACATATTCCCATTGTCTAAATGAGGAAACAGGCACGGAGAAAAGTTGCCTGTTCAATCAGAAGGGACAGAACTTGAACCCAGGCAATTTGGCTGGTCCAGAGCAGCACAATTTTGCCTCTCAGAAACACCTGCTGAGCATTCACGTCCAGGTGCCATGCACTGCTGCAAGCTCTTGCTGTACGTTAACTTGTTTTTTTGGTTTTGTTTTTGTTTTTTGAGGCAGAGTCTCGCTTTGTTGCCAGGCTGGAGTACAGTGGCACGATCTCAGCTCACTGCAACCTCCGCCTCCCGGGTTCAGATGATTCTCCAACCTCAGCTCCCGGGTAGCTGGGACTACAGGTGCCTGCCACCACGTCCAGCTAATTTTTGTATTTTTAGTAGAGTTAAGTTTTCACAATGTTGACCAGCCTGATCTCGAACACCTGACCTCAAGTGATCCACCTGACTTGGCCTCCCAAAGTGCTGGGATTACAGGCATGAGCCACCCCACCCGGCCCGTTAATTTTTTAAATCCTGGCAATAACCCTTTGCCCACAGGTAGGAGGTGGTAGATACAGCAGCATATGAACCCAGACAATGTGTTCCATTGTTTCAGCTTGGCATTGGTTAAATCAAGCTACGTTTTTCATAATTGAATAGAACCAAAAAGTAACACTTTGTTTCTTCTGACTTTACAGTGGCTAACTTAACAGTGAACAGAAAAAAAAGAGCAAAAGGTTTTCTAGAGCACTCCTGGTTCCTACAAATGATTTATTACTTTATTAATATATATGTATATCATATATCATCTATTAACTTATTAATACATGTCCTATCCACCTGCAATGCCGTGACTCCAGCGGGGAGGGACGGGCAGTTCTAGATATTGTGCATGTTCTCTGTCTCTTTACCTTTTGCGGCCACTGGCCATTCTTCTGTTAACATTGTTGTCTGCATTTTTAAAGCTGGGAATGTAAACTTACACAGAAAGGAAGTCAGTTCTCCCAGCATCATAAAATAAGTAGCATTATGGGAATCCCATGGGAAAGGATAAACATAAAACACCTACTCATTTATGGGTGAAAAGTACTAAAGAGCACAGCGTTTCAGCTCTGATTTCACGTGAGCCTGACATGATCCATCTCTTCCTTTTATCTGTGTTCGTAATCAGATTTAACATTTCTACGCCTGCTTTCCGAGGCTGCATGAAAAATTTGAAGAAAACCAGTGGTGTCGTTAGATTGAATGATACTGTGGGAGTAACCAAAAAGTGCTCGGAAGACTGGAAGGTAAGTGAAAGTTCAGAACCTCGTGAAGGAGTGCTTCCCAGCCAACCCACCTTCCGTATCCATTAACGCAGCAACTTTTGACTTCTTTCTGATAGCACACAGTGTTACAGTGAACTGGCTCATATACACTCCCCATGTGCTTGCAAGATGCTGAACCTTTTCAGGTTTGCACATTAACTTTGTAGGAAAGTAGGAAGACCAACTATATACACAAAAACTTACAGATGATTGCTGACTTATTATGCAGAAAAGTAAGCTCTCTTTCTTTCTGAGGTTACATAAATCACATTAATCAGTTTGAGTAAAGTGAGATAGGGTAAGGTACTGTATTTCAGCCAAGAAATGATTACAATGCCAGTAATTTATTCCATGTTTGCATTTCAGCTTGTGCGATCTGCCTCATTCTCCAGAGGAGGACAATTGAGTTTCACTGATTTGGGCTTACCACCTACTGACCACCTCCAGGCCTCATTTGGATTTCAGACCTTTCAACCCAGTGGCATATTATTAGATCATCAGACATGGGTATGCAGTAGTGCATTAATATCAAACAAGATTTAAACCTGACTCAAAGTTTGATGTTAAAAACAACAGAGAGATTTAGAAAGTGGTGGAGTTGTACATTTTTTCTATCATCACACAGTAAATGCTATTGTATAGTTCAACCATAAACGTTATTCCCCACTCTGGGGTAGGTCCTCAAAGAAATCAAGTTTAGAAAGTAACATTATAATTTACAGAGTTGCATTTGTGTGTACTCGCGGACTCATTTTTATTCTTTTCAGGTATATTTTATAATAAGAGTTAAGGTGGATTATAACTACTGTAGTTAATAATGTAGCTTAAAGTTTCAGAGCTCAGAAAGAAAATCAGAGTGTGTCCCTATGATTTCTTTTTGATTGCATTAAAGGTAGCTCTCTCCAGATTGCCTTTTTGCAGCAGCAGCAGCAGCAGCTAGTTGGACAATATTTATACCTGGGGAATTGGAGAAAATAAGATCCTTTTCTCTTTCCTCATGTACAACAGAGCCACATAAATTCTCTTCCACAAGGAGATACCATCTGTAACTTAAGCAGATTTAGCTAGTGTGGTTATGTAGATACAGAAGTCACCTAATATTTAGAAATGAATATTTGTGGAATGAGTGGAATTTTTAAATAGAAGTAGAGTATGATTATTTCTGAATTTGTTTCTTTAGGATTGCAGAGCACAGCAGACTTCTAGTATCTGTCAAGAAAATGGCTGGTGGCTGACTCTGTGGCTCTGTAATATCAGGAAGGCCGCCCCTCTCTTGGTGGCTGACTCTGTGGCTCTGTAATACTAGGAAGGCCGCCCCTCTCTTGGTGGCTGACTCTGTGGCTCTGTAATATTAGGAAGGCTGCCCCTCTCTTGGTGGCTGACTCTGTAGCTCTGTAATATCAGGAAGGCCACCCCTCTCTTGGTGGCTTGCTCACCAGTCCTTGAGGTTTTATTTTTAAAATGAGCCCTAAAGAAGCACATGCTAACACTTAGACTATAGGGGTGGCTTTTCCATGAAAGCAGGATGTTTTGATCTAGCTCTTATGATACCTAACACTTGTTTCCTCTGCCACGTGTAGGAACACTTAGTACACAATTCACAAAATGATCGAGAGCAGATGGAAGAATTAGGTTAGCAAAAGATTAGATCCGCCCTGGACAATGGGGGAATCCTGGATATAGCATAGGGACATTGCCCTCAATTTCATAATGGGTTAGCTAAAGATACATATAAGTTAGCATTAGTTTATGCAATTCATAATGAATATTGCCAATTGAAAAAAAGTCAACACAAAGTAAAATCAACAATGGCTATAACCACACACTGTAAAACTTGTTTTAGACTGAAATCTTACCAAAGAATCACATCTTGTTGAAAACTGCAGAAATTATACTTGGTAGAAAAAACACAAACAAAATTGAAATGACAAGTGCTGAGATTGCACATTTTTTAAATTAATGATTGACAGGAAGAGTCAAATTATCTTGCCCAAATTTACATCTTCAGAGTTCAACATGGAGAATTGGACTTCCCAAAAATAATGACTAGGAAATAAAAAATTTATAATGACTGAAGAGAAGAAATCATTGTAATATTCTTATATTAAAAATTGAGGAATCGAGTCTTTGCTGTAAAATTTATTTAGCAATGAATTGATCCGATAGAAATAACTTCAGCCAAAGAAAAATAAAAATAGAAAAATTTAGACTGGGCATGACGGCTCACACCTGTAATCCCAGCACCTTGGGAGGCCAAGCCAGGAGTATCTCTTGAGCCCAGGGGTCTGAGACCAGCCTAGGGAACATAGTGAGATCCTGTCTCTACAAAAAATTACAAACTTAGCCGGCTGTGGTGGTGTGCGCCTGTGGTCCCAGCTTCTCAGGAGGCTGAGGTGGGAGGATCGCTTGAGCCTGGAACAGTGCCACTGTACTCTAGCCTATGCAAGACAGCAAGACTCTGTCTCAAATAATAATAATAATAAGATAAAATATAAAAATTTAGAAATGATTTAACTGTTTTGTATAGTCGATTGAGAAATTAAATTGGCTTAATGAATGTAGGTCCAAAAAATGATTTTGACAAATTCATTGGTGTTGACATAATTTGCATAAGATTTTTATATTTATAAACATGGAGTCAAATATGCAAAAAATAATCTTTAGAGCAAAAAGCAAACTCAAAGCATTTGGGTCAAAACATCCTGATTGTTTTATACATGGTTTGGATGATAAATTCAGTAAAGATACAGGCATAATCCTTATATGCAAATTAGTTGATGGGTATTTTCTATGGTGATTTCAGACAAGGAACCTGCAGGTCACTCTGGAAGATGGTTACATTGAATTGAGCACCAGCGATAGCGGCGGCCCAATTTTTAAATCTCCACAGACGTATATGGATGGTTTACTGCATTATGTATCTGTAATAAGCGACAACTCTGGGTGAGTGGAATAATACTTCTGTCAGAGCTGTGAGTGAGTTTTACTCTCTTTCGTTTAATGGAATTTTCTGGTGTCTTTTTGCAAAATATTTGTCCTTGATACCAAAAATACTTCACTAATAAGTCTTGTCCTTCTTCCTTTTTCCATATCAATTTCTTCATAAAAAAATAAACTGCCACACATGGTGGCTCATGTCTGTAATCCCAACAACTAAGAAGGCTGAGGCAAGAGGGTTGCTTGAGGCCAAGAGTTCGAGACCAGTCTTGGAAACACAGTGAAACCATGTCTCTACGAAAACTAAAATAAAATAAAATGTAAATAAATAAAATTTTAAAAATAAATCAGTTGGATGGATAAATTGTGGTGTATTCAAATGGAATGCTATATAGCAATGAGAAAGAAGGATCTAGAACTATATGTAATGACATGAATGACCCTCACAAACATAATGTGGAAAACATTGAGTCACACATAAAAGTTCATCTCATATGATTTCCTTTATACAAAGTTCAAAAACAGGCAAGAACTAATCCATTCCATCAGAATTCAGGATAGAGGGAGGGAGGCTATAGGGTTAAAGGGAATGCACAACAGGGTACCTGGGGTGCTACTCTGTTCCGTTTCTTTTTCTGGGTGCTGGTAATGTTGGTGTATTTCTGTTGCAAAAATTCGTTGAGCTGAACACTTATAGCCTGTGCACTTTCTGTACATGAGGCTCTCATAACACAGTCTTTCAAAACGCCATCTTTGGCAAGATACACCCATTTTAATAAAAATGTGATGTGCAAAAGAAAATACATGAAAAAAGTTGTAATGCTCTTTAAAAATAAAGTCTAGTTTCACTAGTTATTTTAGATAACAAATATTGAATCTGAGTCTTAGACAGTGAGTTGGCCACATGGCAAGGGCCCTTTTTTCCAGCAGTTCTCACCCATGATTTGCTTTTCTTCCCTTTCAGACTACGGCTTCTCATCGATGACCAGCTTCTGAGAAATAGCAAAAGGCTAAAACACATTTCAAGTTCCCGGCAGTCTCTGCGTCTGGGCGGGAGCAATTTTGAGGGTTGTATTAGCAATGTTTTTGTCCAGAGGTAGGTGATCCTCTCTTTGTGGGTAACTGATGAGAACGGCCTGCCCATGGGAAGGGTATCTCTTTGGTCCAGTTAACAAAGTCAGCTTTGTCAACATGTGCTGCACGAGACCCGCATACCACAGTCTTTCAAAATGCCATCTTTGGCAAGATACACCCATTAAAAAACCCATAAAAAACTCCTGGGCCCGGCCTCCTTTTGGAGGAGCAGCGTTAGCATGTAACCTTGGAAAAGACCTAATTAAAATTAACTTCAGATTATGGCCCGGAAAAGTATTCACTGGAATTTTATTGCATTATAATCAAGATTGTGCAATTAGATTTAATCAGCTCTCCACGGTTTTCAAGGCCAAGGAACTGCATGGACCAGTGCTGTGCTAGGAAACCAAATCACCACAATGTTGAACGTGATATTTAATAGAGAGAGAGTAGCTCTTGGGGCTTCCATGCAAGTGTTTACATATTTTTTTTGATACAAAATTATTGTTTTTAGATAAGAGGCAAAATCTTCTCCAGGGTAAGGAGAGGGCCTGGTTCTGGCTATGAATCTCAGGCTGGAATTCTCAGGCTACCATGACAGGGAGCCTCCCACCCATCAGGGCTCCATCCTCCTTGGCCAGGATGAGGCTTAGAGTTCTCATTTCCCTCCTGGTTGATGAAACATCTTCCTTGAACATCTAATTCAGGGATTGGAGCAGGAGGTGGGAGGGATGGGGAAGGCCCAGGGGTTGTTAGCAACAGCTTACTGCCATGATAAGGCTTGGACAAGAATCGTGAGATAAAGCAAATTTGTCCAAGACTTTCCTCCTCATAGTCAGATAAATCCTTCCATAAACTCACCTCTGAAGTTTCCTTATATTTACCATCATTCAGTATCATCCAGTGCCCATCTTCTCCCTCTGTGCATATTTTACGTTCGTATTTCCACATGACACCCATTTCAAAGAAAGAACTATAGTATCCCGGCCCTCCCACAATTCTGCCACAATCCCAAGTCAATAAAGGTTTCTTGGGCTCCTCGCCGGCTTCTAGAGGTGATATTAAAGTAGGAGATGAAAGTTTCCCTAGGAACCATGACCATAAGAATGTGTAATTTTTAAAAAAATCATGGATACATAACAGTTGTATTAATACACATTTATGGGTTACATGTGATATTTTGATACAGTTCTACAATGTGTAATGATCAAATCTGGGTAACTGGAATGTGCTTCATTTCAAGCATTCATCATTTCTTTGTGTTGGGAACATTCCAAATCTTCTCCTCTAGCTATTTTAAATTATACAATAAATCATCATTAACTTGAGTCACCCTATTGTGCTGCCAAACACTAGATCATATTCCTTCTATCTAACTGCATTTTTGTACCCATTAACCAACCCCTCTTCATCCCCAAAACATGTACTTTTTGAAATGAGCTCTCTCTACCAGAGGGTCTTCCTCGACATGTCCAAGTTTGGCAGCATCTTTCATTTCTGCTCTTTTTCCAGGTTATCACTGAGTCCTGAAGTCCTAGATTTGACCAGTAACTCTCTCAAGAGAGATGTGTCCCTGGGAGGCTGCAGTTTAAACAAACCACCTTTTCTAATGTTGCTTAAAGGTTCTACCAGGTTTAACAAGACCAAGACTTTTCGTATCAACCAGGTAAGTGTCCAAACCTAACCCTGGGTTTCCCTCTTCCCTGGAGGATTCCCCTGAGCCTGCCTTGTGGGAGATATTGGGGAAGGGGGTGAGAGCTCACCAGTCCATAAAGTGGGATTGATGCATTATCAACAGTTGAATCACACCAAAATGTCAAAATGGTTTTCTTTTTAGCTTGTATTTCGCATCTTGATGAAAAGTTGGCAAGTTTTGCACTCACAGAACAGAACCATGACTTAGGTTTCTTAATTTCTGTAGCTGATGTCTTGCTGTTTTAACATTTCTGCTGTGTCCCCAGCAGGTCCTATGTTTTTCTATAGAATATAAGGGCCATGCTCCTCTTCCTGCCCATAGACCTCCCCTCTGTTCTGATGCAACTCCTATGACAAGATACGTGGTGTACCCTTGACTACAGACTAGAAACACCTGGGGAGCTTTAACACCCCAATGCTTAGGCTGCATCTGACCCAATTAAGTTAGATGCTCGTGGAGTGGGTGTCTCAGTAGTTTGTGAAGCTCCCCAGGTGATTCTGAAGTACAGCACTCAGAGGGACTGAGAGGAAATGAAACTCCTTATTTGGAGGAGCAGAACATTGTGATGAGTTGAACACAGGATCAGGGTTTAAGGAGCTCCTTGCTCTGCTCAAGGTCAACAATGTAACTTTCCCAGGTCTGAGGTTACAATTAATATGGTTAATGGATAACAGTGGGCACCTCGGATCTGCCAGGCACTGCACTATGCACTCCAGATGGATTTTCTTACCAAATCCTTCAATAACCTTATGCTGCAGTGCAGAAAGGTAAGCAGTTCTGCCCAAGCTCCCACAGGTGGAAGGTGAGTTGGAGTTCCAACCTAGGAGCCCGTGGCCTCTTGAGAGCTATGTGCTCCTGTTCAACACACTTTCCACTTAATGTCAACCACGTGCTGCTTCTCTACCAATATTTCCCCACTGCACAATGATTTGGGAGAGCATGAACAGATAATACCTAATAAAATACATGTTTTATGCTATTAAGAAGAAATATACTTCATAAATCCAGAAGGGCTGTCATTTTCCCATTATGGGAACATCTTTAGAATTGCCCCATCAAAATTGAAGTCATATATTCACTTTTTCATTGTAAGGCTGAAAGTTATTGAGAGACTAAATTAGCCCAGTGATGGTGAACTGGAGAGAGCAAATGGATTCAAATCTATTTACAGGATAGAATACACATGACTCAGACAATAATTGAATTGGGAAGACAAGGGAGAGGCAGGAGTTAAAATAATTCTGAGGCACCCAGTCTGGGTTATTGGATGAATGGGGATGTCCCCTCCATGGAGATAGGAGAAGGACACGTATTTGGAGGAAAAGAGAATGGAGTTTGTGGTGTATTGAGTGACAGGAGTCTGCAGGACACCCAGGTGCAGAAATTTGGTGGGAGACTGTCAGGAGTCTCTGCGTGGGCTTCAGCAGATAGGGTGGGACTGGGGCTATTAATGTGGAAAACGTCAGCGAATACACTTTCATTTCCCCCTGTTTTGCGTAAGCCCCCAGTTTGGATGGAATAGGACATTAGTCTCTGCCCAGTAGCAGAGAGAATACAGCACAGCTTAGTGGTTAAGTACTGGACTCTGGAGTCAGACTTCCTGGGTTTGCATCCGGCTTTACCATTTATTAGGTATGTGATCTTGGGCAATTATTAAACCTCTCTCTGGGTCTATTTGCTCCAATGTAAATGAAGATAAATAATGGTAATACCTCATGATGTTGATGTGAGGATTAAATGAAGTAATAAACACAAAATACTTAGAAAAGTGCCTGGCACATAGTAAGTATGCATTAAATGCTAGTTATTATTACTATGCATGCTAATGAAAACCTAAATGAAAGGGCATAAGATGCTACAGGAGTGGTGTGGCAGGAATTTTCCTACCATGGGAATCAGGAGGGTTCTTCTGGAGGAGGTACCCCAGGAACTGGGTCTGGAGTGTGGGTCGAATTTAGCTGAGTGAATATTGTTGCTGCCCAAGCAGAAGCCCAAAGCTGGAGGCAGGATGTGGCTGGGACTCACGGGTGCAAGACATGCTGCATGCATCCTCACCAGACTGACTTCATGCTCTCTCTCTCCCTTCTCAACACACCCCTCTGAGAGCAGAATCAAATGCCAACCTTACAGGTCAGGAAATTGAGTGTCTAAGAGGTTAAAAAAAAAGTTGCCAAAGAGCATCCTGTCAGTAAATGGTAGAGTCAGGATTCAAACTTAAGACTCTTTTTTTTCCATATTAACTAAATTTTTATTTTTATTTTTTCTTTTTATATATATATATTTTTTATTATACTTTAAGTTCTAGGGTACATGTGCACAACGTGCAGGTTTGTTACATATGTATACATGTGTCATGTTGGTGTGCTGCACCCATTAACTCGTCATTTACATTAGGTATATCTCCTAATGCTATCCCTCCCCCCTCCCCCACCCCACTACAGGCCCTGGTGTGTGACGTTCCCCTTCCTGTGTCCAAGTGTTCAAACTTAAGACTCTTAAGCACAAAGAACGTGCTCTTCTCCCAGGCACTCAGAGCTCAGTGGGGATCTCCATCAGTTAAAGCGAAGGGTGGGGATTCACCTTACTAGGGGTTGGTTCAGAAATGGACATGTGACCCCTCCCTCCTGGACAATGAGCCCTGAGAGGAAGTTGAGGGCGTGGCTTCTGATAAAGAATTCCATGTTAGCACAAAGAGAAACCCAGGCAGAATCCATGCTTCTTGTGTTGGACAGTGTAGTGAGGATGTGATTCCCAGAAGCACAAGAAGAACACAAGATTCAAACTTAAGCACAAAGAATGTGCTCTTCAAGCCACATCATGTGGCCTCTACAGGCCCGAGAGCCTGGTGAACAGTGGGAATGGAGAAAGGAGACTAGAGAGAGGTAAACTGGAATCACACCCTGGGGCCAGATCAGGCAAGCCTCATATGACCTACATCAATTGGACATTTTTCTATAGTCAGTGTAACGTCATTGAAAGGAGTCCTGTAAACAGCTGAAAAGATTAAAGATTACTAAGCTGGTAGCAGCCTGTGGGATGGTTTGGTGTAGGAAAGTTCTAGAGCCAAGGAGTCAGATTGGCAAGCTACCGTAATCATCTAGGCAAAAGAGTCGGGGCTGGCTGGGCAAGGTGGGTCACACCTGTAATCCCAGCACTTTGGGAGGCCAAGGCAGGCAAATCACCTGAGGTCAGGAGTTCAAGACCAGCCTGGCCAACATGGTGAAACCCCGTCTCTACTTAAAATACAAAAATTAGCCCGGCTTGGTGGTAGGCACCTGTAATCCCAGCCACTGGGGAGGCTGAGGCAGGAGAATCACTTGAACCCGGGAGGTGGAGGTTGCAGTGAGCTGAGATCGCGCCACTGCACTGCAGCCCGGGCAACAGAGTGAGACTCCTTCTCAAAAGCAAAAAAAAAAAAAAAAAAAAAAAAAAAGAGGGCTGACTTTCAGGGCATAGGCACTAGAAATGAAAAGGAAGGAGTGGAAACAAAATATGTCACACAGAAGAAGAGTAGGACATGAGAACTGAATGCCTGAATGCATGATAGAGGCCAGGGAGGCGGGTGTCCATGAGGACCAAGATTTTGAGCCTGGATGCTTTAAAGGATGATGATGCCATTAAGAGAATTAAGGGACATTTGGTGGCAAAGGCTGTCTTTCAAAACTGTTCATCTTGATGCTTATGCTGCTGACACACGGAGAAGACTCCAGAGAGGGAGCAAGGCCCACTGGTATGAGTCCCAGGCAGGAGCCCAGGCTGGGTTTTAATCTCAGTAGGATCAAGGTTTGGCTGATATAAGTAACTCACTTAAGTTTCTGTTGGGTACAGTAGAACGTCTCCATTCAGCAACGTGCAAGCATCATTTTAAATAACTGATTTCAAGTTTGCGTTCTGAGCACTATATCCAGGAAATGGGTCAGGGAAGAAAACCCACTCCTGAAGGAATGTGAATCTTTTGGGAAGCCTTTAGCTGCTGAATCAGAAAACCCACTGCAAAATTAATGACTTAAACAATAATAATAATCTCACACAGTGAGCCATGCAGGGGTAGGTGAGGCTTGAGGCCTGGCCCATCAGGAGTTGGCTCTGCTTCCTCTTGGTCCTCTTGGCTCCATCCTGGGTGCTTCTGGGAATCACATCCGCACCACACCATCCAGCACAAGAAGCACCAGTTCTGCCTGGGTTTCTCTTCGTGCTAATATGGAATTATTTACCAGAAGCCCCGCCTTCAGCTTCCTCTCAGGGCTCATTGGCCAGCAGGGAGGGGTCACGTGTTTATTTCTGAACCAACCCCTAGTACGGTGAATCCCTACCCTTTGCTTTGACTGATGGAGATCCCCACTGAGCTCTGAGCGCCTGGGAAAAGCGCATGGGCATTTCAGAACTTGAGCTCTGCGGTGGAGAAAAGAGGGGCAGGGCTGGGGAATCTCAGTTACTTCCAACAATTTTCCTAGTCACATTTAACATTTATTATGGTTGTTTTTCTGCATTAAAACTCAGTCCCATTCAAAAGTTCAAACTTCTCTGCATGAGTCAACTCTGGTGGAAGTGGGGACAGGATGTGGTCCCCTCCCTTCTCTTTCTCTCCTGCTATCTTGGTCCTTTCACCTGCCCTGTTGCCCAAGTGAATGGTTGTTAGGGGAGGTGGCCACAGGTTTGCAGTTCCATGTTTCACTGGCAGGCTGTGGGTGTCTCGGTGCCGCTGGCCAAATGCTGGCCCCCTCAAGCGACACTGCAGTTCTTCCAATGCTCAGTGGTGGAAAGGGGCACCAGGCAGCCACTGGTCCCAGGTGCGGCAGCTTTCAGAGAAGAACCCAGACTTGTGTAAGATGAGAATAACAGGCATGCTCCCCAAAGGAGGGAGAGAAAGGGGGGGTATTTAGACTCTCCTAAACTTTGTTTTCCCCAAAAGAATGAGCCCCTCTGCCTCCTAGCCCTGTCTTACACCTTCCTGGTGGCAAAATGCTCACAAATCAAAGCCACACTAGGGCATTGAAGGGGATTACGAGGATCTGGCTTCGGGAAAGGTTAAAGAGCTAAATAAAGAATGAGCTCTCCATTCTGCCCACTCCATACCAGTCAGTGACCCGCAGGAAGGGCTCTCAGCGGAAACTTCCCATCTCCATGGTACCAGGCCTTCTATTGCCCTACTGAATTCCTCACTTAGGATCAAGGGTGAAAATTAAGCAATGTACTTAGCAAGATAAGCATTCTTCACTCTTTCCCCTGATAATTGTGTTGCTCTTTTCCCATGCAGCTGTTGCAGGACACACCAGTGGCCTCCCCAAGGAGCGTGAAGGTGTGGCAAGATGCTTGCTCACCACTTCCCAAGACCCAGGCCAATCATGGAGCCCTCCAGTTTGGGGACATTCCCACCAGCCACTTGCTATTCAAGCTTCCTCAGGAGCTGCTGAAACCCAGGTATTATTTAGCTTTCCTGCCCCAGCACCAGCTCAGAACCTGACTCTGCGATTCCACCTCAGGGAAGTCTGACTGCCATGACACCATGCAGCTCTCTCTAATGAAGGTGGCACTACCATTTTTGTGCAAAGAGGTGCTGGCCTGCACAGGACAGGGAGCGTGATTGCCTGCCATGTGCTTTCCCAACAGCTGGAGGCAAACGTGACGACAGTGTACTTCTCAGAGGCTGAAACAATCAGCTCAGGTCTGGTTTAGAATTGATGGTGTTCTAAAAATAAGGATGACATTTTTTTTCTAAAGCTGCTGTTTATTTCCATGATAAATCACCTTTCTTTTCTTGTATTCTGTAGTGAAAGTAAAATCATTCTTTTTTGGTAGACGCAGTGCCAGATAGATCATTTTTAGAGAATACATTTGGCCTTTTTGCGCTAACAAGTTGCACCTCTTTTGGGGAGGCGGGAATGAGCAGAAATATTAATTATGTCAGAAAAAAATTAGAAAAACAAGATTTGTCATTTTCAGGTGATTTGAAGGAGCCATAGATAAAAAGGTACTGACCTTTTCTTCACGGCTTTCCCACAGAGGCAGAATTGCCCGGGGGGCTAAAAGGAGCTGGCTCTAACATCTGGCTTTCAGTCCTGCTTCACCACTTACTGGCTGGGTGACTCCAGACCATGTGCCAGGGCAGCCCCTCTGAGACACAGACACTAAGATGGGATTAGATGGGCAAGAGGTTCATTGTGGGGAAGCCTGTGAGAGATGACCAGAAGGGGACAGAGATGGGGGCAGGCAGGGAGAGCCCGCAGATGGCTGTGGGCCTGCAGATACTGTGAGGGGAGGGCGCAGGGAGGACAGAGCCGGGTAGGAAGGGCCTCGGGTCGCAGTCCACAGACTGTAACACAGTCTCAGCCAGGTGCCTGCAGTGCCCCCAAGCAGAGATCATCTCTGAGAAGAGCTCAGTGTTGGCTATAAATGGCCCGGCTCTAATACCCCCGAGTGTCACTGAAGACCTAGGGCATGGCAGCCCCACTGTGCTCCCTGCAGCAGCTTCTCTTGGAGCACGACTTCATGGCTGCCACATGCCGTTTAACTTCTCTAAGCCTAAGCTGTCCCTCTATGCCTGTCTTGCGTGTTAGCAGATTGCTACCTCTCTCTGGACCTCAATTTTCCTGTTAGTTAAATGGGCTCGATGATGCTTTTCTTGCAGGGAGGAGAGGTCATAGCTTATAAGGAGGCTGGCCCTTGAAGCCCACTCAGCAAGCTGTGAGCATGCATCACAGGCAGAGAGAGGTAAAGGTCAGAGAGAGATTGACTGCCAAGCTCTGAAGGAGAAAGCCTGTGTGGACAGCTCCACGTCTCCAGCTGCCCCATGCAAAGTCTTGGGGTCCCTCATTTTCCAAAACTGTGCTAGTAGAAGCTAAGGCAGAAGGAGAGGAGATTGTCCCTCCAGTTGTCCCCTCCCCTGGCTACTCCTTGGTAGGGAGGCCCCACTCCCCACCCCTGCTCTCTTGGTCAAGCTGACCTTAATGACAATGACCTCCCTCTTTCTTTTCTTTTTTTTTTTTTTTGAGACGGAATATCACTCTGTCACCCAGGCTGGAGTACAGTGGTGCGACTTGGCTCACTGCAACTTCCACCTCCTGGGTTCACACTATTCTCCTGCCTCAGCCTCCTGAGTAGCTGGGACTATAGGCACCCGCCACCACGCCCGGCTAATTTTTTTGTATTTTTATTAGAGATGGGGTTTCACTATGTTGGTCAGGCTGGTCTCGAACTCCTGACCTCGTGATCCGCCCACCTCGGCCTCCCAAAGTGCTGGGATTACAGGCGTGAGCCACCGCGCCCGGCCAACCTCTCTCTTTCAAGAAACTGCCTGGAGGCCCCTTTCCCCAGCCTCCCGCCTCTGGCCTCCCCCTTGTGGCCTCTCCATCAGCTTGGCGCCCCCCCCCCGCCCGGCAGCTTCTCTCTCAACACATTCAGTGCAGTGAGTTACCAACTTCTAACGATTCAACCCCTGTGCCTTCCCGTCCAACATTAAACCGTACATCATTAATGAAAAAGTAACATTTTAAAAGGTAAAATTTTTTAAAAAGTCAAACAGTAAATATAATTTTCAACTTATATTTTAGCCCCAAATGTTGTAGCAATCAGTTATTTTCAGAAAGTTGTAAGAGTTGGAGGATTCTGTTGTTCTCATTCTGATTTACATTCTAGCAGTGTTCTGACACTCCTTTAAACTGGTGCCATTGCTTTACCCCTTTGGTGAATGTATAAAAATGCTCTTTAGCTCTCTGCCCTACCCTCCCATCCTCCAGCAATGAAGAGTCATAGCTACAGTATCATGTACTGGGATCTGAATCCACTGCTGCCTTTTTTTGGGTGTTAGTCAGTTAGTCTTTTATGAAAGAAAGTTGCTTTAGGAAACAGTTCTGGAAAGCAAATGTCAAATCTGATCACCAGGCCCACATATGGAAAGTACATTCTATTCTGCAGCACGTTCTAATATCCTCCTTAACTTGGCTACCCCTCATTCTCCAAACCTCCGCACTAACACACAGACACACCAAGAGAAATATTGAGCAGTGTTACCATCTGGTTGGCTTAATTTAACAAATATAGATTTCTCTTTCGTTTTGAAGAACATTGCCCTCAAGGAAACTTGCTAATCTGAAGAATAAATGTGCATCTTAGCCTCACAGAATTAAAAAGCAAAGAGAATTAACAGTATAATTTGTTTCTTCCACTTCTGGTTTCTGCCTCCAAATTTCCCATTTACCATTTAATTCAATTCAGTAACTATTTATCGAGTGCCTACTGCGTAATAGGCACTGGGGATGCCGCTGTGAGTGGGATGAACCCATGCCTCCTATCTGGTGTCTGCTTAAGACGTTAGCCACAGGAATGGCTGAGGACAGCCTGTTGACATCTGCATCTCCCACGACCCTTTCACGCACACCTTTATGCATCCCTCTCAGGGCACCCCTGCACCATAAACCACTCAAGGAAGGAAACATCCATCGTTGCATTCCTACTGTCCAGCACTGCACCTTATGCATCTTCCACACTCATTAAATACTTGTTTGATGGGTGGATGGATGGATGAGTGTGAGTTTTCATAAAAAGTAAAGCTTGCTTAGCTGGATGTGCATAGAACATGTAACCATCATGCAAATGAATACTAACTTGCACTCTGCTTTTTTTTTTTTTTTTTTAGACAGAGCCGCTGTGTCACCCAGGCTGGAGTGCAGTGGCACGATCTTGGCTCACTACAACCTCCACCTCCTGGGTTCAAGCGATTCTCCTGCCTCAGCCTCCCAAGTTAGTTGGGATTACAGGCACCACCACCACGCCCAGCTAATTTTTGTATTTTTAGTAGAGACAGGGTTTCCCCATGTTGGCCAGGCTGGTCTTGAACTCCTGACCTCAGGTGATCCACCCACCTCGGCCTCCCAAAGTGCTAGGATTTTCCCATAGTGCTGAGATTACAGGCGTGAGCCACCTTGCTTGGCACACTCTGCTTTTACTGTATGATATTTGCCTCATTCTTCTTCCTTCACAGGGAGGGTATTAGGGTCTAAGAAATGTAGAGATGGGTGGGAGAAGGTGGGTCTGTGCTTCCGTGTCTTTGGTTAAATCTGTCTAACAGAAAGGAAAGGCTTCTTTGATGCTTAAATCACATCCTTGTTATTCAAGTTGTCCCCTACTTCTCCTACGACTTCCCTCTCCACGAATACATACAAAACAGAATGCATATTCATTGAGTTTGAAAAGTACAGGCTTCTCAGTGAAATAAGCCAGTCACAAAAGGACAAGTCCCCTACAATTCCACTTACATGAGGTATCTCAAGTAGTCGTGTTCATCGAGAGAGAAAGTAGAGTGGTGGTTTGTTGTCAGGGGCTGTGGGAAGCGAGACTAGGGAGCTCTTGTTTCATGGGTACAAGTTTCAGTTTTGCAAGATGAAAAGAGTTCTCGAGATTGATTGTACAACAATCTGAATGTACTTAACAGTACTGAACTATACACTTAAAAAAGGTTAAGATGGCACATTTTAGGTTAGCGTATTTTACCCTAACTTTTTAAAACATGGACTTTTTATAAAAGATTCAGACATGTTTCTTCTTGCCATGTGCTGGGACTTACACCACTAGCTAAGTTTGCCACAAAAGTTCCATGTTATTCCCCAATGTAGTAAGGAAATTATACAACAAAACCATTAACAGCTGGAATAGAATAGCTTTTTAAAGTTTCCAGAGAAACGGGTCATTTAATCAGTACCTACGTTAGCTTATCCATTTGAAAAATGGGGGTTGGGTGTTTGCTCCCCACCCTCTGTCTCAGTGCTGAGATTCGAAGGAACGCTGAACACCTCTATTTCCCTTCATCGCCGATGTTCCCAACAGGTCACAGTTTGCTGTGGACATGCAGACAACATCCTCCAGAGGACTGGTGTTTCACACGGGCACTAAGAACTCCTTTATGGCTCTTTATCTTTCAAAAGGACGTCTGGTCTTTGCACTGGGGACAGATGGGAAAAAATTGAGGATCAAAAGCAAGGAGAAATGCAATGATGGGAAATGGCACACGGTAAGAGCTGGGGCTGTGTCAGTATCTCCAGTTGGTGTGGAATTCACTGTTGGAGTCGCTGAAAATAGGAGTCCCAGCATCCTTCCCAGACATGAGGGCGTGGAGTGGGAGAGCTTGTGTGCTTGCAGGCGCTGCGTTCCCAGCATCTCAGTACTGGAGGCCGCGGCACACACATTGCATGGCTGTCATCCTAGACAGTAAAGTCAAGATGGGCTTTACTGATGCTTCTTCCATCCCCTCCAGCCCTCCCCCAGGCTGCCTCATGCCCCTTGCCTACTCTAACTCCTTCATCCTGGACCATTTCTTCCCCTTATGGCCAATTTCCAGGCCTCCAGGCCCCTCTCTGGACCTGGAATGACCCTAGCATCTTGGCTCTTGCTTAAAGCCATTCCAGATTTCAAGAAATACCATTTAAGGCAATAAGGGACCTATTTATTTCTCTAATGAGGCAACTGGACTTCAGAAAATGTAAGTGACTTGACAAGTTGCATTCCCTTAGTCATTCAGCTGCCTTCCTGGAACACATAAGCAAACAATCCTCAATGTAATGTCAGAGATTGGTAAGTGCTTTGAGAAAACACTAGAGCAAGGTAAGAAAATGACAGAGCAGGGAGACTATTTTAAATAAGGCAGTAGAGAAAGCCCTGGTACAGCAGGTGGTAGTCACATGAAGTTATGGGGAGGGGGTTCCAGGAAGAGGGAAGAGCAAATAACAAGGACCTGGAGGTGGGAATTAGCTGAATGAACAAAACACAAAGCAATAAGAAATGGAATTAGAGAGGAAGACAGAGCCCAGATCATTTAAGCTTTGAAGGCCAAGCTCCGACTTTGGACTTTATTTGAAAGTGTCTGTAAAGCTTTTAAAGAGTCTTAAAACTCTTGGCCAGGCGCGGTGGCTCATGCCTGTAATCCCAGCACTTTGGGAGGCCAAGGCGGGCTGATCACAAGGTCAGGAGTTCGAGACCAGCCCGACCAACATGGTGAAACCCCATCTTTACTAAAAATACAAACATTAGCTGGGCATGGTGGCATGCACCTGTAATCCCAGCTACTCAGGAGGCTGAGGCAGGAGAATCGCTTGAACTCAGGAGGTGGAGGTTGCAGTGAGCCGAGATCACACCACTGCACTCCAGCCTGGGCGA
This sequence comes from Homo sapiens, assembly GCF_000001405.40. Lineage (NCBI taxonomy): Eukaryota > Metazoa > Chordata > Mammalia > Primates > Hominidae > Homo > Homo sapiens. Next base: position 23,945,114 of record NC_000018.10, read on the forward strand.
CAGAGCAAGACTCTGTCAAAAAAATAAAAATAAAAAAAATAAAACTCTTACATGTACAGATTCATATATTATTTAATTCTTTAGCTGAAGAGACTGCCAGGGGGCAAGAGTAGCAGCAGGGGGCCCACATGGCTGCTATTGCCTTTGCTTGCGGAGGCTGTGGGGAGGTCGGGAGAAGTGACCGCCAGGACGCATGCTGAAGGTAGAACCACGCGGCCTTGCTGATGGATCACATATAGAGGGTGAGAGGAAGAGAGGGTCCAGATCACATCCTGTGATTTGGGGCCAGCAATTGAGTCATTAGTGGGCATTTACTGAGATGAAGATGGAGAAGAGGCAGATGTGGCCAGGAGGAGAGCAGTTCAGAGCTGGGGGAGAATGAGGATTTCTGTCGTGAACATCTCAGGGTTGAGTGGCCTGTCAGACCTTCAAGCCCAGGTGTCAGCAGGCAGTAGAGGCCAAAGGTCACAGCTTGGCATATAAATGGAAGTGTCCGTAGTGAATAGTCTCACCACACCTATGAGATGGCAGAATCCACACCAGACCCCAGGGATCAGAAATTTTAGCAAAGAGTTTAAACACTCCTCTTGTTTGAAGAGAAGTGCCCTCGTTCTACCTGCTCCAAGAGGCCAGCCCAGGGTGCCACGACTCCAACACACCCCCGTCCCCAGCACTGTATAAACTGTCCCTGCCCCTTTGTTACATGGAGGGGGTTGCCTGTGGCTGTGCCTTGAACTGTTTCTCTTTTGTGTAAGTTTCCAGATGAATTCTATAATCTCTTTTGATTAGTTCACTTCTAAGCAACCTTTTTTTTTCAGTTCCCCTTTTGAGCTCAGTTTGTTCAGTATTTCACATAATCTCACAAAACGATGGTGATAGTGATAACCGGAGGAAAAAATCTCTCATCTTTTGAAGCTATTTGAAGGAGCATGAAAACATTTTTTTTTAATTTGGCCACTAATATTTAATAAAATACAACACCAATTGTCAAAGGTAAAAATACAACTCACGTATCTTTCTTACTCTGAAGGTGGTGTTTGGCCATGATGGGGAAAAGGGGCGCTTGGTTGTGGATGGACTGAGGGCCCGGGAGGGAAGTTTGCCTGGAAACTCCACCATCAGCATCAGAGCGCCAGTTTACCTGGGATCACCTCCATCAGGGAAACCAAAGGTAAATAGTTATGTTCAGAGCCATGGACAGAAACAATTCACCTTATATTATAGGCATAATTGTATGAGATATTCAAAATACTCACCATATGAGAATCTCAAAATACTTTAAATGATTTTTAAGGATCTAATTAATGTTCACAACCACATAGAGTAAGTGCCCATTTCTTAACCCAAAGCCTTCATTTCTAAGGTGCAGGTTGAGACGCAGGCCCTGAAAGGGTGAAGATAGAGCTTCTCTGCCACTTCCTAAACCTGAATCTATTGGCTTCTCCTCCAGGGAATGCAAAAACGTAGGTTTTAGGTTATAGACAGAGATTTTTTGGTTAACATAATGTGTTTCAAATTACAGTAATTTGTGCCATTTTCACCATCTTTGCCATAAGGTAAAACATTGGCTTAACTGTTTTCTCTCCATCAAACTATTTATTTTAAATGTGCTTCTATGGGATCTTTTTATCTCTCCCATAAATGGAAACCCAATATTCTTTACCATAAATAATAGATAACCCTGAGAAATAAACATTTGAAAACCAAACACTGTTAATATCAAACTAAGTAGTGTGACCTATGTGTTCTTTGCTTGGAGAAAAAGGTGCTTAACACGTAATCAAGAGGGTGTTTAAGACATACTAGCACAAAGCCAAAAGCTGTTCCTTGTCCTCGTCCAAACGCTAGAAAGAGAATTGAAAAAGGAATAACTTAATAATGGAATATGTGTTTTAATGTTATTTGATGTCTGAAATAACAAAATTATCTCAAAAACCCATCTTGGGAATGCCAGACGAAGGGAAAGTTGGGACTCCCTCTGTCCCCAGAGAGGAGGGGTGCTTTTCTAGGTTTGTCAAGTTCAAGGCTCTGATGGGGCGCTCTGATGGGGCCACAGCTCCAGGGCTGAGCTCTGTGAGTGCCCTCTCCCTTCCTCTCTCCTACCCCCTGCCACAGCGTTAATTGCACCAGGGTTACTTGAGGCAGCCTTGGGCACCTGTCTTTCTTGTCTCAGATTTGCCTTTCCCCCCACCCCACAAAGTTAAGTAAGATGAGCCTATCAACAGCTCAGGTCTAGGGACTGTCCTCCGCCTTAATGCAATTTTTGCCCTTTTCCTCCAGACCCAGTGGCACATTTTGGTGTGATGTTTGCTTGCAGTGGGAAAAAAAGAGCCCCGGGCTCAAATCTGGGCCTAGAAATGGGCATAATGAAAGCAGGTCTCTCCACCAGCTTGGATGCTAGCTGCTTAGGCTGCCCTAGCCTTGACCAGGGCTCAGCCTGGCCCTCTTGGGTTTTGCACTGGGGTTTGGGCCAGAGCTCCAGTGTTATACAATAAAGTATATTTATTATACCCCAGCAGGCAACAGAGTATTACTTTGCTTTGCTATATGCAGTAACTTATATATATTTCATAAAAATACATACCATATTATCCATTATTTATAATACACATTATATATATAATATACACCACACATTAATTGCTAAGGAGGATTCTCATTGTTAATGTTTACTTTTCTCAACCTCTGTTCCTATTTTCTTTTTTTTTTTTTTTTTGAGACGGAGTCTTGCTCTGTCGCCCAGGCTGGAGTGCAGTGGCACCATCTCAGCTCACTGCAAGCTCCGCCTCCTGGGTTCACACCATTCTCCTTCCTCAGCCTCCTAAGTAGCTGGGACTACAGGCGCCTGCCACCATGCCTGGCTAATTTTTTGTATTTTTTAGTAGAGACGGGGTTTCACCGTGTTAGCCAGAATGGTCTCGATCTCCTGACCTCGTGATCTGCCCTCCTCGGCCTCCCAAAGTGCTGGGATTACAGGCGTGAGCCACCGTGCCCGGCCCCTATTTTCAACTCAGAGAAATCACAGGATGGGGCAGGATTTGGGTATTCTTTGGCTTTGGATAAATTCTCTTCAAACCACCTTAATCACACCCAGCATCTAACATCTGGGCCAAATAGTAGCACCCCATTTACAATACTCTTTACAGACCAAGTTTCTTTTTGCAGCCTTCTTTCAACCTGAGGGTATAAACCATCTCATGGGCCCTCCCACATATCCTTTTCAGGAGCAGGCCACATCCGATCAGTGTCTGCCTCTGAACACCGGCACTGCAGTCAGCCCTTAGGGATCAATGCTGGGTTCTGGCCCATCCTGGGGAGTCCTAGCTTTAGGACACAGCTTTTTCATTGTGTAGCATGACAAATCTTAAGAAACTAAAAGTTTCATAGGGAATCCAATCAGTAGTTTACTGTTGATGCTGGCACCATGTGCATTTATCACATCAACATTTTCTCTTTCTTTCTTTTTTTTTTTTTGAGTTGGAGTCTTGCTCTGTCACCCAGGCTGGAGTGCAGTAGTACGATCTCGGCTCACTGCAACCTCCGCCTCCTGAGTTCAAACGATTCTCCTGCCTCAGTCTCCTGCATAGCTGGGACTACAGGCACCTGCCACCACACCTGGCTAATTTTTGTATTTTTAGTAGAGACGGGGTTTCACCATGTTGGCCAGGCTGGCCTCAAACTCCTGACCTCAGGTGATCCAGCAGCCTCAGCCTCCCAAAGTGCTGGGATTACAGGTGTGAGCCACTGTGCCTGGCCACCATTTTCTTTTAAAGTTACCATATCTTTATTACCATGTCTGACTTGTAGGATTCCAGAGTCCTAAAGGCATTCATTCTAGAAGGGAGTTCAAGAGTTTTATTCGGTGAATCTCAAACTTTCTTGAGAATTTTATGAAATTTACAGTCCTCCCCAGGAAAATGCACACGCAGAACACACCTGGTGTATAATATAGGAGAGCACAGAACCCCACAAGCCTGTTCCTGGGCCCCAGGAGAGGAGTCCCCTGTTCCAGCCGGCTCTAGGCAGGCATGGGGCTCCACGCAAGCCCACTGTCAATGCACACTGTGTCTTATTTTAACTCTGCAGCATTCGTGACTTGGTGGTGGTGCACTGAGCCCAACAATGTAGGCAGATTTTTTTGCATTTTATTATTTTGGGAACATTTTGGCCTCTTTATTTTTGTCAGCTGCCCTGCAGTAAGCTAACACACTGCCTCGTGGAACTCTAAGAAGTGGTTTGTATCTGCAAAGAGACGGTGAAATCTGTGAACTGTAAGGTGGAAATTTCCCTTGTTGCTGCTCCATCTGTGAGGACCAGGGTCAGGTCAACCTTCCCTGTTCTTATTCTAGCACAAGCTAGCAACCTGCACTAGCCCGCCCTCCTGCACACACCACTTTTTTTGGTGGCACCTGCAATCTTCGACCACCCACCCAACATCTGGTATACAGGTTTTTCTTGGCACTCTGGGCAGAGAGCCAAATAGAACAGCTATTAGAACCTGAGTTTGAAGAACCTGACTTGGAAGCGGGAAGAATGAATCCCTACCTACCTTCCCCCTTTTGCTGACAAGCTGCAGTGCCCTTCGCCTTGGCTACCCATGCCTTTCTTGGAGGTGTAGGTAATGAGCTTTTTCTTTTCTGCTTGGTTGCAGAGCCTCCCCACAAACAGCTTTGTGGGATGCCTGAAGAACTTTCAGCTGGATTCAAAACCCTTGTATACCCCTTCTTCAAGCTTCGGGGTGTCTTCCTGCTTGGGTGGTCCTTTGGAGAAAGGCATTTATTTCTCTGAAGAAGGAGGTCATGTCGTCTTGGGTAAGGAGCAGTTCTATAGAATTTAAGTCTTTGCATCTTAAGAACTGTATCCTGTTTTCTTTCATGGTGATGCTTTAACTTTTGCTTTGTTTCTCTTTTGAAAGCTCACTCTGTATTGTTGGGGCCAGAATTTAAGCTTGTTTTCAGCATCCGCCCAAGAAGTCTCACTGGGATCCTAATACACATCGGAAGTCAGCCCGGGAAGCACTTATGTGTTTACCTGGAGGCAGGAAAGGTGTGTAGCAGTCTGATGCCATGGGGAGGGTCTGTAGAAACCAGCTTCAATGTCTGGAGGCCACAGCGGGTCAGGTTTGTAGTAGAGAATGGGATCCAATCTTGTATTTAAGAGCCTTGACTTCAGTGCTAACTTACCATTTTCCTTTAGCAAGTAATTTTATCATCATGTTTTCTGTTCTTAATTTTTAAAACTGGGAAAACTCAAACAAGTCGGGCTGAATTGCAGGTCCAGCACTTGGTTATATGGTCCTAAGGATGTTACTCAAGCTCTTTCAGACTTATCTGTAAAATGTAGATAATAACTCTTATAACTTAAGGCTTTTGTCAAGATTATAGAAATCGCCATATACTCAATTCTTACAGATTCTTTCTTCATCTCTGCAGCCTCATTTTTCCATCACTCACAGGCCTGAGTCAACATCTTATTTTCCACCACCCAGTTATATCTCTTTCCTTCTCAAAGATGTCTCTTTAAAACCAGATTCTTCTAGGAAGACCCTTAGTTGAGGCCTCGAGTGAAAGATTGATATAATATGCCATTTTCTTTCATCTCCGTCCTTCCACAGTTTACTAAATGTGAGGGGAAAAGAATCCCAGAAGAAAATAAAATGCCCAAAATTCCTAGAATACTTTCTATTGTAGTCTTTAATTAAGTCTGAGTAGGTCTCTGGTAGCCCAGAAAAGCAAGTAACTATCCACTTGCAAGGTGGTTGAGACAATTCTGGTTTTTCAGAGGAGGAGCTGGAGAGAGTCTCTACTGAGAGTCTCTGGGAGGGAATTATTCTCAGGAAAACAAATCAAGACCCGATGACCTTCATAATAGCAGTGACATTGTTTAGCTCAAAAATTGCCTGTGAATAGGCTGTCCCATCTAGCTACATGCAAATTAAATGTAAATTATTTATAAACACACTTATTTTAGTCCTCTCATTTCATTCCCCTTGATTCAACTCTTGGAAGATCCTGGAGGAGACCCTGATTTAGAAAGCAGGAATGTGGGATTCTGCACAAAACAGACTGCGTGCCTGGCTCCCGATGCGTGCCCAGAGCAAACTCAATCATTTTGCTTGTTTAAAGTCTTGCCATGCATGGAACTATTACAGTTGGCTGGCCCTTGCAGCAGGCTGTAGGCCTCCACCAGTAGCTTTGCCTTCCACATCTCACATATCCTTCCATACAGAGCCACTGTCACGCATTAATTGCTAAGGAGGATTCCAATCAGTAACCTTTGAGTTGAGCTGATGGGGGCGGGGTTTGGATTAGAAGGGAACAACTCATTGCCATTGGCAACGACTTCAGGCCAGGGTCCACCCTGGTTTATAGTTGCCTGGAAGGGATGCAGCAGAGAGATCTCTGGAAGCATTGGACCCCATGTGGTCAAATGCTTCAAAAGCGGAGGAGGGCCAATATCTAATGTGCCCTTAAGCTGTCAGTTGGCCCGGTTTGGGGAGGGAAGATGGCAGGGGAAGGTCGGCTCCACCTGCCTTCCTGAAGGAAATAGGAAAATGCATGTGTGTTCCAGGTCACGGCCTCTATGGACAGTGGGGCAGGTGGGACCTCAACGTCGGTCACACCAAAGCAGTCTCTGTGTGATGGACAGTGGCACTCGGTGGCAGGTATGTTGTCCAGTAGCTGATTGTTCATGCACTAAAACAGGCCCCCTTTCCATTTTGACTTGAACATCCCAAAGGCAGCCTCAGCCCCTCCATCCACAGTGCCTGACCAGGGCCAGCCCCCGAGGCTAACGTGTCCATTCACAACCCCAGCCATGCTTCCGTCACTCATGGTTGCCACCTCCAGTTCTCCAGAACTTATCAAATATTTTATTGTTGCTGTTGTTGTTGTTTGTTTGTTTTTGGAGCCCAGCACACTAATAAGCTAGGCTAGTTTTCAAGATAGTATAACGTTGTGATTTAGATTTTGGCTCTGAAGTTAGAACAGAGGTCAAATCTTAGTTCCATCCCTTTCCCTGTGTGACCTTGGACAAGTTGCTTAATTGTTCTTTACCTTCGGTTTCCTCTTCTGTAAAATGGAAATAAAAATAGGGTATGGCTCTTAAGGTTGTGGAAATTAAATGGGACAATGTGTGAAAGGTTATTAGCCCAGTGTCTGATATGTAGTCAGTGTTCAGTAAGTATCTGTTTTTTGTTAAGGCTCATTGTTGTGTTATTTTTTTCAACAACCATTTAATATTAATGCTAACTATTTAGACAACCCGATGAGTAGAGAGCAAGCATTTCCTCTCAAAAAGAATCTGTTATTTTATTAATTATTTGTGGATATTAGAGATCTATGAACCCATATTGGCTAAAATACCTTTTGTAAAAAAGTGGCCTTTTCTTGGCTAATTTAAAAGATAACTACATTGCAATTAGCTGAGATCATTAACATGAGAGGAATTTTGTGTCGAGAGTCAAAAGAGCTGTCTTTGGCATCAGCTTTCAGAAGTCAGTGTCTTCATAGAAAGTAGCTGAGATCACATGAAATCAGCATGGCCTCTGGACACAGGAGACCAGAGCTTAAATCCCAACTCTTGGTAACCAAGCCATCTTGTCAGGCTCCTCAGTGAGACACATTCTCTTATCTGGGAAATGGGGAATGATAATTTCTTCTTCACAGATTCATTTTAAGGGTAAAATTCATTCATGTACGTGGAAGCACTACCTGGTGTTTAGAGGAAGTTAATTGAATTTATATCTAAGCTGACCAAATTTCTGCAAACAGCACTCCCACAGGTCTAGTATGAAGGAGTTAAAACAAAGTCAATGGTGTAGACATTAAGCAGGGCTCACCTCCGATGATAGACCTAACCAGCCTCCTTTCCCCAGTCACCATAAAACAACACATCCTGCACCTGGAACTGGACACAGACAGTAGCTACACAGCTGGACAGATCCCCTTCCCACCTGCCAGCACTCAAGAGCCACTACACCTTGGAGGTGCTCCAGGTAACTCTTGTCCTGACTTCTATAATGTGTTGCCCTGTGTCAGCTCTGAACATTCACTTCTTAATTAGTGGCAGGGCAGCTCTTGGCTGGACAGTGGAGATGGTGAGGCCCTTTGCACTGGCATGTGGGGAAAGGCAGTTGCTGGAAAGGAGCACTTGTCAGGTCAGCCCAGGCCCCATTACTGCTGTTGCCCCTTGCCCCAAGCCTGTAATTTTGTTTTTTTTTTTTGTTTTTTTTTTTGTTTTTTTTTGAGATGGAGTCTCACTCTGTTGCCCAGGCTGGAGAGCAGTGATGTGATCTCAGCTCACCACAACCTCTGCCTCCCAAGTTCAAGCTATTCTCCTGCCTCAGCCTCCCAAGTAGCTGGGACTACAGGCACATGCCACCACGCCTGGATAATTTTTGTGTTTTTAGTAGAGGCAGGGTTTTGCTATGTTGGCCAGGCTGGTCACAAACTCCTGACCTCAGGTGATCCACCCGCCTCAGCCTTTCAAAGTGCTGGGATTACAGGTGTGAGCCACTGCACCTGGCCCCAAGCCTATAATTTATAATCCTTTCTTAAGAGGTTGCATTAACCTAGAAGCCTGATACCAGTAAAGAGTCAGGAAAAGGGTCTGAAAAACTGGTCTCTGTCCTCTTCAGGTATTTAGTTTTACTAGTGAGTTATTAAGCTTTTGGGGACCGGACTGGGAGAATCAGGTAGGCTGAAATGGAGTCAAGTTCAAGACTGGAATGTTGTCTGGGAAGAGCCTTTTCATTCTTCATTGTTTTCTGTCCCTCCAAATACACTGTAATCCGGTTGTTAATTGTATAGGTCTTTCATTACCCATAAAAAGTACCAGTTTAGAGCTATTGATTTGGGCAGTGGATTCTCCTCTGAAGAACTTGAACAGTAGCCTTGTTGCTGATTTATCACAGCAGGTGGAGTGTCAGACGCCTGCCTGAAGTGGAGAGGGCTGAGTGGGCTGAGATGTGAAGTCACTTTAGCTTTCTCCACTAAGACTATCTTTTGCCTGGCATGGTGGCTCACACCTGTAATCCCAGAGCTTTGGGAGGCTGAGGCGGGAGGATCACTTGAGGCCAGGAGTTCAAGACCAGCCTGGGCAACATAGTGAGACCCCATCTCTACAAAAACATTAAAAATTAGCCCAGGGTGGTGGCCCACACCTCTAGTCCTGGCTACTTGGCAGACTGAGGTGTGAGGATTGTGTGAGCCCAGGAATCCCAGGTTTACAGAGAGCTGTGATCACACTACTGTACTTCAGCCTGGGTAACAGAGCAGGACCCTGTCTAAAAAAAAAAAAAAAAAAAAAATACTATCTTTTAAAATCCAGGGAACAGTCCCTGGACAGTATGAATTATTTACTGAATGCCTCTCCACTTTCTCTTTCAGCCAATTTGACGACACTGAGGATCCCTGTGTGGAAATCATTCTTTGGCTGTCTGAGGAATATTCATGTCAATCACATCCCTGTCCCTGTCACTGAAGCCTTGGAAGTCCAGGGGCCTGTCAGTCTGAATGGTTGTCCTGACCAGTAACCCAAGCCTATTTCACAGCAAGGAAATTCACCTTCAAAAGCACTGATTACCCAATGCACCTCCCTCCCCAGCTCGAGATCATTCTTCACTCAGGACACAAACCAGACAGGTTTAATAGCGAATCTAATTTTGAATTCTGACCATGGATACCCATCACTTTGGCATTCAGTGCTACATGTGTATTTTATATAAAAATCCCATTTCTTGAAGATAAAAAAATTGTTATTCAAATTGTTATGCACAGAATGTTTTTGGTAATATTAATTTCCACTAAAAAATTAAATGTCTTTTAAGAAACATTCTTTTCCACTTGTTAAAAAAATTAAATATATTTTAAAGCACTTTAAGAATATGAAACTTTCATATATGTTAAAGGATTATAATTTATGGAATTAAAAAATGCAGTGTAGTCCTTAAATTATGATGTTTTATTAGCATAAAAGAAGTGGCTTGATGGTCATTGTTAATTGGATTAATTCTTCAGCACCAGTTCAATGTGTTACCTACAACATAGTCTTCTACAGATAATCACTGAGCATATACTGATGAGGGTTTTGTGTGTGTTCACTATTGCAACTACAGTGAGGGATAAGAAATAAATTCCTGCCCTTAAGGAATATGCAGTCCAATTGGGGAGACATATAATATTCATAAAATAGTAACTTACAAACAAACTGAACTAATGAACCCATTAATTAATGAAGCCCATTGGTTTCCCAATCCTAGCCTTCCCCAGCCTGCTACCAACCAAGTCTAGATTATGATGATCAATTCCTTGAGGGCACAAACTACCTGGTAGGGAAGCTGAGATGGATGTAACGCACCATCACTGAAGCTTCATATGGCAAGCTAACCAAAGTCAGTGGGATGGAGGACTCACTTCTAGTTTTATCTACAAAATAATGAATGATGTACTGAACCAATATTATTACCCAGCACCACTTTCCCTAACAGAGAAGGCTACACAAGCATTTCCATATCCTCTACATAGTATTTGTTCATCAGAAGAAAAATAACAAATAATTCTAAAAAATTGGATATAGTAATCCTATGTGGTACCCTTATAGCTACACACCCTGCACCTTTGAAACTGAGTCACATCCCCTTCAACCCAATGTTCTCTTCTGACTTCCACACTGCAGTCTTGTGGACATGCTTTCTAACCACATCTATACAGAAATTGAATGTTCTCCTGGAGAGGTAGCGAGGTCCCCATCATAGGAGTATTCAACAGAGGCTGGGTGGTGGTCCTTAGGGATGCCATGTTGGGTTGGAGGTTAAACTACATGACTCTAAGCTATGTGCTTTCTTGAAATATTGATTTTAAAATGAAAAATTCACCAGGTGATGACCAGCCAGGAACTGAGTCTGCAAGAGGATCATCCATTTTAACACCTGCCTTTGGCAGGTCTACACTAAGCCGGTGGTTCTCTCTTCTGGGTCCCCAGTGTTAACCTCACTGAATCTAAGGAGTTATTCACTGGTGCCGATTATTTGTTAGCACTTCCTAGATTCATTAGAAAGGGGTAATGACCAGGTGTGGTGGCTCACACCTGTAATCCCAGCACTTTGGGAGGCCAAGGCAGGAGAATTGCTTGAGGCCAGGAGTTTGAGACCAGCCTGGGCAACATAGCAAGACCCTGTCTCTACAAAACAATAAAAAAAAATTAGCTGGGCTTGGTGGCACATGCCTGTAGTCCCAGATACTCTGGAGGTCGAGGTGGGAGGATCACTTGAGCCCAGGAGGTTGAGGCTGCAGTGAACTAGGATCACCCCACTGTACTCCAGCCTGTGTCTAAAAAAGCAAAAGAAAAACAAAAAGAAAGGGCTAGTTTATTCCTCACTGACTAATACCGATGGTTTTCCCCCATTTCGTAAAAGCTTGAAGAACAGCCACCTATCTGCCCTTGCTGAATACAGTTCCAGCCACCAGAAAGCAGCAGAGAGAGTCACAGATGAAATTACAGCTGAGGAAAAAGAACACCCTCAGTGTGGCTATTTGCAGATTGTAAATATGTGTTTCCTGAAAAGAATGTCTAGAGCTCCTTGACTGAACTTTCATGAGAATTGTTTGTGAACTATCAAATGCTATACAAATATTGTCACTGGTATGCTCTTCCTGGCTCATAGGCACACACAAATTGGGCCGACCTTGTGAGGAGAGTCTCGGGAGGGACAGCAGGATCTCTGGTAGACAACACTGACCAGTTCACGATGGGTCCACCATTGTTCCATCTTCGTTCAGTGGATTGGGGACTGGAAACAGTGCATCTCCCTGGGCAGCAGGCACTTCAGGGGCACCAAGTAACTGTAAAGCAATCGTGGGTCTGCACGGGCCTGCCTTCTTCAGCATCCCTCCAGGTGCTGGCTGACCTCACTCCTTAATACGTACAGTTATTGAGTTTTTGCCGTGCTCATAATATCCCTGTACCAGAGGACAGCAGCCCCGGACAGAACTCACTGACCTTCCCTTCTCCCAGGCAGGATGTGGTCCCACTTCCCCACAGAGAACTTGAACTCAGCTCCTTTCTCTACTCTCCCCAACCCCCAAAACTGCTGCACTGAAAACCCCTCACACCTCAGCGTCTGCCAGCCACTCTAACTCTTCTCTTCCGGTTCCCCAGTTCTCTTTTTACTAATTCCAACTTGGGCAGGTCAGTGGTAGCCCCCGAAAGGTCTTATTCTTCCTTTGGAATGAGGACTTACAGTCAGCATATGGGTAGAAAAAAATTTAAAATAACCTTTTTTTATTGAATATCAGTGGTATGTGTGTTCGTTATGGAAAAATTGGAATATGCAGAGAGGCATTAAAATCACCTAGAATCTCACCACTCCGAAATCTGTTTGTATATAGTTATATGTTCATTAGTCTTTTAATTCACATGTATTTTTTTACAAAAATCATGATGATACCATATATATTGTTTTTATATGGTTTTGCAAAGTCTATTGTGTTTCCTAGGTCTTTAACTGTAGAGCATTTTATTCTATCAGATGAATTTACCGTAATGTATTTAACCACCCTCCAATTATTCAGTAAATGGGGTTTTTTCTCTTTTCTTTTTTTTTCTTTTTGCAATTACAAGCAACACTAAAATGAAGATATCATGGGATATAAATTTATTTATTTTCTTAAGGTAAATTCTTAGAACTAACACTATCAGGTCAAAGGATATAAACATTTTAACGATTGTTATTAGCTATTACCAAATTGTTCCCCCAAAAGTTTATATCTGTATCTGTTTACACTCAGAATCATTTTAAGTTTGCCTTAATCCCTAATGCCACTGAATATGAACCCACCAAAGCTTGCCGATGGTCTTCAAGATGGGCAGCAGACATTTACATTCATGCAAGCCAGCTTGTAGAGGTCCACCCTGATCCAGGCTGATCTGAGCCAAAATCCCATCACCTGGAACAGGTGGTCAGCTGGTGGGTGTTTAGCTCTGAGGGGCGATCCTGCAAAACACCTTAGGAGAGGGGGCAGCCTGATGCTGAGCCCTGCAGAACTGGAGCTGGGCCACGGACGCAGCCAGGTTTTCAGAATGCATCACACTCGAGAACACCAAACCGGTGCCAAGCCTGGGCCGTGCTCCCAGAAAGGGTTGGAATAATGTGCTGAACTCTCTTCGCAGCACTGGGCCTCAGTGATCGGTCCAGCCAGCCGGCTTCACCCTCCTCCACCTTGGAAGTTTGCTTTCATTGTGAGTGAAACTTTCATAAGAATTCTCTCAGGCAGGATTACCAGGATTTCACTTGGGAAAAACTCGAGACCCCATCCCTCCCACCACCCTGCCCAACAGAGAAATCCGAAGCAGAAACTTCTTGTTGTATATAACTACATACAAACTTTTTTTTTTTAAACGTGGATGATATAATAGCAGTGGTAGAAAGGGATGGATTTCTTGTTTTCAGTTTCTTCTTTTGCCAAACAATATAGCTTAATTCTTCAGCATAGAAATTCCAGCACAATGTCTGCGTAGCTGGGAATAGAAAGCAGAGATGAAATCGGGGATATCCTTGTTAATCATCCTCAGGGCAAGGAACGTAATTCTCCCAAAGTAGAGGGACAGGGGCCTGAGATGGTGAATGCTATTGACTGGAAATGTCTTTTCTGCCTCGCTCATAAAGACTTGTATGACCCCAGTATATAAAGTGTAACTTTCCATTTCCAGAAGATTTCTTTCTCCATACATTTTGAATGTGTGGTTTATTTTACTCTACATTGAGCCCTTGATAAAATGAGAATTGGGAGTTTCAGAGGGCAGAGGGCCGGAACTTTCTGCAGCACTTGAGTCTTGCGAATGCACACAGGTCACACAGCAGCACACACTTACTGATTAAATCATCACTTGCTCAAAAGGCTTTTGCATATTAACCACTAACTTTAATCGTTTCACACTCAGGGAGCATGCATTTCTAAACAGTTAGCATGGAGCTGTGTGGCGGAGCTGCAGCTTGGCATGGTGTCCATTCGAAAGGCACATCTCGGAAGGTATTTACTATTCCTGTAGGAAATATGCTTCCTTACACATAAAGGTTATATTCTGGAAAACAGGTGGTTGAGCATAGCTAGTATTCAACGGCAGTGCTGTCAAGGGAGAAAAAATCCCAAACATCCATGTTTTCCCCAGAAGTGCAGTGTCCTTAGTGGGGGAGGAGGGGTTCTGCCAGAGGATGAAATGCATCCTAGGACATCAGGGGCACTTCCTGGGCCAAAGACCAGCTGCTACTGGGACAGCTTCTGCCTAGCCCAGCTCCCAGGGGGCTTTTCTCCTATTCCTTAGTTTCCTATAAACTATCTCTTCCCACTTTCCCACAATGAGAGGAAAGCCTCACCCCCCCCCCACCCCCCCCCCCACTTTGGAGAAGAGCTATTGCTCTTGGAAGTCTCTTGAATCTGAGCCACCCCTTATTCCCTTGGGCCTGTAATTTCAGCAGTGGTTTAAGCATGTAAGCTTTCTGTCAGGGCGTTTAAAATTTCCTAGAAGTTTGAGGGACAGAAATTACCTCCCTTGCTTCATAAGGCTTCTTTGAGAGTTAAATGAAATGGCAGATGTGAAAATGTTATGAGAATATCATTGTTAATATTATTACTATTGGCTGGGCATGCTAGCTCACACCTGTAATCCCAGTACTCTAGAAGGCTGAGGTGAGAGGATTCCTTGAGGCCAGGAGTTCAAGACCAGCCTGGGCCACACAGCAAGACTCCATCTCTACCAAAATAAAATAATTAGCTGGAAATGATGGCACCCACCTGTAGTCCCAGCTGCTCGGGAAGCTGAGGTGGAAGGATCTCTTGAGTCCATGAGTTCAAGACTGCAGTGAGCTATGATCACACCACTGCACTCCAGCCTGGGCAACAGTGCAAGAACCTCTATCAAATATATATATGATATATTACTATAAATGTGAATATATATCTTAATATATATTACTATAATCTATATTCAACTTTTGATATTTTCACTCTTTTTACAGTGTTTATAGTAGTAATATTGCTACTATAAGTACTACTATATATATTTGATATAAAATATATATGTATGTAACTACTATAAACAACACTGTAAAAACATGGAGTGGAAGTATCAAAAGTTGAATATTTCCTTGTGGCTTTAGTTATTCCTAGGCATGTTTGGAGATTTAAATATTTGGATATTCAAATATCAAAAAGCCAAAGACCTAATAAAGAAGTTTCCTATTCTACATGTGACATATGTTTATCACTTTTCCTGATTTGCCATTCTGAGGAAACAATGGAGAAAGTAAATGTTCCCCTGTTATATAGCATTGCTGTGTACATACGTAAGATGTATTTCAAATTAAGGAGAAACCTCTGGGACTGGGTGTGGTGGCTCATGCCTGTAATCCCAGCACTCTGGAAAGTCAGGGTAGGAGGATCTCCTGAGGTTAGGAGTTTCAGACCAGCCTGGGCAACATAGCAAGACCCTGTCTCTATAAGAGAAAACAAATTAGCCAGGTGTGGTGGTGCATGCCTGTAGTCCTAGCTACTCAGGAGGCTGAGGTGGGAGGATTGCTTGAACCCAGGAGTTTGAGGCTGCAGTGAGCTATGTTTGTACCACTGTACTCCAGCCTGGGTGACAGAGCAAGACCTTGGCTCTAAGAGGGGGGGATAAAAAAGGAGAAACCTCTGTAGAAGATGCTACCAGCACCCACTTCACCCTGACCACTTGAGAGCCTGCCACCCTGCCTTCTAAGTGCCAGCCCCAGCATTTCTTTGGCTGCTGAAGCCAGCATTGTTTACCTATGCAGCAGATCAGCTGTGCAGAGGATTAATGTCATAAGTGCAGTTCACCAGCAATGGCTCACAGGAGTCTGGGGCTAGCTCCCACACCCCCTGGAACCTGCATTTTCCCCCATATCCCGGAGTTTCTCCAGCAGGATTACATGCCAGTCACCCACAGCAGGATCTGGCTTGGGAACATTTCTTCCTCCACTGCCTTACCTTCCCTATCTCCTTCCCTCATCCCCTCCTCCTATTATTGGTCTTTCCTTCCCTTCCAACATAAATTCCCTGCACTCAAATTCCTGCTCAGAGTCTGCTCCAAGGGAACCCAAGCTTAGACACCCTCCAAAGAGTGGAAGGAAATCTTGTCCTAGGTTTTGACAATATTATATTTGTAATATGACTAGTTCTTGCTTTTCACAAAAACAAGGAATATTGCCTACTCTGCCCATTGTGTCAACCAATATCAAGAAATCCTTTGCTCCATGAGGATGCATTTTGACTGATTATTTAATACTCATGTTGTGATGTGAATTTTGACTGGATTACCCATGGAGAATATCTTCTGAATAAAAATATTCATTGGTACTAATGATATTTCATATTTGAATAGCACTTTACAGTTTGTAAATAAATTTAACATATATTTTCAATCAATGCATGAGAAGAAAAGGGAAGAGGAATTATCATCTAAATTCTAAGGTAGCATTATGCTACCTCTGTGTCAAAGTAAGTAAAGCAATCAAGTCTCCTAATGCCTGTATCTTCACTGCCTGGTAAAGCTTTGTGGCCAAGTGAAGGCTGCCATACCTCTTTCTAACCATGAAGGAGAAAGAGGACTGGGAGGCCTAATGTGCAGCCATTCACTTCTGGCAACTTCAGCTTCCATTTTTTGGATTAGTCTCCTCCTTTTCTTGATTTTCCAGCCCATACTCCTCTTTGGCTTTTTTTTAATCTTGGAGGAGGCAGACTAAAATTATCTCGTTTTACATTTTTTGATCCAAGGTAATAATATGTCCCCTTGAAGTTGGGTAACTGGCTAACCATTTAAAACATTAAAGATGGCTCCTTATCCTGCATCTTCTACCCAAATTAATTCCAGATGAATTGAAGATTCAAGTGAAATAAACCATCAAGTGCTGCAAGAAAACATTAGGAAAATTATTTATATGCTTTAGGTTGAGGAGTGGTTTTCTAAACATGGCACCAAATAAGGAAATTATAAGGAAAAAATTAGTAAATATGATCACATAAGAATATTAAATTTCTAGAAGGCAAGAAATGCAATGAAATTAAAATAGAGCACTGGAAAAATATTTCAACATATAACAGAGAAAGCGTAATCTTACAGATTAAGAGCTCTTGCAGATTAATTCTAAAAATATATAAACACCCCAATAATAAAATGGTAAAGGACAGGATAATTTAAAAAGAAGAAATACAAATTTCCCCTAAGCGTATGAGGCCTATCTTCAATCTAATTAGAAATCAAATAAATGTAAAATATGAAATATATTATTTTGTCTATAAAATTGACAAAGGTTGTTTAATCTATAAGTAAGCAATAGGATTGTATATTGGTATCACTTTGGGGCAGGAAAGTGGCAATTTGGGAATAGATATTGAAATTTTAAAATGTGCATTCTATCCTGCACATGGGCCCTGGAATTTAAATTAAAAGTTGAAGGAAAAAGCCAAAGGAAAAAAAAAATGTGCATTCTACTTCTAGGAATTTGTCCTAGTTAGTTAAGAAAGATATAGGCCAGGCATGGTGGCTCACGCCTGTAATCCCAGCACTTTGGGAAGCTGAGGCAGGAGGATCACCTGAAGGCAGGAGTTCAAGACCAGCCTGGCCAAAATGGCTAAACCCCATCTCTACTAAAAATACAAAAATTAGCCGAGCATGGTGGTGCACACCTGTAATCCCAGTTACTCTGGAGGCTGAAGTAGGGAGAATTGTTTGAACCCTGGAGGCAGAGGTTGCAGTGAGCCAACATCGTGCCAGTGCACTCCAGCCTGGGTGACAAAGTGAGACTCTGTCTTAAAAAAAACAGATATGAGTAACAATGCAACCATAAGGGTGTTCATATAGCATTGTTTGCTATATGTATTATATATTATTAATATGTGACATATACATATAATGTTGTTTTAAGTTGGAAATAAAATGTGCCCCAAGACCAGGTGCGGTGGCTCCCACCTGTAATCTCAGCTACTTGGGAGGCTGAGGCAGGAGGATCACTCGAGCCCAGGAGTTTGAGGCTGTAGTGAGCCACAGTTGTGCCACTTGTACTCTAGCCTAAGCAACAGGGCAAAACTCTCTCTCTTAAAAAAAAAGAGTTCCCTCAAGTCGGGTTAGGTGTAAGAAACGGGAAGCCTGGTGGCCTGTGTCCCTCTGAGAGAAGCACTGACCAGGATAAGTCTGATGCTTTAATAATAGTTCATTGTGTGCAGATGTCCCTAAAAACAGAGGCTACCCTCTCCATTCTTTACCTCAGCTTCCATTTTTTGACCCCAACTTGGATAAGTGAATCCTGCTTTATCCTCCAATTCTATCCCTGGTGGCTGAGGGCCATATGGTTTCACATGGTAGGGACAAGAGAAAATACATACTTAAAATCCTGCCTTTTCATCAAGATGTCACTAGGATCCCTGAGCAATAATGAAGCAATGAGGGGGATATCCAAGTCCACATCATAAATTTTCAGTGACCTGGAGATGGAGCCCTAAGCTCAACCTCTCTATGAGGGCTAATGACCCCACTCAACCAGATGCCCTGAAACTTGAGCCACGGTGGGTGTTGGGATTCCATGGCAGCACTGTGAGATAGAAGAGTGCTACCAGGACCCACAAAACTCCACTCTCCCTTCCCCTGTGTACCTTGTGCAAAAAGCTAATATTTCATTTGAAGAAATCCCACCCTGGAAAAAATAAGGAGTACCAGCCAAGAACTCATTCATGAGGGGAAGTTTACCAAGCATTTTGTTTTGCCTTGATCTCAGATGTTGCTCAACTGCCCCAGTTTCTCCAGTTCAGCAAGCACAGTGTTGCTCTTTCAAGAGGTAATTGGCAGGTAATTGGCTTTGCCAGCCATAACTCACAGACCTACCTCCCAGGAGATAATGAGATCTCAAAACACATGTGACGCATAAGGATGAGACCTTGCCCTGGTGATTCTGAGTCCCCAGGTATGGGTGGGGCCCAGAGATCTGCATTTTCTTTTCTTTTTTGTTTTTTCTTTGAGATGGAGTCGTGCTCTGTCTCTCAGGCTGGTGTGCAGTGGCGTGGAGATCTGCATTTTCAATAAAAACACCAGGTGATTTTCACAATCAGGCAAATGTGAGAAATATGGTAGTACAGCAACAAGGACTTGCATTAAATAGAACTTCACATTTCATGTAGGAGTCCCTAGAAAATGATCCTATTACTAGCATCCAGATCTAATAGAGAATCTGCACTTAAGTGAGGAGGCAACAAGGTAGCCTTTCTAGTAGAATACAAAGCAGCACGAACCTCCTGAGCTGCTACAGCCGGGGGACATATATTGGTGTTGCACAGGAAGCGTCAGGGAGGCCATGGTGCTGCCCAGTGGTGGAAGCCATTTTTTTCCTCTCCCATCTCAGTTAGAAATAACTCTTTACCTCCAAAGAGAATAGGGAGGTACCTGAGCCAAGACGTGTGTAATTCAGGAATGAAGAATGTGGAAAGGAGCATTACAGGCAGAGGGAAGAGCACAAGCAGAGGCACAGAGGAAAGAGGGCGTGGCTTAGGGGAACTAGAGAGAACCTCTGGTAGTGTGAGCAGGAAACGCAAGGGGGCAAGCGCTTGTAAGGAGATGATGCTGCGGGGCAGGGCTGTGCAGGAGCCAGGTCCTTGGGGGAACGTGCTGACCCCTGCTATCTACTGTGAAGCCCTGGACTTAGCAAGAAAGAGCCAGTTGGTATCTTTGATAAGGGCAATTTTAGTGGAGTGATGGTGAGAGAAGAGAGAGACCCTCTCATATTGTTTTATATTGTTTTATACTCATCACCTGTTTTAAGAAAACAACAAGGAAGTAAAACCAAAGAGGCAGCCTGGCGCCAGGCCCAAAACCAGGCCTGGGCCTGCCTGGCCTAAACCCAGTAGTTAAAAATCAACTCATAACTTAGAAACCGATGTTATTCATGGATTCCAGACACTATATAGAAGAACATTGTGAAACTTGCTGCCCTGTTCTGTTTCTCTCTGACCACTGGTATATGCAGCCCCTGTCACATACCCCTTGCTTGCTCAAATCAATCATGACCCTTTCATGTGAAATCCTTAGAGTTGTGAGCCCTTAAAAGGGACAGAAATTGTGCACTCGGAGAGCTTGGATTTTAAGGCAGTAGCTTGCCAATGCTCCCAGCTGAATAAAGCCCTTCCTTCTATAACTCGGTGTCTGAGAGGTTTTATCTGCGGCTTGTCCTACAATGGGGCCAGAAGTCAGATTACAATAGACTGAAGACAGTGAATGGGAAGTAAGAAGGTGTTAGCAGATCATGTCGATTACTCTTCCAAGAAGCTTAGTTGTAACGAAAAGGAGAACTTGGAGGACCTGTGATTGTGATGGATTGCTTTGTTTTGTTTTGATTTAAGAAAGCAGAATAGAATGTTTTGTATGCTGGGAAAGACATAGTTTATAGGGAGAGCTAAAAAGGAAGAGCAGAGGGAAAGCAGCCTAGTTACTGAAGAGGTGAGGGGGCAGGAAATGGACTTGGAGGACTCTTGGAGGGAGTGACCTTGAAGAAAGGTGAGGGAGCCCCTCTTCCCCTGAGCCTAGAGGAGAGGAGGTGACTGTAGGTGGAGAGAGATAGCATTGTGTACAGGTGGGGAATTTGGGGGCCTCTGTTTTCCTAGTGAATTAGGAGATAAGGTTGTCTGGGGGAGAAGGCTTGAGAAGAGTGGGCAAAATGTCAATGGGCAGTGCGAGGGCCAGTGGCCAGGTACACAGACAGTGGCTACTGAAGGAAACTGAGGACATATCATGGGTTATAGTTTTAGATAGGTTTTGAGTGGCACTGATTCACATAATTAACAGTTAGGTGGGCTGACGGATAGAAAATAAAGCTTATGGATTCTATTTCATTTTTTTCTTCTATTTCCATTTTCCAGGTGCCAAAAGCTGAGTTACTTACTGTCTTCATTTCACAGCTTGGTTGGCTCATCTCATCCAGGGGCTCTCACCTGCCCTTGCAGCAGAAGCATCTGAGAATCACTTAAAATACAGGTGTGTGTCTCCCTGCCCCACAGAGTTGATCTCAGGTGGGACCGGTATTCATGATCTTTAAAGCAGCCCAGGTGATTCTAATGAAGAGCCAGGATTGGGAAGCCCTCATCTTAGCTGTGTCCAGGGGAGAGTCCTTTCCAGTTCCCTGGTGAGAAACACCTGGAAGTGTATAAGAGATGACCAGGCCAGGCGCGGTGGCTCACTCCTGTAATCCCAGCACTTTGAGAGGCCGAGGCTGGGAGATCGCTTGAGGTCTTTGAAACTCTGTCTCAAAAAAGGCCGGACTTGGTGGTTCATGCCTGTAATCCTAACACTTTGGGTGGCCGAGGTGGGTGGATCACCTGAGGTCAGGAGTTTGAGACCAGCCTGGCCAACATGGTAAAACCCCATCTCTACTAAAAATACAAAAATTAGCAGGGCGTGGTGGTACAAGCCTGTAATCCCAGCTACTCAGGAGGCTGAGGAAGGAGAATTGCTTGAACCCAGGAGGTGGAGGCTGCAGTGAGCCGAAATTGCGCCACTGCACTCCAGCCTGCACGACAGGAGTGAGACTCCATCTCAAAAAAAAAAAAAGACCACTGAAACTTCTGGATTTTGTTTTATACACATATCTTTATGGTAAATGTACATAGCTTTCATTTTAAAGTGTCCTTTTCAACAAAATCTTTTGAATTTCTACAAAGTTCTGAGTTAAAGGACTGTTTATCATTTTAGGTAGATGGGAGGGCTGTCTGGACACATAGATCCCCTGGACTCAGAGGACCACACCGAGCATCACAGTGAGGAGCCTTGCTAAGCTAAGCAGCATGCATGCCCCTGTGGGGTGGTAGGTGCTTCAGCCTGACTGCCGTGTGTGCCGCTCATTACACTAGCAGAGCCCCTCCAGGAAGGAGGGAAGGAAACAGTATCAGAATTAAGCAGATTGTATACACACACACACACACACACACACACGCGGCATTCCCAACTGGCAACAAAGAGCAGGTGTTCCAGATAAGAGTAGCGGGAGAATGGAAGGAGTTGCCAGGTAGAATAGCAAATGAGACGTGTGACCAGGGAGAAAGAGTATTCTCAAATACTCTTGTGTCCCAAATGTGTCCTTCGCAGTTACATTTAAACCATGGAAGGCAGAGAAGCACTAAATTGTCTCCTTGCCTCAGAGGAGGGATGCCATCCAGGGCCTCTGAATAAATCAGCTGCTTTTGACCTTGCCAGTCATCTTCACACTGGTTGCCTAGTACAGGATGTGGTTGAAGCCACTGGGATAATAACACCTCCTAGGGCCTGTCTAATGCATGGCCATTTACACCACCCTGTTGTGGCTCCTCTCGCCTTTGACCCTCACCAAGGCTAACACTTACCATGGTTCAGGGAAGGGGAAGCTGGCCCCGAGCCCTCCTCTGATCCTACCATGACTTGCTGCCTGCTGCAGGCATTATTCACAAGTACTTGACCAGTTGCTAGAAACTGTCACACATTAAAAGCTTCTGCTTTCACTTACCAGGCAGGGAAAGCCGTGACCACAGAGCTTGTGGGTGCTGCCACCAGAGCATTCTCCTGAGAGCTGGTGCTGTCAATGTTGGGTGTTGGCGGAGACTGTTGGGAAGGAGGCTGGGCTAGCCAACTTGCCGAATTTCTCATCGCTGACCCTGCCACTCCACGTGCATAATCATGGGGCTCCTGCTAGTGTCATTAAGCCACACCCTACTGGTGCAGCACCACTAAGCCATGCCTACTGGGTCAGCACCATTAAGTCACACCCCATGGGTCCAGCACCGCTAAGCCACACCCCACTGGCTCTCTCCTTATTTCACCAGGGAGTCCTGCAGCAAGGAATGGTGCACGCTGGACCCCACCCTGTCTCATCCCACTGTGGCTGGTTTCTGCCACAGAAGGTGAGTCTTTGGTGAGGGACTGAGGAGCAGAGTTGTGTGGGTGCTGCAATAACTGAGGATCAAACCAAGTCAGGGTGGCCCATCTGCCATGATCTACCCCAAAGGGCGGGAAAGCCAGGAAGCCCCCAGGGCATCTTCTCCAGGATCAGCTGCAGCTGTTCTGTTTTGCTGTTGTTTTGGGTTTCCTTGTTGCCATTTGTCTTTGTTTTGTTTTGTTTTGTTTTTGAGTTCTCAGTAATCTGACAGGCACCAAAGTGGTCCCTTTGGATTCCATGCCCATCAGTATAAAATGGAGAGGGAGAGGAAGGAGCTAGGCTTTGGGATCAGCAGATGTGGGCTTAGGGCCTGGGCTCTGTTACACATGGATGCTATCATCTTGGGCAGGTTTTCTAACCTGATGAAAAACCAAATTGCCTGGCCCAACTCTAGCCCTAAGATAAAAAAAGCAAAAGACTCTTGACACTCACACAGGGCCCAGCTCCCATTTCCATGGTAGAAGTCTTCTAGGGATTTGAGTCAAAGCTCTGCCTGGTACAGAAGAGGGTGGATTTGCCTGCAACGTCTTTTGTGCTCACCGAGGGAAGCCTCCATAGGCCAGTAGGAGGCTTGGCCAGAGACAGGGATAGGCATGCTGATGTCATTTCTTCCAGAAACACATCTGACTGTGGGTACCATTCACCCGTCTTATAGCCCAAGCAGCTCAGGCTCCAAAAGCTTAAGCAATTTGCCACAGTTGCAATGCAGGTCCTCTGACTTCGTAGCACATGTTACCCACATGTGCTGGAATTGCATGGTGCAGGTGGGAGAAAGCTGAAAAAACCAAGTGTTTCAGTTGGCTGGAGGGTACATGCAAGGGAAGTACTGGGGACCAGGTTGGGAAAGATCATGGCCTCTTTTACAGAGCGTCTCTCTGCATCTGAACCTGACCTGTTTGGGACCTGGGACCTAGAGGAGCTGGGTTAGCAAATGGGTGGATATTTCAAGTCCTAATGATACTGTTGTGCTGTCAATTATTACACAAATCCAAGAGCTAACACCCCTTGGTCAGAAGACACTGCAGAATAATTGCAGAATAATTACAAGCTGGATAAAGCCCTCAGGTCAGAGGAAGGGAAATTTAAAATGGAGGAAACTAATTACTTTTCAGGGCAGTGATTCTCTGGCCTCAGACTTCAGCTAGATGCCCTCTGTACATTTCTTTCTCTTGGTATTTTTACTTACTCATAAAAGTGGACAGAAACCCAAAATAAAAGCAAATACTGGTGATGTGGCAAGACAATGTGAAGCATCCTGAGCTTTGTCCTCTTTCCTTCCATTCATTTCTTTTATGCAAATTGCTTCCTCCCTGTGCCTTGGGCATAATAAATATTCATGGAAGGAAGGAAAGAAAGGAATTGCACAAGTGGGAGATGAACTAAAATGTAAAGATTTCCAAGCCTTGCCCTCATTAGCATCATGTATTTTACTACTAAAGCTTAATAAGAAATGGAGCCACTAATTAATCCATGAAAGATTTTCAGAAAAAGCGCAACTCCTCATTTATTTGGTGAAAACTACAAAAACCATTTATTCTCCTGGGTCCAAAGTTTTCCCATGGTAAAATTGAGTCAGTTCAACCAATGGATCCCTGAGAATGACACGGTCACCTATGTGCAAAGTACCCCTGAGGGTTTTTAATTAAAAAGAAAAAAGAAATCTCTGGCTACAGATGAGAACTGCTTTCCACCTAGGAGAATCAGGTATTGAAGGAGCACGCCTACCCTTCTCCACGCTGTGCCATGAAACAACTCTCGGAACTTCCATGAGTGGCACTCATGCTCCAGCCACTCACAAATAGACCTTTGTGTCATTTATTCAGCACTTGGTAGGTCCAAGGCACTGTGCCAACCCCTTACCTATGCATCTCATTCAATCCCAACAATTACTTTGAGAATCGGGTATGATTATTGCATTTAGCAGGGAGAAAAGAGAGAGGAAGCCCCAAGTAACCGGGCCAGTCCTTATGGAACTATTACCCTATATTAATAATGCGTTCCTGATGCCTAGATGTCTGGGGCTTTGCTGACCCTGGAGGAACTGCCTTTCTCAGGGTCAGCTAATTTCTAGAGAAAGTAAATGACTTGCTTGGGAGCACCTTTCAAATGCAAGCCACCCAACCCAGAGCCCATACCCCGGGTGCCACCTCTTCTATTAGCTCTCACACTCAGGACCATGTGCTCCCACTCTAATCACCCTAGGGACAGATGGCAGACAGCAAGAGGCAGCCCCTATGTCCCAGACTCCTGTGAAATTATTCAAACTAGCAAATCATAAACCTGCTTACCCTGCCTGGCGCCATTCCTTCCTGCAGAAACCATGATAAAGACTCTTGCCTACGTTTCCCCCTCACTCCCTCTGCTGCCTGACTGGCCCTGGTACTTCCCCACTTGGCACCTGTGGCATGGTGTGGGCCCCTTTCTTGGAATATGTGAGTATCACAGAGTATCTTTTCAACGGCAATTGTCTTCTGATCTGTTGGCCTCCCCATACCAGAAAAAACAGACCCACATTCTAATACGCATGCCCAGTGTCGCCCCTGTGCTAATCTGAGCCAAAAAAGCAGAACCACAAATGGAAACATCACATCCTGTTTATCACTAGTATTGGTGTTCTCAAAGACAAATTAAGGCCTTTAGGGGTATATTCCAAGAGCATGAGAAAGAAGAGGGACTGCTAGTCTTACCCACTAATTCTATCCAAGATGCAGATAGCAGCCATTCATTTCCTGCTTGGTTTTTTATTTGTTTTTGAGACAGGGTCTGGCTGTCACCCAAGCTGGAGTGCAGTGGCACCATCATGGCTCATGTCAGACTTGACTTCCCAGGCTCACACGATCCTCCCACCTCAGCCTCCTGAGTAGCTGGAGCTACTGGTGTATGTCACCATCTCCAGCTAATTTTTTTTTTCATTGTAGAGATAGGGTCTTGCTATGTTGCCCAGGCTGGTCTCAAATTTATGGACTCAAGCCATCCTCCCACCTTGGCCTCCCAAAGTGCTCAGATTACAGGCATGAGCCACCACTCTTGGCCTCCTGCTTAGTTTTGATAACACAATGATGATGAAGAAGGAGAAATCAGTCTCTCTGGAGGATGATGATTTTTGCACATTCATCAAAAGGGGTTTAGAAACAGTTGGGAACAGCAGACGAACATGGTCATCCTTCCCCTCTGGTAGGCTGGCATTCTTACTTCCTCCAGAAAGCATTCGTCCACCATAGATGAAAGCTTTTTTTTTTTTTTTTTTTTTTTTTAGACGGAGCCTCACTCTGTTTCCCAGGCTGGAGTGCAGTGGCACAATCTCGGCTCACTGCAACCTCCGCCTCCCAGGTTCAAGTGATTCTCTGGCCTCAGCCTCCCAAGTAGCTGAGATTACAGGCACATACCACCATGCCTGGCTAATTTTTGTATTTTTAGTGGAGACAGGGTTTTACCATGTTGGCCAGGCTGGTCATGAACTCCTGGCCTCAAGTGATCTGCCTGCCTCGGCCTCCTAAAGTGCTGGAATTACAGGCGTGAGCCACTGCGCCTGGCCGAAAGCTTTTAAATTAGGGGTAAAGTTAGCTACCTAGAGACAGCTGGCCAAATTAGCATACTTACGGCAGATAATTAAGCCAAAGACTTTGGTTGAAAATAGGAATTAATCACCAAAATAACTTTATTTGGCCTGTTTCCCCCACACTGTTCTATCCTGACACACACAGGATTGTACATTTCCTGGAGCCATTCTTCCTACAACACCACATTTACGAAAAGCAGCTAACACATGAGTGAGCTTAAGGGCTTCAGCTGTGATCCTACTAATCCTGTCTTGCTTTTCAAGACTTCTGTACTCAGACACAAAAACACAACGTAACTCTTTAAAATCCAAGTACTAAAATAGCACCCAGAGCCTACATCTTCTTTCAAAGGCATGTTTTCAAAGGAGTTTTAGTCACCCAAGATATAGCTAGCTTCCAATGATCTGAATCACACAGTTAATAGGACTTAGCTATCCACGTTGATCCCAGGTAGCCACTGTCAGCACTAGCTTCCATTGTTTGTACCTAAGTAATTGATGGAGGATCGCTTAGGGACTACAGAATGGCAGGTTCTACAATAGGAACACCTAACCCAAATTTTGCAAATGTAGGGCTTCCAAAAAAGGATAGAGTATAGCAGATCCAAAAAATAGGTTAGCATTATTCTTTTTAATATCAAACTACTCCTTACCTGTAAATGAGGGTGGTGTTAATTCTGTAAATATTGGAGTGGCTTGGGGACCACCTGAGCTCCCTTCTATAGACACAGGCTTTGTTCTGTGTGAACCCCAGACTCATGCACATCCAAATGCCTACTTTGTATCTCCAGTTGGATACCAACCAGGTACCTGGAGCAGAGTATGCCCAAATCGAAACTGTTAATTCATCTAAAGTTGTTCATCTCCAGAATGCCCCAATTTCACTAAAGAGTCTCACTGTCTACCTCACTGCTCAAGACAAAACCCTCTGAGTCATCTTTGATTCCTCCAGGCAGTCCTTTCGGCTCTGCCTCCTACGTACATCTCAAATCAGTACTCGTGTTTGTGTCTTCACTGTCACTCCCCAAATCAGGTCATCAATTTTTCTCCTGGGCCACTGTGATAGCCGCCTCACTGGGCTCCCTACGTCAACTCTAGCCTCTCCTATAAATCATTCTTCCCATTGCAGCCAAAGGGATTTTTTTTTAACACATCAGATCATGTCTCTCAGGAAAATTCTTTATTGAGAAATAAATGTTTGAGACTCTTATTACAATGAATGTGTTCGTCATCTATTTCAATTAGGCCTGAAGGGAAAAAAACCAAGGACTTGATACTTTCTTGGGAAAAAAATAAAAAGAGGAATTCAAATCCCGTAGAAGGTACAGAGAGTGGGCTGAGTACAATTTTTTCTATGCCAATCAATTAGTATGTTGCTTTTGGATTGATGGTTTTTATTCTACAGGAGATAATATGACACTTTTAAAGTCTGGGTGGTTTTTTTTTTAAGTTCTTATAAATCAGCCAAGACATTTTTATAATTCAAAAGTACAGAAGAAGTCTCAATCTGACACAACAGGCCTTCACCCCAACAAGATTAGGATTTATATTCTAAGGGTCTCCAAGTCAAATGTCCTGTAAATATTCCCAGCCTTTCTCCTTAACAATTAGCTGTAAAAGGCTGTATAGCTCAGGGCCTGTCTCCCATGACAGTGAAGTCAACAGTCTGTCATATGCCCAAGGTTCTTTGCTAACAAGTGCTTATTAGAGGTCTGCAGTCTCTGACTTCAGCATCATTTATTTTATTTTATGAAGTTCCAGGATACATGTGCAAGATGTGCAGGTTTGTTACATAGGTAAACGTGTGCCATGGTGGTTTGCTGAAGCTATCAACCCATCACCTAGTTATTAAGCCCAGCATGCATTAGCTATTTATCCTGATGCTCTCCCTTTCCTTGATCCCCGCCTGCAACAGGCCCCCGTGTTTGTTGTTCCCCTCCCTGTGTCCATGTGTTCTCATTATTCAGCTCCCACTTACAAGTTAGAACATTTGATATTTGGTTTTTTTGTTCCTGCATTAGTTTGCTGAGAATAATGGCTTCCAACTCCATCCATGTCCTTGTAAAGGACATTATCTCATTCCTTTTTATGGCTGCATAGTAGTCCTTGGTGTACATGTACCACATTTGCTTTATCCAATCTATCATTGATGTGCATTTGGGTTGATTTCAGGTCTTTGCTATTGTGAATAGTGCTGCAATGAACATATGAATGCATGTATCCTTATAATAGAATGATTTATATTCCTTTGGGTATATACCCACTAACGGGATTGCTGGGTCAAATGGTATTTCTGGTTCTAGGTTTTTGAGGAATCGCCACACCGTTTTCCACAATGGTTGAACTAATCTACATTCCCTCAAACAGTGTAAAAGTGTTCCTATTTCTTGGGCAGTCTTGCCAGCATCTGCGGTTTCTTGACTTTTTAATAATCACCATTCAGACTGGTGTGAGATGGTATCTTATTGTGGTTTTGATTTGCATTTCTCTAATGATCAGCGATGATGAGCTTTTTTTCAAGTGTGTGTTGGCTGCATAAATGTCTTCTTTTGAGAAGAGTCTGTTCATATTTTTTGCCCACTTTTTAATGGGGTTGTTTGTTTTTTTCTTGCATATTTGTTTAAGTTCCTTATAGATTCTGGATATTAGAACTTTGTCAGATGGATAGATTACAAAATTTTTCTCCCATTCTGTAGGTTGTCTGTTCACTCTGATGATAGTTTCTTTTGCTATGCTGAAGCTCTTTAGTTTAAATAGCTCCCATTTGTCAATTTTTGTTTTTCTTACAGTTATTTTTGACATCTTCATCATGAAATCTTTGCCTGTGCCTATGTCCTGAATGGTATTGCCTAGATTTTCTTCTAGGATTTTTATAGTTTTGGGTTTTGCATTTAAGTCTTTACTCCATCTTGAGTTAATTTTTGTAGAAAGTGTAAGGAAGGGGTCCAGTTTCAATTTTCTGCATATGGCTAGCCAGTTCTCCCAGCATCATTTATTAAATAGGAGATACTTTCCCCATTGCTTGTTTTTGTCAGATTTGTCAAAGATCAGATGGTTGTAGACATGCAGTCTTATTTCTGGGTTCTCTATTCTGTTCCATTGGTCTATGTGTCTGTTTTTGTACTGGTACCATGCTGTTTTGGTTACTGGAGCCTTGTAGTATAGTTTGGAGTCAGGCAGTGTCATGCCTCCAGCTTTGTTCTTTTTGCTTAGGATTGTCTTGGCTATATGGGCTCTTTTTTGGTTCCATGTGAATTTTAAAGTAGTTTTTTTCTAATTCTGTGAAGAATGTCAATGGTAGTTTAATGGGGATAGCATTGAATCTATAAGTTACTTTGGGCAGTATGGCCATTTTCATGATATTGGTTCTTCCTATCCATGAGCATGGAATGTTTTTCATTTGTTTGTGTCCTCTCTGATTTCCTTAAGCAGTGGTTTGTAGTTCTTCTTGAAGAGGTCCTTCAGTTCCCTTGTTAGCTGTATTCCTAAGTATTTTATTCTCTTTGTAGCAATTGTGAATAAGAGTTCATTGATGATTTGGCTCTCTGCTTGTCTGTTGTTGGGGTATAGGAATGTTTGTGATTTTTGCACAGTGATTTTGCATCCTGAGACTTTGCTGAAGTTGTTTATCAGCTTAAGAAACTTTTGGGCTGAGACAATGGGGTTTTTGAGATATAGGATCTTGTTATCTGCAGAGACAGTTTTAACTTTCTTTCTTCCTATTTGAATACCCTTTATTTCTTTATCTTGCCTGACTGCCCTGGCCAGAACTTCAAATACTATGTTGAATAGGAGTCATGAGAGAGGACATCCTTGTCTTGTGGCAGTTTTCAAGGGGAATGTCTCCAGCTTTTGCCTATTCAGTATGATATTGACTGTGGGCTTGTCATAAATGGCTTATTATTTTGAGGTATGTTCCATCAATATGTAGTTTATTGAGAGTTTTTAACATGAAGGGATGTTGAATTTTATTCAAGGCCTTTTCTGCATCTATTGAGATAATCATATGGTTTTTGTCTTTAGTTCTGTTCATGTGATGAATTACACTTATTGATTTGCATATGTTGAACCAGCCTTGCATCCCGGGGTTGAAGCCGACTTGCTCATGGTGGGTAAGCTTTTTGATGTGCTGCAGAATTCAGTTTGGCAGTATTTTATTGAGGATTTTTGCTTCGATGTTCATCAGGGATATTGGCCTGAAGTTTTCTTTTTTTGTTGTACCTCTGCCAGGTTTTGGTATCAGGATGATGCTGGCCTCATAAAATGAGTCAGGGAGGAATCCCTCCTTTTCAATTATTTGGGATAGTTTCAGAAGAAATGCTACCAGCTCCTCTTTGTAACTCTTGTAGAATTCAGCTGTAAATCCATCTGGTCCTGAGTTTTTTTTGGTTGGTAGGCTATTTATCACTGCCTCAATTTCAAAAATTGTTATTGTTCTATTCAAGGATTCAACTTCTTCCTGGTTCAGTCTTGGGACGGTGTATGTGTACAGGAATTTATCCATTTCTTCTAGATTTTCTAGTTTATTTGCATAGAGGCTTTATAGTGTTTTCTGATGGTTTATATTTCTGTGGGGTCAGTGGTGATATCCCCTTTATCATTTTTTATTGTGTCTATTTGATTCTTCTCTCTTTTCTTCTTTATTAGTCTACCTAGTGGTCTATTTTATTATTTTTTTCAAAAAACTAGCTTCTTGATTTGTTGACTTTTTAAGGGTTTTTTCATGCTTCTGTCTCCTTCAATTCCACTCTGATCATGGTTACTTCTTGTCTTCTTCTACCTTTGGGGTTTGTTTGCTCTTGGCACTCTAGTTCTTTTAGTTGTGATGTTAGGATGTCGATTTGAGATCTTTCTAGCTTTTTGATGTGGACATTTAATTTCTCTCTTAACACTGCTTTAGCTGCATCCCAGAGATTCTGGTAATTGTCTCTTTGTTCTCATTGGTTTCAAAGAACTTCTTGATTCCTGCCTTAATTTCATTATTTACCCACGAGGCATTCAGGACCAGCTTGTTCAATTTCTATGCAGTTGTCTGGTTTTGAGTGAGTTTCTTAATCCTGAGTTCTAATTTGATTGTGCTGTGGCCTGAAAGAGTGTTTGTTATGATTTCAGTTCTTTTGCATTTGCTGAGGAATGTTTTATTCCCAATTACTGATTGATTTTAAAGTAAGTGCCATGTGGCACCAAGAAGAATATATATTCTGTTGTTTTGGGGTGGAGAGTTCTGTATACATGTATCAGGTCCACTTGATCCAGAGCTGAGTTCAAATCCTGAATATCTTTGTTAATTTTCTGTCTCAATGATCTGTATAATATTGACAGTGGGGAGTTAAAGTCTCCCACTATTATTGTGTAGGAGTCGAAGTCTCTTTGTAGGTCTCTAAGAACTTGTTTTATGAATCTGAGTGCTCCTGTATTGGGTACATGTACATTTAGGATAGTTAGCTCTCCTTGTTGAATTGAACCCTTTACCATTACGTAATGCCCTTCTTTGTCTTTTTTAATCTTTGTTGGTTTAAAGTTTGTTTTTTTCGGAAACTAGTATTGCAACCCCTGCTTTTTTCTGCTTTCCATTTGCTTGGTAAATTTTCCTCCGTCCTTTTATTTTGAGCCTACGTGTCTTTGCACGTGAACACGGGTCTCTTGAATACAGCACAACAGTGGGTCTTGACTCTTTATCTAGCTTGCCATTCTGTCTTTTAGTTGAGGCATTTAGCCTGCTTACATTTAAGGCTAATATTGTTATGTGTGAGTTTGATTCTGTCATCATGATGATAGCTGGTTATTTTGCAGACTTGTTGATGTAGTTGCTTCATAGTGTCATTGGTCTTCATACTTCAGCGTGTTTTCATAGTGGCTGGTAACAGAGTTTCCTTTCCATATTTAGTGCTTCCTTCAAGAGCTCTTGCAAGGCAGGCCTGGTGGTGATGAATTCCCTCAGCATTTTCAGCATAATTTTTAACAACTCAATTTTATTAGCCTCTCAAAACTATAGGCTTTGTAGGTTTCCAATTCTACATTAAAGAATGCGGGCATTACAATTTCCTAT
Source organism: Homo sapiens (assembly GCF_000001405.40). Classification (NCBI taxonomy): domain Eukaryota; kingdom Metazoa; phylum Chordata; class Mammalia; order Primates; family Hominidae; genus Homo; species Homo sapiens. The sequence continues at coordinate 23,977,685 of NC_000018.10, forward strand.
TTCAATATGTTTCTCTCCTACTTAAAAACTACTGTGTATAGCCAGGTGTCATGGCATGCACCTGTGGTCCCAGGTACTTGGAAGGCTGAGGCAGGAGGATTGCTTGAGCCAGGGTGGCTGAGGCTGCAGTGAGCCATGATGACATTACTGCACTCCATCCTGGGTGACAGGAAGTCAAGGCTTGAAGTCAAGGCCCTGCAGGGGGTGACCACCACCTTGACAGACTTCTCTCCCACACTCCACCCAGCCCCCAGCCTCCTGAGCTCCTTCCTCCTTCTCACCCACTCTAAATGCTTTTGTAAGATCATGTCACTTCTTCTTCCCTCTGCCTGAATATGCTGTCTTGGCTCTTTTCATGGCTGACCCTTCAGGTCTCAAATTAAATGTTGGCTTTGGACAATCCATATGAGCTAAGAATGTGTTCAGCTGCAAGTGACAGAAAACCAGTCTAGCCATAGCATTTAAAATATAGAGCTTTCTTTTTCTTACTGAGCCATTGTGAGAGATAGTTACTGGCTCTTGTTCAGCTGCTTAATGACATCATCAGGGACTCAGCCCTTCAGAGCTTTCCGCTGTTCCACTTTTATCTTCATGCTTGCTCTTTCATGATCTCAAAAAGGCTGTTGCCAGGCCAGATGGCTCATTCATTTTGTTTAAGGCAGAGAGAATGGGGGAAAAGGTAAGAGGCTTTCTCCTCACCAGGCAGGAACAGAAGTCTCACTTACCCCCACCCAGAGGTGACCCCTTGAATCTCACTGGGTTTCCTGTCTCCTTTTAAGCCAGTCACTCACCAAAGGAAATAGGATAATCACACTGATTTAGACCAGTTGTGATTTACCCCTAGAATTGGGGTAGGAGCCACCTTCTCATGATCCAGGAATCCCTGGATGCCACCTGAACACACTAGGTCCTCCTAGAATGGAAGGGGAGCTGGGTCCAGTGGCTCACGCCTGTAATCCCAGCACTTTGGGAGGCCAAGGCACATGAATCACTTGAGATAAGGAGTTCAAAAAAGGCTAGACAACATGGCAAAAGCATGTCTCTGCTAAAAATACAAAAAAAAAAAAAAAAAAAAAATGCTGGGTGTGGTGGCATGAGTCTGTGATCCCAGCTACTTAGAAGGCTGAGGTAGGAGGACTACTTGAGCCTGGGAGGCAGAGGTTGCAGTGAGCCGAAATCGCACCACTCCACTCCAGTCTGGGTGACAGAGCGAGACTCTGTCTCAAAAAAAAAAAAAAAAAAAAAAGGAAGGGGTCAGGAGTGGAGGGGACTGGACCATGTATGCCATACCCCTGTCTCTTTACCTTCTATCATATCACCCTACTCTATTCATGTCCTATATTGCAGCAGCCATAATCTGTAAGGACTTGTATATTTCTTTGTTTACTTGTCAATTGCTGATTTCCAGCACTGGAAAGGAAGCCCCTCAGTGAAGGCAGGGACCTTACTGGTCTTGTTCACAGATGTAGCCCCACTGCCTGGCAACCAATAAATGTTTCTTTGGATCTATAGATAAAAATTCCTACTGCTATTTTTTGACCACTCCTTATACATCTAGCTGCTTTGCATATGTTAGTGCATTTAATACTCCCAACTTTCCATGCAGTCCATATAAGTCTCCCCACCTAATAAATGGGAAAAAGCAAGACTTCAGAAAGATCTAACACCTGTAAAGGCTTCCCAGTGAGTGGCAGGCCTTGGGTTTGAACTCCAGTATCCAAGCTCCATGCCTAAGTGATGCCATGTCATAGATGTAGCAGGTACTTGTAGCCTGCCTATTTCACATCCTCTTGGCCCATCTCTGTTCTCAGCACAGCTGTAGGGAACAATTTCATGCCAGCTCTTCTTGCTCTGTGCTGACAGGGCCCAGGATGCTCTATGCCAAGTACAGCCTGGAGGTGCAGGCAAATTATCTCCAGGAAGAACCTTCAACCAGCAGAGGATGGGAGCTGGTAACATCTCCGGCTTCTGTACTTCAGGTAGACAATTCTGGGATTCTGTATACTCCTGAGAGCCCCATTAGAAAAGAGCACTCCCCTGACTGCTGACTGCCCATTGCCTCCATTGCAGGCAGATTAAAGGCCCCCAAAGATGTCCACATCCTAACCCCAGAACCTGTGACTATGTTATCTTTTATGGTAAAGGGGGCTTTGGAGATATGATTATAGACCTTGAGTTGGGGAGAGGAGCCTGGATTATCCAGGTGGGCCCAATCTAATTACATAGGTTCTTCAAAGCAGATAATTTTTCCCAGCTGTGGTCAGAAAGAGTGTGATGACAGAAAACGGCTCAGAGAGATGTGATGCTGTTGGCTTTGAAGATGGAGAAATGGGCTGCAAGTTAAGGAATGCAGGTAACCTCTAGAAACTAGAAAAGAGAAAGGATTCCCTCCTAGAGACTCCAAGTGGAACACAGCCTTGCTGAGATGTTTAGCTCAGTGAGACCCACGTTGGACTTCTGACCTACAGAACTGTAAGCTACTAATTTTTTTGTCGTGGTAAGCCACTACATTTGTGGTCATTTGTTACAGCAGCAATTGATAACTAATACACCCCATATTATTAAGTGCCTTAATTATATGCACTTATATTGGTTTTTCCTCCATCCCTGTCTCTCCCTACTTCCTAACTCCTTCTTCCCAGGATTATAATTACCTGTACCCAAGTCGTTCTCTCAGGTGCTGTTTCATAGGGCACAAATGCTAAGATCATGGATACATTTTGTACCAACCTTAGTAGTTCTCATATGCCCCATCCCCATACCCAGTTTGCAGTAATTCTGGAATCAATTCAAGGAGCAGCTAAGATTCTTAGCTTCTAAACTAATTTACAAGTTGCAACAAACCTATGCCGTTCTCAAAGGAATAATTAACACGCTCTTGGCTTCTAATTTAAAAACTGTGTGATCATTTTAAATGACATATTTTATTGATTATTATTTCTAAATCTTGTCACCTTGATTTATGCTGTTTGGAAGAAACTCAATGTCTTAAAGAGACATTATTAAAATGGAATGGAGCCCAACTATTTTAACTGAGCTAAGATCTTTTGAAAATATACTAGTCTATACTGCCTGATGATGAAATTGATACTGCTAAGGAAATAATAGTGATTGTTATCATCAAGTGTTCAGCAAGCCAGGTGCCGGTGGCTCATGCCTGCGATCCCAACACTTTGGGAGGCTGAGGCGGGTGGATCACTTGAGGCCAGGAGTTCGAGACCAGCCTAGCCAACATGGTGAAACCCATCTCTACTAAAAATATGAAAATTAGCCAGGCATGGTGGCGGCATCTGTAATTCCAGCTATTCAGGAGGCTGAAGCAGGAGAATCGCTTGAACCCAGGAGGCGGAGGTTGCAGTGAGCCAAGATCGCGCTGCTGCACTCCAGCCTGGGCAACAGAGCAAGACTCCATCTAAAAAAACACTGTTCAGCACAGGAAGCTTTGAGGATTTCACAAAGTATATGTCTATGCAATATACAATTGTTCAATTGTTCCTCCTCTTCCTATTTTCAACTCTTCGAGAGTATGTTACTCTGTCCTTAAAGGTATCCTAACCCAGATTCAGGGAGCTGTGTAGTAATCCACAAGGCAGCATGAATTCTGAGAGACTGTGGCAGATATGGTGGTGGCGGACACCATGCAAGACTTTTGTACTACAGAACCGAGCTCCTACCTTTTTCACGCTTCTTTTCCAATAATTACTTGTAATCCTGCTAAAGTCTGAACAGGTGCAGCTCATGTTCTTTAAAAGGATTAATAATGAAAGGCTGTTTGAAGCCACAGGCGACAGGAAACCTAGTTCTGTCTAGAAATGCTCTTGTGTACATATGTCTGCTTAAGAGAGGGGTGGCTAGAAATAGCAGGCCAGGCAGTAACTCACTGGGCTCCGCTCTAATGCTCTGTGACTGGGGAAGTTTGCAAAGGATTTCCCGAGCAGGCAGCGGGCAGCTCTCTGCAGCACTCCCTCTGACAGCTGCTCAGCATTAGGGACAGAAGGTGCTGCAGGGAACCCTGACACTGCCAGGGCTGCACTCCCTGCAGCTCCCCTGTGCTTCCACTCAGGAATCGATGCAGCACATCTTTGGAAAGTTTGTTTCCTCTAAAAACAAAAGGTTGTTCAGAGGAGATTTAGTCTGCATCGCATTAGATGGCAAGTCAGTAAGCATATGAATATCGCCATCCCTGTACCTCCACAGTCACAGCAGGTTATGGGCTGCTGGCCCCCATGCCTCCCAGTGTCAGGGTGACAGCATTCGGGAATTGAAGGATTAAAGCCAGCCACCCATTCAAGAGAAGGAGAGAAGCAGGGAAACACTAAGCACTTAAAATGCTCTGCTCCAAGATGCTGCGCAGGACAGCCAAGAGAGAGGGCTGTGAACTGAGGGTTGGGGTTTATGTAATTATGTGTCTCTAAGGGAAGGACAGAGGAAGAGAAGAGAAGGAGGGAGGAGGAATGAAAGGAAGGAGGTAGAAGTGAATAGAAGGAGGGAAAAAGAAAGGGAGGAAGGCTTTGTTCCAGAATCTGGAATTGGTTCTGAACAAAACGTTGAAATGTGTGAAGTTAGACTCCGAGGCCTCTCCATCTCTCTGTATTGTGTTAGGAAACCTTTCTCCCCCAGGGGCACAGATCCTCCCAGGGGCGATAACCATGGCAACCTCATTTGAGTGGGATGGGTCCCACTTCTCACCTTGCTCCTTGTCAGAGTCGGCCTGTCCAGCATGCCACTCTCTGTCCTGATGGCTGCCTGCTCACAGAGGGGCAGCGATGGACAAATGAAGACATCATGGCAACCAGCTAACATGTTCCATCTCTGAGAGAAAACAGCTTCTCTCTTCGGGCAAAGCTACAGAAAATGTGCCTTCCCGTAATAATGATTCCCCCTGGACTGCCCAGCCAAGGGCCTGCGTCAGCGCTGGCCAATGTCCGGCGTCTGTCTGGCTCTCCCCCTCCCCCTCCTCTCGGCGGTGACTCGCTCTCATTTCACACAGGCTCTGCTTAAAGGTCACCTCCTTAGAAACAGCCTCCTTGGCTACACCACCTAAAACCACACCCCATTCATCTGTATCCCTTTACCTTGCTTTCTTTCCCTTTCTTACACTGACACACTACCTAACTTTCTATCAAATCCTCCTGCGCTATAGAAGTCTGTTTGGATCTCCTCTAAGTATACAAAGAATGTAAACACCACATAACAAACCACATACTCTCTTCGTGCAAGGGAGCAAACGCCTTTTCCATCCTCTCTTGGAAGAAGGATCACACACAGATTATGCAGCCAGGGTGATTCTCCATGGTGGTGTCCTTCTCTTCATAAAGTAGAAATCCTCCTGGCAGCCTAAATCCCCAACCCATGGACAGCTTGAAATTACATACAAATGATTTCTTAAGCAACTTTTACCATAACACAGAACTCTAAAATACCCAAATTTCGGATTTCAAATGGATAATCATAGACCCAGAACACAGTATTAAAAATTACTTTTAAAATGAGCACATATAGATTTAAAACAGCAGGTTTTCTCCACGAGGAACTAAGACATTGACCAAGAATATAAAAGGAAGGAACATAGTCATTCTGGAGCTTGAACCATTCTCAGGGCAGTTGAGCCTACGTGGATCTGTCCAGCCTTGGGCCTGGGAGCAGAAAGAAAGGGGAAATTGGGAGGCAAAGCAAGTGGACCCTTCAGAAGCTTCCACCTCCCTCCTGCTTCTAGGGGAACCCCTCTCACTGACCCCAGCTGCCCAACACCAACAATGTCCCTTTCTCAGCAGTATTCATCAGAACCTGCTCCTCAGGAAGAAAAATTCATTCAAAAATTCAAAATGTTAGAAAATAACGAATCCAACTGATCAGTAAGTCTCCCAGGAGTTGTGTTATTTTAACAGGAGATGTGCAATTCATCCTTAGAAAAGAACCTCAAGGCCCGGTGCGGTAGCTCATGCCTGTAATCCCAGCACTGTGGGAGGCCACGGTGGGTGAATCACCTGAGGCCAGGAGTTCCAGACCAGGCTGGCTAATGTGGTGAAACCCCATCTCTACTAAAAATACAAAACTTAGCTGGGCATGGTGGTGCACGCCTGTAATCCTAGCTACTCAGGAGGCTGAGGCAGGAGAATCACTTGAACCTGGGAGGCAGAGGTTGCAGTGAGCCAAGATCAGACTACTGCACTCCAGCCTAGACAACAGAGCAAGATTCTGTCTCAAAAAATAAAAAAATAAAAAAAAATAATAAATAAATAAGAATATCACTTTATTTAGGAAGCTCTCCCTAACCCCCAAGACTACATTAATTGCTACTAGTTGGAGGTCCCATAACAAATACTCTGTACATGTCTCCATCTTGCATTTGCCACATTTTATGACAGCTTGTATGTCTGTAAGTTCCATGGGGGCTAGGGATATACCAAGCTCTTGACATGGAGCAGGTGCTTAATGAACATTGAAGGAAGAAAGGAAGGAACAAATGAATGAATAACTGCATCTGTTTCCCCTACTGGACCAGGGCACTTCAAGGACAGAAATGGTACCTTATTTACCTTTCCATCTGAAAGGCAGTATAGCATAGTCAAGGTAGGACTCTGCAGCCAAGATGCCTGGGTAAAAATCCAGATTTTGTCACTTAGTAGTGCTAACTGTGCCTCTGTTTCCTCCTCTGTAAACAGGAGATAATTAATAGTACCTACCTAATAGGATGTAATGATTATTAAAAGTATTAATATATTGAAAGTACTTAGACTGGTACCCACCACATAGTATCATGTGTTAGTTATTATTGTTGTTATTAGTTGAATTCTCAGTACCTACCTAGCAGAGATTCAGTAAATGGACACGTTGTGTATCAGTCACAGATGGGCAAAGTATAAAGGTACAAATCCTCCTTTCCCTGAAATTCTGCCTATTTCATGGACACTGCTGGCCCTGGGCACAGAGGATGAGAAAGATGAGGAGGAGGTTTGTCTACTAAAGACAAACTCCACCAACCACTAACTTCACTGTCCAGTACAGAATAGTACTTTATTATATCATGTTCTGAAGCAGTTCTCATTTTAGTGGAATTTTTACCACATTTCTTTAGATGACTACCTCAAGTTTCTGATTCTCTTTAACCAAGAAGACTTAGTTCTTGAGTAGACAAAGTAGACAGTTGAGCGCATTTCTGTTTGCAACTCTTTTATTTGTTGTCTTAGTCCATTTGGGTGGCTATAATGAAATGCCATAAATTGAGTGGCTTGTAAACAACAGAAATTTATTTCTTACAGTTCTGGAGGTGAAAAGCCAAGGTCAAGGCATATTCAGTGTCCGGTGAGGGCCCGCTTATTGGTTAGCTGCGTCCTCACATGGTGGAAGGGGCTAAGCAGCTCTCAGGGGCCTCTTTGACAAGGGCACAAATCCCATTCATGAGAGCTTCACTCTCTGGAATTAATCACCTCCCAGAGGCCTCACTTCCTAATGTCATTACCTTAGGGGTGAGGATTTCAACATAGCAATTTTGGGGACATACAAACATTCAGACATAACATTTGTCTAGTCTCATTGTCTAGTATAGATCTTAATTTTTAATAAGAAAACACACTTAAGGTAAACATTTGGCTTCCCACAACTGAATTACTACTTGAAAATTAATACTAGTTAAGTAACTCACCAAATATACGCAAAAGTATCCTGGAGACAGAGTGATATACAGGTGATTTGTCTTCAGTTGCATATTTTTAAAGCAAATAATGAGTTTTAGATTGATTGTTAAAACTTATTAAAAACAGACTAAAATGTTTACAATAAAACATTTCAAAGTAGATAAGAATATCGAGGCAAAGAAAACATAAAACCTTACCCAAAACAAATTTTCCTCTTCTTGTTTGGATAACTCAAACTAGATGTGGGATCAGGAGATGCCTCAATTAGTTTAAATTTATTCCTATCTGTTGTAACGAAATAAGCAAGGTACGTATGAAGGTTCTATACACACAAACACATGCTGAATTCTGCTTTGTTCTTTGTTTTTCATGCTTTTATTTAGCTTACTCTCTCTGTATATATATAGAGGGAGGGACCTGGTAGGAGGTGATTGGATCACGGGGGCAGTTTCCCCCATGCTGTTCTCGTGATAGCGAGTTCTCATGAGATCTGATGGTTTAAAAGTGGCACTTCCCCCTTCACAGTCTTTCTCTCCTGCCACCATGTGAAGAAAGTACTTACTTATCCTTCCTTTTCTACCATGATTGTAAGTTTTCTGAGGCCTCCTCAGCCACGAAGAACTGTGAGTCAATTAAACCTCTTTCCTTTAATAAATTACCCAGTCTCAAGTAGTTCTTTATAGCAGTGTGAAAATGGACTAATACAGATCCCCCCCACCACAACATTCAGCTGAGTACTCATCAATGTATATATGTGAAGCAACTACCTGAGGCTAGGGAAAAAACTACTCATAATGAGAGGTAACAGTGTCCAGTGTTCAAACAGATCCAATAACAATGTCGGTTTCCACCAGCCAGAAAGCAAGCCCCATGATTCACAGGACATTGGTAGAGTACAAAAGACTTTGGCTGAGGAGTAGGGAAGAATTAGTCCTGGACTGACCAGACCCAGACCCCTGCTCCAGACCCACCTAACAAATTTGAAAAAGTAAGATCTGAAAGAATCGATTTGTTTTCAAGTAACTTCTTTGCATCCCAGAACAAAGCTCAGTAATATTTATAGGAATTCCAAAATATCCAATGCTCAACAAGATAAAATGTACAATGTTTGTGTTATGAACTGAATGTTTGTGTCCCCCTCTAAATTTATGTGTTGAAATTCTAACTCCCAATATGATGATATTTGGAGGTGGGGCCTTTAGGAGAAAATTAGGTCCTAAAAGTGGACCCCTCATGGATGGGATTAGTGCTCTTATAAAAAATAATGTGAGAGCTGGCTTTTTCTCTCTTTGCCATGTGATGTTGGCAATATGCAACCCAGAAGAGGACCCTCACCAGAGCCAACTGTGCTGACATCCTGATTTCAGAATTTCAGTTTCCAGAACTATGAGAAATAAATATTTGTTCACAAGCCACCTAGTTTATGGTAATTTGTTACAGCAGCACAAATTGACTAAGACAGTCTGAAATCTAATAAAAAAATTACTAGGCATGCAAAGAAGCAGAAGAATGTGACTCATAGTAAGAATAAAAATCAATCAGTTGAAACTGACTCACAACTGACATTAAGGTTAGAATTGGCAAACAAGGATATTAAAATAATTATAACTAATAGATACATGAGAGATATAAAAAAAGATTCAAATCAAACTTCTAGAGATGAGGAGTACAATGTGTGAGCTGTAAAGTATGCTTAATGGTATTATTGACAGATTAGACATTGTAGAAGAGATTAGTGACCTTGGAGACATAGACATAGAAGCTGTCCAAAATGAAGCAAAGAGAGAAAGGAAACTGATTTAGTCATGGTTACCCAGACAGAACTGATAGAATACATATATATATAGATACATGAGAAAGGACTGATTATGAGAATTGGCTCACTTGATTGAGGTTGAGAAGTCCCACAACAGCCTGTCTGCAAGCTGGAGAAGCAAGGAAACCATAGTATGACTCAGTCCAAGTCCAAAGGCCTCAGAACCAAGGAGGCTAATGGTGAGAACTCTGAGACTGAGGCTGAAGGCCTGAGAGCCCAGGGGGCTGTCATACAAGTCCTATCGTCCAATAGCCAGAGAATCTAGAGTTATGATGTCCAAAGGCACATCCCCACTCCATAAGAGAGAACAAAAATTCACTCTTACTCCATCCTTTTGTTCAATTCAGGCCCCCAGCTGATTGGATGATGTCCATCCACATTGAAGCTAGATCTTCCCCACTCAGTCCACCAACTCATATGCCAATGTCATCTGGAAACACCCTCTCAAACATTCCTGGGGGAGCCCAATCATTCCAATCAAATGGCAAGCCATCTGGGTTTCCCTTTCAGCAGAAAAGGGATGTGCTCAGTGCCCACTGAAGCACTGAGAATAAACAATGCTTTCCCAGGTACCTAAGTGTCCCTTAATCCAGGCAAGTTGATACCCAAAATCAACCATCACAGAGACTTTTATTTTTTTTTTAATGAACAGAGGATCAGTGATCTGTGGGCCAATTTCACTTGGGCTAATATTTGTGAAACTGGAGTTCCTGAAAAAATAAGATAAGGGTACAAAAATATTTGAAGATGGGAGGCTGAGGCAGGAGAATCGCTTGAACCTGGGAGGCAGAGGTTGTAGTGAGCCGAGATTGTGCCATTGCACTCCAGCCTGGGCGACAGTGTGAGACTCTGTCTTAAAAACAAACAAACAAAATATATATAACTATATATATATATTTGAAGAAATGGCCAGAAAATTTCCAAATTTTATGAAAATTATTAACCCACAAATCCAATTTTGAATTCCAAATACAAGAAATATAAACAAAGCAACATCAAGACACATCATGACTAAATTGCTCAGAAACGGTGATAAAGAGAAAAATCTTAAAAACAACCACATAAAAAAAAAAACCCACACATTAGATACAGAGGAACAAAGATAAGGATGAGAGCAGATTTCTTTTTTTTTGGAAACAATACAAGTAAGGAGACAATGTATCCACATCTCTAAAAGTACTAAAAGATCATTTGATAAGGCAAGCACTACCTTGATACTAAAACCTAACAAAGAAACTACAAGAAAACTACAAGTCAATATTGCTCATAAAGTCAACCTCTCCATTTGCAGACAACATGGTCATGTATGTAGAAAATGTGATGGAATCTATTTTTTAAAAATACTAGTACAAATTATTTTAGCAAGATCATAGGACACAAGATAAATATGCAAAAACCAATTGTATTTCTATATACTAGCAATGAACAACTGGAAAATAACTTTTTTAAAATAATGCTATTTACAATAGTATCAAATATATGAAATAGGGATAAATCTGACAAAAGATGTGAAAGTCTTCTACACTAAAACTATAAAACATTGGCAACAGGAATTAAATTAGACCTAACTAAACAAACAAACAGATATAACATGTTCATGATTCAGAAGAATCGATATTATTAAGATGTTCATTCTTCCCAAATAGACCTATAGAGTCAACCCACTGCCAATCAATATAGCAGAAGGCTTGGTTTTTGTAGAAATTAACAACCTAATTCTAAAATCCAAGGGACTTAGAATAGTGAAAGCAACTTTGAAAACAAAAACAATGACTAGCCTAGGCAACATAGCAAGACCCCATCTCTACAAAAATAAAACATTTAGCCAGGCATAATGGTGTGCACCTGTAGCCCTAGCTACTCAGGAGGCTGAAGTGGGAGGACTGCTTGAGCCAGGGAGTTGGAGGCTGCAGTGAGCTATGATCATGCCACTGCACTCTAGCCTGGGCAAAAGAGCAAGACCATGTCTCTAAAAAAAATAATAAAAGAAAAGAAGAACAAAGTTGGAGGACCAATGCTACCTGATTTCAAGACTTTCTATAAAGCTAAACTAATCAAGATAGGTATTATTGTCATAAAGATAGATGTAGAGCCATGGAACAAAACATCCAGAAATAGACTCACATATAGATGGCAACTGATTTTTTACAAAGTCACAAAGGCAAAGCAGTGGAGAAAGGATAGTCCCTTCAACAAACGGTACTGGAACAATGAGATATTCATATGCCAAAAAAATGGACTTCATGTCTTGTACTATGTTTAAAAATTAACTCAAAATGGGCCATAGGCTTAAATGTAAAACTAAATATTATACAGTTTCTATGAGAAAACATAAGGAAAAAACCTTTGACTTTGGGTTAAACAAAGATCTTATAGACCCAACCCCAAAAGTATAATCCAAAAAAAAAACAAATTGATGAGTTAAACTTCATCAAAATTAAAAACTTCTGCTCTTTCAAAGAATGAAAAGACAGGCACAGTCTGGGAGAAAATCTTTTAAAATCATATATCTAATGATATGATTAATTCAGAATATATAAAGAACTTCCAAAACTATATTATAAGAAAACAACTCAGTAAAAACCTGGGCAAAAGATTTGAACAGACACATCATCAATGAAGACAGACTAACAGTAAATTAAGTGCATGAAAATATGCTTGACATCATTATCCATTAGGGAAATGCAAATTAAATCCACAGTGAGATACCACTACATACCTATTAGAGTGACCAAAAAGAAAAAGATTGACCGTGTCAGTGTAGGTGAGGATGTGGAAGAAATGGAAGTCTCATATACTGCTGCAGGGAATGGAAAATGATACAGACATTTTGGAAGACAATTGACAGAGTCTTTGAAAGTTAAACATACACCTACCATATGATCCAGCCATCCTGCTTCTAGGTGTTTAGCCAAAAGGAAAGGAGCTATATATTCATTCAAACACATGTGGATGAATGCTCATAGCAGCTTTATTTGTAAAAGAAAAACTGAAAGAACCCAAATTTCCATCCACAGATAAGTGAATATACTGTATAGGGTATCTGTATAATGGAGAGTGACTACTCAGCAATGAAAGGAAACGAACTATTAATATACATACACTTCAACTTGGATGAATCTCAACATGATTATTCTGAGTAATAGAAGCAAGATAAAGGACTCAGAGAGTACACACTATAAACTTTCATTTAGATGAAATTCTAGAAAAGTCAAACTAACTTATAATGACAGAAAGCAGATTAGGGATGGGAGGGAGAGATGACAAAGGGGCACCAGGACCCTTTTGGGATGATGAATATGTTCACTATCTTGATTATAGTATTACACACATGTCAAAACTTATCAAATAGAACAGTTTTAGTATGTACCACATGTTGCATGTCGATTATACCTCAATCGAGTTGGGTTCTTTTACAATTTTAAGTTTAAAATTATCTGTGAATAATACTCTTAACCTTTAGCCCTTGGCTTTGGCCAAGATGCCTTCTCATGCATAATTCTTTGCAGAGAAAGCTACATCTCCTTCACTTATGGTGGTGAGCCAAGGGGTAAACAAATGCTTTAATCATTGTGATAGCCATAGTTCTAGCACTTGACTCATAAGAAGTACTTAGTGTGTGTGTAATAATACTTCATGCTTAGAAGTTATATGGGTCTAAAATTCAATAACGAACTATACAAATGTGATTTGTAATAAACTTAAAAGGTGACATCTATGAAGCATTGCACATCACAAGAGCATGTATTTCTTTCAAATACACAGAAGAAAATCGAGGAACAACTGAGCAAGGTCTACCCTGCAAGGGGTCCTGAGGATGGTGATCCAGCCAGTGAGTCAGAATCTGACTTACGCCCAGGAGCCAGCTACCTCAAAGTGCTGAGCACATCAAATTCAAAATGGCTGGTGAAAATGCTTGCCTCTGGTAGAAGAGCTGCAAGTAAATTGGACATCAGAAGGAAAACAATTTAACTCATGCAAACACAACTCAACTAAAAACAGAGATTAAAGAGAGCTGCTGTAACTCACACCAAATATTTAGCAGCTGCAATTTTCATTTTTTACTGCCAAGTTCAATTCACAAAAACAACAACAATATTTATTTAACATCTGTTATGTGGCAACAGTGTGGTAGTCATCTTTAAGGCTGTTAAGCATTTGAATAAATTATAGGAGGCAATGAATCTCCCTTCTAAGAAATCTTTCTCATTTGGATACAGAATGTGTCTATACAAAATGAAATATGCGTAGATCTTCCAAAACAAGATCTTCTTTGTGTAGCTCTTCCAAGACAAGATCTTATCTATGACTTTTTTTATATATTCAAGCTTTCATGGCCATGATACCTTACATAAAAAACTAATTGCAGCACAGTTCACAATAGCTAAGATTTGGAAGCAACCTAAGTGTCCATCAATAGATGACTGGACAAAGAAAATGTGGTACATATATACAATGGAGTACTATTCAGTCATAAGAAAGAATAAGATCCTGTCATTTGCAGCAACATGGATGGAACTGGAGATCATTGTGTTAAGTGAAATGAGCCAGGCACAGAAACACAAACTTCATATGTTCTCACTTATTTGTGGGAGCTAAAAATTAAAATAATTGAACTCATTGAGATAGTAAAAGGATGGTTACCAGAGGCTGGAAAGGGTAGTGGTGGAGTAGGTGGAAATGGGGATGGTTAATCGGTTCAAAAAAATAGGATGAATAAGACTTAGTATTGGCTAGCGCAACAGGGTGACTATAGCAAAAAATAATGTAATTGTACATTTTAAAGTAACTAAAATAATATAAATGGATTGTTTGTAACACAAAGGATAAATGCTTGAGGGGATGGATACCCCATTTACCCTGATGTGATTATTAGGCATTGCATGCCTATATCAAAATATGTCATGTAACCCATAAATATGTATACCTATTATATACCCACGAACATTAAAAATAATTTTTTAAAAAAAATTAATAGGATATTATGTCATTTCCCCCAGGTCTGGCTCAGTAATTCCCCATGAACAATGTAGAGGACGTATTGTCTAGTTAACTTGGTTAAATAAGGACTCAATGAATGGGGAAAAATGTATTTGGAAATTCTTTCCTAAAACTGAAATACCGTGGTCATCCATTCATTAAATAGTCACTGAATTCCTACCATGTCCTGGGAGTGTGCAGTGGTGAACAAGCCAGACATGTGGTCTTTGCTCACATGAAGCCTATGGGGAGACAGGAGATCCAAAAATAAATATACCATTACACGTTGTAATTAATTGAAAATATTTGTGTATACTAGGAGGCAGAGAAAGCCCAGTGTGCTGCCTTACTGTAATTTCCAGTCTCTCCAGAAATAAGAAAGGCACTGCTCCACTGCCTTTTAATTGCAGCTTTTCTATGTTTTTGCATTAGGAGTAATTATGTGCCCTTGACATTTTTGTGCTCAGAGTGCAGCAATCTGCCTAACAAGCATGGCTTGCTTCTCCCTGGACATAACTACTGAGTAATTGGCAGGCAGGCCGGACTGACCTGCGCCACACACAGAGCCAGAGCCCGCTGCCAATGCTTCAGGCCCAAGGGCTGTGCTCCTGGGTGCATAGCACAGAAAAGACTGCCAGGCTGTGTCAATCTTTTTAATCATGCTTACGCATATAGGTTAACCACAGTTATGTAAGCAGGTTCTGAGAAAAGGTGAGAAAGAGAATGGAGAGTTTTGCTACAACAGAGGCAGGATTCTGAATTTATTTCCAGCTGCCCATCTTGTCCCTCCTGGAGACCTAACCCCTCCAGCACCTACACACACAGCCTCTTTAGAAGCAACTATCCTGCCACTGGCTCAGAAAGGCTGAGTCCTAAGAATTCTAAAATCTTGCTCCTAAGAAATCTCAAGCTTCTTTTGTGGTAAGTGGCTTAATGAGACAGGGTAAGTGATAAACAAGAAGAATCATTGTATCATTTTATGTTTTTATCATGTTGTCATTGCACTGGCTAAGTTCATCTTTGATGGTAAAATACTAACGCAAATTGAAGCTGTGATAAAAGGGCTTTCAATATGAAATAGACAAGACATATAATGGAAAGAAATGCTTCCAGAATGGATTTCCATAAAAACGTGGCAAGACTTTCTCAGTGCCATTCTTTAAAATCTCTGCTATTTTTCAACAAATGCCAGATGTTAAAGCATTTGCATAGTATCCCTTGGAGGGTTGGGTGTAAAGACATGCATTAATATCAGGTTAATAGAAAATATCTACAATAACAAAATGTCCACACACAGATGCTCAATAAATGCCATAGCACTTGTTATGACTAATTATTATGAAGTACACGGACCCCTTTTCATATCAAATAATTTACTAGACCCTCACTTATAGATCTTGTACTCCTACTTGGTTGAGAATGTATCAAAATAACTAAAAATGTCACTGTGAATTTCATTAAATCTTGTATAAAGATCGAAATGTAGGCCTCCAGCTGTGAAATTTAGAATCTCATCTTTTACTAGCCTTGACCAGCTGTGAGTGAAATGCCAGATCAAAGTTTATTTTTCATAAATATTTAAGTAATGTCACAATTAGCAATGCTATTCTAGATAATTATTTAATTTCACTACATATTATAAACTGAAAATCTATGAAAAAAATTATATACTAATTTAATTGTCTTGGGAAATATAATAGAAATGGACCATAGTTTGACATTAGATGTTTTGGTATTAGGTTTGTGCAAAAATAATTGCTTTTAATGGCAAAACTGCAATTACTTTTGCACCACCCTAATGGTTCATATGACATCACCAACAATCATCCAGAAAGCTTCATATTAATCTTAAATGAATTGTTGCCATTAACAAAGCTTTCTTCTCTGAGATTCAGCTGGAGAAGTTCATTTTGGAAAACATTTAAAACTGTTATGCACATGAATCTCTGAAAAGATATGAAGCTCTGGCAAAAAAATAAATGAAGGCTAAAAACAGAGGGAAACAATTTCCCAGTGCAAAAGATTTTCTATTATTTTCATTATTATTCCTTAGATGTTTTGGCTGAAGATACAAAAAGAAAAACAAATAGATATGTTTTCCTCAAAAACCATCACTTTATTTTTGTGCCACGGTTTTTGTTTAAAATAAGATGACAGAGAAGAAAATTATAGAGATAAAATCAATTGTAGTAACCAAAAAAAAAAAAAAAAATCAGTTTTAGTAACCAAAGGAAATCAGTCTGTATTTCCAAAACCTTTGTGTGAGAGCCCATCAGTGTGGTTGGCAGATGTTTTACAAACACTTAGGGAATCTGTCATGAACTTTAAAGACCAAGAGAGCTTTTTCTGTTTGCCAGGAAATCTAGGAAAACAAAGGAAAATTAAACCCATTAGCCTAGTTTAACATCATGTGCTTCCCCCACTCGCCCCTCCCCTCATAGCCAGGGCTTACACAAACACACTGAATGGTACTTACGTTCCTTAGGTATTACCAGTTGGCCCCGTTTCAAGGCTTTAAAAAAGCCTCATCACTATGCACCCAACGTTAACACTCAAAGCCCCGCAGGGCTGTATCTTGGACGGCTGTTGCTACTGAGTGTGATTCTCAGCAGATGAAATGCTAGCAGCAGCAGCAGCAGCATCTATGAACTGCCTTATAATAAACTGCAACTTGGCTGCACTTAGTCATCACCAGGGCCACGCGCTGATGCGTGAACTCCACCCTCAGAGACTCTGATTTCATTGGTCTGGGAGTGGCCTGGACATCAGGATCTTTTCCTTTTTTTTAAAAAAAAATAATAATAATTATAATCCACAAGATTTTCCTAATGGTTACATCTCACACCATGAAATTGACTTTGGTAAAATGTGTGTATAGTTCTCTGTCACTTTATCACGTGTGTAGGTTTGTCTAATCAGCATTGCAATTATGATACAGAACTATTCCTTCATCACAAAGATATGCCTTTATGGTATCACTTACCTGCCTTCTCTCTACTATCCCTAACTCCTGACAAACACTAATCCCGATAATTTTGTCATTTCAAGACTGTTAAATAAATGGAATCGGCCAGGCGTGGTAGCTCATGTATGTAATTCTAGCACTTTGGGAGGCCGAGACGGGTGGATCACTTGAGGTCAGGAGTTTGAGACCAGCCTGGCTAGCATGTCGAAACCCCATCTCCACTAAAAATACCCCAAAATTAGCCAGGTGTGGTGGCGCGCGTCTGTAGTCCCAGCTACTCAGGGGGCTGAGGCACGAAAATCACGCGAATCCAGGAGGTGGAGGTTGCAGTGAGCCAAGACTGCACCACTGCACTTCAGCTTGGGCGACAGAGTGAGACTCTGTCTCTAAATGAATAAATAAATGGAATCATACAGTGTGTACCCTTTTGAGATTGGCTTTTTCACTCAGCATAATGCACCTGAGATCCATCTAGGTCGTATGAGTCAATAGTTCATTCCTTTTTATTGCTGGTATAGATGTACTACACCTTGGGGCTATTACAAATAAAGCTGCCATGAACATTTGTATAAAAGTTTTTGTGTGACCTGCCTGGGCAACCATAGCAAAACCCCATCTCTGCCGGAAAAAAAAAAAAGTTAGCCGGGCATGGTGGGATACACCTGTAGTCCCAGCTACTCAGGAGGCTGAGGTGGGAGGATCGCTTGAGCCCAGGAGGTCAAGGCTGCAGTGAGCCACAGTCACACCACTGCACTCAAGTCTGGGTGACAGAGCAAGACTCTGTCTCAAAAATTTATGAAAAGTTTTTGTGTGGGAACATAAGTTTTTATTTCTCTGGCATGAATGCCAGAAGTGCCGTTGTTGGATCGTATGTTAAGTATATGCTTAGTTTTCAAAGAAACTGCCAAACGTTTTTCCAGAGTGGCTGTACCATTTTACATCTCCACCAGCAAGGAGAGATCCAATTTCTCCACATTCTTGCCAACATTTGATATTGTCACTATGTTTTATTTTAGCCATTCTGTAGGTGTGTAGTGGAACTTCATTGGGGTTTAGTTTACATTTCCATCAAAATGAGTGATGTTGAACATCTTTTCATGTGTTTATTTGCCATCTGTATATCCTCTTCAGTAAAATGTCTCTTTATATCTTTTGCCCATTTTCTAATTGGATTTGGGCATGGGCCAGAGAGATGGAAGAGGGGCAGTGCATCGAAAACTTCCCTAAGTGTATCTACTATGCAGCCAAGTTTGGGAAGCACTGCGTCATTATAACTTCTTTATATAGGTACACTCTAAATGTAAGCCATTGCACTTGTGCTAATATTAAAATAAGGTCAGTGTGGGCACTGGCTAATTAAACATGCCTGCAGTCCAAGGGAAAAACACTGGAGATGCTTTCCATGACCTCAGGTTGTTTGCATATACTCATCATAAGGCTGGAGGAATGAGCCCTGCAGGGAATATTTCTGGAAATGTGGCCCAAATATCTTCTGCTTTAAAATCATGGCATGTGTATGTGCATGTGTGCACCTGTGCACATGTGTGAAAAATGGTGATTCCCCAGTCCCAAGCCCCATACCTACTAAATCAGGACTTTTGAGGATGAGGCCTAGAAATCTATATACATAGCCCAGCAGATTTCCACACACTCAAAAATTTGAGACCTATCTTGCTCAAGGAAGACTGGGGACCCAATCTCCACTTCAGGGCATAGGTGGATGCCTTCCTATTAAGAAATCAGTTGGCCGGGCACAGTGGCTCACGCCTGTAATCCCAGCACTTTGGGAGGCCAAGGTGGGTGGATCACAAGGTCAGAAGATCGAAACTATCCTGGCTAACATAGTGAAACCCCGTCTCTACTAAAAATACAAAAAACTAGCTGGATATGGTGGCACACACCTGTAGTCCCAGCTACTTGGGAGGCTGACACAGGAGAATCACTTGAATCCAGGAGGCAGAGGTTACAGTGAGCCGAGATCGCACCACTGCACTCCAGCCTGGATGACAGAGTGAGACTCCATCTCAAAAAGAAAAAAAAGAAATTGGTTTAGGCAGGGCACAGTGGCTCCTATCTGTAATCTCAGTGCTTTGGGAGGTCAAGGCAGGAAGATTGCCTGAGGCCAGGAGTTTGAGACCAGCCCAGGCAACACAGCAAGACCCTGTCTCTAAAAAGAAAAATAAAAAGGCCAGGTGCAGTGGCTCATGCCCGTAATCCCAGCACTTTGGGAGGCCAAGGCAGGTGGGTCACCTGAGGTCAGGAGTTCGAGACCAGCCTGGCCAACATGGCAAAATCCTGTCCCTACTAAAAATACGAAAATTAGCCGGGCGTGGTCGTGGGCGCCTGTAATCCCAGCTACTCAGGAGGCTGAGACAGGGAGAACTGCTTGAAGCCAGGAGGCGGAGATTGCAGTGAGCTGAGATTGCCCAACTGTACTCCAGCCTGGGCAATAGAGCAAGTCTCTGTCTCAAAAAAAAAAAAAAAAAAAAAAAAGAGAAAGAAAGAAAGAAAGAGGGAAGGAGGGAGGGAGGAAAGAAAAGAAAAGAAAGAGAGGGAGGGAGGAAGGAAGGAGAAAGAAAGAAAGAAAGAAAGAAAGAAAGAAAGAAAGAAAGAAAGAAAGAAAGAAAGAAAGAAAGAAAGAAACCAAAACAGGCATAGTGGCATGTGCCTGTAATTTCAGCTACTCAGGAGACTGAGGCAGGAAGATTGCTTGAGCCTAGGAGTTTAAGGTGTATGAGCTGTGATTGCGCCACTGCATTCCCACCTGGGTGACAGAGTGAGACCCCGTCTGAAAAAAGAAAAAAAAAAAAAGAAAAAGAAATTGGTTTAGAGAAGAGTTGCCTTGAGCCAATTTGGGGCATAGAAATGTGTGTTCTACTTCTGAAATGTGAGGAACAGAGAGGGGCAGGATAGTGTGTTTTTGTATACTGCCAAGCTGTTCTTGAGAAGCAATAATTTGTAGTGATCAATAAAGATAACTAACATGTATGAGCACTAATTAGTGCTAGGCTTTCCCCACACACTAGCTCCTCTTGTTCTTATAACAAGTTAGAGGTTATTATATTCTCTACTTTGTAGATGAGGGAGCTGAGGTTCAGAGAGTCCTGGTCATTTGCCCAATATCATAGGACTAGCAGATGTCAGGCTGTTTTTCCTTCTGGAGTCTCCCTTATTGTTGTCCTTAGTTGTCCCAAACTCTGGTTTTTATTATTAAATATTTTTAGAAGACCTACTGGAACCTAATTTTAAACAGAAACTAGGCCAGGTGCAGTGGCTCACGCCTGTAATCACAGTGCTTTCAGAGGCCGAGGCATTTGGATCACTTGAGGCCATCCTGGCCAACATGGTGAGACCCCCATCTCTCTAAAAATATGAAAATTAGCCGAGTGTGATGGTGCACGCCTGTAATCCCAGCTACTTGGGAGGTTGAGATAGGAGAATTGCTTGAACCCAGGAGGTGGAGGTTGCAGTGAGCTGAGATTGCACCACTGCACTCCAGCCCGGGTGACAGAGCAAGACTCTGTCTCAAAAATATATAATAATAATAATACAAATTAGAAAAATTATTTTTTAAAAAGAAACTATAAGAATTTATAAAGGTATTTACACATCCCTGAATAGCCTAACTGATCATCAATTTGTGGGCTGAAATAAATGCTGCACAGAAGTGGTATATCTAATTATTTCTCTGGTGTAGTACTGCAGTCTGAACTGTAAGCATGAAGCTGGTGGAGCTCTCTGGAGCACTCAAGTGGTAAACTACTAAACAGTGGTAAAAATTCCTTTTATCCTGCTGCTCGGGAACCTGTCATTATGGGGAGAGTAAGCCACACCCTTTAAATATACACATGTGGCCCTGGTATCCATTTACACAGCTGCCAGGTGAAAGCCCTTTTGTTTTCCAGCTTCTGTCCTGAATCATCTTGGATGACTGCCTCAGGTCTCTGTGTGGCTCTGACATAATTGATATTTTCGTAACATACCCAGCTTCATTGTTCACAGTTCTGGTCTGTGCCAGTTTATGTGTTTGAGCCTCAGGTAAGTTGAGCGCTGTGGACATATGGGTGTGATGAAATGGTTTCCTCTCTTCCCTTTCCACCTTCGAAACCTAAGCCTTCCTGCAAGGCTCCTAGCCTTCCGGGTTTCCATAGAAATCAGAGCCTGAGGCCAAGTTTAAGGTATAAGGCTCTATCCCAGAGCTGGAAGGGTGAGGGGAAGGGAGTCAATGTGGGGTGATATGAACCAAACTGGCCAGGGTGCCACAGAAACCACACCTGTCACAGCCACGCAGGACTCTCTGGATGGGCCATATGGAGCCACCACACTTCGAAATCGTCACAGGGGAGGAAGAGAGAGGAGCTTATCTCCTGACTCTCTGGTCAAAGCGGGTCCTCTGTGGATTCAACTCTCCCCCATTTTGGGCTATTTACCTTTTAAACAGTGGCAAAGCAGCCATCTTCTAGGTCCCTAGCCAGGGGGCAAGAAGCTTCATCTGAGTCTGCAAGTGCTGGGAACAGCCGGTGCCCTGTGCTAGGGCCCGGGCTGCAAATGCCTACGGCTCCCATAAGGTGGGCATTGTAGCAGCCATGCCTAAGCCCAGCTCTCAGCCCTCACCCTGTGGGGAAGCAGCATCTGCAGATAGTGGCAGAGAGAAGGTGAGACTGGGAAGCTGGAGCTCCCCACTGAGCAAGCAGCCAGGGCCCAGCAGGCAGATGGGGCTGAGCAAATGTGGGGAGGCCCAAAACTTAGGTCCAAGTAGTTCCCTTCCTGATTCTAATGTTGTATCGGAGTATCAGTCAGGGTTCTTACTTGCAAGCCACAAAAACTTACTTTAGCTTCCTTAAACCAAAAAAGAATTTATTGGGTGTACATGGGAGAGCTTTCAGAAACTGAAGAGTGGGCTTATAGTGCAAGCAATGAGAGCTGCCAACTAGGCAGCAGAAACCGGGGCCCAAACACCACTACCATGGGGGCAGGACACTTTCCCTACTACAGCCTAACATCACCACCTCCCAGTGAGACCTCACACCATCAGCATGCCTCCAAAGAGCACAGGGGCTCTGATGTTTGTCAACTGCTCCCCCCAACCCCCAAATTCTTATGTCGAAGTCCTAACCCCTAGCACTTTGGAGTGTGCCCTTATAGGGAGATAGGGTCTTACAGAGGTAATCAAATTAAAACAAGGTCATTAGCATGGGCCCTAATCCAATATAACTGCAGTCCTTATAAGAAGGAGAAATTGGACATAGAGAAATGTATAGAGGGAAGGCAAGGTAAAGAGACATAAAGAGAAGATGGCTACCTACCAGCCAAGGAGAGAGGCCTGGAACAGATCCTTCACTTGCAGCTCTCAGGGAAACCCACCCTGCCCACAGCTTGATTTTGGACTTTAGTCCTCCAGAACTGTGAGAGAATAATTTCTGGTGTTTAAGCCACTCAGTTCACGGTACTTTTTAATAGCAGCCCCAGCAAATACAATCCTGGAAGCCAAGGGGGAAAAGAGAAAGAGAATCCTTACCAATTTGTTGAACTTTTGCAGATTGCTAAGCACTGTGATGCACATTACCTTGCCTGGCAGGGCTGTCTTCACCGCCATGAGACCTGTGCAGTCACACAGTCACACAGCGCTCTGTTCTCAGAAGCACCCAGCACTTGGTTCAATGCCCTGCTGTTGTCATCTTAAAATTCTTCATGATTTTTTAAACCAGGGACCCCACATTTTCATTTTGCACAGGGCCCCCCAAATTGTGTGGGTCCTGTCACCTGGTTATCCCAGTAATCTCGTGAAGTAAACAGAGACTGTCGTTACTTGTGTTTATTAATAACGAAACCAAAGCTGAGAGATGTTAAGCAACTTGATCAAGGTCAACAGACCTCCCCAGAGTTGGATCAGAGATCTGAGATCTCTGATCCAATGGCTTCTGTGTCCACCCAATTTTGAGATTCTGTCATTCTAGAACCTATGTAAAATGTAAGAAAATTTGGAGCTAAACCTTTACACAGCTGCCTTGCCTTCACTCGATTATCCTGTCTGAAGTTTAACACATGAAAGCCAGCTTGGGGTCTTCTGGATAGTCAAGAGGTTCCTCTACCAGCCTCATCTTGGTCACTGGTCTGCTCTAGTCTACTTCTATCTGTGTTCCTGTTAGACTTAATATCTGGAAAAGCAGGGTTCTTACCTGCCCAGGCCCCAGGTCAACCTGGCTTGGGTTCAGATAGAAACTGCTGACCTCAGGTCACTGGATTCATGTCCTAAGCCAAGGTCCGTGAAAAATATTAGGAATTAATCAATTAACCTCTTCCTTGATTCTAGATATTCGCTCTCTCATTTTTCCTGGGATAAACCAACCCTTCTGGTTGGTCTGGTATAAAGTTTCACTGTCTCTCCCATCTCCTTTCTCTCCTCTGTCTTCCCCCTTGAGTCTTTGCTTTACTGATGTTCTTCCATTAGGCCAACTGTCCCTTTCCCTTGACTTTCTTACCTTTTCCCCAGCCACTGTTCCACCGCGGTTTTCTAATAGCCTCTCAGTTCTTCACAGCTCTGCCTCCATCACCACCACATCCTCCCATCGGTGTCCTAAGTAAACATTTCACAAAGTGTTGCTGCATTACTCTTGGGTTCTACTCAACTAGGTCATTTTCCAAGTTCATGAAAATTGGAATAGGTAAGAGGAAGTTTGGGGTTTTAAATTTATTAACCACAGAATGCAACATGGGAGGGTGAGGTGTACGGTAATTCTGTTTTTTTTTTTTTTTTTTTTGAGACGGAGTCTCGCTCTGTGGCCCAGGCGGGAGTGCAGTGGCGCAATCTCGGCTCACTGCAAGCTCCGCCTCCCGGGTTCACGCCATTCTCCTGCCTCAGCCTCCCGAGTAGCTGGGACTACAGGCGCCCGCCACCACGCCCGGCTAATTTTTTTTGTATTTTTAGTAGAGACGGGGGGTAATTCTGTTTTGTCGTTGCTTACTTATCCCCTGAGGCAGACATAAGTTGTTTGCGCACATGTCTTTTTTTGGACAACTTCTCACCCATTGTGTGTGGTCTTGTGGGGCTGTCAGCCTCCTTGGTGCCTTCCCATAGGACCCAGGGTGGCCAATCAGAGTATCCTATCCTCCAGTGATTGGCTCTAGGATTCCCAGGTGACACAAGCAGCACCATCAGAATCATCCTTGCCAATGGGGATCTAGAAAACTGGAGGGAGATGGTCTCTCTTCCTCTACAAATGGGCAAGCATGGAGACCAATGCCAAGAGGAAAGAGCAACTAAAAGAAGTGGGGTGGGATCCAGATTTAAAGACTCTAACTTGATGAGATCTCTAGTGATGGTTACTTGCTCACAGAGTCAATGGAGACCAAATTGACCAGCAGCCATTTAATGTTTTAAGGGCAGGTGGTGTTGGAAAAAACTGAAGTTTGGCAAAGAGGAGTCTTGAATGCCCAGAGTGATCGTGCAAGATGGGAGCTAGTACTGTGCTCAGGATCTTTTCCTTTTTTAATGTGTGGGGATTTCTGTGTTGTTCTAATGCTTGGGGGGTGCTTTTGGCATTGTGAGACAGGAATGCTAGACTCTTGCAATGTGCAGGACAGTTCTACAAAATGAAGAACTTGCTCTCCCTCTGCAGGAGAGAAAAAAACCAAACTGTAGAAAAAAGCAGAATCGTGGTGTCACTGAGTGAACGTATGTATCCAGCCCTGCAGATGCCTGAGATCCACCCTCAGGCTGTACCTTTTCCAC
Organism: Homo sapiens; assembly: GCF_000001405.40. NCBI lineage: Eukaryota > Metazoa > Chordata > Mammalia > Primates > Hominidae > Homo > Homo sapiens. The sequence continues at coordinate 24,002,815 of NC_000018.10, forward strand.
TGAAGCCTGTTTGCACTGGGTTTGGTCACTTGCAACAGAAAGAGAACTAACAATTTCACACACAGTGGGACTTACAAGTGCTCTGGTCTTCTGCAATTGCCTTCCATAAGTCTCTAGTCTATACACTCAATTAAAATTCATATTAATTTAAATCCATATTAAATCTTCCATCTGCCCACAAATCTGACCATGTCATTCCCCTGTCCTAAGTTCTCGTTGGCTCCTCTTTGCCTAGAGGCTCCAGGTAAGGCACAGAGAGCCCTTGTGCCTGAGGGCTGACCACCTCTCCTGCCTCGTCTCTGGCCACTTCCTGCCTCACTCTCTATACTCTAGAACAACTGCACTGTTTGAGGATTTCTGCAGTCTCACCTGTCCATGCCATTGCTCCTCTGCCTGGAATCCACTTCCTACCTCTTTTGTCCAGAGTCAGCTCAGTCATCAAACCCCTCACAGGAAGCCTTCCATGAACCCCCAGCTGGACTAATGCCCCTATTCTGTGCTCCCAAAGCACACAGCGTATAACTCTATCTTATGACCATCTTACATTAAAAGATCTGTCAGTGTGTCTGTCTCACCCACTAGACTAGAAGATTCTCAGGTTCAGGGGTTGTATTTTATTCAATTATGTCTTCCACAGCAGCTAGCATACAGTGGCTGGCACATAGTAGGTCCTCAAAAAAGATCCTGTTGAACTGAACTGGTCCTTGTCGTAGGTCAAATATGATGGTGTTTCTGATGAATCATAAGTCATATTGGATGACGTCTGGGATAACCTGCAGTTTACAGAATCTATCATTCTTTGAGTGAACCACTGGTGTGCCTATGACTATTTTTATGGCCCTTGTATGAAAAAAAAAAGCTCTCTAAAGACAAATACTTTTTTAAATGGCTTGAGTTACTTAGTTGAACAGAGGAAAACAAAATGAAAAATGAATGCTTTTCTTTTCTTAAGAGACAAGGTCTCACTCTGTCACCCAGATTGGAGTACAGTGATACAATCATACCTCACTGCAGCCTCAAACTTTTGGGCTTGAGTGATCCTCTTGCCTTAGCTTCCCAAGTAGCTAGAACAACAGGGGCCTACCACCACACCTGGCTAGGCTTTTAAAATTTTTCTAAAGATGAGGATCTCACTATGTTGCCCAGGCTAGTCTCCAACTCCTGGCCTCAAGCAATCCTCCCTGCCTTGGACTCTCGGAGCACTGGGATTACAGGGGTGAGCCACCACACCACACCCAGCATTTTTTATTTACACAAGGCCATTTTAGTTCCCCAAGCAAGCACAGTGCAGAGGCAAACACCACTCCAGAGGCAGAAGTGAGGAACAAGGCTACTAGAGGTGGTTACCTTTCTGGAGCAGTAAGGGAAGTAAGATTGCTCCTGAGCCCAGCCAGCTGTTGTTCTTTGGCCTGGATTTGGGAAGGAAGAAATGAGTCCCTGTGGCATCTAAGCATCCAGTTCCCTATCTGTGGGTATAGACAGCAGCATTCTCATTTTCTCTTTATCATCTCACAGTATATCCTTGTTTTTACTGTTTTTGTCTCAGAGGAGGTGGTAGGGTGAAGAGAGTGAGGAGAAGTGAAAAAATGTGTATTTTTAGCCATGACACAGCCAAATGTTCTGAGTCTTCTTTTATAACCACATTTAAAAATAAATGTCAAGAGTTAGGAATTAAGTGATTTCTTAGTGTCCACATCCTCCTTCCATCCTTAGTGTGGGCGTGTCTCCTTCTGACCTGGTTACCCTTGTGTGGTGTTTCTTTCAACTCCAGATGTATACATTGCTGCTACATGGAATTTTTTAAAGTCATCACATGAAATGCTCTTGTTTTTAAGGTTAAAATATGCACCTTTATTCTGAGTTTAATATAATAATACAACTGTTCCTAGGCAAGGATGTGAGCATGATTTACCATGAAAATCATGCATTCCACTGTGCTTTCACTCATTTTTCGTGCAATATTTCTCAAACATATACTAAGGGTAACAAATCAGGCAATGTACACAAAGATGAATAGCCACACTGCTTTCTGGGAGTTACCATCTGGACAACTCTTTCTCATAAGGGGCTCTGAAATGTGCTGACATTAGACTCACCTGAGGTTATTGCTAAAATGCAGATGCCTGGGCTGCACCCTAATTTTGCTGAATTAGATCATATATGAGATAATGTATTTTCATGCCTTCAAAATGCCTTCTAACTAAGGAATGGTACGACTTTCAGGAAGAACTAATGCCATGAAATTCATAAGCGTGTGTGTGAATGCCCTCAGTCAGGTTTCCAGAAGGTACTAGATTTTAAGTTAACAACTAAGACTGAACCACTGTGGGCAATGAGATCTATGTTTAAACCTCACTGTAACCATTACCTGCTTCATGGCCTTGGGAAAGTTATTAAACTTGTCTTTCTCCTCACATCTTTAAACTTGGGATAAAGCCCACCTTACAGAGTTACTTTGAGAATTAAATGGAACAACATTTGTAAAGTCTTAACCCAGCACCCAGCACGTAGTGATGCTAGCCAGCAGTCATTCTAGATTTTTGGACACTCTTCAAAGATAAGATTTTTTTTCATAATAAAATATTTTTTTTGCCCCAGGTATATAAAAGCACAGGATTCAAGCCATTAACTCCCTTCTCCCACTGCTCTGCACCCTGTGGTTTAAAATGATTAAAATTCTTTTTCAATTAACAGCTTTATTGACATATAATTTATATACACAAAAGTCACCATTTAAAGTATACAATCTGGCCAGGCAAGGAGGCTTATGCCGGTAATCCCAATACTTTGGGAGGCTGAAGTGGGAGCATCTCTTGAGGCCAGGAGTTTAAGACCAGCCTGGGCAACAAAGCGAGACCCTGTCTCTAAAAAAAAAAAAAAATTAAAAATAAAAATTAGCTGCAGTGATGTGTAGCCTGCAGTCAGGAGGCTAAGGTTGGAGGACGGCTTGAATCTAAGAGTTTGAAGCTGCAATAAGCTATGATTGCACCACTGTACTCCAGCATGGCCGACTGAGTGAGACCCTGTCTCAAAAAAAAAAAAACAAAAAACCCAATAACTAAATACAAGTCAGTGGTTTTCAGTGTATTTACAGAGTTATGCAACCAATCACCACTATCTAATTTAGAACATTTTCAAGATTAGTTTTTAGAATGTATGTGTGTGCCTTCCTTAGGGTAAGTGAGCTTATCCTACAGAATATTTTTTTTTTTTTTTGAGACAGGGTCTTGCTCTGTCACCCAGGCTGGAGTACAGTGGCACGATCATGGCTCACTGCAGCCTCAACCTCCTAGGCTCAAGCCATCCTCCCACCTTAGTCTCCCAAGGAGCTGGGACTACAGGTGTATACCATCACGTCCAGCTAATTTTTGTATTTTTTATAGAGTTGGGGTTTTGCTATGTTGCTCAGGCTGGTCTCAAACTCCTGAGCTCAAGTGATCCACCCACCGTGGCCTCCCAAAGTGTAGGCATTAGCCACCATGCTCAGCCCAAATTTTTAAAAACAAATAAACAATATTATACACTGTAGCAGTTATTTTCTCCTTTACATACCTTAGGAGACTACAGATGCTTTCTTTAAGGTATTATTTTCATCTTTCTAATTTACCTCCTGCAATTGTCTTCAAAAATTTGTTCACATCGTTTTAAGTATCTTCGGTTGGGGTAGATCATCTTTTGAAGATGGACGTGAAAGTAATCAAAAACAGTGATTATCTGTCTTCATTGACCAGCAGAGGAATACAAACTGGTTAATGCTATCGGGGCGGGGGCGGGTGGGGGGGAGACGGCGATCAAAAAACCAAGGATTAACTGTAAATTAGTGAGACAGGCGATCTACTGTGGCCCATATCTGAACTCTAAAGGTGTAAAGAATGAACAAATTAATAAAAACATCAGTAATTATCAATGCATAAGATATAAGTTTGTTATAATCATCTAGGGAGATAGTGTTAAATCAGTCCAGGAATAAATGGATTCTGACAAACTTGGCACCAAGGTCTACTATGACACTTACCATATTGTGCTATGAATGTGTATCTGGCTACGTGTCTCATCAGGATGAGCTTCTCTAGGGCAGGGGCCTTGTCATATTTGCCTAAATATTGCCAGCACTTACCCCTGTTGCTGACACAGTCGGAGCACCCAGTGAGTATACTACGAAAAACCAGAGTATCAGGCTCATGAGCTCTAGGCTGTGCATAAAGGAGATACCTGTTATGAATTACTTGCAGATAGAAAACTTTTTCTTCAACAGGTTCCTTAAGTTACTTTAGGGGAATTCCGTGGCACAGAGTTCTGGGTTGAGACACACGGATTGCTAAGTAACCCCAGAGCAAAACATAAGTGACTTACCAACAAGGAATTATTTTATATTAGCAATGCATATGTCCTTGTAAACAAGAGCTGACTGCAAAACATGTTGGACACACAGAACATAGAGGTGCATTTTAAAACTCTTCATACCAAATATTATCTATTTCTTTGTCCAAAATAATACTTAGGGATTATTAAAGCAGAAATAATTCAGGTCCAAATGAAGAACTCTAAAATGTAGATATTTTTACTATCTTTATTTATTTATTTTTGGAGATGGAATCTCACTCTGTTGCCCAGGCTGGAGTGCAGTGGCATGATCTCGGCTCGCTGCAACTTCTGCCTCCTGGGTTCAAGCGATTCTCCTGCCTCAGCCTCCTGATAAACTGGGATTACAGATGGGTGCCACCAGGCCTGGCTAGTTTTTGTATTTTTAGTAGAGACAGGGTTTCACCATGTTTGCCAGGCTGGTCTGGAACTTCTGACCTCAGGTGATCCACCCACCTCGGCCTCCCAAAGTGCTGGGATTACAGGCATGAGCCACCTCACCCAGACTATTTTATATTTTTATACATTCTGAAGAAAATCTGTACTTCTTCCTCATGCTGCATTAACAATAGTGAACATGTATTGTTTATATTCGAAACAGTTTAAATTAATCATCTCTATATGATGCAACTAGTTATTTAATTGCACAGACTTTATTTTAGCTGGGAATTTCAAGATACTGTTGACAAGTAAATATGTGAACAGAAGGACACACTGACTTTAATATCTGAAAATAAATTGTATAGGTTCTAATAATATCTTGGTATTACAGATTAACAAAGCATGTTCACGTGCCCACTATCTCATTTACTTGCCTTGAAGGTACTGATTATCTTCATATTATAAATGGGGAAATTGAGGCTGAAAGAGATGAAGTAAAATTGCCCCAAATCACAAAGTCAGTGCATTGCAGGACCAGAGTCATAACCCACGATTTAGACTCCTGGCCTAATCTCCTTTCCCCTCTGAGTCCAACTCATCCCCTCTGTAGCTCACCCTCACCATTCAACTTACAAACAGGTCATGAACACCTACTGCATGCTCTCGAATGTCCGAGGGAATCTGACTACACTTTAAGATTTGGAAACAAATCCACTCTGAGAAGCAAATGCCAATACTGCTGCTGCTTCCACCCAAAATAGATTCATATACTTTGTTAGATGAACCAAAAGGTATCTCCTTCTTCCTCCTGCAGTCAGGGGAGAAGCCTACTGATTGGAGAGAAGAGCTCGGACATGCCATTTGCCTTCTGTTTATGCAGGAAAAGATTAATACTACCTTAGCATAAGCCCAGGATTTTTAGTAGGAAACAAGGTAAAGTTACGTGAATAGAAGGAAAGTACCTTTCTTGTTTAGATAACAATGGGGAATCCAGATAGAAATTAGTCATAGTGCCACTGTTGGTTGGAGTGTAAATTAGTCCAACCATTGTGGAACGCAGTGTGGCCATTCCTCAAAGAGCTAAAAACAGAATTCCTATTCGACCCAGCATTCCCATTATTGGGTATATAACCAGGGAAATACAAATCGTTCTGTCATAAAGACGCATGTACACATGTCTTCGTAAAGACACATAATTCAACTGCAGCACTATTCACAGTAACAAAGACATGCAATCAAACTAAATGCCCATCAACTGTAGATGACATAAAGAAAATGTGGCACATATATACCGTGGAATACCACACAACCATAAAAAAGAATAAGATCATGTCCTTTGCAGGGACATGGATGGAGCTGGAGGACATCATCCTTAGCAAACTCACACAGGAGCAGAAAACCAAACACCACATGTTCTCACTTATAAGTGAGAGCTAAATGATGAGAACATATGGACACAAAGAGGGGAACCACAGACGCCAGGGTCTGCTTGAGGGTAGAGGCTGGGAAAAAGGAGAGGATCATAAAAAATAACTATTGGTCACTGGGCTTAGAACCTGGGTGATGAAATAATCTGTACAACAAACCCCTGTGACATGAGTTTACCTCTATAACAAACCTGGACATGTACCTCCAAACCTAAAATACCAGTTTAAAAAATTCTAGTGGAAAGATTTTTTTTGCTGTTAAACAATCCAGAGAAAACCCACCAGGGCACTGAATAGAACCTGCTACCATTTAACACTTCCCTTATCCATGGGACTGGAACTCATCTACTTTCCTCTCCAGGGACTCAGTAGACACATGTCTTGAAACCAGAGACGGCCTCTCCCTCTGCAGAACAAGTCAGTAGACAGACAAGAGAAGTAATGGACATTCACCCAAGGCTGCAAAATGTGCAAGTCATGAGGAGGGACCAAAGGAGAGGAAAACTTGATTATCTCTAAGGAAGAGGGAGGGATGGTAGATCCAGGGAACAGGGACTATCAATGAAAAGGAAGGAGATGGGTTAAAGGGAAGGGAGGCATAATGGGGAGAGAGAATGAAACTATCTGAAGACCAACAGAAGACCTGCAGTCACACTCAAAGACACACCCCAGTCAAGGGCTAGTGCAGGAGAGATCACTGCTTAAGCTTCCCAGGGGAGGAAAGCGGTGGAGGAGAGACAATGCCTTCTTCCCCAGTTTTGTCCCTGACTCTCTACAGCAGCAGAACAATGATCTCTAGTAAACACCTGCCTAAACCATTACTGCACTCCAGTGGCTATGTGGTTTATGAAAAGGCAGGTGAGGAGGCGTCCAACCCAAAGGGGGATGGTTTCCTGGCCCATGGTAACTGCTGTGGTTTCCCAGGGCAGCCATGAGTGTCCTCTCAGAGACACACATCCAACTGCAAAAACAGCCAGGTGAACCTCACTGGTCCACAACTATGTTCCCTTCCTTAGAGGCAAGTTAGTGATCCACCTATGAGCAGAAAAGGAAGGAACTTGCTGTATGGTTTGTTAAAAGAAAGACTTTAGATAAATTAACAGAGTTTAATTGAACAAAGAACAATTGGAGAATTGGGCAACTCCACCATCAGAATAGATTCAGAGCAACTGGCGCTGTCATGCGTCAGAGAGGATTTATGGACAGAAGAAAGTAAGTGACATAAAGAAAACAGAAGTGAGATACAGAAACAGTCAGGTTGTTTACAGCTCGGGGTCTGCCTTATTTGGCTACGGTTTGAACAGTTGGCTGCTGTGATTGGCTGAAACTCCGCTACTTGTTACAAGAGTTTGTTACAGTCTGTTTATGCATCCAGTTAGGCTACAGTTCACTATGTACGGAGAAATCTTTAGGCTAAAATACGTAAGAAGGCAGCTTTAGGCTAAACAATTTAATAGGTTTTACATAGCAACCCTTGACCTGATTTGCCTTCTAGTTAAAGGTAGTTAATTAAATCTTACTTCACCTTCAGTAGAAGAGCTGAATGGGTAAAGCTAGCACAACATAAAAATAGTGATATTAATTTCCCTACTCTCCTCCTTCTTAGAATTCCAAACATTTTGGGAACCTGTATTTATTTTGATGGATAATATGGATTTACAAAAAGATGCACAAAGGCATGACTGTTAGCATCACTGAAAAATGTAATACAACCAAAGTACACACAGTAAGGTTTTCTTGTGGTACTTTATTCTTCGAATGCATTTAAAGTATAATTCCAGGCCAGGCATGGGTGGCTCATGCCTGTAATCCCAGCACTCTAAGAGGCCGAGGTGGGCGGATCACCTGAGCTCAGGAGTTTGAGACCAGCTTGGACAACACAGCGAAACCCTATCTCTACAAAACATACGAAAATTAGCTGGGTGTGGTGACATGTGCCTGTAGTTCCAGCTACTCAGGAGGCTGAGGTAGGGGGATCACTTGAGCCTGGGAGGTGAAGGCTGCATTGAGCCATGATCTCGCCCCTGCATTCCAGCCTGGGTAAAGAGTGAGACCCTGTCTCAAGAAAAAAACCGAATGTAATTCCAAAAATTCAAAACATGTTCAGGAAGACAAGGGTAGGGTATGTTTGTTGATTGTCGCTCTCACATCCATTCCCTACCTCTCTTTTCCTAACAGATCTGGGATTTCCCAGCCAGGTAGTTTGGGTGAAATAGGTTCTACCCATCCAGGTCCTGGAGCAGACCCTGACTGGCATAATCCAATTAGCATGATCTGCCCCTCCTACTCACATTAATTGGTGCAAAGATGGGCACCTGACTACAATCTTGCCAATTAAAGCCAGTGAGATTTAATTAGGGGATTTCAGTTAAGCTGTTAGAGAAGCAATGCCTTCCCGCTGGATGTAGCCAGCAAGCATGTAGCTCTGGGAGCTTCCAAAAACCTTTTGGGACCAGGAGAGGCGGCCCTGTCTGAGAATAGAGCCAATAAACACCAAAGTGGCAAAGCTAAGAGGTCAAGAGGAGAAACTGGGTCCTGGTTAGTGTTGAAGCCAGGGATACAGCCTCATTTTGTAAAACTTCTCTACACCAATCAATATGTTTGCTTTGCTGAGCCAGTTTGGGTCAGGTTTTTCTGTCATTTGCAACCACAACACCTTATTTTTTAAAATCTACCTTCTTTTACTGATCATTTGAAATTAAAGTTTCATTTTCACAGTGAAATCAAATGAAGAACCACAAAATACTGGCAACACCCACTGCAGAAAGGAAGTGGGTTATTTCCACCACTCGCTGGCTTTTCTTTTTCTCTTTTTTTCTCCCTTTTTTCCACTCTCTCTGTCTCTCAACTTCCAAAGGAAACACTCGGATAAATCCTATTTGGCTGAAGTCAAGTGCACTGAAGACTGCATTAGTTTTGCAGGAAGGTGCTGAGAATCTCACAGTGTCAAGTATATGGTGTCCTGGAGTGTTAGGAATCTAGATTTTCCTTCCTTTTGTAGGTAATTTGCACCATGACTTCTTAGATATCACTATCTGCCTTTATAACCTGACATTTTTATCGAGTGGAGAAAACACAGCCTTAACTCTCCCTTGCAATGTGAATCCGGGGCAGGTGTCAATGCCAACTACAGCTGCCACAAGTATTACTAGTCCACGTGTTCTCTTCCTTCAGGATTTGGAGGCTCTTTTTGTATCCCTCACCACGGGCAAATATTTTAAAATGTCCCTTCATGATGATGATGCTAATGTAACTGTTTTGGTACCTGGTTAAATCCAATTTTGCACATATCTGGTGTGTATTACATGGTAGAGTTATCCCTCTATCCACGCCACCCCTCCCCTGCCTATTGTGGGGTGCTGGGCGGTTGCAGTGGTCCTTGCCTTAATTGTTCAACAATTAAATTTCCCTGTCTGCACAACGGACTGTGTGAGGTTCTTGAGACAGAACTAGCCCCACAAAGAGTGCTCTGACTTTGCTCACCCCTCCCCACATCCTCAGCTGCAGGGCCTCAAGTATAACTCATAAACATAGTGTCATCAATTCCTTGAAATTCTTGTTTTTTCTTCCCAGTAATAGGGACATACAGGACTGTGCTTGGCTGTCTTTCTCAGTTGGGGGACTGCAGGCTATCTCCTATGTCTGATATTTTGCTCTTGGCTTCTCTCCCTTATTGACTAGACTGCTTCAGGGATCTGGGCAAATGGTTCCACAGATCCAAAGTTCCAGCAGCCTGTAAGTGCATGTTGTCAGGGTGACCTCGGGCAGTGTGTGGCCAGGGGAGCCCTCCATGCCAATGGCCTCATGTGGGCCTCAATGAGCAGTACAGTCCCTAAGACCTGCGTTTGAGGGCCCTGCCCATCAAAACACACACACACACACACACACACACACACACACACGCATAAATTTATTTAAAAACATACAAGCACCTCTGTAACTTGGGATCTGGCATTCAGTGCTGCCTCAGTGGGGTGCATAACCCTCAACATCCATTCTCATGATTGATGCCATGCAGGCTCCAGGGAACGCTTCTTCTCATCTTTAGCTCAGTGCCCTAAAAACAAAAGGTTACAGCCTCTCAGTGCCATGAAGGATGGTGACACTGCTGATGTTTGAGACTAACATTATGTTAAATCCAAGAAAACCTAGATTTTCTTTTAAAGGTCAGCTTGTCAAATCCTTCTTCTCAGACAGCATGAATGCAGTGACTCCTGCATTACAACGTACTGTTTCCCAAGGATGTGAATCGTCCATTTTCTTGCTTCTGTCAGTGTTCCAGTTTGTGGTTCCAGATGTACTCAAGAATTAGCATGGCTTTGCAACAGTTACACATGACACTTAAGGAGTGGCAGTAATTCTTATTACTCTAAAATTTCTATTTATAAAAGTTGAAAATCCTGTATGGATTTAGATATTCTTATAAGGGATGGTACAATTTACAAAATAAGTAAAAGCAACTTACATGACAAAATTATTTTGCATTTTTCTGTAATAACTTATTATATTGGTCCCATGATAATGGATGACATAATGTTTAAAATTCAGGAGTTATTTCTAAACCTGAGGATTGCTTTCATTTAAAAAAAATTCTGTTATAAATGTTTCAGCAAAGTTTCTTCAAGTTGAAATTAATAAACTACACTCTAAAAACGACAGCGACTCAAGGAAGGTTGTCCAATTTGGCATTAGAGCATAATCTTGATTGCAACACTACATTAAGGGATTTTGCTAAATTAGAGAAAAATAAATTTGTGGAAAAAACATAAAGATGATTTATGAATTGCTTGTCTCTAGAATATTAGGCATCCAGATATCACCAGCCCATCATCAGAACAGTGAGACTTCTGTGATAATGGTTAAATTCAGTCACTTTTGATGTTTTGCTGACATTTGGTCATATGAACGCCAAAGCTTTGCAAGAATAATTGGCAGTGTGAGAATAGAACACACTTTGGCAGCTGAATTTATAACTTTTAAATATTTGGGCACATGGCATATAGGCCTCCATTTCTCCTCCTGCCCCACTGCGCAAATGTTGGTGGCGGGCTGGAGTGGGTGGTACCGGGATCCGAGGGGCTCTGCCTTGCAGTCCCGCAGCGCGGGGCTCCGGGGAGCTGCGGGGCAGGTGCCAGAGACCCCGCCCCCGCCGCCCACCTCCTCGGGAATTGGCTGCCCTGGTCCTAGGGGGCGGCCCCAGGGTCGGGATGAAGTCTGGGGTCGCGGGCGCGGGCTGCGTGGGGTTTCAGTTACTCGTGGAGTTTCAGTTACTCGTGGACAAAGCGCCGCGCGCTAGCATAGCGGCCCGGGCGGAGTTCCCCTTCCCTTTCCCTTTCCTTCCACATCCGCACGCTCGTTCTCCCTCCGCGCCTTGCCCTCCTCCCGACTCCTGGGTCCGGCCCCTTCGGGGGAGGGTGGGGCGCTCGGGTCTCCGGGTCTCGCGTGCGTGTGTCCGAGCAGTCCTGGGCGGTGGGCGAAGGCGCGGCTTGGGGACCCGGGAGGGGCCGGGGCGCGGGGGCTGCAGGAAGTGGAGGCGGCCGCCGCTCGGGGACCGGCTTGGCGGGGTGAGAGACACCCGGAAACGGATTCCGCTTCGGGGCCCGCGCGAGTTGGGTGCTTCGGAGGGCGCGAGAGGAGCGGGCGGGTGCTGCTGAGTAATCCCCGCGGCGGCGGCCGGACGCCCACCTCCCACGCCGCGCCGCAGCCGGGCCGCGGCTCCTCCCTCCGCGGTCCTTCCCTCCTCTTCCCTCCCGTCTTCTCCCCTCCCCTCCCCTCCCCTCCCGGCTCCGCTTGGCTCCGGGCAGGTAGAGCCGGGCTCCGGGCGCGCGCGGGGCCGCAGCAGCTGCTCCCGATCTCGCCTCGGCCCAGCGCAGGGCCTCGCACGCCCATGGCCGGCTCGGAGCAGCAGCGGCCGCGGCGGCGGGACGACGGAGACTCGGACGCGGCAGCGGCGGCGGCGGCGCCCCTGCAGGACGCGGAGCTGGCCCTGGCCGGCATCAACATGCTGCTCAACAACGGCTTCAGGGAGTCGGACCAGCTTTTCAAACAATACAGGTGACCCACGCGTCCCCGATTCCCCAACCCTGCAGCGCGCACCTCGTGTCCGGCTCACGCGCCTCGACCTGCGGCCCCCGGGAGCCCCCTCCCCCTCCTGTCGGTCACCGATTCCGGTCCTCAGGTCTCCTCCCTGGCAAGATCAGCCAGAGGGAATGCGCCTCTGCCACATCTCCTCGTCCACCCCCTACCCCCGGCTCCGTTGTCCTTTCCCTCCCGGGACCCGCCGCGCGCCCGCCCCGCGCGCCCGCAGTCCCCCTCTCACTTTCTCCCAGCCTCGCCCTCCCACAGACGTGCCCGGTGCCGGTAGGCTCCTCTCTGCAGGGCAGCTGGCTTTGGGACCGGATGAGATTTGAGGCAGCAGCGAGCCTGGGACCCGGGCTTGTCGTGACTCTGGCTCGCGTGCTGCCCCGGCAGCCTTTGTGACACGGAGCCCTCCGGCTGCCTGCTCCTCGCGCCTCGCATGGCTCTGCAACATTGTGCAATTCCAGACGCTTTTATTGTTTGAAAACAGATACGCACAATTGCTTTGCCGTGCAGGAATTTAAAAATTTCAGCTCAACTCTGCCCACTCATCTCTCTGCCTTGTCTTCTGCAAACTCAGTCCTCAAAATGAGTTCCTGATGTCTTTCAAGCAGGCGTTATTTATTAAGAATTTTTCCAACGTAAATAAAGGAAGGAAGAAAATGGAGGGATTTTTAAAAAGTATGAGAATGGTAGGAAAACACGTGTGTTCAGTTAATTTTTTATTTGTCTTTTAAAAAATAAAGCGAAAGAACTGAAACCTGGTAGTTTTCCTGTGGGAGTGGAAGGAACCTTCATTTCTTTGGGGACCTGGAGTGTTTGTTCTCGGGTTGAGGAAGCAAGTTTGTGATTTGCCGTCTGATTGTTGACGAGCCTTAAGGACGTTGATTAGCAGCTTTCCCCAACACGTTTAAGGACCACATGCTTCACGCTATGGAGACCCTGTAGTTTGGTTGGAATGAGAGGACCAATGTACAACTGTGACCGGGAGACAGAGTCTGTAAGAATGAGAATGCCTAAAGTCTCAGACCTCAGAGAATGGTGGTTTCTACCCAGCAGAGCTTCCACCTTCTTAATGGCGAAGCAAGTATCTCACAACTGTGAACTTTTCACTAAAGCCCTTTTACTTTTAAATCGGTGATTTTTTCCCCCCTTTGGTCTGAAAGTAAAAACAACTTCGCTTTACTTAGAACATTTCATTTTTAAAGCATACAGGTCTGGTTTCAAGATGGAGTTTCATCAAAGGCTGTTGATGGGGGATTTAAAAGGTTTACTTGTCACACAATTTCTCTTTTGTAGTTTTTAAGAAGCCCTCAGGAAAAAAGGTGTGAATATTTCCTGTACCGTGCTATGATTCCTTTTTTAGACTACCAGTTTGTGTCGTATGAGAGAAGGATGGAGATAGTTGTAGAGTCAAATTTACCCTTTTTAGTTGATGATTTAGGTACTTGCATGTTTAAGTACTTCTTGCTTTGAAGTCTCCTGTGATATTTATTTTAATGGTCTTTTTTAACCCTTCTTTAGTAGGCGAAAATACTACCTTTACATTGAAAGCATGAAATTTTTGCACTATCTAAGAAATTTTATGCACTGTTAATAGAAGGCAGTATATGAGTGGTTGGAAAACTCTCTCCCAGCAACAGCAGAGAGATGCCCCTTCAAAGATACTTCTCTGTGGGTGAGTGCGTTGGAGGTGTCCAGGGAATATTTACCTTGTATAGCTAGGTGCTGTCTGCTTGTATTTTGAAATGGGAACTGAAGATAAGGCAGGGAAAACTGTAGTACCTCTTTTCTGCCAAGCACAGTGCTAGACACATTCCCTTATATATTCTCACTATTCTCATGACAACAAAAGAGTGAGGTGTATCTTATCATGACAGTTTTGTAACGAGGGACATGAGACTTAGTTTTTACTGTGGACCAGGACACAAACACTATAGTTCTAAATCAAGGACTCTTTTCATTTTACCATTCTGCTTCCCTCACTAAATTTATGATAATTTGTCATCTGCTCTGAGACCTTATTTTCCAGCAATGTTAAAAAGCCTTTTTTAGAGATGGTGGGAGGGAAAAAGACAGGTAGACAGAGATGGTATCATCCTATCAGCTTTCCTTGGCTCCATCTGATTTGTTTGTGGTGTGGACAATCATTGCGTTCTTCCCCCCTCCCAAAAGGTGCTTCTGATGTATGTTTTGGAAAGCACGGTTGCATACAGGTGTGATCATGGACCAGAGTCCTGCAACCTGGGTTCCAGTCTTTTGCCATTTTGTGGCTGCTGACTTTGGTTTCTCAAAATTTGCTTCCTTATCTATAAAATAGGAGTAACAGTAAGAGTACCCACATTATCGTGTGGTGGTTAGAATGAAAAGAAATAATCCATGGCCCCGACTAAGTGTAAGCACTCAATAAACTCTAGCTAGCTTCTGTACGTGGTGCCTTCCCCGCTAGTATTGTGTTTTCTTCTTGACTGCATAGTTCGAGTACAAGACACAATGTCCTGTGTGCAGGTAGCTTTTCTATTTAAAGTTCATCTTACGTATTACGTATGAAGGATTTAAGACTCTGTTATGCATTGGGAAACTTCCCTTTCTGTTCCAAAGTTAAATGGCCTGCTGAAGGCTCAGCAGTGACTTGATAAATGTTTGAGGAGCACCCCCCTGGCTCATTTTATCTACATAACAGGGATAGGCAAATTACCCTCTCTGTCTCCTTTTTTAATGATTGTTTATCACAGGGGGACACCCTTCCTCTACTAGTAAACCTTCCAGAGTCTTATTGTTACAATTTAACAGTAGAAACGTATTTTGTATCTAGTGTAACAATATTTTTTATTAAAGCAAGAAGGTCATTTTCTCATGCCACCTTACTAGAATGGTGAAAGTTTATCAACAGCTGCCTGATGAGAAATGGTTACTTTGTAGAAACAGATTATCCTGAAGGCCACTCTTGAATTCGTGGCAAGTCTGGATTGTATAATTCAGATATTATGCATATAGGAATTAGAAATATATGCACAGTTAGAAGCCTTCTTTTGGAATATAGGGCAGCTCCCTGGTTGGGATTTGAAACTGTAGCTGCCTTTCTATTGGAAGTATAGTAATAATGTAGCAACAAACTGCCCTTTGGTGGTGCTGAGCCACCATTATGCACTTTGAGGTGTTTTCCCAAAGGTTAGGATAGATTTGTCCTGCTGGAGGGCGCTTCTGCTTTGAACCCAAGTCCATGTGTTTGTAAGTTCGTGATCTTGACCACCTGAAGTCAAGTTCCTGATCTTGGTCTTAGTGCCCAGTGCTCTAGTCTAGCAGCAGTCGCTCCCCCTCCACACACACACACTCATTCCCTTCCTCACTCACTGTTTGCATATGTGACGTGCACTCAGACCTTTAGTTGCTCAGGCACATAAGACAGGCTGTGGGTTAGGTGCCAAAGACATGTGCTAGATATTTCGGTGCTGCAATGTAGGTGTAGGTAAAGCTGATGGTGATAGGGAGGCTGGGAGACATACGCATGGTCCCCTGGAGCCTGTGGAAGAAAAGAGAAGCAGCGTCTAACTCAGCCTGAAGGACAGTTTTGTGGAGGAAATGATGCCTGAGCATTATGATGGGGTAGAAGAGAATCAGTTGAATGAGGAGTTGGGAGGGGCGGGGCAAGGAGAAAAGGAGAATGTGAGAGGTGGTGAGGTTTAAACGGAAACCTAGGAGAGGAAACAGCGGAAAAACCCACGTGGAGACATGAAATGACATTGGGAAAAGAGTGGTCAGAACTGCAGGCTCACAAGTGTTGCTAGGCCGTTGCACTGGATGGCTTGTTCTGCACTTATTTTCTTCCTACCACTGGTCAGTCCATGTTTCCCATGGTCGGTGCTTTCCTCAGGTTTACTTTGCTACTGGGTGTCTCGTCAACTCACTTTTCACCATGACCATTGTCCACAGCGTGGCTGTCACAGCCATAATTCACCGTTGGCTCCTTGGGACTTCAGGATCCTAACGTCACCACCTTTTTTCTCTTTATGGCTTGACATATTACTTTTTAACAGAGGACTGGCAGTAATGAAGCACATGGAGGCCTGAGGAGCGTGAGACGTTTGGAGCTTCTGACCCAAATGAGCTTCGCAGTTCTTATTTCTGCTGCCCTGATGCTGAGCCTCCCTCCTCCCCTCTTGAGGTTACCAGCCCATCTCCCGCTTTAACTCTTGGCATTCTTTTTGATCCTAAGACTTCTGCAGTCTTTACCTCTGCCAGGGCTACTACCAGTTTCTGGCTGTAGATATTTTAAAGAGTCCTACTTACTCATGGTCAACTAAAATAGGAAACATGTATCGTTACTATGAATGTTTATTGGTACATAGTTGCTATGAATTGTGACACTTCCTTTTCCATTTTAAACTATAAAATGGCGAAAATGTATTAAAAAGCAAGAAAAATGTATAGTAAGTAATGTGAGTGTACATCAAAGGAATGTATGGACCCTAAATTGTTTAACACAGTTTTTGGCGCATGTGACAAAGCCATATGAGAAAGCCATAGGATCTGTGGCCTCATTTTGTGAGCATGTTGATTGCAGAGCCAGTGTTACCATACAGATGGTTCCATATAATCCAGGAGTTGGTAAACTATGGCCCGTGGGCCAATTCTAGCCTGACACCAGCTTTTGTAAATAAAGTTTTGAGACACAGCCATGCTCATTTGGTTATGTGTGGTCTGTGGTTGCTTGTGCACTACACCTGCAGAAATGAGTAGTGTCAGAGACCATATGGCATGCAAAGCCTAAAATATCTACTCTCTGGCCTTTTACAGAAAAAGTTTTTTGACTTCTGAGAAAACCTCAGCGCTTCCTGGAGAAACTCAAAGGCGCTTGTAAGAGATGTTGAGTCAGCAGGCCTCTGAGCCTCTTCTCTGCCTAAAACCATGTCAGATTCTTGGGAGGACTGGAAGGACTTGCAGGCTGTCCATGATTTCTAGACAAGTCATCTGCTCACAGACAAGAATGTGTCTCTGCCTTGCTCCTGGAGACGATAGGAGAGTCCACAGATGCAGAGATGTAAGAAAAGGAGAAGAAATGAAAAGCAGAAATGGTTTAAGGGAACTGGCGGGAAAGACAGGAAACTCATCTGTTGACTTTTTCCATCCTCTTCAACTCAGTGGTGTGTTGGAAAAAGGCATCTTTTTTCCCCCAACTATTACACTGTCTGAAAAGGTCCTAATTAAATATTCATTAAAGATTCATTTGGCTTGAGATTCCTTTTAAAATGCCACTGCCTGTAGAATAATAGGAGAGTTTGGAGGAAATTATCAGGAAAAAAATACCTGTGCTATAGTGTAAGTCTCTGTAAGTGTGTACAAGTGTACAAGAAACACTTGTACAAATACACAATGCGAAAGATGTGAGCCTTTAAAAGAATGTGTTCTCTAAGTCACATATGTAGTTATCCCTCAGTATTCATGGGGGATTGGTTCCAGGACCCCCAGCGGATACCAAAATCTGTGGATGCTCAAATCCCTGATAGAAAATGGCGCAGTATTTGCGTATCACCTACACACATCCTCCCATATACCTGAAATCGTCTGGTAACTTATAATACCTAACATCATGTAAGTGCTATGTAGATAGTTGTTATACTGTGTTGGTTAGGGAATAGTGACAAGGGAAAAAGTCTGTATATCTAGTACTAATGCAACCTTTTTTTCCAAGTATGTTTGATCTGCGGCTGGTTGTGGAATTCGCGGATACTGAGGGCTGACTGTATTGTATTAACCGATTGAGTGAGATTACCTTTTTTCCCCTCATTTAGTTGAAAGAAGCTATATTGAGTGAAATAAAGTTTTGATGAGGATTTTTTTTTTAAAGGGAGAGAGAAGTAATATTGAAACATGGAAGCACTTTCTATTCTAGTTACACGAAACCACTTGTAGATCCCCAAACGTGGTATTTCAGGAGCCTAGACCTTTCACGCAGCCTGTTTTAGTTCCTGAAATATCATTTTTGCACCTGGTCTCCTTTCCCAGGGTAATCCTCCTATTTACCCAGCAGCAGCAGTGGGACTGGAAGAGGCTACGAAGGACTCAGGGAGAAGAGAGAGTGTCAAGAAAGTACAGAAAAGTAGATGGCTGTGTGGCAAAGATGAATTGATCTACTTCAAAACTGCCTAGTGCTAGCTCTACCCTGTGAAAGGAGTCAGGTGGGGTAGGGAAGAACTGGTCCCTGTCCTACACAGCACCTCTTTCAGCACGTCCTCTCCTCCCAACACCCTAAATTCGCGAGGCCGCTGCTCATTCTGTAACGTGGGTCCGTTTGGGGGTTGAATAGCCTTTGTGGGCTAACCTGGGGAAAATGCCTTCCAGTTTCTGAACAAGTGACTGCGAATACATGTTTTTATGTAAAATTATTCATGCATTTGCTGTGTAGGAAGAGAAAGTCATGCCTCCTTGAAGTGGATTTGATGATTGAGCTGGGGTTTTGCTTTTTTTCTTTCCTTCTTTTTTTTTTTTTTTTTTTTTTCCGAGACAGAGTCTTGCTCCATTGCCCAGGCTAGAGTGCAATGGCACGATCTTGGCTCACTGCAACCTCCGCCTCCTGGGTTCAAGGGATTCTCCTGCCAAGCTGGGCCTTTTCTTATGTAAAGATGGTTGGTGGTTTGCACCACCCTTTTCCCTAGCTGAGGTTGCTTTCTCCATCTCTTCCTTCTTGCTCAATAATTTCAGAACACAAGAAATATGCCTACATATATCTAAGGTAGTTACCCCTGTCTTACAGGAAAACTCAGTTATTACAGAGAAAGCCCCTAGAGAGTCAGGAAGTTCATCTCTTTAAAAAGTCTGTGTTCACAGAGTTTCTGCCATGAACAGGACAAAGGTGAGAGGCAGGTCTTTCCTTCAAGGAGGCATTACTTCATACCTTTATTCAAATCTACCTCAAACAGAGTCACTTTAACACTTAGTCTTGTCCAAAGCTGTAACATCTGTGAACTCACTGGCTTAGGTGACTTTTTTTTCTTGTGTACGTCAATGTAAACACATAATGATAAATGTAAACACATAATGATTTCAGGTATATGGGAGGATGTGTGTAGGTGATATGCAAATACTGTGCCATTTTCTATCAGGGATTTGAGCATCCACAGAATTTGGTATCCGCCGGGGGTCCTGGAACCAATCCCCCATGGATACTGAGGGATGACTACATATGTGACTTAGAGAACACATTCTTTTAAAGGCTCACATCTTTTGCTTTGTGGGCTGGCATTGAGCCAGCCCACAGCCCCAGCCTTGCCTGAACTTTTCTCCTTGTTTAATTCCCCTGCCAGCTCTGTGAGGAGTGCCTTTATTATCTCCCTTAGACAGAGGGAGGAGGAAGAGCCCTGGGATGTGAAGTGGCCCAACTCGGGTCTCGCAGCAGTAGTGGGGAGTGCTGGGGTTGAAACTGGGCTGCATGGCTCCAGAGTCTGGGTGTGACCATGTGCTATCTACCTCTCTTACAGAACTTCTACAGTAAAAGGATTCACATGTGTCCTGTCAAAGCCATTTTGGGGCAAGTTCCTTCAGTAATATGCAGATTGCACTCTGACACCCAGAAGCTATCCATCAAACCCCCAGAGAGATCTGTCTTCAGGGGAGATGTCACCCCAAGCTTTAGACGCTCTGTGGCTCCCAGTCTTGTGTAGGATAAAGCCCAGCCTCCTGGCCTGGCCTCCGATGTCCTGTGATGTGGCCCTGTCTGCTTCCTGTCCTGCTGCCCTTGTCCCTTCCATGCTAGTTGTGCTGGAATATTTTACGTCATCCAGCCAGGTATATCTTGCTCTTCCAGACACGGCTCAGATTTTTAGCAAAAGGTTGTATGACTCCTCTGCACTCCTGCGGCATCCCATCCTTACCTTTATCCGGCACTTGTGTTGCATCAAAATTGTTTACACATCTGCCTGTCTGCATGAGAGGGCTGAGATGCTAGAGTTGGGTAATACCTGGACATCCTCTCCAGGTGTTCCTGGCCTTCCTGAGGTTGCTGGAGTTATGTGGGGTCCAAGTTGTTAAAGGCATAGCAGCTCCCCTTTATTTGCAGTCAGCAAGTGCAGCCCAGGAGGCGGCTGCCCTGTAGGAGCTCTGAAAGCCTTGTTCCTCATCACTCCCTCCCATTCTGATGGCATGGGTGTGTCTCTTGACCCAATTTGAGGTGCTCCAGACAGGCCCTAATATTGATGTTCTGCTTCTCATAAGCAGTTGCCAGAGCTCCTGCCTGGCCCCGTCGCTGCCTTTGCCTTGGAACGTCCAGGCTGCCCTGTGCTGAGTAAGGGCGATGGGAAGCAAAGCCGCTGCTGAGCCACATGCAGGTCTCAACAGTGCCATCACAAGGAAAGCTGGGCCCTAATGACACTCAGTCTCCTGCTTCCAAAGAGGTCACAGGTGTCAGCTGCACCTGGCCTGGGCATTGTAACTCTGGATGGCTGCTCTGTGAGCTGTTCTCTACTCAGTGTTGTGTGCAGTGACAAGGAGGCCAGCCCAACTGGTGGGACTTGTGCTTCTCCCATCTGATCCCTTGCAGGGCTCTGGGGTACCCCTAGGG
This sequence comes from Homo sapiens, assembly GCF_000001405.40. NCBI lineage: Eukaryota > Metazoa > Chordata > Mammalia > Primates > Hominidae > Homo > Homo sapiens. Next base: position 24,023,620 of record NC_000018.10, read on the forward strand.
GGTGGTGCTATGATAATGCTCTGATGTGATTTGCCTGCCTGGCATGAGAAAGTAGAAATGTAACTGCCAGATTCCAAAAGCCAGATCCTGCATTTCAGGAAGAACTGGTCTCTGGGAGAATCTGGTGGCTAGGAGGGGAAGCTTGCTAGAGCAGTGACTCTCGACTCTGTCACACCAAATGCCCCCTTTTGCTAACAATTCCCCTTTTATGATTGTAATTCCCCTTTTATGATCCTGAAATGAAATTGATAGATGAAATAACCTACTCATGCATACAATGTCTAAAAATCAATAGAATGCCCAAATAAAATTACATATATATATATGCATGTATATATATATATATATATATATATATATACATATATATATATATATATATATATATATATATATATTTTTTTTTTTTTTTGAGACGGAGTCTCACCTTGCCTCCCAGGCTGGAGTGCAATGGCCGATCTTGGCTCACTGCAACCTCCACCTCCCAGGTTCAAGCAATTCTCCTGCCTCAGCCTCCCGAGTAGCTGGGACTACAGGTGTGTACCACCACGCCAGGCTAATTTTTGTACTTTTAGTAGAGACCGGGTTTCGCTATATTGGTCAGGCTGGTCTTGAACGTCTGACCTAATGATCTGCCTGCCTCAGCCTCCCAAAGTGCTGGGATTACAGGCATGAGCCACCGCGCCTGGCCTACATATATTTTTAAAGTGTAAATGCTCAGCACACCTTTATCCGATGATAAAATGAAGTAGTTAGATGATTGCACCCTTGTATAATGAAGAAATTTGGATTTAGGAGAAGGTGAGAAGGCGCTGCAGAGGAGGAGAGAAAAGAGCAGGTATGCTTTAAAATGAAGGAAGTAACAGACTAAATTTACCCGTAAATGTTAAGGGAAGGAGGGAAATAACCCTAACCTGCCAAGGCAAAATACTGGCTGTTGAAGTGGTTTTAATAAGAAGTGTGACATTTTTGCAGTGAACCAGGCCTTCTTTGTCAGGATGGTATTAATTTCCTGTGTTAAGACATAGGATGTGTGCTGACAGAGTGTCTCAGAAAACATATCTCCCATCGTTAAATCCCTCTGCACACCAACAACTTTAGAGACCATTGCCTTTAATAGGTGTCCAGGATTAGACGATGAATTGAAAAAATGTTTATAGGATAGTTGAGTGGCAACCGACTCCTGAGGACAGTTTCAGAGTAAGGTTGAAAAACAAGATTCAAACCCAAAATAAATAGTTGGTTTTTGTTTGTTTTTGTTTGTTTGTTTTGACAGTCTCACTGTATCTCCCAGGCTGGAGTGCAGTGGCATGATCTCAGCTCACTGCAACCTCCAACTCCTGGGTTCAGGCGATTCTCGTGCCTCAGCCTCCTAATTAACTGGGTCTACAGGTGCGTGCCGCCACACCCGGCTAATTTTTGTATTTTTGGTAGAGATGGGGTTCTGCCATGTTAGCTAGGCTGGTCTTGAACTCCTGGCCTCAACTGATCTGACCGTCTCGGCCTCTAAAAGTGCTGGGATTACAGTCATGAGCCACTGCGCCCGGCCTCCAAAATAAAATAATTTTGACATGTCATTTTCATGACAGAAGTTTCAGTATGCTACGTATCCTTAAGAATATTGGGTGGCAGAAATGAAATAAATGTACTAATGAAATGTATCCAGGATTTCATGTATCTTCAATAATTTATTTGGCTTTAAATACATTAAAAGGAGCTTTCAGTATCCCTATTAAATATTGGCAGGTGATATACAAATGCAAACTGGTTTAGCTGCGGTTTGTTGACAACTCAGATGCCACAAGCAGTGTTGCTGTTGGTGACATGGTTTTCCATAATTGTAAACAAATCTTGATAAACTGTGTATTTAAGCAGTGTAAGGAATATTTTGTGTTTCTACATAAATGGAGGTAGATTCTAGAACTAAATAAACAGTTTTTCATCTGTGTGAACTTCCAGAAAATGTTCAAAAGTTTTGCGGGACATGAGACAGTGTGCTGGATGATCTCATACATTGCAGGATGCCTTGGGTCGTTGGTCCCATTCCACTACAGTCATCATGTCACCCCAGAACGGCCCAACAGGTTTGCAAAATGTCTCCATTGAGAGGCGCTGAGCTTGGGGTGGGAGGGTTTAGGACCAGATTTGGTCTCTGTGGCTGAATCCCCTAGCCTGCTTAGAACAGCACAATAGCAGGGTCTTTCTGCAGACAAAGTGGGGCTGTAGGAAGGGAAGAGGCTGCCCAGGCTGGCACAGCTGTGGCTGAAGGAGAGAGGCAGAGAAGGGAGTGTCTCTGTTGCGTTGGTGACGGCAGGCAGCAGGACAGAGGCCAGGTGTAGGGTCCCTTGAGAGGTAAAGAGCCCCTAGTGTTGGGCTCCCTGGGTCCCACTGCCCCTAAACACCAGTCACACACACATTGCTTCTAGAGCCCAAACAGCTCCAGAAAAGTATGGCAGTTCAGGTTTCTCTGTCCCTTGCCATGTGGATGGAGAACTACTGAGGTTCTTCCCTTCTTCATACTCCACGTGGATCTAGCTTAAAGGAACTGTGTCTCTCCAGCCACCAGGTGACTTTATTTTCCTGTCCTGTTCCCACCCAACTCTTCCTAACTTTGAATCTCAAAGTATGAACTGGCCTATATGCTTCCCAGGAAGTGAGCAAGTTTTGTTTTTGTTTTTTGCTAAGTAGGTTGTGCAAGTTAAACGAACAAAAATTTAGTTAAATAGCAAAGGCTAAATCTCCATGAATCAGGGCACAGTTGCCTCAAAGTTCCATGGTCTTTAGAAGCATGGGATGCTTCTAAAATGTGAGGAAATAGGGTCAGATGCTTCATGGTTTTCTGTTGAGCTTGTACTTAGAAGTAATTGGGAAAGGAAAGCCACATAATGTAGTATGTTATAGGGCACCTTGATACACAGATAGGCAGAGCTTTCCCTGGTCTCACCCTCAACCATGACATCAGTTGCATCCCATAATACATGTTAGCTCAGCCTGTTTTACATGCTCAGGTGCACCATAACACTCCTTTTGGGTGGGGCTTTTCCAGGAAGATACGAGTCTGAGCGTGGTGTGCCTCACTCCCAGTGCCTACAGCTGGGTGTTATTTGCTGCTCTTTCCACTTTGGCCTTCTTAGCACACAGATTATTGTCTTTTGTTGCCTCCTTCCATCTGCAGCAGCCATTCTTTGTGTTGTACTTCATTAAGTTATCACTCCGTAAAATAAGCATCAAAGATAAACAGATTTGCAAATATTTATATCATTCTGTCTCTCTTGCAAATGAAACTCTTTGGTACTATTCTAACAGGACAGGACAAAAAGAGGGAAAATGACATTTTGAATCCAAATTCAAGTTGAATTTGCTAAATGACGGAGAAACAATTAAGAAATCGGCTGGGCACAGTGCCTCACACCTGTGATCCTAGCACTTCGGGAGGCCGAGGCAGGTGGGTCACTTGAGGTCAGGAGTTCGAGACCAGCCTGGCCAACATGGTGAAACCCCGTCTCTACTAAAAATACAAAAATTAGCCGAGCGTGGTGGTGGGTGCCTGTAGTCCCAGCTACTCAGGAAGCTGAGGCAGGAGAATCGCTTGAACCCGGGAGGCAGAGCTTGCAGTGACCCGAGATCGCGCCACTGTGCGAGACTCCATCTCAAAAGAAAAAAAAAAAGTAATCGGATTAAACTAAAATTCATGCTGCACAGCCTCTAGGATCGCTTCCAGTAGAATGAGTCACTGGCAAGGCTTTGAGTGCTTCCCCTCTTCCCCAATTTCAAATGGTGAATTGCAAAATCTCAAGTTATGTGTTGGCAACTGATATCTGGAACAAGAAAGAACTTGATATCTTTCTGTCTTGCAAATTATGCTCACCCGCATCTTTATTTAGGCCTAAAATAAAGTAGCATGTTGGAATTCATCAGCTGCACACATCTCTGAGGTGACTTTTTTTTTTTTTTTTTTGAGATAGGGCCTCGCTCTGTCAACCAGGCTGCAGTGCCGTGGCATGATCATAGCTCACTGTAGCCTTGATCTCTTAGGCTCAAACCATCCTCCCGCCTTAGCCTCCTGAGTAGCTGGGATTACGGGCCTGTGCCACCACACCCGGCTAATTTTTTATTTTTTTATTTTTTAGTAGAAATGAGGTCTTGCTGTGTTGGCCAGGCAACTCCTGAGCTCAAGCAGTCCTCCCACCTCAGCCTCCCAAAGTGCTAGGATTACAGGGTGAGCCACTGCACCTGGCCTGATGTGACTCTTGACCTATCCAAGGCTGCATGGGGTGGGCTGCTTTTCCAGGCCTACAGTTGTTGAAGGAATTGGGCTACTGACTTTTTTCCACATTATAGCCAGGTTTGCACAGAAAAGAGTTTTGTTTACATCTGGAATGCCATTTGCTTCAGCTGTCAACCACGTGGATCCCAATCTATTTTTGATTATTTCTGTATTGATGATTGGTGAGACACTCATTACTTTGAGTTATCAAAATTACAAATGGAGCTAGAAATTACTCCTCTTGAAATAGCATAGGGGAAAAAAAAAGGAGGTGGGAAAGGGCCGTGGTATAGGGGAAATGGCTAAACTACTTATAAACTACTTAGAAGTGTAGCCAAAGTGTCAGGACCTGCTGTGGTGGAATCTCAGAGATTCTTGTTCTGGAGAAATTGCCAATGTGAAAATGACAAGGAGAGAATACTTGAGTGTTTTTCTGTAGCCCTTGTGTGACATTTTGGATCTGGGCTGGGCTTATAAGAGAGAGTAGTTGAGGCTAACTTGAAATTGGGATCTTTTCTCCTAATGGAAGAATGTTGATTTGTAAAACAAAACAAAACTTCATCAAAGAGCTATTCTACTAAAGTCTAGAAATTTATACTTAAGGAAGCCTGTGAATAGTATGTAAACCCAAATGAAATTTTCTTGACCTATGCTCTACTAAAAACTGAAGAAAAATGTAGATGCCTTAGTGAAAGATGGACATTTTCTATGACATTCAGAGTTGTTTACTGAGAACTGGTTCACACAAAATGTTATTATGAAGAATGTTTCTAGCTTCCCTTTGAAATGACTTTTAACTGAAAAATAGAGAAGTCTGTAATATTTTTATTTTTATTTGTTTATTATTATTTTTTGAGATGGAGTCTTGCTCTGTCGCCCAGGCTGGAGTGCAGTGGTGTGATCTCGGCTCACTGCAACCTCTGCTTCCCGGGTTCAAGCAATTCTCCTGTTTCAGCCTCCTGAGTAGCTGGGACTACAGGCACATGCCACCACGCCTGGCTAATTTTTGTATTTTTAGTAGAGACGGGGTTTCACCATATTGATCAGGCTAGTCTCGAACTCCTGACCTCAGGTGATCCACCCATCTCAGCCTCCCAAAGTGCTGCGATTACAGGCATGGGCCACCGCGCCCCTACGTAATATTTTTAAATGATTGCCTAAAATTAATTAGTGTTTGAGTTGCTTGTATAAATAGATGTGTGTGGTGTTGTTGTTGTTGTTGTTGTTTTTGTGTGAGACGGAGTCTTGCTCTGTTGCCCAGGCTGGAGTGCAGTGGTGCGATCTCAGCTCAGTGCAACCTCTGCCTCCTGAGTTCAAGCGATTCTCTTGTCTCAGCCTCCTGAGTAGCTGGGATTATAGGCGTGTACCACCACGCGTGGCTAAGTTTTGTATTTTTAGTAAAGACGGGGTTTTTCCGTGTTGGCCAGGTTGGTCTCGAACTCCTGACCTAGGTAATCCACCCACCTTGGCTTCTTAAAGTGCTGGGATTACAGGCGTGAGCCACCAACGTGGCCAGATGTGTGTGTTTAATCCTCAAAGCATTCCTGCAGTTTGTAGATTATGCCACATATAATAGAGGAATCATATTATAACTTAAAGCTCTTTGAGAAAATAATGAAAATATCTTTTAAATTTCAGTAGTTTTGGGGGAACAGGTAGTGTTTGGTTACATGGATAAGTTATTTAGTGGTGATTCCTGAGATTTTGGTGTACCTATCACCCAAGCAGTGTACACTGTACTTAATGTGTGGTCTTTTATCCTTCAGCCTCCCACCCTTCCCCCGCTGAGTCCCCAAAGTCTATTGTCATTGTTATGCCTTTGTGTCCTCATAGCTTAGCTCCCCCACATAAATGAGAACATACGATGTTTGGTTTTCCATTCCTGAGTCACTTCACTTAGAATGATGGTCTCCAGCTTTATCCAGGTTACTGTGAATGTGATTATTTCATTTCTTTTCATGGCTGAGTAGTAGTTCATGGTATATTTATACCACATTTTCTTTATCCATTCATTGATTGATGGAAATTTGGGCTGGTTTCATATTTTTGCAGTTGTGAATTGTGCTGCTATCAACATGCATGTACATGTGTCTTTTTCATATAATGACTTCTTTTCTTTTCCTCAGAGTACCCAGTAGTGAGATTGCTGCATCAAATGGTAGATCTACTTTTAGTTCTTTAAGGAATCGCCGTACTGTTTATAATGAAAATATCTTGATTAATTTTGTTACTTTTTAAGTAGTTCTTGTTGAAGGATGGGTTAGAAAGTCTTTTTAGTTGAGAAATGTGGTTTGGATGTCCTCTTTGTGAATTGCTTATCAGTGCTGTCTCCATGTGCCATTAGCATAGAATAGAGATGAATTGCCTATTTATTTGTATGACGTAAGATAGAGAAGGAACTATTGCTGATGAGTTAGGAAGATATTTGATACACATTAATGATAGATTGAGAAAACCTGTTTAAAAATTGACTAATCTGAAGAATTATTTTCAGAACAGATCAGTAACTCTTAATGACTATTGAGACTTAGCAATAAATGAATATGAATTAAGCAAAACTAGAGAGGAATCTGAATACAGTTAGAAGTAGTACACTCTTGTAATCATACAAGTCTGTTGATCTTTGCTTAAATGCCTGCACAGACAAACAGTGACAGTGAATGGGGGTCAAGTTGGTCATAGGTGCACGCTGTTCGTGTGTCACTGTGTCGTGTGTATTTCATCCTTAATCCTAATTCTCTCAACAGCCCCAAAGATAGGCCTTTTTTTTTTTTTTTTTTTTTGAGATGGAATCTCGCTCTGTCACCAGGCTAAAGTGCAGTGGCATGATCTAGACACACTGCAACCTCCACCTCCCAGGTTCAAGCGATTCTCCAGCCTCACTCAGCCTCCTGAGTAGCTGGGATCATAGGCACCCACCACTACGCCCGGCTAATTTTTTAGCCGAGACAGTTTCGCCATGTTGGCCAGCCTGGTCTCGAACTCCTGACCTCAGGCGATCTGCCTGCCTCGGCCTCCCAAAGTGCTGGGATTACAGGCATGAGCCACTGCACCCGGCTTTTTGTTTTTGTTTTTGAGACAGGGTCTTACTCTGTTGCCCAGGCTGGAGTGCAGTGGCAGTGCGATCTCGGCAACTTGCAGCCTCCAATTCCTGCATTTAAGTGATTCTCATGCCTCAGACTCCTGAGTAGCTGGGACTACAGGCATATGCCACCACAACTGGCTACCTTTTTTACTTTTTTTTTTTTTTAAGTAGAGCTGGGGTTTCGCCATGTTGGCCAGGCTGGTCTCGAACTCCTGACTGCAAGTGATCCGGCTGCCTTGGCCTCCCAAAGTGCTGGGATTACAGGCGTGAGCCACTGCGCCTGTCCTCCGAGGATAAGTCTTTTACCATCACCTTGCACATAGAAAATTAAGGTTTACCAAACCCAAGTGAAAAAGATTGTGAGTGGAAGATATGCTCCCAGTCCTAGAGTGTATGCTGGTTCCTCCAAAAGAACCCTGTTTTTATGCTGAATAGTATTACGTGGACCTAGCAAGATTGCAGGTCAGTTTTCTAGCCCTGATCTTCTTCCGGGGCTCTCAGGCTCAGTGGACTGCACCACTTGAAACCTGGTTGTACACACTAGAAGGCTCTTGGCACCTCTCTCACCTTTATTGTCTGCCAATTTTGCCTCTCAAGTATCTGTTGAATCCATCCACTTCTCTTCATCTTTACTACTGCCGCCTAGTCCAGGCCACCCTCACCTCTCACTTGGACACTTGCACTGGCTCAGCTGGCTGCCTTATATCCTCCCTGCCCTTCCTTTACCTCCACCAGAGTGATCTCTTCAACATTAATGTCTTGATTGCATGCCTCGCCACTAAAATCTCTTTTGCAGCCTCTGTGGTGGGTTCAAAAATGGTCCTCCAAAAGGTATCTACTTCCTAATCTCTAGAATCTCTCAGTGCTACCTTGTAAGGAAAAGAATAAAAGGTGCCTTGCAGATGTGATTAAGTTAAGGATCTTGAGATGGGGGATTATCCCGGATTATCTCGATGGGCCCTAAATGCAATCACATGTATCCTTATAAGAGGAAGGCAGAAAGAGATTTTACACACACGCAGAAGGTGGCGAAATGGAAACATCAAGAGACAAGATTTGAAGACATTGGCCTTGAAGATTAGAGCCACAGCTGCCCTAAGCCCGAATGCAGCCAGTCACCAGAGGATGGAAGAGGCATGGCAGGGACTCACCCCTAGAGCCTCCCCAGGGAGTGTGGCCCTGCCGATACCTCGATTTCAGCCCAGTGACACTGATGTCACACTTCTGGTCTAAAGAACTGTAAGAGAATACATTTCTCTTGTTTTCAGCCACCAGGTTTATGGTAATTTATTACAACAGCCACAGAAAACTAATTCAGCCTCCCATTGCTTTTAGGATTAGGACCAAAATCTGTGGCAGGATTTATCTGGCATAGCTTGGGCCTGCTTGGTTTGCCCCTTGACCGTCACTGCCTTATCTCATTTTTTTCATATGAAGATTGAGTATCCCTTATCCTAAATGCTTGGGACCGGAAATGTGTTGGATTTCAGATTTTTTCAGATTTTGGAATATTTGCTTATACATAATGAGATATTTTAGGAATGGGACCGAAGTCTAAACACAGAATTCATTTATGTTTCATATACATTTTATGCATAGAGCTTGAAGGTAATTTTGTACAATATTTTAAATAATTTTCTGCATGAAACAAAGTTTTGACTGCATTTTGACTGTGAACGTCACATGAGATCAGGTGTAGAATTTTTCACTTGTGGCAGCATGCCAGCCCTCAAAAAGTTTCAGATTTTGGAGCATTTTGGGTTTCAGATTTGTGGGTTAGGCTGCCCAACCTGTATTTTAAAATGATTTTGTTGTATGATTTCTAGGTTGTGGCTGTACAAATCCCAGTTAGCTCATGCTATAAAATAGACTCATATTTCCCCCTTTTATACAGGGGTTTGTAGAAAAACAGAAAAGTAAAATAGCTTTAAATTGGCAATGGCTTTCGTTTTAACCAGCTTTAGAATCCATATTAACCTTCATTGAAAAGATCAATGCTGGCTGGGTGCAGTGGCTCACACTTGTATTCCCAGCACGTTGGAAGGTGAAGTCGAGTGGATCACTTGAGACCAGGAGTTTGAGACCAGCCTGGCCAACATGGCGAGAGCCTGTCTCTGCTAAAAATACAAAAATTCGCTGGGCCTGGTGGCACATGCCTATAATCCCAGCTACTCGAGAGGCTGAGACATGAGAATCACTTGAAACTGGGGGGCGGCGGTTGCAGTGAGCTGAGATCATGCCACTGTACTCTAGCCTGGGCAACAGTGTGAGACTCTGTCTCAATAAATAAATAAATAAAATAAATAACCAGTGCTTTCTCCAATTATGCCATTTGGTAGCCTTGTCTTCCATTGCTGTGTTCTTTCCTTACTCTTTGACTTGTAGTTACCATGATCTTTCAGATTCTTGACTTTGCTTTGCTTCCTCCTGACACAGGGTTTTCATTGCACGTTGAATCTCTCCTCCAAGCTGACTCAATTTCTACTTATCCTTCAACCTCAACTCCACCTTCCCTTCCTGGAGAGGCTTTCTCTGGTCTTCCAGCCTCATTTGTTTGCTATGCATTCTGTAAGAATCCTCTGGGTTCTTACCTTAGTTTGTAATCATGCACAGACAGCCCTGGCCTTACTTGGTTCTAATATGCACAGATTCCAGTTTCCAGAGTTAAGTAACACCAGTTCCCCAATAACACAGTTCAATTTTCAGTTACTACTGTGTATGAGCTTTGAGTAATTGTAGCCACTAGCTTTTCAGGCCACAAATCATTATGTATGTAACATGATCAGTAGCCAATCGTGTGACTTCTTTCAGAGTCTGTCTGTGACTGGTCATTGCACCTCTGTTGTTCAGTTCACAGACAGCAAAGAGTGTCCTTGTGTTGCTTCCTTCATTCCTAGTGATAGACCCACTGACATTTTACTCAAAGGGATAATTGAAAGAGGACTTTGGCCAACAAAGATGAAAGTGCAGCAAAGAAAAAAGTGGTAACACTGGAACTGAAATTGGAATGATATCTAAATGGAAGGAATAGCTGACCTGGAATGTTGACACTGCCCCTATTTGAGGGACTGTGGATGTGCAGCCACAGGCAGTTAGTGAAGGGGAGTTTATTAAACATAAAGGAGGAAGGTTGTAAGAAAAAAGATGCAGATGTCCCAGAGGAGGTGACACTGGCCAAGAAAAACTTCCCATTCAAAGAACTCTTGGAAAGATCTCACAACATCGAAAGCACAAAGGCTACCCTGAAGCTAATCCAAACTTCATAAGGAGTGTCACAGTTCAAAGTACGACAGAGATGCGTACTTTACATCATACATTATCTTACAAGAAGAGGGCACGCCCTGCTCAAAATCCTCTTGATAAGTTTTCTTACAAAAAAGGAAATCCCTTTAATGCTCAATGTTTTAAATAAGAGTTTGTAAAATAAATGTTTTGCTAACTTTTTTATTTCCCTAATGTTTATAAATGGTAGAGTTTTTAAATGCTTTTAAATTATTTTTTCAATTGTGGTAAAATATACATGAGGTAATATTCACCATTTTATTCATTTTTAGATGTACGGTACAGTGGCATTAGTGGCATTAAGTACAGCCATCACCAGCATCCATCTCCAGAACTGTTTTGTCTTTCCAAATGGAAACTTTGTACCCATTAAACAATAATTTCCCATTTCTCCCTAGCCCCAGCAACTGCCCTTCTGCTTTCTGTCTCTATGAGTTTGTTTGTGATAGGTACCTCTTATAAGTGGAATCATACAGTATTTATCTTTTTGTGATTGGCTTATTTCACTTAGCATAATGTTCATGAGGTTCATTTATGTTATAGCATATGTCAGAATTCTGTTTTTAAGGCTAAATAATATTCCATTGTTTGTATATGCCACATTTTGTTTATCCATTCATCCATTAATGGACACTTGGGTTGCTTCCACCTTTTGGCTATTGTGAACAATGCTTCTGTGAACATGGATGTCCAAATATCTGAGCTCCTGCTTTCAGTTTTTTCGGGTATATACCCAGAAGTGGAATTGCTGGATCATATGGTAATTCCAGTTTTAATTTTCTTTATTTCTTTATTTTTTTTTTAAAGAGACAGAATCTGGTCTCTTGCCTAGGCTTACGTACAGTGGTGTGATCAGAGATCAGTGTAACCTTAAACTTGTTGGCTCAAGTGATCCTCCTGCCTCAGCCTCCCAAGTAACTAGGACTACATTCACGTGCCATCAAGTCCAGCTAATTTTAGTTTTTGTAGAGCTGTGGTCTGGCTGTGTTGTCTGGGCTGGCCTCTAACTGCTGGGCTCAAGGGATCCTCCCACCTTGGCCTTCCAAAACACTGCGATTACAAATGTGAGCCACTGTGCCCAGCCCTATTTTTAATTTTTTGAGGAACTACTATACTATTTTCCACAGCGATTTTACCATTTTACATTCCCATCAGTGGTACACAAGGGTTCCAGTTTTTCCACATCCTTGCCAACAGTTTTCTTGATTTGTTCTGGATAATAGCCATCCTAATAGGGTGAGGTGGTATCTGATTTACGTTTCCCCAGTGATTAGTGATATTGAGCATCTGTTCATGCGCTTGTTGGTCATTTGTATATATTCTTTGGAGAAATGTTTATTCAAGTCCTTTGCCCATTTTTTAATTGGGTTGTTTGGTTTTTGTGTTGTTGAGTTTTAAGAGTTCTTTATGTATTCTGGATATTAACTCCTTATCTAACGTATAATTTTCAGACATTTCCCCCCCCATTCCATGGATTGCCTTTTCACTCTGTTGTTAGTGTCCTTTGATGCAGAAAAAATTTTAATTTTGATATAGATCGGTGTATCTGTATTTTCTGTTTTTGTGTGTGCCTTTGGTATCACATCCAAGAAACCATTGCCAAATCCAATGTGATGAAGCTTTTTCTCTGTTTTCTAATAAGAGTTTTATAATTTCAACTCTAATGCTTAGGTCTTTCATCCCTTGTGACTTAATATTTTGTATGGTATAAAGTAAGGGTCAACTTCATTCATTTGAATGTGGATATCCAGTTTTCCCAGCACTGTTTGTTGAAAAGATTGCCCTCCATGCATGAAGGTTTATTTCTAGGCTCTCTATTCTTTTGCATTGGTCTATATGTCAGGGTTTGTGCTGGTACAACACTGTTTTAATACTGTAGCTATGTAGTAAGTTTTGAAATCAGAAAGTGTGAGATCTTCCAATTTGTTCTTTTTCAAGATATTTTGGCTATTT